>NC_000004.12:140796381-141421381 GCF_000001405.40 Homo sapiens
CTGGGAAACTCTAAGCAAGGTCAGTAGAGGGACTGCCCATTCAATTCACATAATTATGACCGATAATAAAAAGTTGATATATTTTAAGCCACTAGGTGTTGGAAAAGTTTGTTACATAGAAATACATAATTGAAATATTCCCTTCTTCTACAGCAATAAGACTTCCAAGAGACCAGCAGTGGTATGTCTTACTTCCCAGACATGTTCTTAAATCTCTTTCCTGCTTCTTCCTCCAACCTGCTTTATGGAATGTGGTCACAGGATCCACCCTAGACAATATGCATGTACTATCCTAGAGACAGCTGAGTAACCAGGTTAAAGGAGCCTGGGTCCCTGCTATGCCAGTCCCAGACTATTACATGGAAGAGAAATGAACTCCTTGTTTACTGTTATTTTGGGCTTCAGTTACAGCAACTTTGTCCATATTCTAATTAACATATAAGGGATGAAATGTTTTACAATCTTTTTCTTAGTAGGTTTCTCAGCATGTTTTACAATCTTTTTATCAGGAGGCCATTTTTCTACACTGAAGTAAATTAGGACATTGTTTCAAATGAAAGAAAAGGAATTAAAGGATGAGAACATGAGATCATATATGGAGACATATGACAAGATTTCTTCAGGTTGAAGGCCAGGCACGATGACTCACGCTTGTAATCCCAGCACTTTGGGAAGCTGAGGCGGGCAGATCACCTGAGGTCAGGAGTTTGAGACTAGCCTGGCCAACTTGGCGAAACCCTGTCTCTACTAAAAATATAAAAATTAGCCGGGCGTGGTGGCGCATGCCTGTAATCCCAGCTACTTGGCAGGCTGAGGCAGGAGAATCACTTGAACCCGGGAGGCAGAGGTTGCAGTGAGCTGAGATTGCGCCATTGCACTCCAGCCTGGGCAACAGAGCAAGACTCTGTCAAAAAAAAAAAAAAAAAGTCTCTTCCTTCTGTTTCATTGAAGCTAAAGTTCAGTTCCTGCTGGACTCCTTCCCTATAGCGATAGTTATTACTGAATAAAATCTATCCTTCTGGCTTTAGCTAGTGTCCAGCTTAGTTCGTCTTTGACAGTCAGATTGTTGCTTGCATTCAGCTTTTCCTGTTCTCCGTAGCCCTTGACTTGGTCTCATTCCTTATCACATTTTCGTACTGAAAATTGGAAGAGCAATGGTCAGACTCTCCTGAGAAAGGATGAACCTGGTTCACTCTGAAGCACAATAGAGGGTGTGTGTTAGCATCTGGCTAGGTTGTAGTCATTAGCATATTATCTGATTTTTTTTTTCTGAATGGTTGACTCAATGTTGGGTAAGACTTAATAAAAATTCATTTTATCTGCTCTCCTTTTTCTCTCTTTCCCTCAATCTTTACAGTTTTCCCCCCTTAACCTTGCATCAGGGTGTTCCCAGGATATTGTGTCGGGGGTCTTAACTTACATTTGATGTATGAAATGAAATGCATTTTCCCAACATAGCTATGCTTAAGTAGAGCAAACTTCTGTGTTTTAACCCTCCCCTTTTTATGCCAGTTGAGTAGGGAGGAAGGAACATCCAGAGTAGAAGCCTCTGGGACATTGCTCCCTTGAGATTCAGGGTGAAGACTAATATCATTAGTCAAGGCCAGATGTGACTGGGTTTCTTGCCAAGAGATTGGTGAGAGCTTATCTGGGGATGGAATGACTTGACTGGACGTCTTGCCAACCCTGGAGTAACCCTTGTTGGCGGGGGGGAGATCCAGTGTTAGAACCAACGAGCTGGAGGTTGTGGGTGAGCACGGAGTCACACCATCTGCAATTCAAGTCAGTGACTGTGGATCTCCCAGACTCCCCTGCCCATCCGAAAGTGCCCATGAGCTGTGGTTATCAAGGACAAACTACCAGATGGGTGACTGTGCCAGCAGGACCAGCAAAATGGAAGCTGAGGAGCTGAGGAGCCTAACACCAACCACAAAACCCAAACTTCCCAGAGAGATGAAATTATTCACCCAGAAACCACACAGGAGATGCTGCAGGACACTTTGAAATGTACTTAGTGAATACCCGGGAAATTTCACCTATGCTGCAGGCACTGTGTTAAATGCTTTGTGTACGTGATCTCATCTGATTCTCTCAATATCCTAAGTGGGTAAGTTCCATTACTACCCCATTATAAAGAAAATGGAGCTGAGAAAAGGTACGTAATTTATCTAAGGGTGTACTCTTTTTTTTTTTTTTTTTTTTTTTTGAGTCAGGGTCTCGCTCTGTCACCCAGGCTGGAGTGCAGTGGCACGATCTCGGCTCACTACAACCTCCACCTTCTGGGTTGAAGTGTTTCTCCTGTCTCAGCCTCCCGAATAGCTGGGACTACAGGTGTGTGTCATCACACCTGGCTAATTTTTGTATCTTTAGTAGAGCTGGGGTTTCATTATGTTGGCCAGGTTGGTCTCATCTCAAATGCCTAGCCTCAAGCATCTGCCCACCTCGGCCTCCCAAAGTGCTGGGATTACAGGCATGAACCACTGCACCCAGCCAGGGTGTACTCTTAGCAAGTGGCAGAGCAAGGACTGGAATGCATGATGTAATCCCTTGCTACTTCTCTGGTTTTATATCCTTACCAGGCCATCTCTTGGTGACCCCATTGAACTTCTGGCTCTTCCTCTCAAAGCCAAGCATGCTCTCCACTAGTCCTGAGTGTGCTCTTTCCTCTGCTGGGCTCCCCTTCCCTCTGATAACTGAGTGGGTTTCTCCTTCCCTTCAACCAGGTCTCTGTTCAAATATCCCTTTTCAGTGAGGTCTTTAGCTCTCCTATCTAGAATGGCATCCTTAACCCTTATTGATCTTTATCTCCAACAGCCTGCCTCATTTTTCCTTTTAGTTTAGCAGCTGTTTATTTCAGCCTGGACCTCTTTTTTTTTTTTTTTTTTTTTTTTTCTTTTAGAGATAAGGTCTCACTCTGTTGCCCAGGCTGTGGCTCAATCGTGGCTCACTGCAGCCTTGGATTCCTGGGCTCAAGTGATTCTCCTGCCTCAGCCTCCCAAGTAGCTGGAACTACATCTGCATGCCACTACACCCAGCTTATTATTTTATTTTTTGTAGAGATGGGGGTCTCACTATGCTGCCCAGTCTTGTCTTAAACTCCTGGCCTCAAGCAGTCTTTCTGCCTCAGCCTCCGAAAGTGCTGGGATTATAAGCATGAGCCCTCACGCCTAGTCCATGGACCTCTCTTCTGAACTCCAAGCTGTGATAACCAATTTCCAACTTGACATACCACTTGGCTGTCTATAAACTTCCTCGAGTTTACCATAAACTTACAAAAATGAGCCCTGATCTTCCTCCCGCCTTCCTTCAATCTGTTATTCTTGCAGTCTTCTTTATTTCAATGAATGGCACCTCTAGTCTTCCAATCCCTCAGAGCGAAAGTTTAGGGTCACCTTTCACTTCTCTCCTTTTCTCATTCCTCCTGCCCAATCTGTCAGGAAATCCTGTTCTCTACCCTCAACTTAGATCCCGGCTGCAAACACTTCACACTGCCTCCATGGGGTTCCCCCGGCCTCATCACCATCACTGCTTCTCGCCGAGATTATTGTGATAATCTCCTCACTGATCTCCCTGCTTCTGCTCTAGGTTTCTTCAGCTTATTCTCTGCATAGCAGCCAAAGTGATCTTTTAGAAATATGAGTCAGATCATGTCACTTTTCTGCTCAACACCCACCAATAGGTTCCTGTCTCATTTAGAGTAAGAGCCACAGCCCTCACAATGGACTACCAGATCCTAAACTCTCTGGCTTTAGTTGCCTTTCTGACCCTATCTCCTAGATAACTGTAGTATGTATTGGGAGAATGAATTAATCAATAGTATTTATTATATATCTACTTGTTTACATGATTGTTATCTATCTCTTCTAGAATATAAACACCATGAGTACAGAGAATAGCAAATAGTAATACCAAATCAATATTTACACAATGAATGAATACACAGGTAAACCCAGACCATCTGATTTCAAAGCCCATGAGCTTAATCCACTATACACCACACCACAAAACAGATGGGCTTTAGGTCATTCCAATTTTATTATGCACTCCAAATCTTCTGACCTTTCCCAATCATATATATATATTTTTTTTTTTTTTTTTTTTTTTTACTTCTCTGTAGCAATTTGACACTAGCAATCTGCCTAGTTTTCTCTCTTAAAGGAGGTTTCTTGGCTTTATGTTTTTCTTCCATGCTAATGGTTACCAAATTCATTATTTCAAGTTCCAGACCTGGATTTTTAAATAGCTGCTGTGATGCGGCCTGGCTTTCCAGAACCAGTAAGAAAACTCATGCCAAATGCTAGCACAGAGGATGACGCCAATGAGGATTAGTTCCCTTTCCTTTTGTCAGGACAAAGAAAACACACAAGTTGGTTCAACTTTAAGTTGGGACTGCAAATGGGGGAGACAGGAACGCAGGAGAGGGGGACAGCTCTTTGGGCAGCTGAACATTTCCCACAGTGTCTGCTGTGTGGGCTGCCCCCTCATTCACATTGGAATGGGGAAGTGAAAAACATCTCCTGTGCCCGCTCCCCGCCCAGACACATCTACATCCTTCCCCTTCACTGTAAAAACAGGTGCTCTTCCCCTCTGGAAAGGATTTTTGTCTAAGGGAGCCACGAATGCATTTTGGGTCATGTCCTTCTTGAGCATTTTAGCAGAAGGAGATTTCCAGCCACATCCCTTGGTAGATCTGTGATGTTGGGCAAGTCACATCACTTTCTTCATTTTGGGAAAAATGGATTCCTCATGTGTAGAATGGGTACATTATTTACTCTGTTTAGTATTGTAAGGCAATAGTACTTTCAGACATTAGATGTATACCATCATCATTTACATTATAATAAAAGTATTATATAAGGGAAGTACAATCTGTTTAGTCCTCCTGCAGTGTGTAAGCTAGTCTTATCTCAAAATTTAATCCTGAAGCACACAAAGACATACCTTTTGGCTTGTTTTTATTTTCTCAGCTTTTTTTTTTTTTTTTTTTTTTTTTTTTGAGACAGGGCGTTGCTCTGTCACCCAGGCTGGAGTGCAGTGGCTCACTGCACTCTTGATCTCCTGGGTTCAAAGGATCCTCCCACCTCAGCCTCCTGAGTAGCTGGGACTATAGACACGTGCCACCACACCTGGCTAATTTTTGTATTTTTTGGTAGAGATGAGGTCTCGCTGTGTTGCTCGGGCTGGTCTCAAACTCCTGGCATCAGGTGATCTTCCTGCCTCACCTCCCAAAATGCTGGGACTACAGGCGTGAGTCATGGCATCTGGCCTTTTCAGCTTTATTGAAGTATAATTGACAAAAATTGTACCTATTCAAGGTATGCAAAGTGATTTTTTTTTTGCTTTTACTCTTGGCAAACTATGATACAACATGACATTTTAATATGCATACACATTGTGAAATGATCATCATAATCAAGCTAATCAACATATTCATCACCTCACCTACTTACCTTTGTGTGTGTGTTTGTGTGGTGAGAATACTTAAGGTCAACTGTTTTAGCAAATTTCAAGTATATGATACATTATTAATTATAGTCACTACGCAGCACATTAGGTCTCCAGCTTACTCATTTTATAACTGCAGGTTTGAAGCGTCTGCTTTTGGAGTAAGAAGCTGCATTACTTTATTACACCACAACTCCTCCAAACTGCATTTACTACAGTTTGAAGCTTTCCCCCAAGAGATTCCTAGGACCCTTATCAAAGAGAAAGTAGTAGCAGTTTTTTCAATTGAGACCTGTTCTGACCTTTCTTTCCACAGCTTAATCTTTCTTCCACTAATTTTTTAAAGTTTTGATTGTTACTGAGATGTAATAAAATGTAATAATATAAAATAACCTTTCAGATAAGATTTAAAGAAATAAAGGACCTATATTAGTTTCCTGTGGCTGCTGTAAAATTTGTTACTCTGAAACATCACTCATTTATTCTCTTACAGTTCTAGAAGCCCTAAGACCAAAATCCATTTAGGCTACATAAAGTTAAAGGGTCACAGGTCTGTGTCCCTCTGGAAATTCTATGTGGTTCCAGTTCCGGTGGCATTTCTTGGCTCATGGTCCCATGGTCCCTTCCTTCCTCTTTTATTTTTTGTTTGATTTTTTGAGATGGGATCTTGCTCTGTTGCCCAGGCTGGAGTGCAGTGGTGGGATCATAGCTCTCTGCAGCCTTGAGTTTTTGGGCTCAAGGGATCCTCCTGCCTCAGCCTCTCTAGTAGCTGGAGCTGGGACTACAAGTGCGTGCCACCACATCCAGCTCCTCCCTATTCAAAGCCAGCAGTATAGCATCATCAAACCCCTCTCTGTTTCTATTATTATCACATCTCTCTCTTTCTCTTCTATGTCAAATCTCCTTTTGCCTCCCTCTTAGAAGGAAACCTTTGATTGCATTTTGGGCCCATCTGGATAATCCAGGATGATCTCCTTGTCACAAGCGCTATAATTTAATCGCATCTCGAAAGACCCCTTTTCCGTATAAGGTAATATGCACAGGCTGCAGGGATTAGGGTGTAGATCTCTTTGAGGGTCATTATTCAGCCTACCACAGAAGGGAGTTCCATCTTTTTTTTTAAAAAAAGGTCAAAAGCTATTGTGCTAAATAATAACAGAAACACTTACATAGTACATTCTATATGCCAGACATTGTTTTAAGTGTATTTGTGTGTGTGTGTGCTCGTGTGAATCATTTGTTTCTTATTTTAAGGATTTGTGTTTTTCTTTTTCTTTTTTTCTTTTTCTTTTTTTTTTTGAGACAGGGTCTTGCTCTGTCACCAAGGCTGGAGTGCAGTGGCGTGACCTTGACTCACTGCAACTTCCCCCTCCCAGGTTCAAGCGATTCTCGTGTCTTAGCCTCCCTAGTAACTAGGACTACAGGCATGCACCACCACACCTGGCTAATTTTTGTATTTTTAGTAGAGATGGGGTTTCACTATGTTGGCCAGGCTGATCTCAAACTCCTGACCTCAGGGGATCTGCCTTCCTTGGCCTCCCAAAGTGCTGGGATTACAGGCGTGTGCCACAGTGCCCAGCCAGGATTTGTTTTCTGAGACAGAGTCTTGCTGTGTTGTCTAGGCTGGAGTGCAGTGGCATGATCTTGGCTCACTGCAGCCTCAACTTCCTGGACTCAAGTGATCCTCCCACCTCAGCACCTCCAAATAGCGGAGACTACAGGTGTGTGCACCATGCCCAGCTAGTTTTTTTTTTTTTTTTTAAGAGATGGGGTCTTGCTATATTGCCCAAGCTGGTCTCAAACTCCTGAGCTCAAGGGATCCTTCTGCCTCAGCCTTCCAAAGTGCTGGGATTACAGGCATAAACTACTGTGCCTGGCCAGTCCAAGGCTTTTTGACTTAGGTCTACTTAGAATGTGCAAGAGACTCCTTCGCCCATCTAGAACACCTACTTCAATTTTCTATTTGTAAAATAATTTAGTTATTTTAGTAATAGCAATGAAGAGTTATTATAAAAGCAATTGAGAGGGAAAAAGGAAGGGTTTCCATTTGTGTGTCCAATAGGAATGCAGTCACTTAAGTATGAACTGCAAGGTATACTTTTTTAAAAGTATAATTATTGAAAAATTATAATCCGAGAAAATATTGTTGATGCATCTATTTAATAATTTCTGAGTCAGCCAGATCACCAATAATAAACTAAATAGGTAACAATGAAGCTAAACTAATGGGAATTGATAGCTAAAAGAACAAAGAGAGCCACAATAAAAAATATAACTATCTCAGGGCAACATTAATGACAAGAAGTGCTTCATGAAAACTTCAGGAATTCCAACCCACATGTGAGCAGGTGCATGGGCAATAGGAACTTTGATACATTAGCAAGCATTGCCTAGCACAGTCATCTGAGTAGAATATTGAATTACAGTCCTTAATAAACTCTAGAATATGCTAATTTTTCAGTACAACATCAATTTTTTTGTTGTTGTTTTTAGAGACGGATTCTTGCTCTGTCACCCAGGCTAGAGCGAAGTGGCATGATCTTGGCTCACTGCAACCTCCATCTCCTGGATTCAAGTAATTCTCCTGCCTCAGCCTCCCAAGTAGCTGGGATTACAGGCACCCGCTACCACACCCAGCTATTTTTTTTATTTTTTAGTAGAGACGGGGTTTCACCATGTTGGCCAGGCTGGTCTCAAATTCCTGACCTCGTGATCCGCCCCCCTCTGCCTCCCAAAGTGCTAGGATTATAGGCATGAGCCACTGTGCCTGACCAACAAACATCAAATTTTATTCTTAGAAACTTCCTGTAACTATGAAGTCTTTTTTTTTTTTTTGGAGACGAAGTCATGCTCTGTTGCCCAGGCTGGAGTGTAGTGGTGTGATCTCTCTCACTGCAGCCTCTGCCTCCTGGGTTCAAGTGATTCTCCTGTTTCAGCCTCCCTAGTAGCTGGGATTACAGGTGCATGCCACCATGCTTGGCTAATTTTTGTATTTTTAGTAGAGACGGGGTTTCACCATGTTGGCCAGGCTGGTCTTGAACTCCTGACCTCAAGTGATCCGCCTGCCTTGGCCTCCCAAAGTGCTGGGATTACAGGCGTGAACCACTGGCACCCACCTGTATTAAGTCTTGATAATAATGATGAAAACTCACATTTTGAGCCCTTAGTATGTGACAAGCACTGTGCTAAACACTTTAATACATTAATTTCTTAATCCTTGTACTAATAGAAATTATGAATCTGAAGTACAGAGAAGTTAAGTAACTTGCTCCAAGTTGCACAGATAAAAAATAGTGGAGCTGGGAGAGGAACCCAGGCAGCCCCTAAAGAATACATATGGAAGGCTATGGGATAGTTTGAGCCCACCTTCAAGAATCATTGTTTTAGATATTTATAGCACTGCTTTTTTCCAGAGTTGATATATAAAACTCTAGGCACTTTTTATAACCTTTACTGAAGCTACGGTGGACTTGGATTATAGTCATTGATTTCCTGCATTAAATTGTCAGCTCCAGGAGGTCAGAGAACCCATCTTGTTCTTTTGTTTTCCAAGGCCCTAGAAAAATGTCTAGCACAGAGTATTGGATCAATAGATGTATATATACTTTATTTAATTGTTTCACATAAAAATGCTTACCAACATATTTTATTTTTCTGCTGATCTCAACATTTATTATTCCAGTAAACATGTATCTAGCACAAGCCATGTGCCCACTTCAGACATGGGGATACAGCAGTGATAAACTTACACATGGTCCTACCCTCAGGGAGTTTGCAGTCTAATGGGGGAAACAGACACTAAAGGAGCCATTAAGATGATGAGATGATAAGAGAACTATGGATGCCATCCCAGCACACTGTAAAGGGGCTGATCCTAAAAAAAGGCCAGGGAAGGACTTGTGAGGAAGTGTTGAAGGTTGAAAGCTGGAAGATGAGTGGTAAATAGGTCAGATGAAAGGGAAAGGGGATATGTTGGAGAGAATATCTTAGATAGAGGAACAGTGCGTTGAAAGGTCAGGGATGGCCAGGTGTGATGGCCTCACACCTGTAATCCTAGCAGTCTGGGAGGCCAAGGTGGGATCGTTTGAGTCCGGGAGTTCAAGCCCAGCCTGGTCAACATGGTGAGATCCCATCCCTATTTTAAAAAAAAATTAAGAAAGGTGCAGGGATGAGAAGCACAAAGCATTTGTGGACCTACAAGAACTTTATTGGGTCCTTGAGCCTAGTGGACATAAGGGATAAAGGCCAGCCATAAGGCAAGAGAATTAGTCATGGGCCAGCTCTGGGAAGGCCTTGGTAGGAGTATGGAATTTCTCACAAGGTACTGGGAAATCGCTGTAGAATTTTAAACATAATTAATGTTTTGCTAAAATTTACGTCCAGAATGATTTCACTTGTGGGCAGTGCAGAGAATGGATTCACTTGTGACAGTGCAGAGTAGGAAGTAAAACAGAAGGTTGGGAAACCGGTTAGAAGGTTATTGCAATGGTCTTAGTGATAGAGGATAGCAATGGCCAGGATGGAGAGAAACTTGAGAAACAAACACCTAGCCAGCCAAGCAGAGCAACCAAGTTTCTAATGAAAGTGTTAGTCAGACCAGAATTTTCTCCAACTGCGTCATTAACCTCATCACTTGCGATCTTTAAGAGGAAAGAGTATATGCTCTGGTTATTGTTCTGATTCTAAATTTTGTCCCAAAGATCAAGAGTGCAGTACCATCTTCACAGTGAAGATGCACTGGACAGCAGTGTTTAAATGGTCAACTATGGTTGGGAGGGAGGGGGTTGAGGGACCAGAGGCTGAATATTGTAGTTTCAACCAGAGAGAGTCATACATCAAAATTGTCTGTAGAGCTTTTTAAAAATAACTATGCCCGGTCCCCATCCCAGATCTGTGGATTTACAGTCTCCAGAAATGGGGCTGGGGAGTGTGCACTTTATAAAGCTCCATAGAATATTTTGATACTCTATGATTTAGAACTTTGTGTGTAGGGCATGAAATACTGAGGGCTTGAGCAGGGCTTTTCAGAGAATACAAATGTGGGAATTAATAAGGAGGTATAATTTTCAGGACTTGGCAACCGACTGGATGTGACCCAGATGGCAAAGAGAGGTTCTACAGATAGCGGTATCTGTGATCGTCCACTAGACCATTTACAACCTGGGCAGAACTTTTGTGAAAACTGGATAAAGTCACCTCCCTAAGCATAGAGCTTGGCAAGCTGAGCCAGGTGCTGCCATCAGGCCATGGGTTCTATATGGCAGTCCTGGTTTCCCACCTGGAAACAGGAGGTCCAGGCAGCATAGGTGAGCTGGTTAGCAAAGACACTGGTAGATTAAGTTTGGGTCAAAGTGTGTTGGGTAAGCAGGAAAATATTCATCTATCCTCAGGTGTTAGAGCAGGTAAGTGGAAATCCTGTTTGTTGAAGACCAAGGATTGAGCTGGGAGATATTGGCGTAGTGGCAGAGCTGAAGATCTGCATTGTTTGATACAGTCAAAGGGAAGACTGCAGATAGAAAACAGAGTTCTCTGTTACTCGAGTGTAACTGGTGACAGTTAAATTAAATGTACTGGGAAGAAACAATCACTTAGAAAGTAACCAATGATACAACAAAATTCCCTCCATAAAACTTAAATGTTATTTTCCGGAAACTTTAGCCTAAAAAGTAGTAGGAAATTCCATGGTGGGGTAACAGGTTTTATGGGAAAAGTAGGACAGAAGAACCAACCTTGGCGGAACTTATGAATATTGTCACATTTTCTAAACTCAAACAGTGGAGGGCATACTAACTAAATAGACTGTTAGTAGCATTAAACCCAGCCTAAGTTAAAGGGTGCTGGACAGCTAATCGCCGTGTACCACCTCCTGGTTGTTAGACTCTACAGGATTTCTTCCCCCATTTAATCGAGATGGTTGCAAGTTCATTTTGCATTATTGCAGATAATGTTTATTTGCATTTTAAGATATGTTTACTTTATTCCTGTTCTACTCATGTGTCCAGTCTTCTCTGATTTGGAGTTGTTTTCTCCTGCTTCCTGGAGTAACTTGGATATTTGGAAAGGAACATCTGCACAACTGAGAAGATTTTTTTTTTTAAACTCGTTTATTTATGCAGAGGGTCATGAAAACTTCAGCCAAAGAAAGCAGAGCATTGCAAACTGTTAGTTCCTCTTAGAGGTTTCAGTTCTCTTCTCCCAGAAGATAACAGCTAATAATATAAACAACATTCTTTCAACATTTCCATCTGCTGAGTGTTGGGCTCAGAGTTTTACATATGTTGTGCTATTTACCCTTACAATAACATTGTAAAGCAGGTGATACTATCATCTCCATTTCAGAGATGGGGAAGTTGGCTCTTAGCCTAACAAATTTGGTCAAGGTCAAAGCAGTATCATTAGTCAGTGGTAGACATAAATTTGAACGCAGATTGGGCTAACCCTGAAGCCCTAAATCTTCTCTTTTAGAATTATGGTAAAAGACACATATGTTAAATCAAGTTTAGCCTAAAGCTGCCTCCTTACGTATTTTAAGTTCAGCCTAAAGGTTTTGCTGTACATTGTAAACTATAACAAGTGGAGGTGTAAACAGACCATAGCCTACAGTTGTGCCAATCACCAAGTTTTGGCCAATGAAATGTAGCCAACCGTTCGAACGGTGTTCGAATAAGGCAAATGCAGACCTGTAACCAATCCAGCTGTTTCCGAACCTCCCTTTCCTTATTCTGTCCATGAATCTTCCACCACGTGGCTGCCTGATTTGTGAATAGTTCATTGCTCAATTAAACTTCTTTAAATTTAATTCAGCTGAAGTTTTTGTCTTATCACATAGATTTACCATCTTAACCTTTTTTTTTTTTTTTTTTTTTTTTTGAGACAGAATCTTGCTCTGTCGCCCATGCTGGAGTGCAGTGGCATGATCTCGGCTCACTGCAAGCTCCGTCCCCCCGGGTTCATGCCATTCTCCTGCCTCAGCCTCCCGAGTAGTTGGAACTGCAGGTGCCCGCCGCCACGTCCGGCTAATTTTTTTTGTATTTTTTTAAGTAGAGACTGCATTTCACCATGTTGGCCAGGATGGTCTCTATCTCCTGACCTTGTGATCCGCCTGCCTCAGCCTCCCAAAGTGCTGGGATTACAGGCGTGAGCCACCATGCCCGGCCCCATCTTAACCTTTTTTAAGCGTACAGGTCAGTGGCATTACATACCTTCACATTGTTTTGCAAATATCACAACCATTCATCTGCAGAAGTTTTTAATCATCCCAGACTAAAACTCTGTACTCATTAAACAACTCTAAATTCCCGCCTCTTCCAGTCCCTGGTAACTACCTTTCTACTTTCTGTCTCCATAAACTTGACTATTCTAGGTGCCTCATATAAGTACAATCATACAATAGTTGTCCTTTGGTGTCTGGTTTATTTCACTTAGGTTCACTTAGTTTTAGCACTTATAAGGATTTCCTTCCTTTTTAAGGTTGAATACTATTCCATTGTATGTCTATTCTACATCATATTTTGTTTTGCCATTCATCTGCGGATTGGGTTGTTTACACTGTTCGGCTATTGTGAATAATGCTGCTATGAAGATGGGTGTACAGGCCGGGTGCGGGCACGGTGGCTCATGCCTGCAATCCCAGCACTATGGGAGGCCGAGGAGGGCGGATCACTTGAAGTCAGGAGTTTGAAACCAGCCTGGCCAAAATGACAAAAACCCTCTGTCTACTAAAAATACAAAACTTAGCTGGGCATGGTGGTACATGCCTGTAATCCCAGCTGCCTGGGAGGCTGAGGCAGGAGAATTGCTTAAGCCCAGGAGGTGGAGGTTGCAGTGAGCCAAGTCTGTACCACTGCACTGGAGCCTGGTCGACAGGGAAAGACTCCTTCTCAAAAAAAAAAAAAGGGTGTACAAATATCTGTTCGGGTGCCTGATTTCAATTTAAGGCCCTAAATATTAAGCACTGCTCCACAAAGCAGCAAGATCCAGCAAGGTCACAGCTCTGAGATGGAGGCTGACCAGCCTGCAGCTTCCTTTATGTAATCCAGTACGAACATAGCCTCACGGGAGAGGAAAGAAAGGAATACAGGAACTTCGTCTTCCTCCCCACAACTTCCTAGTTGAAAAACAGATTCTACTATTGTCGACCTGATTGTACTTGGAATCAGTTGCAGAAATCCTGAAACATAAGCCACAGCTCTATTTCTTCTCTTTCAGAGTTAAAAAAAAAATACACATTTTGCAACAGTATAGAAAATACCTATTTTTAAAAAATGCTCTGCGATATAACATGACAACTCTCTCTCTCTTCTTTCTTTTCTCTCTCTCTCTTCTCTCTCTTTCTCTCTCAGACAGGGCCTCGCTCTGTTGCCCAGGCTGGAGTGCAGTGGTGCGATTTCGACTCACTGTATTCTCTGCCTCCTGGGCTCAAATAGTCATCCCACCTCAGCCTCTCAAGTAGCTGGGACTACAGGCATGTACCAATACACCTGGCTAATTTTTGTACTTTTTGTAGAGACAGGGTTTGGCTATGTTGCCTAGCCTCATCTGGAACAGCAATCCACCTGCCTCAGCCTCCCAAAGTGCTGGGATTGCAGGCATGAGCCACTGCACCTGGCTGACAATGCCACTTCAACTACACCATCGTACCTACCTGGTCTCCCTGCCCATCTGTATTAGCTATTGTTCATACTGACTATGCATAGATTTGTATCACTTGAAAGGCACATTTCATCCTCTTTAGTCATTTTCTATTTGATGGATCAGGTGTGGTTTATGTCTTGGTAATTAATTAGGAAAATGTAAAAACAAAACTCTCCCTTCTGATTTTTTTTTTTTTTTTAGTAATTTTTCATGCTAAACATCTTTCACAGCCCTTGTCAGTTCTCTCAATCAATCTCTCTCTCTCCCCGCCTTTCCCTCTCTCCCTCTCCCCACCTTTCCCTCTCTCCCTCTCCCCACCTTTCCCTCTCTCCCTCTCTCTCTCTCTCCCTCTCCCTCTGTCTCTCTCTCCCTCTCTCTCCCTCACTCTCCCTCTCTCTCCCTCTCTCTCTCTCCCTCTCCCTCTCTCTCTCTCCCTCTCCCTCTCTCTCTCTCCCTCTCCCTCTCTCTCTCCCTCTCTCTCCCTCACTCTCCCTCTCTCTCCTTCTCTCTCCCTCTCTCTCTCTCTCTCTCTCCCTCTCTCTCCCTCTCTCTCCCTCTCTCTCCCTCACTCTCCCCCTCTCTCTCCCTCTCCCTCTCTCTCTCTCTCTCTCCCTCTCTCTCCCTCACTCTCCCCCTCTCTCTCCCTCTCTCTCCCTCTCTCTCTCCCTCTCTCTCCCTCTCTCCTTCCCTCCTTCCCTCCCATTCAATAGAATGTGGATGAGGCACACTCACATCGTGAAGGGTAACCTGCTTTATTCAAAGTCCACAGACTTAAATCTTAATCTCATCCCAAAAAGCATACTTTCATAGAAACATCTAGAAAAATGAGCAAATATCTGGGCACTGTGTCCCAGTGAAGCTGACACATAGAATTAACCCTCACAGTGTGGGAAAGGCAAGAGAAGTATATTTTATTTTAAACAGGGGAGCTTCGCTACCTGCTAGACTAACAAACAGAGGTTTTAGTGGATGAGCCGTTTAGAAATATCTTATAATTAGAGTAGAAAACAAATAAACTAAGCTCTCTACATGGGAAAGGTCAAAAAGCAGAGGCGTCACCCAGGTCCTGGCTGTGGATTTTCACAGGGTGGTGAGCAGATGGGAGCCTCCCAGTGAGAGCAGAAGGCACCTCTCCCTGGAGGCCAAGGCTCCCGAAGCTGCTGAGGGAGATTAAAAGCCTCCCTGCATGGGACAGTTTCCAGCTCCCACACCCAGCTGGTGGGCTCCTCTTTGCACTGGCTGCCACAGCCAGCAGGTTCCTATGCCCCCTCCCCAGGGCATTCAACTAGAGAAGCAGGCTTGGGGCTGACAGTGGGCTCACACCCCCTGGAGCCCCAGCAATGCCCCACTTCACTTTGCAGAGACCGTGCATCCTGGGCTGTCCTCCTCCACTCCCTGCAGATGCACTTGTTATTTTTCTCATCCTGGAGGATACCTCTATAGTTCTTCAAGGCCCTGTTCAACTGCCATCTCCACAGCGAGGTTGGTGCTGAATCCTCTAGCTGACATTTATTTCTCCTCCATGACATTGTCGCAGCAATTACTCTGAGCTCTGAACTTACACCTTCTTCAACAGATGTCATCTACCTATCTGCGTGACTGTCTTAGTCAACTTGGGCTGCCATACCAAAGTCCTACAGACTGGGTGGCTTCAACCACAAACATTGATTTCCTCACAGTTCTGGAGGCTGGAAGGCCAAGATCAAGGTGTGAGCAGAGCTGGTTTTTTCCGAAACCTCTTTCTTTGACGTGTAGATGTCTTCTCCCTGTGTCTTCACATGGTCTTTCCTCTGCACATGCAAATTTGGTGTCCAAATTTCCCCTCTTTATAAGGACACCAGTCATATTGAATTTAGGCCAACCTAATGACCTTGTCTTAACTTATTTACCCATAATCCCTTATCTCCCGAGTCACCTATCTCCCAAATAAGGTCACCTTCTGAGGTACTGAGAGGGGGACAGAACTCGGAAATTTTTGGCAGGTGGGTGGGCATAACTCTGCCCTTAACAGTGACCTTGGGTGACTTGCTTCACCACTCAGTTTCCTGACCTGCAAAAGGGGGATACAAATAATGACTATCCCATAGTATTTTTATAAAGATGAAATCAGTTAGTGTACGTAAAACAATTAGTATAGAGTCTGATATCAGTCATCCAATAAACAGAAGTTACTTTAGTAATACTTAAAATGATTACTTATTAAATAAAAGTTATTAGTTATTTTGAAATATTTTAAAAGAATGCAGTGTATTGGGCCTTAACAAAGAAGGAAATCCTGTCATCTGTGACAGCATGGATGAACCTGGAGGACATTATGTCCAGCAAAATAAACCAGGCACAGAAAGACAAATGCCGCATGATCTCATGCATACATGGAATTTACAAAAGCTGAATTCATAGAAGTAGAGCACTCTATGGGGGGTGGCGAGTCGGGGGATGTTGGTTAAATGATAAAAAAAAGTTTAGATAAGAGGGATAAGTCCCAGAGATCTATTGTACAACATGGTGACTATAGTTAGTAATCTATTTTGAAAATCACTAAGAGAATAGATTTTTTAAAAAAAATATATAGAAGGTGTGTCACCATGTTGCCCAGGCTAGTCTCAAACTCCTGAGCTCAAGTGACCTACCCCCTTGGCCTCCCAAAGTGCTGGGATTATAGGCATAAGCCACCATGCCTGGCCTAGAGAATCGATTTTTAAGTGCTTTCACCACAAAAAATAAATATGTGAGGTAATGCACATTAATTAGCTCAACTTAGCCATTCACAGTGTATACATATTTCAGAACATCATGTTGTACACAATAAATATATACCATTTTATTTGTCAGTTAAAAATTAAAAAAAGGATTTAACATAAAATTGTTCTTACTAAAATAAGAATAATTAATAATAAGAGCAGTGAGTTAAAACTGTGGGCTTTGGAGTCATGCAGACATGAACTCCAGGCTCCAGCACCTGCTAGTTTTTGGTCAAGGCAAATTACTTAATCTGTTTGTCTGTATCTCAGTTTTTTGATCTGTAAATGGGAATATGAAATAACTGCCCCACAGAATTGTGTATAGATCTGTTGAGCTAATGTATAGAAAACATGTTAATCATTCAATAAATAGTAGCTCTACCAGTTAGATTTAAGGCCAATATGTATGTCCACAGTACTGTGCTTAAAGAAGAGAGAGGTTTATTTTTCCCTCATGTAATAGTCCATGGTGAGTGATCCGGGCTGAGAAGGCAGCTCTGCATTACCAGATAAGTTGCATCCCAAGTCCCTTCCCCCTGTTGCTCTGCCATCCTAGGGTGTTGTCCCCATCCATGAAGTTGAAGGGGGATTGTTGTGGGGTCTATGTTCCAGCCAGTGGGAAGGGGAAAGAGGAAATCTAGGATTAAGTGACTTTAAGTAAGTGACAGAGAAGATTTCATCTTTAGTAAGAACTTAACCACATGGCCATATTTAACTCCAGAAAAGCTGGGAGATAGCCTCTAGCTTGACAGCCTGTGCAGGGCCAGAATTACACCGTGACTATGAAGAGAGAATGGATCTGGGGTTGTGGGTGAGGGCAATTAGTAGCCTGCCACAGCAGCTTTGATAATATCATCGTGTGGCTTAAAAATACAGCTGGTGTGCCTTCCAACATCTTACCACTGTGATTATACTGTATAGCTCTTGAAGGGAGAGGTGTCTCCTATCACTTCAGTCCATCTTTACATCCAAAGAGCTAAGCCATAAATGCATTTTTGCCAGTTGCTTTAATAAATACTTGAACTTAGTTGTATGTATCAAGCAACATAGCATTAATATGGTTATACTTTAAAACCAGGTCTCCTTTAATTTTTAAAAAATATATCTTCCAGCTCTGTTGCCTATACAGTAAATAACATTTTTCTAGTTTACTCCCATTACACACTCTTAGAAACATTCCTAAAAAAAATATCAATCTGATTAGTAGAGAAAAATTAAGGCCTGAGAAACACTTTGGAAAACGTGTGCTGTGAAAACTATAAATTCTTTGGTTGAGAATAAGCAAGCATTAGAACTGGTATTTTATATAACATTATTTTTTAAATGGTTTAGCAATACAGTTTTGTAAGTTTCCCACCCTGTCCCTAACACAGTTGCTGGTGCTCCTCACACCAGGCTTGGGTTTTTGTTTTCATCTGTCTCCAGCCATCCTTTTTCAATTTCTTTTTCTTTTTCTTTTGTTTTTTCTTTTTTTTTTTTTTTTTTTTTTTTTTGAGACAGAGTTTCACTCTTGTTGCCCAGGCTGGAGTACAATGGCACGATCTCGGCCCACCGCAACCTCCACCTCCCGGGTTCAAGCAATTCTCCTGCCTCAGCCTCCCGAGTAGCTGGGACTACAGGCATGCACCACCATGCCCAACTAATTTGTATTTTTAGTAGAGATGGGGTTTCTCCATGTTGGTCAGGCTAGTCTCAAACTCCCAAGCTCAGGTGACCCACCTGCCTTGGCCTCCCAAAGTGTTGGGATTACAGGTGTGAGCCACTGCGCTGGGCCTTTCAATTTCTTTAACTATTGTTTTTCTGTACATCTTCCCACCAAAATTTTTCAGTAACTGCAAGATTTTACTGCTCATCCTCTTTTCTTATTCCACTTTTTCCAGGTGAGCTCATTCATTTTCACACACATTTTCTCTACCCAGATTCATATTTTGCATTGAATTCCAGCCAAAAATTTCCAGGTACCCATCAGACATCTCCACCAGAATGTCCTACAGCTAGCTCCAATGCAATGTGCTTAAAACTGAGGTTGTCATCTGACCTGCCAATTGGTTCCTTCTTCTGTATTCTCTCAGTGAAGAATATTGTCATCTATACTATAAGCTAGAAAGTTTGCACTCTGCTGTTTCTCCTCCTTTTCGCCCTCCTCTGCACAATCTAAATGTTCAACAATCAATGCCTATCACTTCTTTTTTTTTTTTTTTTTTTTGAGATGGAGTCTCGCTCCATCGTCAGGCTGGAGTGCAGTGGTGCAATCTCGGCTCACTGCAACCTCTGCCTCCCGGGTTCAAGTAATTCTCCTGCCTCAGCCTCCCGAGTAGCTGGGACTACAGGCACACACCACCACACCCAGCTAAATTTTGTATTTTTAGTAGAGACAGGGTTTCACCATGTTGGCCAGGATGGTCTCAATCTCCTGACCTCATGATCCGCCTGCCTTGGCCTCCCAAAGTGCTGGGATTATAAGCATGACCCACCGCACCTGGCCCAATGCCTGTGATTTCTAACTTTGCAATGCCTTTGGGATCCATTCCCTCTTCTCTATTTCTTCTATCACTGCCACAGACTTAAAAAAAATCATCTCTGGCAGTATCGTGTTATTGGTTCTAGTCTTCAGCCAGCAGCTTTCTAAAATACACATCTGAGCTTGTTACTTCCTTTAAAAAAATATTTATATATATATAATGGCTTTCCATGGCCATTAGGAGACTGTAAATTCTTTGGCAAGAATAATCAATAATCATCACACTCTGGTTTATTCTTTGCAATCTTCTCCCACTATCAGCAATTATGTAACTCATAGTCTAATGCTTTGACTATTTGGCATTTCCCCAAAATGCCTTATAAAGTCCTACCCCTGTATCCTTTTTCATGCTAGTCCCTCTACCTGAAATATGTAAGAAAACCCATAAGTACAGTAAGGGGTAAGAAAACAGGAGTGATTGCCATTCTCTGGCATCATTGGCAGGACATTTCTTTTGGAGAGATGGACCTGCAATGGGGAATAATGTGGCACACAATGTGTCTTCATGGTGGTGAAAGATATAAATGACACTGAAAATCAGAAGAAGTTTGCGAGTCCAAACAGCATTTCAGACCATTTAATTTTGGGCAGGCCAGTTGTGGTCGCTCACACCTGTAATTCCAGCACTTTGGGAGGCTGAGAAGGCAGATTGCTTGAGCCCAGCAGTTTGAGACCAGCCTGGGTAACAAGTCAAAACCCTGTCTCTCTGCCAAAGGTACAAAAATTAACCAAGTATGGTAGCTCACACCTCTAATCCCAGCTACTCAAGAGGGTGAGGTGGGAGGATCCCTTGAGCCCGGGAGGCAGATGTTGACGTGAACCAAAATTGCAAAACTGCACTCCAGAGTGAGACCTTTTCGCAAAAAAAAAAAATTAAAAACAATAATTTTTGGCAAACTCTTTTATCTTGTAGAACCACAGATTCACCAACTGAAAACTGGGTATGGAGAGCATCATTTCAGCTAACAGTAATAACATACCTTTAGAAGAGATAGTGTGTTGGGCTCTCTGAAGGTTGATGCTAATTGGAAAACAGCACAAAAGCAAACCAAATTAAACTCTAGTCTCTACCATTGAGGAGCTTCCTCTAAGAATTACCAAAATCAGCGTCTGAGGCAGGCTGGACTGGTGTGAGCATTCTGATGGCTGCAAGAGGCAGCGAGGTCTCAGATGAAAAAGTGGGAACCAAGTGAATCCTTCACCCTGCTTCTTCCACTTGGTATGCCCCCCTTCTTCCTGACAGTAACTAGCTCTTCCGGAAGGCAGCAGAATCAGCATTTACCTGGGCTGCAGATGTCTCTCCCACAGAGCTTCCCTGCTGGTGATAAACAGCCTGGGGAAGTGACGATGGAGCATGTGGCAAATATCCAGTGAACACTGAAGGCAGATAACACACCTCCTTTAGACACAAGTGGAATCCATTCTGGATTACAGAATGGGCTATAGGGCCAGTGAAATGTTTCCCCACATGCACTCTTCACCCTAGCACTTACTTCTCCCTTCTTCATCTTTTGGTCATAATGAAGACTATGAAGAGATAATGGATCTGGGGTGGTGGATGAGGGCAATTAGTGGCCTGCCGCAGCAGCTTTGATAATATCATTGTGTGGCTTAAAAACACAACTGGTGTGCCTTCCAATATGTTCTAAATTGTTTTCAAAAAAGAACTTTCTCACATCATTCAGAGCATTATTCTCATGCTGGGGTATTTGATCAGCCTGGACACTTGGGCTTGCAGAACTCCATAAATACTTTTGATTACAGTGAGAGAGACAGAATTGGAATCAGCTGTGGCAAAGTGTGTTTGGAGAAACATTTTCAGAATATGAGAATATCATGCTTATGGGGATGGTTTAGGCGTTAGCACCAGGAGAAGGATATTTGGAAGAAAATCCTATAAATGATGGAAATCTTACACATATGGCAGGATTGTCTTAGTTTTCCTAGAGAGTGTAGACTAGGGCTAGCACCCAGGCTAGCACTCTTTCTGAAACTGGCCACTGTCTCTGGTGATACTATCTCTGCCATAGGCTACTGACAATGTACCACATGTAGGATGCCAGCTGATGAATAAGTGACTAAACACTCAGCAACTATCACTGTAGTGAAACTTAAAGCTTTTTTTTTTTTTGGCTTTTTTGTTTGTTTGTTTGAGACAGGGTCTCACTCTGTTGCCCAGAATGGAGGGTAGTGGTGTGATCACGGCTCACTGCAGCCTCAATCCCTGGGCTCAGGTAATCCTCCCACCTCAGCCACCTGAGTAACTGGGACTACTGGTGTGCCCCCCCCATGCCCAGCTATTTTTTGTATTTGTGTGTGTGTGCGTCTGTAGAGACAGGATTTTGCCATGTTGCCAGGCCAGTCTTGAACTCTGGGGCTCAAGTGACCTGCCCACCTCAGCCTCCCAAAGTGCTGGGATTACAGGCATGAGCAACTGAACCCAGCTGAAGCACAAAACTTTATGAGAGTGAATTGATTATGGAGAAATGGTGGAAATGTTGCCCTGATACACCAGTCAGAAGATGTGAGAAAACAGTTGAAACAGAAGCAAGGAAATGAGAATTTTGATGACAGTATTGCATCTGTCTGAGAGTTTGTTCTTTCTGCCAGTTCCTTGGGCTTATGCCTTAGTCTAGGGTGGAAGGGATGAATAACAGAAAAGCAAGGAGTGGTTCTCACACATGGCTCACTGTTGGGCACTGGGAACCGAGGCAAGTCTCCCCTGGAATCATGGTGACAGAATGGTAGGGGAAGGCATGCTCTCCACTTTGGGATGTTTTTTTTTTTTTTTTTTTTTGGTCAATATTCAATATAATGGGAGGGCTGTTTTAAGGCAGATCTGTATTGACTCAGAGTGACCTTGATGGCCAACCCCCATGGTAGAGAAGAAGCATCTTGATTTGACTTTGTCAGCAAAATTGGGAAAGAGAGCCAGAGCAGAAGAAAAGGAAAGAACATGTGCCCAGGCGTGGCAGTACATGTTTGTTTGGGAGGTTCTCCCACTACCCCAGGAAGGTTGGAGAAAGGGGAGAAGGAGGCCTCACCCAAGTGGGTGGAAATGAACCAGATAAGTGTGTTATATTAAATCACCAAAATAAAGTGTCTCAAACACCTTTCAACTTACGCCAAATCCTAAGTCATGACATTGCTAAGAGGCTACTTGCTGTTCTTTTCCCAATTTAATTTAGAGGCTTGCGGATTTCATTTGACACAGTCCTGTTAGGTATCTACAAAGGTTCTATATGCAGCTGTAAATTTGCTTTTCTAAGAAAAGACTACAAAGATGCATCTTGATTTTTCACCTAAGTGTTCTTATGAAGATAAAACTCTTAAAAGATGAACTTCATATTTTCTTGGTTTATGACCGTTTTATTTTATTTTATTTTATTGTTTTTTGGCTTCTTAAGAAGGAGACTTTCACACCTAGAGATGAGCTAGAGTTATTTTATGTGTGCATCTGCTATCTTCTAGACTTCTTCAGGGGTCACTGTCAGCAATTACCAAGCATTCGCCTTTTCTATTACTAATAATTGTACATTTTTGTAATGCTGTTAAGCTCACAGAGCACAATAACCTAACACCTTAATATATTTTCTTCTCACAAGCTATGGGCTACATTTTACAGATAAGAAAACTAAAACTCGAATATTGTCTTCAAGGACTAGCTGCTAATGGGACAGATGCTGCCTAAAGCTGGGCCTCCTGGCTTTAAAGCTGTATTCTGTCTGCTATGTAAAGGGATACTGTACTACCAGTAAGTGTTATTTATAAGTCATTTCTAAAACGTAATTCTATCCAGACCTTGTCAACCAAATCGATGAGCCGGAAAAAAATGATAGGTTTTCCCTCTCTTTGACATAATTGAGAAAATTGACCAAAATGCAGCCTATGGGAAGAAGAAAATTTTTCAGAAATCTCAAGTTGTAATTTTGGTGTATGTTTCTCTGATAGAAGTTTGCCAATACAATGTTGGGCATGTGCAGTGTGGCTCTTTCTTGATGCACTAATCTCTCATATAGAGTACACAACATAGGGCTTGCTCCCTTTTACAATAAACTGCTGTCTTCTTTTGTCCCTGTCTTTCTCATTCAAAATCTGGGCAGGGCGCAGGAAAGCCCACAAGGAGACCACAGAGTCACCCCTTGCTGATGCAACAATATGCCTAAAGCTGTTAAAACTACAAGCCATCCTCTTGTAAAACACCACAAGGCAAAGTGGGCATGGCCCACATTTCTCCCTTGGTCATCCCTCAAAACTCTACCTTTTCTGATTTCATTTTCCCTTTAGTGTTCAATTTTATCTGATGTCCCTCATTTGAATATATTAGGGGCTGCCACGATTTCATTAGCCCTGTTTAGGCAGAAAACAAATACTGTTTCTCTTGTTGAATGACAGATTTTGCATGTTCTTCCTAGAATATATTACTTAAAAAACCCACTTGAGTTCCATTTTGTCCTGAGGTAAAAAGCTCACATGATTGATATGAGTAAAGTGTTTGAAACCATGGCACCTGGTCACTGATGGCTTCAGCACTAAAGCAAGTTAACTTGCTATTTCTGGAGGAATGACTGTCAGTTCAGCAATGTATTAGAACTTTTTTTTTTTTTTTTTTTTTTTACTGTGAGAAAGTTCCTCCTTTTTTAAATATTTTTTATTTTTTTATTATACTTTAAGATTTAGGGTCCATGTGCACAACGTGCAGGTTTGTTACATGTGTATACATGTGCCATGTTGGTGTGCTGTACCCATTAACTCGTCATTTAGCATTAGGTATATCTCCTAATGCTATCTCACCCCCCTCCCCCCACCCCACAACAGGCCCTGGTGTGTGATGTTCCCCTTCCTGTGTCCACGTGTTCTCATTGTTCAGTTCCCACCTATGAGTGAGAACATGTGGTGTTTGTTTCTTTGTCCTTGCCATAGTTTGCTGAGAATGATGGTTTCCAGCTTCATCCGTGTCCCTCCAAAGGACATGAACTCATCCTTTTTTATGGCTGCATAGTATTCCATGGCGTATATGTGCCACATTTTCTTAATCCATTCTGTTATTGTTGGACATTTGGGTTGGTTCCAAGTCTTTGCTATTGTGAATAGTGCCACAATAAACATACATGTACATGTGTCTTTATAGCAGCATGATTTATTGTCCTTTGGGTATATACCCAGTAATGGGATGGCTGGGTCAAATGGTAATTGTAGTTCTAGATCCCTGAGGAATCACCGCACCGACTTCTGCAAAGGTTGAACTAGTTTGCAGTCCCACCAACAGTGTAAAAGTGTTCCTATTTCTCCACATCCTCTCCGGCACCTGTTGTTTCCTGACTTTTTAATGATCGCCATTCTAACTGGTGTGAGATGGTATCTCATTGTGGTTTTGATTTGCATTCTCTGATGGCCAGTGATGATGAGCATTTTTTCATGTGTCTGTTGGCTGCATAAATGTCTTCTTTTGAGAAGTGTCTGTTCATATCCTTCACCCATTTGTTGATGGGGTTGTTTGTTTTTTTCTTGTAAATTTGTTTGAGTTCTTTGTGGATTCTGGATATTAGCCCTTTGTCAGATGAGTAGATTGTAAAAATTTTCTCCCATTCTGTAGGTTGCCTGTTCACTCTGATGGTAGTTTCTTTTGCTGTGCAGAAGCTCTTTAGTTTAATTAGATCCCATTTGTCAATTTTGGCTTTTGTTGCCATTGCTTTTGGTGTTTTAGACATGAAGTCCTTGCCCATGCCTATGTCCTGAATGGTATTGTCTAGGTATTCTTCTAGGGTTTTTATGGTTTTAGGTCTAACATTTAAGTCTTTAATCCATCTTGAATTAATTTTTGTATAAGGTGTAAGGAAGGGATCCAGTTTCAGCTTTCTACACATGGCTAGCCAGTTTTCCCAGCACCATATATTAAATAGGGAATCCTTTCCCCATTGCTTGTTTTTGTCAGGTTTGTCAAAGATCAGAGAGTTGTAGATATGTGGCATTATTTCTGAGGGCTCTGTTCTGTTCCATTGATCTATATCTCTGTTTTGGTACCAGTACCATGCTGTTTTGGTTACTGTAACCTTGTAGTATAGTTTGAAGTCAGGTAGCGTGATGTCTCCAGCTTTGTTCTTTTGGCTTAGGATTAACTTGGCAATGTGGGCTCTTTTTTGGTTCCATATGAACTTTAAAGTAGTTTTTTCCAATTCTGTGAAGAAAGTCATTGGTAACTTGATGGGGATGGCATTGAATCTATAAATTACCTTGGGCAGTATGGCCATTTTCATGATATTGATTCTTCCTACCCATGGGCATGGAATGTTCTTCCATTTGTTTGTATCCTCTTTTATTTCATTGAGCAGTGGTTTGTAGTTTTCCTTGAAGAGATCCTTCGCATTCCTTGTAAGTTGGATTCCTAGGTATTTTATTCTCTTTGAAACAATTGTGAATGGGAGTTCACTCATGATTTGGCTGTTTGTCTGTTATTGGAGTATAAGAATGCTTGTGATTTTTGCACATTGATTTTGTATCCTGAGACTTTGCTGAAGTTGCCTGTCAGCTTAAGGAGATTTTGGGCTGAGACTATGGGGTTTTCTAGATATACAACCATGTCATCTGCAAACAGGGACAATTTGACTTCCTTTTTTCCTAATTGAATACCCTTTATTTCCTTCTCCTGCCTAATTGCCCTGGCCAGAAATTCCAACACTGTGTTGAATACGAGTGGTGAGAGAGGGCATCCCTGTCTTGTGCCAGTTTTCAAAGGGAATGCTTCCAGTTTTTGCCCATTCAGTATGATATTGGCTGTGGGTTTGTCATAGATAGCTCTTATTATTTTGAGATATGTCCCATCAATACCTAATTTATTGAGAGTTTTTAGCATGAAGGGCTGTTGAATTTTATCAAAGGCCTTTTCTGCATCTATTGAGATAATCATGTGGTTTTTGTCTTTGGTTCTGTTTATATGCTGGATTACATTTATTGATTTGCGTATGTTGAACCAGCCTTGCATCCCAGGGATAAAGCCCACTTGATCATGGTGGATAAGCTTTTTGATGTGCTGCTGGATTTGGTTTGCCCGTATTTTATTGAGGATTTTTGCATCAATGTTCATCAGGGATATTGGTCTGAAATTCTCTTTTTTTGTTGTGTCTCTGCCAGTCTTTGGTATCAGGATGATGCTGGCCTCATAAAATGAGTTAGGGACGATTCCCTTTTTTCTATTGATTGGAATAGTTTCAGAAGGAATGGTACCAGCTCCTCCTTGTACCTCTGGTAGAATTCGACTGTGAATCCGTCTGGTCCTGGACTTTTTTTGGTTGGTAAGCTATTAATTATTGCCTGAATTTCAGAGCCTGTTATTGGTCTATTCAGAGATTCAACTTCTTCCTGGTTTAGTCTTGGGAGGGTGTATGTGTCGAGGAATTTACCCATTTCTTCTAGATTTTCTAGTTTATTTGCATAGAGGTGTTTATAGTATTCACTGATGGTAGTTTGTATTCCTGTGGGATTGGTGGCGATATCCCCTTTGTCATTTTTTATTGTGTCTATTTGATTCTTCTCTCTTTTCTTCTTTATTAGTCTTGCTAGCAGTCTATCAATTTTGTTGATCTTTTCAGAAAACCAGCTCCTGGATTCATTGATTTTTTTTGTGTCTCTATCTCCTTCAGTTCTGCTCTGATCTTAGTTATTTCTTGCCTTCTGCTAGCTTTTGAATGTGTTTCCTCTTGCTTCTCTAGTTCTTTTAATTGTGATGTTAGGGTGTCAATTTTAGATCTTTCCTGCTTTCTCTTGTGGGCATTTAGTGCTATAAATTTCCCTCTACACACTGCTTTGAATGTGTCCCAGAGATTCTGGTATGTTGTGTCTTTGTTGTCATTGGTTTCAAAGAACATCTTTATTTCTGCCTTCATTTCGTTATGTATCCAGCAGTCATTCAGGAGCAGGTTGTTCAGTTTCCATGTAGTTGAGTGGTTTTGAGTGAGTTTTTTAATCCTGAGTTCTAGTTTGATTGCACTGTGGTCTGAGAGACAGTTTGTTATAATTTCTGTTCTTTTACATTTGCTGAGGAGTGCTTCCAACTATGTGGTCAATTTTGGAATAGGTGTGGTGCGGTGCTGAGAAGAATGTATATTCTCTTGATTTGGGGTGGAGAGTTCTGTAGATGTCTATTAGGTCTGCTTGGTGTAGAGCTGAGTTCAATTCCTGGATATCCTTGTTAACTTTCTGTCTCCTTGATCCGTCTAATGTTGACAGTGGGGTGTTAAAGTCTCCCATTATGATTGTGTGGGAGTCTAAGTCTCTTTGTAGGTTTCTAAGTTCTTGCTTTATGAATCTGAGTGCTCTTGTATTGGGTGCATATATATTTAGGATAGTTAGCTCTTCTTGTTGCATTGATCCCTTTACCATTACATAATGGCCTTCTTTGTCTCTTTTGATCTTTGTTGGTTTGAAGTCTGTTTTATCAGAGACTAGGATTGCAACCCCTGCCTTTTTTTGTTTCCATTTGCTTGGTAGATCTTCCTCCATCCCTTTATTTTGAGCCTATGTGTGTCTCTGCACGTGAGATGGGTCTCCCAAATACAGCACACTGATCAGTCTTGACTCTTTATCCAATTTGCCAGTCTGTTTCTTTTAATTGGAGCATTTAGCCCATTTACATTTAAGGTTAATATTGTTATATGTGAATTTGATCCTGTCATTATGATGTTAGCTGGTTATTTTGCTCATTAGTTGATGCAGTTTCTTCCTAGCCTTAATGGTCTTTACAATTTGGCATGTTTTTGCAGTGGCTGGTACCGGTTGTTCATTTCCATGTTTAGTGCTTCCTTCAGGAGCCATGTAAGGCCAGCCTGGTGGTGACAAAATCTCTCAGCATTTGCTTGTCTGTAAAGGATTTTATTTCTCCTTCACTTATGAAGCTTATTTTGGCTGGATATGAAATTCTGGGTTGAAAATTCTTTTCTTTAAGAATGTTGAATATTGGCCCCCACTCTCTTCTGGCTTGTAGAGTTTCTGCCAAGAGATCAGCTGTTAGTCTGATGGGACCCGACCTTTCTCTCTGGCTGCCCTTAGTATTTTTTCCTTCATTTCAACTTTGGTGAATCTGACAATTATGTGTCTTGGAGTTGCTCTTCTTGACGAATATCTTTGTGGTGTTCTCTGTATATCCTGAATTTGAATGTTGGCCTGCCTTGCTAGATTGGGGAAGTTCTCCTGGATAATATCCTGCAGAGTGTTTTCCAGTTTGGTTCCATTCTCCCGTCACTTTCAGGTACAGCAATCGGGTGTAGATTTGGTCTTTTCACATAGTCTTATATTTCTTGGAGGCTTTGTTCGTTTCTTTTTATTCTTTTTTCTCTAAGCTTCTCTTCTTGCTTCATTTCATTCATTTGATCTTCCATCACTGATACCCTTTCTTCCAGTTGATCGAATCGGCTACTGAGGCTTGTGCATTAGTCACGTAGTTCTCGTGCCGTGGTTTTCAGTTCTATCAGGTCCTTTAAGTACTTCTCTGCATTGGTTATTCTAGTTATCCATTCGTCTAATTTTTTTTCAAGGTTTTCAACTTCTTTGCCATGGGTTCAAACTTCCTCCTTTAGCTTGGAGAAGTTTGATCTTCTGAAGCCTTCTTCTCTCAACTTGTCAAAGTCATTCTCTGTCCAGCTTTGTTCTGTTGCTGTTGAGGAGCTGCATTCCTTTGGAGGAGGAGAGGTGCTCTGATTTTTTAGAATTTCCGGTTTTTCTGCTCTGTTTTTTCCCCATCTTTGTGGTTTTATCTACCTTTCGTCCTTGATAACGGTGACATACAGATGGGGTTTTGATGTGGATGTCCTTTCTGTCTGTTAGTTTTCCTTCTAACAGGTGTGTTGCAGTTAGCTGCACCTCAGCTGCAGGTGTGTTGGAGTTTGCTGGCGGTCCACTCCAGACCCTGTTTGCCTGGGTATCCACATTGGGGGCTGCAGAACAGCAAATATTGGTGAACAGCAAATGTTGCTGCCTGATCGTTCCTCTGGAAGTTTTGTCTCAGAGGAGTACCCAGCCGTGTGAGGGGTCAGGCTGCCCCTACTGGGGGTGCCTCCCAGTTAGGCTACTCAGGCGTCAGGGACCCACTTGAGGAGGCAGTCTGTCTGTTCTCAGATCTCAAGCTGTGTGCTGGGAGAACCACTACTGTCTTCCAAACTGTCAGACAGGGGCATTTAAGTCTGCAGAGGTTTCTGCTGCCTTTTGTTTGGCTGTGCCCTGCCCCGAGAGGTGGAGTCTACAGAGGCAGGCAGGCCTCCTTGAGCTGTGGTGGGCTCCACCCAGTTCGAGCTTCCTGGCTGCTTTGTTTACCTACTCAAGCCTAGGCAATTGCGGGTGCCCCTCCCCCAGCCTCACTGCCGCCTTGCAGTTTGATCTCAGACTGCTGTGCTAGCAATGAGCAAGGCTCCGTGGGCGTAGGACCCTCTGAGCCAGGCGTGGGATAAAATCTCCTGGTGTGCCGTTTGCTAAGACCATTGGAAAAGCGCAGTATTAGGGTGGGAGTGACCCGATTTTCCAGGTGCTGTCTGTCACCCCTTTCTTTAACTAGGAAAGGGAATTCCCTGACCTCTTGTGCTTCCCGGGTGAGGCAATGCCTCGCCATGCTTCGGCTCACACTCGGTGTGCTGCAACCACAGTCCTGCACCCACTCTCCGACACTCCCCAATGAGATGAACCCAGTACCTCAGTTGGAAATACAGAAATCACCTGTCTTCTGTGTCGCTCACTTTGGGAGCTGTAGACTGGAGCTGTTCCTATTTGGCCATCTTGGCTCCACCTGCTTTTTTTTTTTTTTGAGACGGAGTCTCACTCTGTCACCCAGGTTGGAGTGCAGGGGCGTGATCTCGGCTCACTGCAAGCTCCGCCTCCCAGGTTTATGCCATTCTCCTGCCTCAGCCTCCTGAGTAGCTGGCACCACAGGCAATGTATTAGAACTTCTTTAGGTCCAACAGCAAGACACGGTGCAGAGCAGGAGAATTTCCTACCAGTTAGGTGGTAACCAAGAATAATTCTAGACAACAGCTAAGTGATGACAGGTGTAATCTTCCTGCATACATGGTTTCAGTGTCAAACGCACTATTTCAGTTTCTAACATATTCAAGCACGGACAATATATGAAACATGCACATTTGTGTACTGTGTGGAGCACCTTTTGTTTTTCTGGCTATTGTTGTCTTGGTTCCTCTAATTTGCTTCCAGTTTGTGCAGGGCATGCCTAACAGTGAGCTGGAGGTCTGGATCTTGCAGGGGTTTGTCCCATAGTTTGGGTGACTTGGATAGGACCTGAACTTGTCCTACTGGAGCTGGTGTCCACTTGCTTAAGAGTGGCTAGTTCTTTCACTCAAAGCTGCTGCTCTGGAGAGCCATAGGTAGGTGTAGGAAATGGAGGTACAATGAACTTTCTAATCACTTCCCTTATGATAAGAATGCCTTTATATTTGTATCTGATATCTGTGTTACAAAGCACTTTCAAGTTGCTAAATATTATGATTTCTGTAAGAATCTTGTTGTCAGGAAGGATTATTATCCAGAGTCCACAAATGGAGAAACTGAGAAACCTAGGGATAAGAAATAAGGAGTAAGAACAAATGTTACTTTTTGTTACCATTTACTGAGCACCTACTAGGTACCAGTCATGGTCATCACTGCTGTATTCATATGATCACTGATTTGGGTATCAGACCTTAATCTCATTTCATTGACAAAGAATCTGATGCTAAATTGCTCAGTTAGGTAAATGTTTTCCTCAAGGATACAGAGAAAGTTCCAGAGCTGGATATAAACTCAGGCTCCTGTGGCTCCAAATCTCAGGGTCTTTCTACCATATCACACTTAGGTGATTTGCTCAAGGAAGCCGAGGTCTTCTGACTTTAGAACTAATTTGCTTTCCAATGCATCAAGATATCTCTTTGTGGTATAATCTTCTTATAGCTATTTTAAAGCTCCTCTTTAACTGATGTGCTCTCCTATATTCCCTTTCTCACATACCTAGATTTCCCTAAGAAGAATGTCCAACTAAAAATGATGTTTCCTAACATGGCTTGGTAGCACTTCGGGTTATAGCCAAATCATGATATTCTCAAAACAAAGGCAAGCTTAATTGCCTTTTTTTTCTTTTAAATAAAAAAGAAAATACATACTGAGCAGCACTTTTTAGAAAGAAGAGGGTGGCATTATGGAATATTATTATCCTAGGCAAGCCTTGGGTTTGGAGCATTTCCACTTCTATTAGTCAAGGATCTTTCATTGAAAGAAAATTAACTCAAAACATCTTCAGGAACAAAGGCATTGACTAGTTCAGATTCATGAAAGGTCTTGGGTAGACTACATGCTGGCTCTGTCTTTTTCCACTTCTTACCTCTGTTTTCCTCTGTGTTGTTTTCATTCTCAGAGAGGCCCTCTCTAAGGGACAATGTATTAGTTTGCTAGGGCTGCTGTAACTAAGTACCATATGCTGGTGGTTTAGGCAACAGAAATCTATTGTCTCCCAGTTCTGGAGGCTGGAGGTCCAAGATCAAGACACAAACAGGGTTAGTTCCTTCTTACGGCTATGAGGCAGAGTCTTTTCCAGGCCTCTCTCCTTGGCTTTTAGACAGCTGCCTTCTCCCTGTGTCTCTTCACATTATCTTCCCTCTATGCCTCTGTCTCTGTCTGTCTGTGCCAAAGTTTCCCTTTTTATAGAGACATCAGTCATGTTGGATTAGGACCTACTATAATGATCTTATTTTTAATTGTAAAGACTGCATCACCAAATAAGATCATATTTTGAGGTCCTGGGAGTTAGGACTCCAACATATGAATTTGGCAGACAGGGGGGCAATTCAGCTTATAACAAGTGGGAAGATTGCTACTCCAGAGTTACAAGGTCTGGGTAGTTCCCAATCCTAGAGAAAAGTGAGCCACCCTCAAAGCATAGAATCTCCTGCGAGTCCGACTGTCTCTGGCTGGTCAGGTGTGCATATCTTAGACCCATCCCTGTGGACATGTGGATGGTTTCTGGAGTGGTGGGGAGCCACAAGTGTTTTTTGTTTGTTTGTTTGTTTGTTTGTTTGTTTTGTAGTATAAGTGGGTGGAGTCAGCTCCTCTTCTCCAGTAACTTCCTCCTTAAGCCACTGTCCAATCAGCAATATAACCTATGGGATTTTCAGTGTTCTAGGGGCAGCTCTGCCAAAAAAGGAGAATGTTTCCTGACTCCCCAAAAGCTAGAGGTCACCTTCATCATAAAGGGTTTTATTTATTTGCTTGTTTCTTTTAATCAAGACAACACCAATAGCAAGAATTTTATGGTCTAGGGATGAGCCAGTGGACTTTATGGAGCTAATGATGTTCCTTGGAAAATCAGAAGCCCACTCAACTATGTTGTTTCTTAGATTCATTCATGTATAGTCAAGCTGGGCTAACTGTTCTTACAATCCCCAAATTTAGTGAATTCACACAATAAAGGTGTATTTTTTGTTCATGTCATCATCCAATTCAGGACAAGGGGTCTCTGCCCCATTCAGTTGTTTGGGGACTCAGGCTTCTTCCACTTGGCTTCTTTGCCATGGGCCTTGGCGTCTTCTACTGGGTCATCTGCATCTGCCTGGCACACGGGGAGAGATGATGTGGAGGGTTGGTGTGGAGATTTTAGAGGACTATCCTGAAAATGGCACCCATGATTTCTGCACATGTTCTATGGGCCAGAACTCTGTCACATGGCCTCTTCTAGATGGAAGAGGCTAGGAAATGTAATCTAAAAGCATGCTCAAGAGAAAGGAAAAGTGGATTTGTTGGGCATCTGACTATTTTCTGCCACAACCTACCCATCCATCCACTTATCCATCTATCAACCTACTTAACATTTTTTTTTTTACACCTATTGTGTGTCAGGCACTTTGTTCATCAGGAGCTCACAGTTTCTGGGAAACAGGCTGAAAAAATGACCTCTACAATAGGGTTGGTGTTACAGGGAGATGTAAATAGGGCACTAGGGAAATATTAAAGAAGGAAAAACTCACTCTGCCTAGGGGTTGGGAAAGCCTTTCAGGAGTGAGGCTTAAACTGGACTTTGAGGAAGAAGTAGGATAGTGCAAGGGCATTCCATAGAAGGAACAGCATGGAGGAAGTCATGGAGTTGTGGAAAAGCATGATGTGTTTGAGAAATAGCTAGTAGTCCAGTGCAGCTGGAGGATAGAGAGTGTTGAGAAACTTCTCCCTCCCTAGGACTTTGGAGTGGCCTAAGAGGATGACTCCAGTCTTGTTGCCACTGGATTTGAATCTACAGTTCATTAGGTTATTATCTACAGTTTCCTGTTTCTTTGTTTCACATAGTTTTTGATCCTCATATGCAACAAACACCTGTCATGGGCCTGAGAATTCTCTAGTTCTAGGGAGAAGCAGAGAATGAAAAGTGGAACAGAGAAAAGGGAGGAGCCCATGTTTTGGTCCAATTCCCCTTGAAGTCTTAAGTTTGAATGTCATAGGTTTACCTTGAAATTTTATTGTGCAAGATTAACTAAATGAACACAATTGCTTTAACAGAATCTGAAGTAAATCAATATCTTCACCTCCCTCTGAAATAAATCAACAGCTGCTGAATATTTTAACATTGACCGCTCCTCTCCCAATTTACATAATTTTGTTATTTTTTATAAGTAAATTTAATGAGGGTCTGTTGGTAGTAAACTTTCTTAGTATCTGTCTATCTATCTATCTATCTATCTATCTATCTATCTATCTATCTATCTATCTATCTATCTATCTGGAAAATGTCTTTATTTAGGCAACAGACTAGGGACCAGGAAGGATGATTAAATATAGGCTCTGCCTCTCTGGTCTATAGCCTGCCTGGTGACATTACTTTCCATTTAGTCTCTCAATACATCTGTATTCTCTTTCAGTGACCATTTATATGAGGCTCTTACAAGTGCTTTATATTCTCCCATGCCAAACCTGTTTTTGATATAACATTTAAGTTAGGAATCTTTTGGAAAATCCTCAAAGAACTGTCCCTTTACCTAAAGGATACATCCAAGAGGCAGGATTGTGGAAGCTGATTTACAAACGGTGAAGCCAATGGAAAAATTGGTTTCTACAAGCCATAATTTAGATTTTACTACTGGCCTATCATTTTTGAAAATAAACCTATAATTGTGGAATATTTTTAGATTTACATTAAAGTTGCAAAAATACAAAGAGTTCACATGTGACTCTTACCAGATTCAGTTTCCCCTAATGCTTTCATTTTGTATTACTGACGTGCACTTATCAAAACTAAATATATACATTGATATGTTACTATTAACTAAACTGCAGACTTTATTTAGATTTCACCATTTTTTTCCCATGAATGCCCCTTTTCTGTTATAGGATCCCACTAAGGATATTATAACATTGCATTTAGTCATCCTATCTCCTTAGTCTCCGCTGGTCTGTGACAGTTTCTCAAAGACTGATCTTGACAGTTTTGAATAGTGCTAGTCAGGTATTTTGTAGAATGTTCCCCAATTTGTCCATTAGACAAATTGTCCAACAAATGGTTAGAGTGGGGTTATAGGCTTATGGTGAAGACTACCACACAGATGAATTACTCTTCTTATCACATCATATCAGGGGATACATTGGTCCATCATTTTAAAGACTCGATTTCTTTGTTGTTGTTGTTTTTTCTCTCGAATCTCATGACAGATTAAGAATTGATTTCTTTTCTTAGAACCTTGAAAGGCCTTTAGGTTACTTCTTTCTTCATATGATATATCCTATGCAAATCTCTCCTGATTTGGCTCCTTACAATCTGCCGACAAACATTCTCTAACCTCTCCCACACTGCAGACACTTTGTCTTTTAATTCTGCCCTTCCCTCAAGCTGCTTATCTTCCTCTCCATCCTTCCCTTTCTACCTCTCTCTCTCTCACCACCACCTCTTTATCCCATTTCAGACCATCAGTTCACATCTGAACTTACTTGAGCTTTGGCTGGAGCCTCTTTCTAGCTTCTGATTTGTGTCCAAAGATCTGTGGCGATCATTGTGATGGTTAATTTTATGTGTCAACTTGACTGGGCTAAGGGATGTCCAGATAGCTGGTAAACATCATTTCTAGGTGTGTGTATCAGGATGTTTCTGGAGGAGATTGTCATTTGAATCGGTGGACTGAATAAAGAAGGTTGCTGTAACTCACCTGTGTGGGCATCATCTAATCCTTTGAGGCCTGAATATAACAAAAAAGGTAGAGGCAGGGCAAAACCTCTCTATTCTTAAGTCTGGGTATCCATCTCCTCCTGTGCTCAGACATCAAAGTTCCTGGTTCTCAGGCCTTTGGACCCTTTGGGACCAATGGGACCTACACCATCAGCTCTACTGGTTCTCAAATCCTTGGACTTGGACTGATAAACACCACCAGCTTCCCTGGGTCTCTAGCATGCAAATGGTGTATTGTAAGACTTCTCATCCTCCTTAGAGCCAATTCTCATTATAAATCTCCTCTTATAGATCTATATATATGCTATTGGCTCTGTTTCTCTGGAGTGCCCTGACAATCATCACACATTATGGTTGTTAAAGTGGACTAAATATGGCCTGAGAAGGACTCCATACTTCTATATTTGAAATATTGTGGATGAACTGTAACCTAGCTTAATAGGTAGACAAGATTGAAAACCTAACTTAGGAGTATGTGCCTGTAACAATAGCTGAGTCTTGGCCAATCCCAGTGGCCATACTTCAACCACTCATACACTGCTGAGCGTTCAAACTGTGTTCAAATAAGGAAAACACCGAGCTGTAACCAATCCAGCCATTCTGTACCTCACTTCTGATTTCTTTAGTCATTTCCCTTATTTTGTCTATAAGTCTTCTTCCACCACGTGGCTGTGCTGGAGTCTCTATGAATATGCTATGATTCTGGGGGCTGCCTGGTTCACAAATCATTCATTGCTCAATTAAACTCCTTTAAATTTAATTTGGCTGAAGATTTTTCTTTTATCATGGTGGAGGAAGAGAAATCAGGAAAGGAGGTTGAGAAAGAGTAGAAAAAATTCATTCTTCTAGAATCTCATTTGGGATATTTTTTGTAACTCTTGGAAGAGTTCGTCATCCCCACCTTTGAGTTAGCACACACTTGTGCATACTTCTATTGTGCCATGTAATACACTGTACTGCAAGGCCTGTTTCTTGTTTATTTAATGTACCTATGCTCTATTATTTTGGGTTTCCTGAGGGCAGTTACTATGACTTACTTAGGTTTCCTTAGTATCCACCACAGGCACATATTTGACACAAAATTTTCATTGAATGATTAGATCAATTAATATTTAATGTTGGGTAAGTAAAATAATACCATCCTTACACAAGTTGATTGTTAAGATAAAATGAGACAATTGTGTCAGAAGCACTCAGTAAATTTTAAAGAGTTCTGTAAGTTTGAGTCATTATAATTCCTAGTCACCTATTTCTTAATCCTGTGAATCTTCTCCATCCCAAATACTTTGTTTTTATTGCTCATATGCACTCTTTATATACCTTGTTTTGAAGGCAGATCATGCGTATTATTATTTATGCACATGTTATTTATTGCGCATAACAAATTATCCCAAACCTTAGTGGCTTAAAAAACCACAAACATGTAATCTGTCAGTTTTTGAGGGGTGAAGAATTCAGGCACAACTCAGCCAGGTCTTTGGCTCCCAGGGCTCCCAGAGGCTGCAATCCTCTCAAGACTTGGATCAGGGAAGATCTGCTTCCAAGCACTCACCTAGTTGTTGGCAGCCATGGGCCCTCAAAGGCACTCGGCCAGAGACATAAGTTCCTTGCCATGAGGACCTCTTCATAGGGCCACTCACAACATGCCAGAGCAAGAATTGGGTCGCGGGGAGTGGGGAGAGAGAGAGAGAGAGAGAGAGATTGAGATTACAGTCTTTTTGTAATCTAATCTTAGAAGTGGCATCTCATCACTTTTGCGATATTCTATTTGTTAGAGAGGAGTCACTAGATTCAGCCCACAGTCAAAGAGAAAAACAGCTTGCATAAGGACATGAATAACAAGAAGCAGGGATCATAGGACCATCGTAAGAGGCTGCCTACCACCGCATGTTGCTAACTTTGATGCCCTGTAGTACCTAGTCCTGGCTGACATAAAGCAGGTGCTCCAGAGGTGGTAGTAAATTGATTTAAAAAGATCAGAACTCCTGTCACCCCTGAGGTGGATAGAATAGGTGCCACCAGGAAAAGTTTTCCCAAATGCTTTCCTGCAATTTGCAGTTCTACACTGGGCATCCTGATCTATGGAACAGAGCAGGAAGGTGAGGTCAGCCAAGGAAGTCAACACAACCTATGTAGGGTATTGCTCCAGTGTCTTTCCTGCCATTGTCCATCTTGAATTGTGCTTTATTCATGTATAGCATACGATCACTTAGTCATTCAACAAAGACTAATTGGGGTCTTTCTATGTACCAGGCCCTAGGGACACAGTGATGAAGAAGAGGAGCCCCTGCTTTTGTGGAGCCTGCATTGTAGTAATTATTTTCCCTATGAGCTTGAAACGGTTTCCCAATTAGTTTTTGGGACAAGAAGCCAAACTTTATTGCACCCTCATTGCTTTGTCATAGAGGTCCTAGGGGAAACATCTGAACTGATATTAGCCCTTAGCTGGAGGGCTACTACTTTCCTAACTCCCTCATCTTCTTCAAGTCTTTGCTTACCTATTCAATAGGGCCTATCTTAACGATTCTAGTTAACAATGCAGAGTTTTCATACACCCACTCTCAATCCCCCTTAACCTCTCCTATTCTTTCTCCCTGCCCCATATCACTTTTTACCTTCCAACATTATTTTTACTACACAATCCTGTTCTCCCCTCTGCTTGGATCTAATCTCCAGAGTGAGGATCTTCATCTGTGTTTCTTCTGCTACTCTGTCCCCAAATCTAGAATAGTGCCTGGCACATAGGAGGCGTCCGACACGTATTTGTTGAATGAATGAATTGAGTCCCTCCAGGTCAGGCTTCCTTTTTAGACCCTACTTTGTAGTTGGGAGAATTTTTTCTGGAAGGAATAGAGATGTAGTGAAAACTGGCCATGCTTTTAGTTGTGGCTGTTGATTCCAAAAAAGGGAATTAGATTTAATTTCTTCATAGGGCTGAGAAATGAGATGTGATTAATAGATGCCAAATTAGTCAATGATGAATGGATTTTCTTCCATGTAGTCAATCCTACAGCTGTCTGGTTTTCACTCGGTTTTAATGAGTCTTTGCACATGCAGGTTGAACAGGCATTGTAATGGAAGCTGAGGGTTGCCTGGTGATTTGGAGTGAATTGTGTCTAATTGGAGCAAAATCAGCAGCTCTTACCCTTTATCCCCCAAAGAATGAGGAGATGCTGGGAAGCAACAATTGCATTCCCGCAGCAGTTCAGAAAGTTTAATGCTGCAAGTTTTCCAGGCCTTGAAAATAATAGGAAGTGATTATGAGAAGTGAAGTTACTCTGGCTGACCTCACCTTTTTGGTTTGACTTTGTTCTGACTTGTGTCTTACTCTTAATGCTTGACGGTTTTGAATTAAACATAATCCTTTAGCTAAGCCCTTAACATTTTGGCGGATGGGGAGCCCATTACAAAAGTTCCACTTTTGTTACTGAACTAAGTTCAGACACATACCACCAGAGGATGATGAAAACCAGGCTTTTGCCTTTCTCCTCCGGCAGCTTTAGTGCACACAGAGTCCACTTCAGAAGGAAGGAAGGAGTTGTCCACGGCTGTTTCCCCGTATTTTCTCTCCTGTCTACCCTCAAGGTCTGACTTCTGCTTCTTCCTGGCTGACCCAGTTTGTCATTCATTTATTTCAGCTCATCTGGTATTCCCTTGAAAGTGGCTTCAATTCACATCTAGATAAAAAAGGAGTGAAGCAAAAAGGACCTTTGAGGTCCAGATCTGCTATTGGTACGATTAACCACACCTTAGCACAACTCTAGATGTTTCTTCTTTTCTTTGCCTTATCAAGAATTCTTTTCATGTTTTCTTTTCTTTTTTTTTTTTTTTTTAAGAACAAGACAGAACCTGGAAATAAAGCAGGTGTGTCCTTTCACAAGAAGAAGGTGAAATGGGAGAAAAATCCCTCCTACCATATAAACCTGAATGGAAACAAAATCTCTAACTCTAGCAGTGGGAGCTCTCTTTAGGTAGCTGGAAGTGCTTGGTGAAGACACTGTATTATGACACAGAATCAAACACTCAATCCAACCGTGTGTGAAACCTGGGTGCACTGGAAGCTCATTTAAAATTTTCTGTTTCAATTTTGAAAATTGATATTTATTTTTTACAGTTTAAAGTAAAATATGTTTGTTAATGTAAATTGAAGAAAAGCAGAAAAGTAGAAAGAAGACAAAATGAAAGTCACATGTATTCTTTATCACTGGAAGATAAAGGATGTCGACGTTTTGTTATACTTCCCTCCAGTCCCCTTTTAAATGTTTTTCTTCACAGAATTGCAACTATCTAGTCTCTACAATTCTCTTAGTTTCCTTTTTTTCCCAAATTCTCTCAGATCCTGAAATATTCTCTTATTTTCCCATAGCATGAAACATTTGTCCAATTTTTCAAACTCCCCAGAACTTTTTTCAATGGCAGCAAAGTAGTCTAGGGAGAACATGGGCCACAGCTTACTGTTATTATTAGAACAATAGCCATGTTCTAAACTAGGAGTCAGGAAACAACTTCTGTAAAGGGCCAAATAGTAAACATTCTAGACTTTGTGGGCCATATATCTTTCACAACTACCAATCCTCCTTGACTTACGATGGGGTTATGTCCCGATAAACCCATCGTAAGTTGAAAATATCATAAGTTGAAAATGCATTTAATATGTCTAACCTACTAAAAATCGTGGCTTAGCGTACCCTACTTTAAACGCGCTCAGAACACTTACATTAGCTTACAGTTGGGCAAAATCATTCGGCAACACAGTGCACAGTAAAGTATGGGTTGTTTCCTCCTGATCGTGAGGCTTACTGGGAGCTGTGGCTCACTGTTGCCGACTAGGATCACAAGAGTATCATACCACTTTCTACTGAATGTGTAGCACTTTTGATCCATCATAAAGTTAAAAAATTGTGAGACAAACCATCTTTAAGTGTTGGGGATTGTCTGTACTCGGCCCTGCCATAGTACCACAAAAGCAGCCATAGATAATATGTAAACAAATAAGCATGGCTGTCTTCCAGTAGAACTTTATTTACAAAAACAAGCAATGGGCCAGGTCTGACCCACTGGCTATAGTTTGCTGACTCCTATTCTAAGTTATTACATTGTGTTTAATTTTTTGTATTTTAGTTCTTTGATGAACATTGTGCTTCCTCATCTAGGATTACGACCTTAAAAAGCATTTGTAGACATAAAATTGAAGTGAATTTGCTGAAGGTCAAAGTCTTTGAAAGGCTTTTTACCCACATTGCCAAATTCTTCCTCAAAGGACACAGCCACTGTCATCTGCTAAACCAGCAATATAGGCTACTACTGACTTCACTAACCTGTCTTCAGTATTTATTTTATTCATTTCATTCAAAGTCATGTTTAGGAAGATGTGAGAAACACACATTTGAGTGTCCAAAGTCAAAGAATGGGCGCAGAGACATGAAGAACAGTGGAAGCGAGACTTTTAATGGTGGTCTTGCAAGATTGGGTGTCTGGTAGGCAGGCACACCCGGGGCAGTTACAGCAGATAATTTATCTCCCAGCACACAAGTCCCTCCCCAAGTTCCTCATTGGTGGAGTACTATGGGGTTATAATCTTCCCAGATATCGCCTATATTTCATTATTCCCCTTATAAGGTTATAGTCCCCTTCCCCTCTTAAGTTTCGATTTCCCAATAACGAAACTTTCTTCCCTTTTATGGGCTGACCCCCTCCTCTACATTCTGTTTGCTTATTGTGACCTTCTAGGTGCATGAGCCGTGCGGTATATCACAACCGCAGTCTGGCTGCCAGTACTTAGATTTATCATGCCTTGAAAATGGACCATTTAAAATATTTTCTCACAGAAGATAATTACCAGGTGGGGAAAAAACAAGCTGAAAAATAGTATTAAAAATTTAAAAACTTAAAAAGAGTAAAAAAACTGTTATTTTGATTGGCAAAGAAATGAAATTTCATTATTGTTTTAAACAGTATTTCCTGGAGGCTGAATCTTTTCCCATGTTTGCTAATCTGTGGCACTTCCTCTTTTGGGACATGTCTGCTTATGTCTTTTCTCTAAGTGAGAATCTAGAAGGTATGTAGCTGTTCCAGTTAACTATGCTTAGTAAGTGTTAAAGGCAACATTTGAAATTACCCAAGTATGTCTTCAGAGGAATGTCTAAATAACTTTGGTATATAGTTGACAATGGCATTTTATGTGGGTATTACAGATTTTTTGTTTGTTTTGTTGTTCTTTTAGGATTGTAGGTGGCAGAATTTAATGATGTTTATGTTTCAGCTCATCGCCGTCTGTATTCATTGATTCGTCTAAGGCATCTTCTTTATCTTATTATTTTTTCCCTTTATCTCTATATGTTTCCTGTGGCTGCTGCAACAAATTAGCACACATGTAGTGGCTTATAACAATAGAAATGTATTCTCTCACAATTCTGGAGGCCAGAAGACCTATATCAGTATCACGAAGCTGAAATCAAGGAGTCCTCAGGGCCACAGTCCGTCTGGAGGCTCTAAGGGAGCCTCTTCCCACTTCCATTGGCTCCCAGCATTTCCTGCTGTGGCCATATCACTCGAATGGGCAAGGCCAGCATCTTCACATCTCTGCTCTGTCTTCACATGGCCCTCTCTGTGTTTAAAATCTCCCTCTGCCTCCTCTTATCAGGACACTTGTCATGCCCCCGATGGCAACTGACTTTCTAAGCCTATCTCCTACTCCCTCGTAGACATTCTGTCTGCTTGTTATTTTTCAATTACGTCCTATAATTGACTGACTCTAAGTGGCCTTTTCAACCATCACTATTTATTTAATTCCAATGAATCTTTCAAGTAAGATCTAAAATAATAGCACACTGATAATCATTTCCTTATTTTCCCCAACTAGTATTTCCTTCCTTTATGATTTTTAAAATTTAATGAATACTTTTTGAGGGTTTATTTTATGCAGGTACTATTCTAAGGCCACAAATACTTTCTTAGTTCTTTTTGTTCAACTCGATGAAGTAGATACTATTATTTTTCCCAATTTTAAGTTGCAGAAACAAAGGCACAGGGAGGCTAAGTAATTTGCCTGAGGTCACACAGCTGTATGTCTCAGAGTTGGGATTTATTTTGGCAATCTGTAGAGACAAAGATTTTAACTTCTCTGTGTGCTGCCTTCTTTTCTGCTGTTCTCTTTATTTTATCCCTATTCCCTCCCTCTTTTCCTTCAATTAGTAAATGTGTGTGTCATGTATGTTAGTGAATAAAGCAGTTGTCTCATGAATGTGTGATGGGGAAGATGCACATGTAAACAAATCAACAAGCAATAAACACATAAAATTCACAGAGATGAGTAATCAGGGAAGCAGTCGGGGTCCTGGGAGTTTGCTTTTCACATTTTAAAATTAACTTCATTATAGAGCTTACTACATTCTTTTTTGAACTGTTCTGGAAATATTTGCATACCAGTCTTATCAATTTTCATATGTTTCAGATTCCAGGAGATGTTGATTTTTTTTTCCCTGTATGCTCAGTAAGATGGGCACGGTGAACATCAACTAAATATGAGTTGGATCAATGAACTAATGGAATAGCTTCAGTCAATACTGAACCTGTTAATGGTTTCTGGTCATCCTCTGACTTCTGCACGTCAGTCCTGGGGCCTGGCACAGGGATGCCTCAGCGTCTGGCTGGTTGAGCAGGAATCTAGAGCATTTTGATAAGTATCTGAGCAAGTCCCTAGTACTTAAAGTGAGGCCACCTTCAAATAAGTCATGACGGGATTTACATAAGGAAGAAAGGCCTGTCTGAGATGACGCTCTGTTAAGCCTCCATATCCAGGAATCTGCAACAAGCAGCACATTTTTCTGAACTCTGCAAGCTGGTTGGGGGTAAGAAATTATAGTAATTAGCAACATGGCAACAATTTAGTATCTAGAAGAAAACAGGTCCTGCTGATGCCACAAAAACAAGGAGGCAAAACAAAGCTCTCTCTGTGTGTAGCACCACCTTCTAAATTTGGGGGAAATTGCTGAAAAGGCATTACTGTGCCTTGAATGAGAGGTTGACCTAGAGAGGTCATCTGAATTTAAAAACCAGAGCTTATGCCTTTCAAAATCCTTAAGCCAGGCCTGCCTGAGCCATGGAGCAGCCCCTCCTCTCCCCAGCTGACTTTTCCCATGTCACCGTTCAGTGTGGCCAGCATTTCCTGATGCCTTGGGAGGATGGCCAATCTTGGTCTGGTTCCATCATAATAAAGATTCCCTGCTAGCAAGTTCTGGAAGACTTCAGTTTCCTTTTTAGAATAAGTCGTTTATGATTCTGTGCTTTGATGTGAAAATCCATGTGTCAGTTCATGGAGTTCATGGAAAGGAATGAAAAGCTTGTAAGACATGTTTGTACTCCCTGTGAGGTAGGCTTAACTGTGCCCAGAAAATAATAAATCTTCTAGGAAGAAGAGACTTCTTCCCACTCAATAAAAGCAATCACATATGCCTGTAAGCACCTCTACCTCAGCCTGGGAAACTGTTACAGCCTCTAAAAATGAACTTGTCTTGATCTAAGACCAGAAACTTGGGTGCTAGGCCCTTGGACAACAGAAAGGATAATCTGAATCATTCTTTTCTCTTTGCTCCTCCCCTAATCCTTTATTTACCCAAGTCAATGCAAGGTTAGAAGATTATGTCCATAAAGACCTGAGCTGGTGAAGGGCCTCAGAAATCCATGGAGTTTTGATTACATTTTACGTTTCATTCACAAAGCATCATTTATTAGCATGTGTGCAAATTGAGCCAGGTTATTTAACATTACAATTGTTTATTTTTTTCTGGATTCTGAGCATATATTCTTCTTGCCCTTCATTATCCAGGAAGGAGACTGACAGAAGGCATGGCGTCAATGACTACTTGTTTAATAAATAAATCAATAAGGAATGCTCTTTTTAAAATAAAATAAATGGAAGTATTTTTGATACATTTGCTGATTATAAAAATCTGTCCATTCATTGTAAAAAAATTAGCAACTCATAATGTATATAGAAATTTCTAACACACTATCTTCTCCTGGAGATAACCACATACACTTAGAGTTGAAAGAAAGAAAGAAAGAGCAGCTGGGTGTGATGGCCCATGCCTGTAATCCCAGCACTTTGGGAGGCCAAGGCAGGTGGATTGCTTGAGCTCAGGAGTTCAAGACCAGTCCGAGGCAATATAGTGAGACCCCTGTCGCTTTAAAAAAAAAAAAAAAAAAAGGGAAATACCTAAAGCGTGGGAGGCTTAAAACCTAGATGACAGGTTGATGGGTGCAGCAAACAACCATGGCACATGTATACCTACGTAACAAACCTGCATGTTCTGCACATGTATCCCAGAACTTAAAGTAAACAAACAAAAAAGAGCAGATGGAAGGTAGGAAAGATGAGAGGGGGGAAAAAAAAGCAAGAGAGGAAGAAAGCAAGCCAGCATGTGTAATAGTAACAAAGCTGCTATTGTTGGACTGTAGATTGTTTTTAGTTTTCACAATGATAAATAGTAACACAATTGATTCTTCCAATCCATGAACATGGGATATCTTTCCATTTACTTATGTCTTCTTCAGTTTCATTCATCAATGTTTTGTAGTTGTCTGTGTTCAGATCTTTCACCCCATTGGTTAAATCTATTCCTAAATATTTTATTCTCTTTGATGCCATTGTAAATGAGTTTGTTTTCTTCGTTTGTTTGTTTCTTTGCTTGTTTTTGAGACAAGGTCTTGCTCTGTCACCCAGGGTGGAGGGCAGTGGCACAATCACAGCTCACTACAGCCTGGAACTCTGCTGTGTTGCCCAGGCTGGTCTTGAACTCCCGGGCTCAAACAATCCTTCCTCCTTGGCCTCCCAAGGAGGTCCATGCTGAGATTACAGGCGTGAGCCACCGCTCCTGCCTTGAGATTGTTTTCTTAATTTTTTTTTTCAGGTAGTTTGTTGTTTGTATACTCTCTACTTATATTCTGATATCTTGCTCTAGTTTATTAATCTCTTCAAGTACTCTTAAATCCTTTCTGGAACAACACAGGCTACAGAAATAAATAAACAAACTAAACAATAAACATGCCTCCCTGACCTGCCTCATAGGTTGTTATGGGGATTAAATGAAATAGAACAAAATATAAGTTTTATGTATGCTGTGAGACAAGGTACTCATGAGAGGTACTCTATTCTTGAACTGCTGGGGTTGTTGTTTTAGAGACAGGGTGATGTTAATTTTTAACTTTTTTTTTTTTGTAGAGATGGGGTCTCACTATGTTGCTCAGATGCTCAGGCTGGTCTAAAACTCCTGACCCCAAGTAATTCTTCCTCATTGGCTTCTCAAAGTGCTGGTATTACAGGCATGTGCCGCTGCACCCAGCAGAAATACTCTAATATTTATTTGCTATAGTATTTGGTATGGTTGTATGTTTTTCTTTATAATTAAGTAAATATTGGTGGTTTTAATTTTATGTGAGCTTTTTGCTCCCATTCCAGCAACAAGTAAACATATAAGAATTTTGTTTTCTTGGCAATTCACTCTTTCAAATCCACTTACCTACACACTAAGGTAATGATTCTTTCTGATTGTGGTTGCCGAGGTTACAACTGCATATAGCAGTTATATAGGCGGCTTATATATGTTTTTATATAAGTTATGCATAAGCTATATGTATTAATTATGTAACTTAATGCTTCTGCTCCAATGCACTTCTTGTTTTTTCATATTCCATCCATCTCCTGCTGGGTGGCCTTGGCAAAAGTTATAAAGTGTGCTTCTCCCTCTTTCTATGCCCTGTCCCTGTCTGTCTCGTACTCGCCAGGCCCCTACCAGTACTCTATATGCCACCTGTACCTCCCATTCTATGAACTATTCCTACTGGGACTTGCTTTCAGATTGAAAGGGTTCTGATAATATCTGTCTTTTCCATTTGTTCACCCTGGGTGACCAAATGGATTTTAATAGGAAATTACTAGAAATCAAAGGGTTTAAGACTCAAATAAGTTATTCTCTAATAGAATAATTTCAGACAAAATTATTTTTAGCTTGGTCACTGAGAAAATGTGCTGAAATCTTCCACTATGTTAGTAGAGTTTCATTTTTTTTCTCTTTATTCTTTGTAATTTTTTCTTCATAGGCTATGTCATTAGAGGTTGTGGCATAAACATTTACAGCTAACCGAACATCCATGGAGCCATACTTTCCTGGCCCCCTGGCAATTAAGAAAGTTCATTTTACAAATTCTGGCCAATGGACTGAGTCAAGTGATGTGTGCCACTTTTGGGACAAAGTATTTTAGAATGTGATCCCTCCCTAACAACTTCTCTTGACTGAGGATGCCTCATGGCCCAGAAAGCAGAGCTGCAGGACCCTCCATCAGCAGGAGTCTCTGGGTGAATTTTGGAGTAGGGCTCCTCACAAACTCAAATTTGCACTTGTAATGTGAATGAAAAATAAACCTTTGTTATGTTGCACCACTGAAATTTTAGGATTTTTTGTCATTCAACATAGACTATCCTGATCAAAATGAGGGTATACAGGTTCATATCATATCTTCTGTCAGTTTGTTCTTTCTCAGTATGAAATGTTCTATTTTGCCTTTTGAAATAGTCTTCACATTAATCTCTGTCTTCTGTGATGTTAGTAAGTATATTATTTTCTTTTGGTAAATTTGCCTACATACTTTTCTTTCTTTTAATTGTCAGCCTTTCTGAATTATATTTGTTTTAGTGGGTCTCTTGTAAATAGCGTAACTCTAGATTTGAGATTCTTCAACTTTTATTTGACTTATTGTGATTACTGATAAATGTGGATTTATTTTTTCTCTTATTTACCATGCAGTCTCCTTATTTCTCATTATTCTGTTTTCTGCCTTCTGTTGGATCAAGTTTTCTTTGTTCAGTTTTTTTCTCCTATACTGGTGTGAAAGTTATACAGTTTTCATTCTTTTATTTTAAGGGTTATCCTTAAATTATCAACACATAAATCAACCTTTTCTCCTAAAAAATTAGTTAAACAACAAGAACTCTCCTCTCAAATGAAGCTGCTTCCATCTGTTCTACTTCCCCTAGATTCCCTGGAGTAGATGTTATTTCCCGGAGATTGCTACAGGGTTATCTCCCGTTGCATCAAGTTGGAGTCCATTTTCCCACCATCTTGAATCTGGGAAGGGGCAATGATAACGTTGACCAATAGACTATGGCAGAAGTGACATACATGTCTGTTCCAAGTATAGCCCTTAACTATCTGGCAGCTTCTGCTTCCTGCCTCCATGAAGCTAGCTACTGTGGAAGAAGTGCAGTTTCTTTAGGTCTACCATGCTGTGAGAAGTCTTAACTCTGTGGAGAGGCCCTGGGGATGAGACATCATGTGCAGCAAGAAGCCAAGGAGCATAAAAAAATAAGAAATGAGGGCGGGAGCCATCTGGAAGTGGGTGTTCCAGTCCTATCTACTCCAGATGATGTGACATGGATCTGCCAGCTAAGCCCTTCCTGAATTCCCATCACAAAATCCTGAGTAAAATAAAATGATCATTTTAAAAAACCATTGAATTCCAAGGAAGTTTATTACAACAATAAATAACCAGGACCCCTTCCCACTCTATTGTTGATATCATTTGGGATTATAGTTCCAGATTTTATTTACAACTTACAAAAATGGTGATTTTTTTTCAGACAGTTTTACTAATTTATTTCTTCTATTTAATTGCATTTTTTATTTTGAGATACCTGTAGATTCACATGATTATACAGATAAATCTTGTGTATTCTTTACTCAGTTTCCACAATGGCAACATCTTGCATAAATACAGTATAATATTACAAGTAGGAAATTGGCATTGATATAATCAAGATACAGAAAATTTCCATCACTACCAAGGTCCCTCTTGTTGCCCTTTTATAGCTATGCCCACTTCATCTTCTGCCCTCATTCTCCTCATTAATCTCTGGAAACCACACTAACCTATTACCCATATTCATAATTTTGTCATTTCAGGAATGTTGTAAAAATGGAATCAGGTAGTTTGTAACCTTTTAGGACTGGCTTTTGTCACTGAGAATAATTCTCTAGAGATTCATCCAAGCTGTTGTGTGGAGCTATAATTCATTCCTTTTCATTGCTGAATAGTGTTCCATGGTATGGATGTACCATGGTTTCTTTAGCCATTCATCCATTAAAGGACATCTACATTGGTTCTGGTTTGTAGCTATGACGAATAAAACAGTTACAGACATTTGTGCATATATTTTTGTATGGAATGTCTTCATTTCTCTGGGACAATTGCTGGGATGTATGGTGGTTACATTTTTAAGTTTTAAAGAAACTGCCATACTGTTTTCCAGAGTGAATGTATCATTTTATATTTCTATCAACAACATATGAGTGATCTAGTTTCTCTCCATTCTTGAAAGCATTTGTTGTTGTTCCTATTTTTAAAAAATTTAAACATCCCAATGGATATGTAGGGATAGCTCATGGTGGTTTTAACTTGCATTTTCTTAATGATTAATAATGTTGAACACCTTTTTATGTGCTTATCTGTCATCTGTATATCTGAAAAGCAGAATATCTCTTCATGTCTTTTCCCCATGTTCTAATTGGATTGTTTGTTTTTTTTATTGTTGAGTTTTAAGAGTTTTATCTATACTAGTCCTTTGACGGATAAGTGTTTTGTAAATATTTTCTCCCATTCTGTAGCTTGTCTTTTTAAAAAATGTTTTATAGGGTCTTTTACAAAACAAAAGTTTTTAATTTTGGTGATAGCAAATGTATCAGTTTATCCTTTTATAAATTATACTTTTGCTATGAAGTCTAAGAACTCCTTGTCTAGCAATAGAGGCCCCGTATTTTCTCTTAAAAGTGTCACAGCGTAATGTTTTACATTTAAATCTATTTTCCATTTTCAGTTAATTTTGTAGAAGGTGTGAGACTTAAGCCAATTTTTTTCTCTCTATGGTTGTCCAATTGTTTTAGCACCATTTGCTAAAAAGGCTGTTTTTCTTCCATTAAATTGTTTTTGCACTTTGTCAAATGCTGGTTTGGTATATTTGTGCGGGTCTATTTCTGTTTTCACTATTCTGTTCCATTGATTGATGTGTCTATTCCTCTGCCCATGCCACATAGTCTTTTTTTTTTTTTTTTTTTTTGACAAAGTCTTGCTCTTTGGCCCAGGTTGTGGCCTAGGCTGGAGTGCAGTGGCGCGGTCTTGGCTCACTGCAACCTCTGCCTCCTGGGTTTAAGTGATTCTAGGACCTCAGCCTCCAAAGTTGCTGGGATTAGAGGCATGCACCACCACACCTGGCTAATTTTTGTATTTTTAGTAGAGACGGAGTTTTACCATGTTGGCCAGGCAGTCTCAAACTCGTGGCTTCAAGTGATCCACCTGCTTCAGCCTACCAAAGTGCTAGGATTATAGGTGTGAGCCACTGCTCCTGGACCCATGCCACACAGTATTAATAAGTCTATAATAAGTCTTGGAAATGAGTAAATTGATATCTCTGACTTAATTTTTCATTTCCAAAATTGTTTTAGAGATTCTAGTTTCTCCTCATTATCATATAAATTTTAGATTATTCTTGTATATATCTACAAAAATTCTTGCTGGAATTTTGATAGAAACTGTGGTAAACCTGTATATCAATCTGTGGAGAAGTGACACTTGTTGAGTTCTTCAGTTCATGAACATGGAAAGCATCTCTATTTATTTAGTTCTTTTTCAGCTTCTTTCACCAGCATTTTGTAGTTTGTAGCATGTAAGTGAGTGGTGAACATGCTTTGTTACATTTACACTTAAGTATTTATTTTTTTGTTATTGCCACTGGCATTGTATTTTAATTTCAATGTTCATGGGCTCATTGGTAGCATATAGAAATACAATAGAGTTTTTGTATGTTAATCTTATATCTTGTGATCTTGCTAAACTCACTTATTAGTTCTAAGAGGTTTTTGTTTGTTTGTTTTTGGAGAGTCCATGGGCTTTTCTATGTAATCATGTTATCTGCAGATGGGGACAGTTTATTTCTTCCTTTCTGATCTCTATGCTTTTTATTTCCCTTTCCTGATTCATTGCACTGGCTGGAACTTCCAGCATTGTGTGGAGTAAGAGGGATGGGAGCAGACATCCTTGTCATGTTCTAAGTCTTATGAGGAAAGCATTCTGTCTTTCACCATTAAGTATAATGATAGCTGTATGTTCTCTATAGATGCTCTTTATCAGGTTGAGAAAGTCCCCTCTATTCCTATTTTTCTTTCAGGTTTTTTTTTCACTTGTGAGTGGGTATTACATTTTACTAAATTCTTTTTCTGCATTTGTTGATACAATCATGAGATTTTTCTTCTTTAATTTGTTAATATTGTAGATGACATTGGTTAATTTTTAAACATGATGCCAGCTTTGCATCTTTGGAATAAATTCTACTTGGCCATTGTCTTAGTCTATTCAGACTGCTATAATACAATACCTGAGATCAGGTAATTTAGTAGAAATGTATTGTTCATAGTTCCAGGGGCTGGAAAATCCAAGATCAAGGCACTAGCAGATTTGGTGTCTGGTGAGGGCTTGCTCTCTGCTTCCATAGATGGTGCCTTGTTGCATCCTCACATGACAGAAGGGCAAAGCTACTCCCATTAATCTCTTTTATAAGGGCACTGATTCCATTCATGAGGGCTTTGCCTTCATGACTTAATCACCTCTCAAAAGGACCCACCTCTTAATACCACCAAAATAGGGATTAGGGTTCACTATAAATTTTGGAAGGACACATTCATACCATAGCAATCACAGTGTATAATTCTTTTTATATTTTACTAGATTCTATTTGCTAATATTTTGTTAAGGACTTTTGCCTCTATATTCATGAGGAATATTCACCAGTAGGTTTTTTTTTTGTGCTGTCTTTGTCTGGTTTTAATATCAGGGTCATATTCGCTTCAGAAAATAAATTGAGAGTTGCTTGGATTGCTTCTATTTTCTGGAAGAGATTTTGTAGAATTGGTGTTGATTCTTCTTTACTTATTTATTTTTTTAGACACAGTTTCACTCTGTCACCCAGGCTGGAGTGCAGTGGTGGGGCTACTGCTTACTGCAGCCTTGACCTCCTGGATAAAAAATCTTCCCACCTAAGCCTTCTTAGTAGCTGGGACTATAGGCATGCACCTCTACACCTGGCTGAGTTTTGTATTTTTTTTGAAGAGGTGGGGTTTCACCATGTCGCTCAGGCTGGTCTTGAACTCCTGGGCTTAAGCTCAAAGAACCAGCTATTTGTTTCATTGATTTTTTTTCAATCATTTTTCTGTTTCCAATTTCATTTCTTACCTTGAAATGTTTTTTGAGAAGCTCTTCATCTTCACAATTTCATTGATTTTCTAATTTTTTGTAGTTTCATAGTTTTCTTCCTTCTACTTATTTTGCTTTTCTTTTTCTAGGTTTTTGAGGTGGAAGCTTAGATTATTTTTAATTTTAATTTTTGTGGGGAAGCTTAGATTATTGATTTAAGTTTTTTTCTTTTCTATTATGTGTATGTGGTGCTATGAATTTCTGTTGCTTTGAATTCACTGGGCTTTTTGATTCTGTGAATAGTGTTTTTCATTGGTTCTGAAAATCTTCATTGTCTCTTTAAATACTGTCCCTGCCTTATTCTTTTCCTTCTTACCCTCAGAGATACCCATTAAACACTTGTGGTATTCTTTATGTCCCTTACCTTTTTTTCTGTATCAGCAATCTTTTTGTCACTCAGTCCTTCATTGTGAATAGTTGTCCCCCCACTATTTTTCAGTATATTAATTTTTTTCTTCACCTGTGTCTAATCTGCTAATAAACCAATTCATCTACTGAGTTTTAAATTTTGGTATTTTATTACTTTTTTTCTGAAAGTTCCATTTGATCCTTTTCAAAAACTGTTTTATACTTTAAATTGTAAAAATATATGTCAGTTCATAGTTTCTCCTTCCTTTCAGATGTTATTAATTTTTAAACAAAAAATTTAAATATAGTTAATACAGTTAATTTATATAATTCTAAGACTTGAAGTCTTTGTAGTTCTGTTTCTGTGGTCTGTATTCTGCCAGATATTTCTTATGACATCTACTTTCTTTGTGTATCTGGCTATTTTTGGCTTAGTTTTGGACAAATTTTTTGATGCCTAATATGAAATTGGCTTTTTTTTCCCAGAAAGTATTTGTATTTGATTCTGCAAGGTATCTAGAGGCACTACCAGTTTAAGACAACTTTAAACTAAATTTAAGCCTTGAAATTACCTGGAAAATACAGGATACTCAGGAGAGTTTAACTGAGGTTGTGGTTCTGTGCTAGGACTGGTCTATGGGGGGGGGGGTCTTTACAGATTATTTAAGGGGTGAATCTCTTATTAGGCTTTCGATTTTATGTGGTTTCTGGGAGTTGATTTTTTTCTTCCAGTGCCAGGAGGCCACTAAAATGAAAATCCAGTATTTTTAGGGTGGATAACTACTCTCAGAGGAAAAGAAGCTTCTGTCTTCATTTGTGCTTCTGGGATGCTGACTTCTCTTCATGGTAGGTCTGGTATTTCCTTCCTATCTTGTCACTGCTTTGATTCTTTTAAGATACATTGTATATATTCTATCTATATTTATATTTTATCACATTAAATTGTTTTTTAGCTTAAATGACAGAAATGTGTTGTCTCATAGTTCTGGAGGCTAGAAGTTGGAGGAGATTAAGGTGTCAGCAAGGTTGGTTCCTTCTGAGGGTCCTGAAGGAGAATTTGTTCCGTGCCTCTCCCTAGCTTCTGGTGGTTTACTGGCAATATTTGGTGTTCCCTGGCTTATAGAAACAAGCAAACAAAAAAGAGGTTTTTTTTGCCAAAAGAATTTCTCCAAATAACCTGACTCAGCATTTCAGAAAACAGGATGGGCTTTGGTAAGGCAGTGAATGTCAGAGAACCTACACATTCTGGGCAAAGATACCATCTTTTATTGCTTGTCTTTCTGGCTTTACTCCCTCTGAAGTCAGCAGGATTTTTTTTCCCCATTGGAAGTAGTACATTCTGAAATCCAAGTGTTGTTTTTCCTGAGAATGTGTGTGTGGCATGGTCATTCCTTCAATCATTTATTCAACAAATATATGTTGAAAACCTGTGCTAAGCCAGGTCCTATGCTAGGTACTGGGATACATGGAGAATAAAAACATGGATCCTAATCTCAAGTAATTTGCAATCTAGGTTGGAGAATTGGTATTAATCTGACAACCACATAAGCAAACTATCAATACTAAACATTGTTTAATACATGGAGTAGACCTGTCATTAGAGCTATAATGGCCAAGTACAAGGTGCTATGTAAACGTTTAACTGGGATATTTAATCCAGGGGTGAGAGAAGTTTTCTTCAAGGTAAAGCTCTTGAGCTGAGATCCAAAGAATGAATTGGCATTAAATAGAAGGAGGTGAATAGGATAAGACCAATAAGGCTGTGTGGAAAACCTGTGCAAAGGCCCTGTAGTGGATGGTGCTCTGCATGTTAGAAATAGAAGATGTTAAAGCCAGTGGGGCTGGAACACACAGAGTGAGTGGGAAAGTGGTTTAAGATAATTCTGGAGATGTTGTCAGAGGCTAGGTAGAGCAGGACTTAGAAACCAATCAAGAATTCTCTTCTGTACTTGGGCTTATAGAAATGGGAGATCATTAAAATTTTTTATTGGGTCAATGTGTATGTGTGTGTGTGGGTGTGGGTGTGTGTGTGTGTGTGTGTGTGTGTGTGTAGAGGCTGCTCTTGCTCCTGCATTTAGATAAAGAATTAAATGCATGAGCTATCTTGTGAAATGCTATGTGGAATAGGGCATTAGTGGTCAATCAATGAGTATGTAAGTGATACTTCAAGAATATTTCTTTGGCCAGGTGTGATGGACCACACCTGTAATCCCAGTGCTTTGGCAGGCCAAGGTAGGATTGCTTGAGGCCAGGAGTTCAAGACCAGCCTGAACAACAAAGCAAGACCTTATCTCAATTAAAAAATGTATAAGAAGGACATTTCTCCAATATTACCTTTCAGGAACACATATCCTGAAAGTGGGATATGGCATTTCTAGTTTTATCACTTCAAACCTGCTTTTCATTTGAGCATATATGGTTTCAGCAATATCTAGGCCTAAGAGCATTCTGAAGGTCTCTGTTTTCTGGTATGGTCCAATATACCTTCTTTCTTCTCTGAAACATCCTCTACCCCCAACCACATTAGTTGGTGTTGTCTAATCTTCCTTTCTAACTGGAGAAGATTTGTGAAAGGTTTTTCTTCCTCAAAGTTACCCCTACAAACGCTAATCAAAGTAGAATCCAAAAAACTCTGTTCCCTAACGCCAGGGCATCTTTTCCATTTGATGGTCAACAGAGCCCCCTACTGGGAGAAACAGCTCAACTACATAAATACCAACACAAACAGCAAGCGTTCTGTAACGTTTGGTTCTTTACCCAGCCAATGTTTAATGTAATTACTGTGCCGTAGCTGAGACACCTACTCATTATTTTTGTGATAACTCTGACATATAATTACAAAAGATTAACTTTTCATTTGGCAAATTTTCCAGTTACTCAGTGTTGAAGAGTCATTGTAACAATTAATAAAAATCACAAATGTATAGTCTTAAAATATAATTGATGTCAAGAAATAATTTGGTTCAGTGTTATGTTTCAAGAAGACTAACATTTAAATTCTTCAGGGTACTGAGCTTTCTGTTTTATTCCTAAAATTTCCAACGGAGGACACTCCACAGTGTCATCAGAGATGAATTCTTTGCTTCTAATAATTCAATAGGTTGTTATATTTGATAATAGTATCTCCTTAAAAAAAAAACTCCTGTTAGAATGGTTCTAAATTTACAGAAAACTTACAAAGACAGTACAGAGAGTTCCTGTATTTCCATCACTCAGTTTTTCCTGTTGCTAACACCTGGCATTACCATGGTACATTTGTCATAACTAAGGAATCAACATTGGTACATTACCATTAACTAAACTCCAGAGTTTACTCAGATTTCACTATCATTGTAACTTTTCCCCTAATGTCCTTTTTCTGTTCCAGGATTTCATTGAGGACATCACATTACATTTAATTACCTTGTCTCATTGGGATCCTCTGGTCTCTGACAGTTTCTGTGACTTGCCTTGTTTTTGATGACCTTAGCAGTTTTTGAGGAATACTGGTCATGTATTTTGTAGAATGTTCCTCGGTGTGGAGTTGTCTGGTGTTTTTATCATGGTTCTACCAGGATTGTGTTATGGGTTTTTGGGAGGAAAACCCCAGTAACATTCTCATCACATCATATCAAGGCTACATACTTATGTATGCATCATTGTTGATGTTAATTTTGACAACCTGACTGAGATAGTGTTTATTATATTTCTCTACTGCAAAGGTGCTTTGTCGTTGTTGTTGTGGTTGTTTTTTGGAGTCTTGCTCTGGACTCAGCCTAGAGTGCAGTGGTGTGATCATGGCTCCCTGGATCCTCAAACTCTTGGGCTAAAGCGATCCTCCTGAGTAGCTGGGACTGCAGGTGCGTGCCACCACACCAGCTAATTTATTTTATTATTATTATTATTATTATTATTATTATTATTATTATTATTATTATTTTGTAGAGACAGGGTCTCGCTATGTTGCTTAGGCTGGTCTCAAACTCCTGGCTGCAAGCAATCCTCCTCTCTGGGCTTCCCAAAGTGCAGGTATTACAGGCATGAGCCACCACACCAGACTTGTTTTTTTAAATTTAAATTTAAATATCTTTCATCTTATTTTACAGAGATAAAGACAGAAACCTGTCAGCTTCTTTTTTCAGATGAGGGAGGATAATATATCATGGTGGTGAAGAGCAGCTTTTAGGAGCCAGAAAACGGATTAATGAGCAGTTTTGCCACTTACTGGCTGTGTGATTTGGGCAAGCTACTTTCTAAGCTTCATGATCAGAATTTGTAAAATGGGGTACTAATAGTACTTTCTTCAAAGGGTTATGGTAAGGGCGAAATGATATGATGCATGCAAAGCACTTGACTAGTGCCTGGTGCATAGTAACCATGCAAATGTTCACTATTATTACTAACGTTAAGATGACAGCAGTGATGATAAGCACTATGCATTTATTTTAGTGTCACTGTTATTCTTCAGAGTCAGTAGCAGCAAGTCCTCAGCAGGCAGTTCTTTCCATTAATATGCCAGCCTGGACTTGGTGTTTTGGGCTAAAAAGCTGAGCCTCCAGCATTCATTCAGTTACTAGTTTAACGATGTTCCCTGAGCTCCTTCTAGGTCCCCAGGATACATGGTTAAACCAGCAGACACAGTGTGGCTGCAGCCCTGTGAGTCAGGTGGAGAGTGTCCAGATAGAGGTGAGTGGGAGACAGAGGTCAGGGTTGGTTCCTATGGGACCCTGTGGGTAAAGTATAAGGACAGGCTTGATTATTTCTTCTTTAGTCTCAAGCCATCATTTTATAGGTGAAATTTAGTCTCCTCCAAGTTCATTACCATAAGATCAAAGTAGACCAACCAAATAAACAATTTTACTTGTCCCGCTTTCCTACTTTGATTTTGGTAGTTGTGCTATTGAGCTCTGAAGTGACTGGAATGGTAGTTTTCAAACTTTAGGATGAGGCCAGGCATGGTGGCTCATGCCTACAAACCCAGCACTTTGGGTGGCTGAGGTGGGAGGATTGCTTTAGGCCAGGAGTTTGAGACCAGCCTGTACAGTGAGACCCCGTTTCTTAAAAAAAAAAAAAAAATTACATTAAAAATTAGCTGGACATGGTGGCATGGGTCTATAGTCTCAGGTCTACTTGGGAGGCTAAGGCAGGAGGATCACCTGAGCCCAGGAGTTTGAGGCTGCAGCGATCTATAATCGTGCCACTGTGCTCCAGCATGGGCGAAAGAGTGAGACCCTGTCTCTAAAAACAATAACACCTTCAAGGTGCATTAGAATCACCTGTAGGGTTCCCTAGAACACTTACCCTATATCTTGAACCAATTATTTCTCGTATCATCAATCTTTCTGCAACCCTCTTCCTCACTGTGACTTGTTTCCTTATGTATTTTGAGCTTTTGGTGGTGAGTTTATATTCCTTCAAACTTGGTTTGTGAGAATTCCTTTGAGACCTGGTTTAAACAGTATTCCTCTAGTGAGGATATATGCATTCATTTCTACTAAACATTGAATGTGACTATCAGTTTGCAATAAGTTTAAATTCGTACTTTGGGTTTTTAGGTCGTATAAGTACTTGGATTCTGATACATAGCCCATGAGAAGGCTTGTCTATGGCTAAGGTATCTTGGGGTGTTGGAGGAGACTTTATCTTTTTCCCTTTTTAACTAGAACCAAGGCCAACACTGGTAAACACTTATATCAATTCCTTCTGGTAAGCATATTTTTTTTTCCAGTTTACCCACGAAGGGTGTCAATTCTTTTGGGTGCTGGCTTTGTGCTGGAGTCTCTGATTCTGAGCCTGAGCTTTGTCTCTGAGCTCCTCCTGTAGGAGCAGCACACGCCCTTCTTGTGGCCTGTTTTTGTGTGGCCTTTCAGCTAAGAATGGCTTTTACATTTTTAAACTGTTGCTAAGAAACAACAACAATGAAGTAAGTGACAAATCATATGTGGCCCACAAAGCCCAAAATATTATCTTTAAAATTGTATCTTTTCAGAAAAAAATTGTAGACCCCTAGATCATGAAAGCTAAATAAACATAGGCACCCAGGGCAAACTCTATTTCTGGTGGTCCTGTTCCCCTCTGAATAGACTAGTAGTTTCTTACTGTTTCTGGTGTCCAAGAATTTATCTTACATTCCTACCAGCTTAGCTCTTTGTCTTAAAGGAGGTGTTAATATTTTATCCATTGTTTTTAGGAGTTCTCTACTTGGAAGGTTCCTCTGGACATTGAGCACCTCTTAATATATGAAAAAGAATCCTCGCTCTTTACTTCCTGTCGAGCAAGTCTCAGTGCCATAGCAGGGCTATAAGAAGGGATGGCCTTCTTATGCACTGGCCTGTGAGCCAGTGCTGGGAAGTATGATATAACTGAAATGGGAGACTTCCCTTGCACCCCTTCTCAACACATGCGACAGGAGTGTGGCTCTCTGTTTGGTGAGTTCAAACCCCTTTTATGGGAGGAGGATCATGAAGATGGCAGGTGCAGGAACCAGAGTGACTGCTTTGGGGCTCTGGCCCCATGGCAGTGTCTAGGGGTGGGTGTCTGCGACTCCCAAAGCCCAGGTGGGTGCATGTTACAGTGTGCTCTTTTAGTCTTGCCCTTCTGGATGGCTTAAGGGTTAACCAGGTCAGTGGGCCCTCTGCCTTTTTGCAAGGGCAGGGGGCCAGCATGACAACTTTCTGTATCCTGAGCTCTTGTCCAGCCATCCCAAAAAATTGGGTCCGACATTAACTTGAAGGCTGAATGTGGGGGTTTTATTCAGTGGTGGTGATGGCTCTCAGTGGAATGGATGGGGAGCTGGACAGGAGATGGAGTGAAAAGATGATCTTTCCTTAGAGTTTGGCTGTCTAGCTGCTGATTCTCTGACCATCCCCAGCCAAACTTCTCCTGATGTTCCTTCTCTTCTCTCCCAGCCTGGGGCTTGGGGTTTATATGGGTACAGGACAGGGGGCGTTGTGGGCCAGAAGGCAACTTTTGGGTGCAAAAACAGGAATGTCTGTCCTTATTTAGGGCCGCAGGTATTCAGGCTTGAGGGTGGTACCTTTGCTGGGGAAACCACCCTCTTCTATCCAGTATTTCCATGACTAATCATATTTTGAAGGGGCGAGTCTAGAAAATAACACACATTGGGGTCTTAAAATAATGAGCTTCCTTGCATAGCTAAAATTAGCATTCTGTGGGGACTCACCTTGTGGGTTGTGTGTGTGTGTGTGTGTGTGTGTGTGTGTGTGTGTGTGTTTGCAGGTGTCCCTGCTTATATACAGTGGTTGCATCATCCTATTCTACTTCCAGTACTTCCAGACTAGACTTGTTCCTGTTCAGGGAGTGTTTCCTGATTATACATAATCTTCCTATACATAAACTTTCAGTTTTCTTTTTTTTATTATAGAGACAGGGTCTTGCTCTGTCACCCAGGGTACAGTGGTGCAATCATAGCTCACTGCAGCTTTGACATCCCTGGCTCGGCTCGGCTCAAGTCATCCTCCAGCCTCAGCCTCCTGAGTGGATGGGACTATAGGCACATGCCACCATGCCTGGATAATTTTTTAATGTTTTTCTAGCGACAGCGCTCTCACTTTGTTGCCCAGGCTGGTCTCAAACTCCTAGCCTCAAGCAACCCTCCTGCCTTGGCCTCCCGAAGTGTTGGGATTACAGACACGAGCCACCATGCCCAGCAGCTTTTCTTGCTTTCCATTCCTTATATTTTTGAGTGGTCAGGAGGTGCTTACCCATTTATGAAAGCAGCATGGTGCTGCCGAAGGAACTCTGGCAGTGGAGTCAGGAAAACCCAAGTTCTAGTCCTGAGTCCATCCCTCATTAATGTCCTCCCTTTTCCTCTCCACCTTTTTGTTTCAAACAAGGGAGATAAAAAAGAGGGAAAGAAAATATGATAAGAGGCAAATGGACTACCTTTAACTTTCCTTATCATAAAGGAAGCTCTGTGAGTCAGGTCCTGTGTGTGTTTAGGTCCTGGCATTATACCTCAATCTCAGGTAAAGGTCTCCTGAAATTATATTTAACTGGGAGTTTTGCTGGCATAAAAAACATCAGGTCCAGGCCCAGAGTGATGCAATTTTATTCTCAGGTCTAACTCTATTGTGTTCTAACATTCTCTAATTCACTTCTCTGCTCTCACATGTATTTATAGACATGGATACCATTGCCAAAGCTCTGAATTATGTTTTTCTCCTTAGAGATTTGAGACCCTTGGCTCCCATTAGATCTATAATATCAATGACAGCTGTGTTGTGTGTGTATACAGCTCTCATAGCAACCAAGTGCAGTTGCCCGCCAATGAAACCTGGCTCTGCTTTCCCCCTTGCCTATTTAGTAAATGTCCTTAAGAACAAAGAAGGTGGGAATGTTAGAGGGAGGCACAGCGGGAGTGATTAGTTTAAGGGTTATGACTAATCAGGCATGTTCCCTGTGGGGGAAGGTGGGGCGTGTCTTCCATAACAGGAAGGTCCGAAGAGATTGAGGCGTTTAATTTGTACCTCCCTGTATGCCAGCAGATACAGGCTACCACTGGTTGGAGATTTAGGACGGCACCTTCTTTTGCTAGGGTGCTGTGACTGAAAGCCAACAAGGGGAGATGCAATCACAGTGAGCAGAGGGTCCCCATGGTATCTTTGGTGGCTCGGTGGAAAGGTCTTTCTCCCTGATTCTTCTCACAGCCAAGAACAAAGATTTACAGTGAGACTTGGTGGAGGCTCTCTACTACCTGTGAGTGTGATGAAATAAGAGGTCAAATTGCTTCTGTTGTTGGATCACTAAGAATGATGGAACTAGTGTTTTAAAATGTCTCATAAAGAGGAGACCTCTCTCAGTCACCTGAGTTTCTTAATTGGTATTCACTCTTCTGTAGATAGTAATTACCGCAGAGCAAAAATGACTCATATTCTCTCCCTACCCTTTGTTCCCCAATTTGTTGCAATGCATTATTCAAGGAGATGAGTAGCACTACTAACACTGGCTTCTAAAGAATTATTAGACTTAGAAAAGAACTAGGTCGGGCACAGTGGCTCATACCTGTAATCTCAGCACTTTGGGAGGCCGAGGTGGGCAGATTACTAGAGGCCAGGAGTTCAAGACCAGCCTGGCTAACATGGTGAAACCCCATCTCTACTAAAATTCCAAAAATTAGCCAGGTGTGGTGGTGGGTGCCTGTAATCCCAGCTCCTCCTCGGGAGGCTGTGTGCAGGAGAATTGCTTTCGAACCCAGGAGGCGGAGGTTGCAGTGAGCCGAGGCTGTGCCACTGCACTCCAGCCTGGGTGACAGAGCGAGACTCCATCTCAAAAAAAACTAAAAACAAAACAACAATAACAATAAACAGAACTAAATATACTTCTGTGTCTTCTGAATGATGGTTTAGCTTACAGTCCTCCAAACATAGGTATTAACAGAATAAGAGTTAAGCGGCAAAGCTGACCCAGCTGGCCCATTACAAAGCTGTGGGGAGTTTTCTTTTTCTTTTTTTTTTTTTTTTTAGCTACTTAATTTTGTCAAAATCTGGGGTTGTAAATGTTCCATTCTCAAATGTGTGAATATGCTGCATTAAGTCTCAAAACAAAAGCCCACAAAGTGGAGTTTCTAGGTGGGATGGGGCCTCCGCCTTCAGGCACAGCATGATAGCAAGCCAGGCTGATGCCCAGTGAAGCCAGGCTGATGCCCTGGCATGCGTGTGACTCTGGGAAGTGCCCAGTGATCTCTCCCCAGGTCACACCCACCCCAGGTGAAGCAGGCCCCAGGCTAATACTGCTCACTGTGCATCACCTGACTTTCCCCTTGTCAACTAGGAGCAGGGACAAGAGAGGCAAGGGTCTGTGGAATATGCAAGATTTACAGCAAATGATGTCTGGCAGCTTTTTTTTTTTTTTTTAAAGTCTGAACACCAACATGTTCCACACAGTGGTCTCCAGTGTAATGTGGAAAAACATAACCCTTGATAAAATGGGGCTTTATTGTCAATCAGCTTCAGGAAAAGCTGAATTATAGAGTTAAATCAGTGACCTTACTGAAGACTTCTCAAAAGTTTTTAATAGCGGCCAGGCACAGTGGCTCACGCCTGTAATTCCAGCACTTTGGAAGGCCAAGGTGAGAGGATCAGTTGAGGCCAGGAATTAAAGACTAGCCTGGACAACAAAACGAGACCCTGTCTGTACCAAAACAAAACAAAACAAAACAAAACAAACAAAAAATTTATTAATAGCTAATATGAGTTGTATGAAGCCTTATCCCAACTTAATTGAACTTGGGAGCCTGCTGTAAATTCTAACATATCCCATCCCACAGAACACATTTCCTCATTTGGGGATCCCTGGTCTAGTGGAAAGATGATGGAAGTTGAAGTTGGGAGGGATGGTTTCCAGGTCCTAGGTAATAGCTTCATACCCACAGTGTCTGGGCAGATAAACATTGCAATAATGGAAGCATAAACAAAGTCTAAAGTGCCTTCTAATTTGGCATAGTCATGAATGTTCCCAGCAATCCCCTTAGAGTATCTTCCTGCCTACAAATTAAGCATAGACTGGCCCTGAGTAAAGCCTCCGGGCACTAATGTTTTCCTTATCTACAGCAGCTCCAGGAGGCCACAGCACTCAATACTGTTTGTGTTTTCTTTTTGCTAGCAAATTCTGTGAAACCCACAGCTCCTGCCTGGCCATGTCCAATCCTGGCTGCTCCTCAAGTGCATGTGTCAGGAGTCTCGGCTGGGCCAGGCACGGGGGGGCTAGGCCACAACCAAAGGCCTACCAGGTTCCAGTAGGTGAGGCCAATGAATAGAGGGCCATTCTCCTTTCCTGCCTTCCTTTTCCACCTTCCCAGGCCAGCAGGCTCCATCTTTTAAATTTTCTTCATATTCCCTTGCGAATCCCAAGGAATTGCTATTTAAAATCTTTTAGAAATATACTAGCAAATATAAAGAAGAAATCTGTCTGCCCCAGCCCATCTGGCAGACCCCATGGTATAACTCTGCCTAGTATAAACTTGCCTGAGATAGTCCATAAGCATAGTGCTCAGTTCTTGCCAGACTACACCTCAAGCTCATTTCACAGCCATTCTTCTTCAGAATTGCTAAAATCTCTTAATTCCCTTAGAACAGCAGAGCTAAGAGAAGGTTGGTGCCTGCCACTTGACTTACCTGAGAAAAATAAGGAAGCTATTATTATCCTTGGTCTTTGGACATAATTGTGATTTAACAATAAATATGATGTTTTGAAATCCATAGCACCACCTCTGCAACTCAGGGATAGGCAACAAAGTCAGGGAATACAGATGACACAGACACAAGCATCTGGTTCCATTTTATTAAAAAACAAAACCAAAAGAAATTTTGCAGTGAAATTTCCTGGAATTCACAACCCTCATTTAAAAATCCTTATAGTTGCAATATTTTTTTTTTAGCCAGTACGTAAGAACACGATTGCACTTATTTACATGATAGTCTTCTATATAACAAAAATAACCATGTTGTAATGACTGTTTCCAACTATCACCCTTGTTTCATCACTAGCCCATTATGAGACAAGTTGATTACGCTCTCCAAGTACAAAGAGAATAGAATAAAGCAAAATAAAAGTCTGTGTCTCCTAATAGAAGACAAATTCCTTTAAAGACAGTTACTTTTTTTTTTTTTTCAATTTCTTTGTATTTCAAGAGGGATATAAAGTGCTCTGAAAGGAGTAGGGTAGGTGCCTGAGGTGGGGAAGAAGGAAAGAAATTTATACAGAAAAAATTTAAAAAACTACACTGCCTTAACTAATCATCTCAATATGCACACAACTTTGTACAGAAGATTAGTTTTGGGTAAAAACGCTACATAATTCACTAGTACTTATTTCGGCAATTAAGAACTGAAGTCCAAATGAAAGACTCCCCATGCAAATGTCATCAGGAGTGACTTTTTTGTGATTTTGGGTCAGATGCTATATAAATCAAGGAAGCTCAGTCACACAGTCTGAATATGGAGAGGATAGACAATGCCGAGATGGAACCATCATCTACTACCTGCAGACTAGCCAGAAAGACCTTGTGGGGAAGCTAAGTAGACTTTACCCCAACATCAATCATTTTACAACAAAAGCATTTTGTTGCAAGCATTTGTTTACAATAAAAGTAATTTGTGTTAGGATGGAAAAAAAGCCATTGGAATTTCCTCTTGCTAGTAGGGAGGAAGATTGATTTATGATGTCATGTCTGATTATTTATAATTGTAAATTCATTATTTGCAGATTTTTTTCTAGTGGGAAATAATATGCTGTACAAAGTGGTTAAAATAAGTTATTTCTTTTTCACATTTTTGCAACTGGCAATTGCTGGTTATTGTCTGCAGTCTACAAAACTGAGTATCACATATGTACTGCTTGAGAGTTTCCCCTGGAAACCAGAATAATCATCCTCCCAGCTCATGAACATTTTAAAGAACAATACCCATTTTTTTTTCCAGAAAATGGATGGAATGTAACTTTTCACAAATACAAAATTATTTCATTTTCTAAATGTAAGGGACACCCCTCTATAAAAATAACAGTCCCTCCCCACTCCCACCCCTACATCTCCTTCTAATTATAAAATGGTAGAACCATCTCAGATTACTAATGTGAAAGCAGGAAGTAAATATATTATGTACATGTACAAAACACATCAGTATTTCACACCATTTACATTCATATGAAGTCTTTTTATTGATCTTCCTTTGCAATTTCACAAGAATAAAGTTGAGATAACTTACAAAAACAAGCAGTCCCTTGCTTATAACTGCACAAACATTCTAGCCAGAGGCATCTTCTTTGCAAACAGAGCAACATTATCCTTCAACATTTTGCAGAAGTAAGGGCTGCTGACAGTGAGAAGATCTGTGGGGTCTCCTTCAGCTTTTTAGAGTTTGTGACACTCTTTCCTCATTTGATAAATGTAGACCAAATTCTCAACTACCGAAGAAATTGTATGATGAAAGGCAAGTAACTGGTTGTTGAATTCATGACCCAAGTCAAATTAATCTGCTGCAAGAATAATTGCGATTACTCCAGCAGAGGGCACTCTGCTCCTTGCAATAACATCCTACTGAACAGTAAGTACCATGGATGCCAACACAAATTCAGACCGAAAAGTCCATGTATGTGTTAGTTCTTCAACTGCTCTACTATACCCATTAGTACAGGCAACAGTTTTGTATCTTCTTCGAAAGAGCAGGATATACTATATTTAGCTAGCTCTTATACATGAAAATTCTTTGGCTATTTAAAATCTTCACATTCTCAAAGAGAACAATGTTCTGAGTTCAGTAAAGCGCTAGATTTGTTGGAAAGTTTTGAAGGAAAAGGGGACTAAACACTAGACTTTAAAGATGGTGTGGTACTAAGGCCACAATTCATTTTTTAGATTTCGGGATTTAGTAAGGTCAATCAACAGTCTGCAACAGAAAACCCCATAAGGTTTAATGGTTTCATTCAACCATGCAACCCACCTTCGCTTTTATTTATGAGAACATTGGGAGAAAATTCAACTAGTCAATGGAAGAAACATGTGTTCATTTGGATGGTGATCAGTCTTTGGTTTATATAGCACACATGGTCCCCACATTACCCTGCTTCTCCAAGCCTGTCACTTCACTAAGGATAACAGACCACAGATATTCTGCCAAGCAATGACTTTGGGTAATTGAGATTAAGCGACCTTCTCTAAGGATTTTTCTCCCTCACTGTGTTCAGACATTGCAGACCTCTTAATAGACGTGTATATTTTTGTCTTATCATCAGCAAATATTTATCAGGTGGCCACAGAGCAAATGGCTCTGTATTAAGTGCAAACGTCAGTGGTAGCACAGAATTAGAAGATCTTTGATCACTGAAATTCCTGAAAAAGCCACGTGATTATGAAGCACTCAAGGCAGGTGAAGAGAGATGTGACTGACCTTAGCAGGTTCTTGTAGAACAAGCAGGATTGCAATCAAATTGCTCGATATTAAGGGGCCACGTCTAGCATCTGGACTTGCTTCATTAGTTCTGGGATGATAACTTGGTGTCAATAAAAGGTGTAGAGTGGAAGAGTGTGGCTATTGATCTGTGGGTCTTTAAAAATTAATGTTCCTATTACACAGGGTCTGGGGTTGAGTGAGGACAAAAGGAGGGAAAAGGAAGAGCTAAGGGATGATGAGAAACTCATATTAGCTTCTTAGAATTAATTTATTTTTCAGGCAATCCAGACCTTCTTTGCAATCATGAGTATTTTAACTCATGAGTATTTAATTCCTTAAAAATACAAACTCCCCAAAACCCAGGTCAGCTCTAAACCTAGGGATGAGCATTTACTTGGGGACAGCACGCACATTTTGTTAAGCACAGAAGCTTTCCAGCCCTGCTTTGACCAGCTCCCTGATCAGAGATCCTGCCATCCTCTTTTCTTACTTCCTGCAGGGTGACACTCCCATCCCATTTTAACTGCCAACATCAAACGTATTCATCCATGCAATGGCATGGATGAAGGACCTCGGTGGCCAAGAGCACTGCATGAAGAACCATGCATCCCCATCTTAAGAGGGTAGTCTCTTCGTGTCTCTTTGTCAGTCTTCAGGAATTAGTGGCCCTCAGATCACTTACGATGAGCAAGCACTTGTGCTAAGTAGTTAGGAAGAATGGGCATTCCATCAGGTACAGTATACAAGTTTTTCCAAGAAATCCTAACCCTGGGGGCTCAGGCGAATGAGGAGGGTCAAATGCTGAGGGTGGGAGAAAGCAGATCTAGACAGCATTCTGGAATTGTTGCTTTGCCATTATTTGCCCAGAAAACATTTATGGCAAGGAAGCCTGAAAACATGGCAATGGTTGTAAGATGGGTTGCGATACAACTGGTGATGTGAGAAGTGAAAATGAAACTGACTCCTTTAGGGAGGACATTGGTTTATAGTAAACAGGTTTGCCTCATCAGAAGTGAATATGGATATTGCTACACAATAAAAAGAGGAAAAACACCAACAACAGTAACAATGGTAATCACAATAATGATAATGACTCTGTAGGTATAGAACCTCCAGTTTTTTGTGTTCTGAAGGTTATTTCAGAGTTTCTTGCAAGAGAGAAAACAAATCAGAAAAAAAGGGGAAGAGAGAAGATGGGAAAATAATTTATGTATGGGTATACAAAGTAAGATATAGGCAGTCAGAGAAAAACAGATACAGACAGAAAAGGAAAAGAAACTTAGAGAAGATATAAAAATGCTACTGGAAATTGCCTCTGTGGCCTTAGTACCAGAAAAGACTGGGCTCTCGCTCCACAGAGGGAGTGACTCCATAGCCCAGATTTTTTGAAAAGTTTTGATTTAAGGATTTTTTTTTAAGTCAGGGTGATACATTCAATGGATAACTAAATGTCATTTAATTTTTTATGCTCTGCAAAAATATCCATCTAAACAAAACTCATAAATAAGAAAGAATCCTATGTTAGATCACTGGCATTGATTTGGTTTTGAGAGTATGGTAGCCTCAGGGATGTCAGGGCAGTAACTGAAATGGCCACTGGGCATGGTGAGCTTTGAAATGACCAAACCCAGATCTATGAATTTCCAGGATATTTCACCAGGATGAAGGAAATGTTAAAAACAAGAAAACAAAACAAAACAAAACAAAATGAACATTTTTGGACAGAGCTTTGCCTCCATGATTCTGATCATTACCATGTGATGTCAAAAATGGGTAGGTACCTTTGCCGCTTTTAATTTTCTGCCTTCTCCAGACTCTACCTCTCCCTGTGTAGATGACCAGAGTTGACACTGCAGGGGATATCTAACCCTAGAGATTAAGTCAATGTTCAAAAGCTGTATTCATAGTCAGGGCTCAGCTCTTCCAAAGGGACTAGCCACATAGGAGGTAGCAGTTCCTAAAGGTGACCCTAAATTATTTTGAGTGAATGCAAATGCTCCTTTTCTTCCCCATAGCATTGGGGTGGCAGGTGGATGCTGACTTGGAGTAAAATGCTGGCTGTTGGAGGTGGTCATAATTCACCAAGTAGAGACCGGATGATCACAGGCCCCCAAAGATTCTTTTTCAAGAAGGCCACATAAAGTCTTGCATTTCTCATTCTTTCCTCCCAAGTTCGTGAGTTTTCACTACAGCTGTGGGACTGGGGGACACTGGGAAAGGACTTTCACCAACCATGAACAAGAAGAAGGGGTTGAGGTAAAGTTGGGTGATTTCAGTCTGGAGTTCTCTTTGGCTCCTAAGTGCCACATATCAGTCCGAGGGTTTGCCATAGAAGTGAGGGGTATAATTTTGTTTCAGCACCAAATCAGCATGGTTTGTGTGAGTTTTAAGTAACAACTGGTCAGAGGAGTAACAACAAATGGTCATGGACATCAATGATATGGTTAGAAAGTTCAAGCAGAAATTTTAAAAAGGGTGCCTGAATCTTTATTCACTACAAAATAAATGGACCTCTGGGCCTCTCATTAGGCGACTTGGGTGGTGTCCAGTTCTCCCTGGAGGTAATTAAGCTTTTAACCTTCTTTTCTTTTGTAAGGGTCGGGGGATCTTGTGAGAATACTGGAGGAACTCTAGACCTGCATTGTCCAATTGGCAGCCACTAGCCACATGTGACTATCCAAATTGAGAGGTGCTGTGAGTGTAAAAGACACAATGGATTTAGAAGACTTAGTACACAAAAGCATGTAAAACATGTCATTAATTTACATTAGTGACATGTTGAAACAATATTAGGTTAAAGTACATGATTAAAATTATCTTTACCTGTTTCTTTTTACACTTTAAAATGTGGCTAGTAGAAAATTTAAAATTATGTCTGTGACTTGCATTACGTTTCTGTTGGACAGTGCTAGTCTAGACTCTTGCTATAGAAAAATGCACATCTGCAAATACACATACAGTCTGCATTTGCTTCTAGAGGGTACACACACCCTCTGACACTCATCTGTAGACTACCAGGTCTCCAGGTCAGTCTCTTCTTTGGGGGAGGTAAAGAAGGCTATAAGGAAGGGCTGTTCCCCTTTCTTCTGAAAGAGAAACTTTCTGGTTAAGCTTTTTTTTTTTCTTTTTTTTTTTTTTTTTAAACTATCAAAGCTACAGGAAAATCCTCCAGAAACAAACTTTGGTAAGTAGTGAATGGCAAAGGCTCAGGGGGTTTGCAGCAGGACCTCCTTGGGGTCAGATCTGCCAGCCTCGGGTTGGCCTTTCAGACCCCTCATCGTCTATGAGGCATCCTGTAAGTGCAGCTGTGGCCAGGGCTTGCATATGCAATCAATTCCTGATTCACCTAGTTCTTGGCAGGAAGAGAAAATACTCGTTAATCAGAGGACTAAACAATCCAAAGCGCATTCTCTCTCTGGGAATGGAATATAATTTATATTTCTGTTGCTATTGAATTATCCTTCTAATTCCACTGGACTAAACTTAATACCAGTAATACTAAAATTTGTTTTGGGCAAAGCCGACTGAAGGAGGAGTCAGTGGCGCAAGCCTATGCTGACTGTGAAAAATAAACACCTCTGAGATCAAGAATCCCACAGTGAGAGCTAGGATTTGAAGGTATCCAGAGATTGCAAACTCTGTGACTAACAGCAATTTTTAAACAAGGCAAAACAAACCAACTCCTACTTGGACTTAAAACTTCAATCATTTAGATTTTCATTCTCAGCACCATAGTTGTGCCAAGTCTCAAAGGCTGTTATTACATGATACATGTCAAGTAACTCTACCTCCCCAAGCTACGAAGCCTGATTGCCACAAGTCATAGCTATCTGCAAAAATGGATCCTGCCTCTGAAAGACTCATCTGTGGTCCCACAGCCAGAGGAGCTTGGGGACTCATGTTATTAAACCCTTCACATTATAGATGAAGAAGCCGAGGCTTAGTAAAGCGTGTGGTTCATCTAGGATTCTCGATTCAGAGCTCTCTTCATTCCTCCCTGCCTCTTTTCCCACACATAGAGAGTGGATTTCATTACAGGAAGCATTGGACTCCTAGGGAGATGCAACCTTTCTGAGGGTAATAATCATCTGCCTTGCCTTACTGTCTACTTACAAACCATCAAATAGGAAATTGGTAAAGGTGGTGAAAAAGGAGCAGCTAGTATTCTCCGTTGACCTGCACACCATGTTTCAGCAGGCGGCAAGGATTTACAGCAGAACCAAACTCTTTTTGAATGAGTATTAGTCTAATGAGGTGGAAAAGTCCCCATCAATACATAAAAACAACTCAGTGAGAAAAGCTTTCTTTCCTGGTTAATCCAAGCCGCAGCCTGGTGTTTGCCAGCTGTGTAGAGATAAGGTGATCCGTCTGATTGTTCAGAGACGCTATCAATGACCTTAGTCATCTCTGTATCTGGATAGTCTGAATATATTACAAAATTGCCCACTGAAAAAATAGCACATTTCTGTCATAGTTACAAAAGATGAATAAAAACAGAAACAGTTTAAAAACACCATTGGGTTTCAGTATTTACTTGATACCTCTTTTCCTTTCCCTCTTACTTTGTCTATTTCAGTCAGGATAAACGATCTAGCAAATTCTCATGCTGCATACTTTTTGGTTCAAATGATACAGCAAATCACACCTCATTCCTCACTTGGTATCTGGACACACTCAGGGAGCCCTGGGAAGCAATCTGCTAGGGATTCACCTAAATCCTCCCACATGGTCTGGTGAGATTCAACAGAAGTGTGTCGAAATTAAGGTAAAAGCTAGGTGCTACTGCAGCCCCCACTATGTTTGCCATTGGACTTAAAAATGATTGGCTTTTCTCTAAAGCCTCCATTTTTTACAGAACCCACTTACAGAGGTAAGAAAAAAACTGTTCTAGCCCAGGGGAAACCAATGCAACTGGCATTTTGTTTTCAATAGGAAGAAAATGTGGTATCTGGTTTTAAAACCAGCCCTACAACCACCAAAGACTGGATGCCTTGGAGGGGACTTCTGAGTTCAGAATTTCAGCCAAAGACTGTAAGACCCAGAAGAATGAAACGGCTTCCCTAGAGCTCCCTTCTCATGTCACGTGGGCCCTTAATCAAGCCCGGCAAGTGGAAGCAAGTGTGATGTGGCTTAAAATAACCAGCAGTGGCCTCAGCAGATTTAGGGCTTAGTGTTGGGGTCTCTGGCAGCTGGGGTTTTTAAAGGCCCACTTAGAAGAACTTAGATTCTTAATGAAAGCTGGCCTTAGTCCATTTCAGGGTGCTGAGGCACTTCTCAAAGCCATGCACACTTCATGCTGGGAGGTCAAGACCACATATCTCAGAGATGGAATACAAACTGATCATAGCAGGAACTGGTGCTTCTAAACAGAAACCTATACAAAAGCTGGAGTGCATCAAAGGAAAAACAAAGGAATAGATGGAAAGTAAACTACAAATAATCTTTAAAAAAATTGCCAAAGAAATCAAACAACATGCCAAAAACAAGAATGATGAGACATGGAAAGAATTGAAATGAAACTAAGAAATCCTAAAGGTGGCCTTTCAGTCTCTGTTTTAGGAGCTTCTGAAGTGTATGTCTACATGGACATAGGAGTGGAAATCAGCTTTCAACTTCCCAGCTGCCAAGGCCACAGACTGCCATACCGATGGAGAAACTGCATCCTGATTGACAAGACTTTGGATATTGCTTTTCGTCAGCATTCTTGAACGGAGCGCCCTGGAGTTGCCAAGGTGATCTGGAGGTGTGTGTGTGCCTGGTCCAAGTCTTGGAGCACTCTTCCCTTCCTTTCCCTTGGGTCCTACTATCTCTTTGCTTCTGGATTTGTCGTTTCAAGATTTCACTTCTTCACAGTCCTGGTCAGTGGAAAGTTCTACATCAGACAGTCCAACCTCCATTGCCATGATCAAGGAAATGTCAGAATCACTGCTTACAGCTGGCTCCTGCTCACCTGGGAGGAGAAAGCAAAGTTCACAGTGAACACCGAGCTATGTCTTTGCATGCTGCTTATTTCAGTACAATTGCTTGTAATAACATTTCTTTAAAGGCCAAGAGAAGGTATTAGAAAAATTGGGTATTCTGTAAAAACTCTAGTTAAAGCCTCATCTCACATGGGCCAAAAAGTTAAATGCAAACAAAAGAAACTAGAATAATAAAATATATCATCTAAGGATATGTCTTAGTAGGAAAATATATATCTACCGTAAGTTGGGCAAGAAATTCTATTTAGAAAAGTAATTGGGTAATTTACAGAAGAAAAGATTGTTACATATGCGTAACATTTAAAATGTTACACACATGTAAAATAAAATCAAAAGGCATATCAAACTCAGGAATTTGCAAAAAATTTCACAAAGGTTTCTATTCTTAACATATAGAAAGCTTTTAAATCAATAAGAAAAACAGTTCAATAGAAAAATGGACAAAGGTTACCATTACACAATTCACGGAAGAGTGTAATATAAATGACCAATAAATATAAGGTAAAAATAAGATATCCTTTTTTGTCTATGTAATCTTCACTCTTTAAAAAAGACAAGATAATATTACAGTTAAGGGTACACTGAGGTAGGTAGGTACATGATACATTGCATATAGAACTGTAAAATTTTCACTCAGTAATTTCATTTCCAGGATGTATTATAGAGAAATAACTGGAGATGCAAAACTATTCAATTAAGCATGATTTACAGTAGCAAAACATTGCAAGTAACTTAAAGTCCAACAATAGAGAACATCTGAATAAACCTATTACTTCTAAAGGACAATGTTGTTATAACCATTAAAATGATGTTTTCAAAGAATTTGTAGTTACATGAGAAGACGTTCACAGTATACTGTTAAGTGAAAACAGAAATATTTAAAGCTTTGTATGCAATGGGGTCAACAGAGAAAGTTAAATGGAAGCAAAGAAACCAAAAATGCTAACGAGAGTCATCTCTAGTGTTGGGATTTATATTCATTTTCTGTTAACATTTTTTTTCAGTTCTCCCAAATACTCTTCAATGAACATACATCACTTACTCATTCAAGACATTATCTACCGTGTCCCTACTGCACACTAAGGATTATGCTAGAGGCTATGGATATAGGGGAGATTAAGACAATCCCTATCCTGAAGGAGCTCATTGTCTGGTGGGCAGGTTGACCATTTACTAGGCAATTACAACACAGTGAGATAAGCACCAGGATGGAAGATGTACCAGGTATTACAGGAGCAGGTAAGAGGGCTATGTAACCATATACTGGGTGCAATGTCTAAACTGAGTCCTAAAGGATAATCTGTATTATAGCCAGATGAATAAGAAGAAATAATCCTTTAAGCAACAGCATGTACAGGTGGCTGGAGGTGATAGGGAGCTGTGGGCAGGCAGATATCAGAGGGTTTTTAATTTGACTGGAATGCAGAGTCAAGCTGGGGAATATGGACAGAGGAGGCCAGAGAGCTGAGCTGCATAAAGGCAGCTTTCAACCCAAAAGGTCTTGTACTTTCTCTTACTTTGCAGAAGAAATATGCAATTAAAAAAACCAACAAAAATGTATAAGTACTAAAGAATAATAATGGTTATAATACTTTTGTTCTGATAATCGCTAATGTAATTTTTTCATGATGTGGCACAGTTAAGAAAAATACCTGAGTTTCATGAAGGACAGTGAATTCCTAAGATGTTTTCAAGGAGACAAATAAGAGAACAAACAAAGAATTATGGCCTGAAAAATCAGTTTTATAGAAATGGGGTATTTCACAGGGAAATATCCAACCTGAAGACTTAGCTCTTATCCGTTTCCTAGATCCACAATTGCAGGAAGTTCATAGCAATGTAACAGATCAATGGTTAAATGAAAACCCTGGAAGCAGCTCTATAAAGATACAAGTCTTTGGTATTTAAAAACAGTGGCATTCAACAAATAGTCAAGAAAACTAGTCATTTAGAAAAAAGTGAAACTGGATCTGTGCCTCACACTTCACTACAAAATACATTCTAAGCTTGCTATATATGATCTCCCATCTTCATTTTGTGCGTGTATGTGTGTGTGTGTGTGTGTGTGTGTGTGCACTTCCTTTTCATTTATCTTCTCCAGAGCCACCTGGTGCCTTTGATCCCTGACCTTCGGGAAATTCTCAAGTGCAAATTACGGTGGTTCTCCCTTTCCCCATGCCTGATTTGTGCTTGTTTTCTCAGCAGGGTCGTGGCGTGCTGTTGTGCAGGGTGTGTACAGCACCACTCCACAGCACAGCTTCACTCTGGAGTCTGAGTGAGCAGTGGCTCCTGAAGTGGGGCAGGACACAACCCACACAGCCAGATGCAGGGGCTTGCTGTGTCTCTAGTCTACTAAGTCATGGACCATTCATCTGTTTTTTGCAGTTGCCTAAATTTTGTTATTGTCTCTTCTTGCATTTTCCCTGTCCATGTCGTGCTCTGTCTTTAAAAAAAAAATCCCTTCACTGTGGTTTTTGTGGAATTTCAGGAGAGACTGGGAGTGGCTTCATATGGCAGGTCCACTCTTTTTACTCAGTGCTCTCCTTAAACATCATTTTTACAATAAGAATTCTCTCTCTCTCTCTCTCTCTCTATATATATATATATGTATACACACACACACACACACTTTATACTTATGAGAACTGGGAATCTATCTGACTTGATACTATATTCTAGCATCTGCTATTAGTAACTGCATGTGTTATTTTGTAAAAATTGTTTTTCTCCTTTAGGGCTAAAGTTTAATTGCCTAGAAAATGAGAATTTGGACTGGATGCATTAGAGTCCTTTCCAGTTGTTGTTTATGCATGTTTATGTGTTGATGCCAATCTAGTACAGGGCCTCCTACATAGTGGGTTCCTGATGAATAATTATTAGATAGAATGACCACTGAGAAACAAAGTTGCCTTTTTTACAATTCTTCAAATTGTTTTTATTTTTGCAATTTTTTTCTTAATAAAAAATGCCTGCTTTTGTATATTTAGTACAAGTATACACGAATGGGAGAATTCCCACTTGGAGGTGTAATGAAAGCTGAAATCTTATTCCTGGAGATAAAAAATGAGAGCTGTACTTTATAGGGAATTAAATTTCCACTTCTTTTCTTGCAGTGGCCCATCAATCAACTCAGTTCACAGGAAGCCAAAATTTTCAGCTCACAATTAAACTGGAAGTCAACCAAAGAGCTCATAATGGAATGAATTTATGACTTTCATATGGGTCCAGCCAAAAAAAAAATAGCACAGATAAAGAGCTGACTTAGTTACAGTTCTATAGAGACAGAACTCACTGCTACCTACAGTGACAGCTTCTCAACTTCATTCTGGCTTTGCAGCCACCAGCCTCAGCAGATTCCATAGATTCATTCACACCTTGGTTTTTTCTAAATGGGAGTGTGTGAACTGAAAGAAAAAGGGGCCACAGGGACTGATGTAACTATGAGCTGCTGAATTCATGGTGCTACTTTGGAAATTAAGACTTTACTATACAGTGCAAGGCAAAGGTGAATTCAAATAAATGAAAATAGAGAAATTTACAAAAATGGTTCGGTTTTTATGATATAACATTGCACCAATATCATCTAATCATTTTCCATTTAAAAACTTGTTTTTAAAATAATCTGAGGATGTGAAATTATTCTAAGTATGTTCTATGTTTTTAATCAAACTTGGTTTGTTCCATAATTTTTAACAGTTTTTATAATTTAATCAAGACAGATGTTTTACTTTGAGGCTACAATAATACGAATGAAAACTTTGTCAGCAAACTATTTAGAAGGTTTTCTGTAGGTGGTACTAATTGGGGACTATAAGTAGCTATTAACAACATAAATGTCGACTGAATTTGCCTCCTTCTCTGCAAAAACTAACAAAAACTAATGTAAAAGTAATATTAGCCCTCATTTGATACAACCACTCTTTGATGTAGGTATTTTTATTCCAGTTTATAGATGAAAAATACTCTTAGTCCATTTGACATAGTAGGATCATATCTGTCTTCTTTTGGTTGTTACATATTGTAAAACATTGAGAGATTTAAACAGGAGGTAATCTGATTTGCCTAACATTTTAAGAGGTCACTCTTGCTGTTACAAGAAAAATATTGGCAGGACAATGGGCAGAAGGAATCCAGTTAGGAAACTATTACAGAACAGATGAAACATGGTGGCTTATTGTGGTGCTAAAGGTGGAGATAAGGGGACAAATCAAAGAATGATTTTTGGATGAAGGATCTACAGGAAATGATGGACTAGCCAAGGGCAGTAAAAGAGGAGAAAGTAGAGAAAAATTCCCATGTTTTTCGAGCAATACAGATGCCATTTATTGAGCCAGAGAAACTGGAGAAGAAGCAGGTGTTAGAACTACATCAAGAGTTCAGGTTTGCATATGCTATGTTTGAGATGCTCACAAGACATCCAAGGTTGATGTGGAGTTGGCAGCTAGATACTTGAGTCTGGAGTTTAGAGGAGAGGCCATGACTCTCAATACATTTGGAAGTCTTCAGTACAGAGAAGGTATTTTAAACCACAGAAGAGATGAGAGGTTTTTGTTTTTGTTTTTGTTTTAATAGGAAGTGATTGTAGCATGAGAAGATAAGGCCAGGGACAGAACTTGAAGAAACCCAAACACCTAGAGCAAAAGACCCAAACTGGTGACCCTTGATGCTGTTTTGTTTGGCCTGGACAATGTTTTGTTTTGTTTCAAATGTGAATTAGTTACCAATATTTGCAAGTCAGGACATTTCACATACAAATTTATATTTGAAATTTGTCTTCGAAAAAGGAAGATACGGTAATACCTGTCTGATTCCCAGATGGACACCACTGGTGGGAGCTGAGAAAGAGCTGTGCCATTAGCCCAAGGAACACAGGCTCCAGGTCATCACAGTCACCAAATGGGCTAAATCAGTGGTTCACACTGCTTGCCTGGCCTGTGCAGACATTTATTTGAGTCTGAAATCTCATAGGAGGAGAGCAGAAGAACAGCAGAGGAAGGTAATCCCCCCAAAGAGCCTGAAAATTGCCCCCAAAGAGCCTGAAAACTGGAAGAATATAGTGTCATTGATTCATTTCCTCATTTTCCTTTAAATATACTCCTTCATCTTTTATAAATAAAATCCATACCCAAGGAAAAGAGAGACTATAGTATTACTGGATTGGCTGGGGTGGACTTAAAGACTGATCCCAAGTCATCTCATTCTCTGTCTTCAATCTTCTTATCACAATGTTACAGAGTGTCTGATTAGATGGAGCAGAAAATACTGTATTTTATTTTTTTATTTTTGAGACAGGGTCTCTCTCTGTTGCCCAAGCTGAGTGCAGTGGCATGATCTCAGCTCAGTGCACCCTCTGCCTCACAGCTCAAGCCATCCTCCCACCTCAGTCTCCCAAGTAGCTGGGACCACATACGTGTCCCACCACGCCCAGCTAATTTTTGCATTTTTTGTAGAGACAGGGTTTCGTTGTTGCCCAGGCTGGTGTTGAACTCCTGGGCTCAAGCAATCCTCCTGCCTTGCCCTGCTGGGATTACAGGCATGAGCCACCATGCCCGGCCTATTCTATTTTAAATGGAGCTTTGTGACCTACTTTGTTCTCAAAACTATTGCTTTAATATATTTCCACTTTAATTCTGAGTAAAATCCATCAGTAGCCTAAACTGTGGTTAACCAAATAATTCTCAGTGGTGGGGTTTATTAATTCCATTTAGTCCATAAATTATTGATATCTTTGGTTTATCTCTTTCCTCTTAAATACATAAAATGTTACCTAAAGACTCACAAGTTTCCCTTTGTGACACAGGCATTGCAGTTGTAGTTCTGCTGTGGTTTTGATATGATTGTCGATAACAGTGGGCCCCATGACTCTTCAAGTTCTTTCCAACCCTGAGAAGACAAGACTCTGAAACCTGCCCTGTTCAGTGCTGGGTATATCCAGGGCCTTTATCAATTTCCTGGCTCAAGCTCATTCCATTATCAATGTTCCCATGTCAGGATCCTGCTGCATTTCTTCATAAAGAGGAGGCACTTGGTAAATATTTCTAGAATTGAGATAAAATTGTAGTTGCTTTCTGGCCACATAGGAAAGTTTTTTATTTTAAGAACTAATAACAGTATTAATGCTTACTGAGTACTTAGTCCATGCCAAGAACTATGCTTTATTTTTTTGAGACTGGGTTTCGCTCTCTCGCCCAGGCTGGAGCTTAGTGGTGCAATCACAGCTCACTGGAGTTTTACTCTGCCACCTAGGCTGGAATGCAGTGGCACAGTCTCGGCTCATGGCAGCCTCTGCCTCCTGGGTTCAAGCGATTCTTCTGCCTCAGCCTCCTGAATAGCCGGGACTACAGGCATCTGCCACGACACCTGTGCAGCCTCTATCTTGAGCAATTCTCCTGCCTCAGTCTGTTGAGTAGCTGATTTTATTTTATTTTTTTTAAAGTAGAAACAAGATCTCACTATGTTGACTGGGCTGGTCTTGAACTTCTGATCTCAAGGAATCCTGCCTCCTTGGCCTCCCAAAATGCTGGGATTACAGACATAAGCCACCATGCCCAGCCTATGCTAAGTTCTTTAAATAATTTAATATTCTTAATTAACTATGACATGGAAAGTATTACTATTTCCATTTTCAGGTAATAAAACCAAGGCTCAAAAAGGTTTAAAATTCCACAGCTTACATAATAGTAAGAGTTGGAAACAGAATTCAAATCCTGGTTTTATCTGACTCCAGAGTCCATGAACTTGACAATCATTACGTTTTTTTTTTTTTTTTTTGGTGAGTGACAGGGTCTTGCTCTATCACCCAGGCTGGAGTGCAGTGGGGTGATCATAGTTCACTCCAACCTTGAACTCCTGGGCTCAAGCAAGCTTCTCACTTCAGCCTTCTAAGTAGCTGGGGCTACCTATTGGCATGCACCACCCATATCTGGCTAATTAAAATATTTTTTTTCATACAGATGGAGTCTCACGATGTTGCCCAGGCTGGCTTTGAATTCCTGGCTTCAAGCCATCCTCCCACCTTGGTCTCCAAAGCACCAGGATTACAGGGGTGAGCCACCATACCTGGCCCATAATCTGTTCTTGAGTTGAGATTCTTAACTTAAGGATTAGTGATTTGCAGGGTGGGGCTGGGGGATTAGGCATTTAAAATTACATACACACATTTATAGCTACATATAGGCCTTTTCCTGGTAGTTTTCATCAGATTCTCAAACTCACGAAAGGCTAAGAACCGTTCACTTAAATGATTTTGCATCCCTGGTGAGTTGGATAACACATTACAGTAAGCAACAGAATGGCTTGGTTTTGTTTGTGTTTTTTTTTAATGCATATTTTGGTTTACATTCCACTAGCTATGTGTTCTATTAACTTGACATGATAGTTTTCACATGAAGTCACTGCTTTCCTACTTAATTGTTTCTTTATGGTGGTTATTCAAAGCTAAAGCAGAAAACTATCCTTCCCTGAATGAGGTTTATTTACTCACTCTACTGCCTGTCTTATGAAAGAAGGCACAGACCAGTAGCAGGCTGGCATAAGTCCTCCTCTGTTAGGAATTAACAAACATTGCCCTCAGAATAAGTGCTCTCTGTTTTGAGAGAAAATAAGGTGGTGGTTAATATAATCCCCCAGGTGGCCTATTCTCCAGGAGGTCTGGTGTTTGCATGCTGGGAGTTGCTCTGCATTACACAAAAGCTTATTTTTCCTCATGTACTTGAAAAGTAAGGTTTCAAAGAAAAATGGCATCCTTCTGTCCACTGCTGCTGATGCTTATCTTCTTGAAAATAGGGCATAATTTCCAATCAACCCTGTATTGTACAAGAGCACTATAGGGAAGGCACTTTCAACCACATTGGTTGAATTATAATGTTGCTGTCTTTTCATCTCAGAATGTGAAACTCCCTTCAGGCTGGGGCAGTGTCTATATAGCCTGTCATTATGTTAGTGGGAAAGTTAATTAGACTTTAAATGCAGCGTGTTTGCAATAAGGAAATGTGTTCCTTTGAATTCTTTGCCTTAGCAAGAATTTCTAAGGAGATAAACTACTTCCCACTTGGTTTATGTTTTCCCATTTATGAGTGGCCTCTGATGTGAGAATGGCAAGGTCTCTGGACCGCTTTCCTCAGAGGGTATGCAATAGGGTGGATACTAATAGCTAGGATAGACTGGCTCCTTCCTACATGCCAGGCATTTTGCTATGCCATTAAATATATCACACGTCACCCTCACAATAATACCGCTATGATGGCTTCACATGTTATAGGTGAGGGTGAGCACATAGAAGATGGAAGAAGTGGGATCTCAACCCAAGTCAGTGAAATTGACAGTTGTACTATTCTGGAATGGCAGAGCTACTAGAGTTCTATTTGGCTGCTATGTTGCTCTTACAGACAAGACTCAGCCACATTTGGAAACCCAGCAGGCTTATGATACAAATTCATCCATTTGGCCAAGTGACTTCTAGAATTGTTCAGATATAACTGACAGTTTTGCCTTTTCAATTCCTGTTCCATAATTGCAAATATATACATCTTGCGGTCAAATTAGGAAAATTCTTTCTCACCTTTCAGATGGGGAAGTTTAAAACATTGTTTTCATTTGGATTTGGTGAAGGAGAATTCCCTGTATATTAAATTAGAAGCCTGTATATTAAATTAGATCACATAGTTAGGATTTCACTTTGCTTTTATCTCTTTGCTGTTGGTTTTCTTTCCCTGTGACACTTCATCTAGCAGGGGAAAGATTTTCTCCAACTGCTCAAATTCCTTACTGATTTCCTTGGCAGTTCATTCATTGAGTCATTCCTTGCTAAGTGCCAAAAGAAGAGGCAAAGTGATTTTTACATTAGTTTTACATTTGTTTTTGCAGGGAAGGAGACAAAATCTAGTGCACATTGTGTTGTCAACAGTTTTTTTTTACAATGCCCAATTAGTACCACCTATTGAGAACCTTAAACATTAAGCATAATATCTGGTAGATGAAAGACTTTTGATGAATGTAAATATGATTGGTATGAAAAAGGAGTGTAAAAGAGAAAGTTGCCAAATGGATTTAGAGAGATAGGCAGAGTTCATACATATTTATCCATTTCTGCAACCGTATAAAATTATCTATAGACCCCATTTATTCATTCAACAATTCACTTAATCTTTATTCAACAGATGTTTATTGAACATGTATTAGGTACACAGCACTGCTGATGAGCAGTGTGGAGAAAAGAAAGATGACCTAAATACAGGCTCTGACTTTAAGCTGAATTTGATCTACTAAAAGAGATCAGATTTGTATCCATAGAAATGTAATACAAGGTGACATATGCTAAAAGAGAGGTGTAAATAAAATGTTAAGGAAACAAAGGTGTGGGGAAAATATCACCTCTAAGTGGGTAACCAAGAGGATTCATGAAGTAGGTTACATGTAGGCTGGCAGTGAGGATCTAATTAGTATTGGGAAGTATGGAGGTAAGGGGAAATGGAATTCCTTCCAGAAGGGCCAGCATGACTATAGCAATCATCAAAGCAAATTTCAAGGCATGTGGATGGTTTGACTTGCCTGTGGCTTAGTGTATGAAGGATGTGGAATGGTTCAGACAGGTCACTGTGGCTCCTGAAGTGTTGGCTGTGGTTTCAATGAGATCAGAGGGAGAAAGATTCTCTATATCCCCATCAACACTTACTATTTTGTGTTTATTTTTAAATTTTATTTATTTATTTTTAATATTAGTCATCCTAACAGGTTAAGGTGATATCTCATTGTGTTTTTTTTTTTTTTTTTTTTTCAACAGAATCTTGTTTTATCACCCAGGCTGGAGTGCAGTGGCACAATCTTGGCTTACCTCACTCAACCTTTGCCTCCCAGGCTCAAGCAATTCTTGTGCCTCAGCCTCCTGAGTAGCTGGGATTACAGGTATGCACCACCATGCCCAGCTAATTTTTGTACTTGTAGTAGAGATGGGGTTTTACCATATCAGCCAGGCTGATCTCAACCTCCTGGTCTCAAGTTGATTCACCTGCCCTTGGCCTCCCAAAGTGCTGGGATTACAGGCGTAAACCACTGTGCCTGGCCTCATTGTGGTTTTGATTCACATTTCCCTGATGATCGGTGATGTTAAGTATCTTTTTTATGCTTGTTGGCCATTTGTACTTCTTCTTAGGAAAATTATCTATTCAAGTCCTTTGCCTATTTTTCAATAGGGTTATTTATTCTGTAATTTGAGTTGTAGGAGTTCTTTGTGTATCCTGGATATTAACACCTTATCAAATATATGGTTTGCAAATATTTTCTCTCATTCTGTAGCTTGTCTTTTCACTCTGTTGACTGTTTACTGTGCAGAAGATTTTAGTGTAATGTAGTCCAATTTGTCTATTTTTGTTTTTGTTGCCTGTGCATTTGGTGTCATTTCCAAGAAATCCTTACCAAATACAATGCCATGAAGCTTTCCCCCTCCTGTTTTCCTCTAGGAGTTTTACAGTTTCAGGTCTTAGATTTAGGTATTTAATTCAGTTTGAGTGATTTTTTTGTATGCTTACGCTCTAAGATAAGGGTCCAATTACTTTCTTTTGCAATGTGGACCTCCACTTTTCTCCACACCATTTTTTGACACTATCCTTCCACCACTATGTAGTCTTGGCTCACTGTTGAGGATTATTTGACCATATACATGAGGATCTCTATTCTGTTTTATTGGTCTACATGTCTGTCTTTATGCCAGTACCATATTGTTTTGATTACCATCACTCTGTAATATGTTTTGAAATTAGGAAGTGTGAGGCCTTCAATTTTGTTCTTCTTTCTCATGATTGTTTTGGCTATTTGGAGTAAATATGAGTTTTAGGACTGTTTTTCTGTTTCCACACAAAAAAAATGCCATTGGGATTTTGATAAAGATTCCATTGAATTTACAGATTGCTTTGGGTAGTATGGACATTTTAACAACATTGTCTTCCAATCCGTGAACATGTGATATCTTTCCATTTATTTATGTCTTAACTTTTTTAAGCAATGTTTTAAGTTTTCAGTGTACAAGTCTTTCACCTTGTTCATTAAGTTTATTCCTAAGTATTTTACTTTTTTGATGCTATCATAAATGGAACTGTTTTCTTAATTTCCTTTCATATTGTTACTGTTCAGAAATTCAACTAATCTTTTATGTTAATTTTGTACCCTGCACTTTGGGAGGCTGAGGCAGAAGGATCACTTGAGTCCAGGAGTTCAAGACCAGCCTGGGCAACATAGCAAGATCATGTCTCTACAGATGAAAAAAAACTAGCCTGGCATGGTGGCACATGTCTGTGGACCCAGCTATTTGGGAGGCTAAGCTGGCAGGATTACTTGAGCCCAGGTTGAGGCTCCAGTGAGCTGTGATTGTGCCATTGTACTCCATCCTGTGTGGCAGAGCAAAATCCTGTCTCAAAAAGAAAAAAAAAATTTGCACCTAGAAACTTTGACTTTGCTGAATAGTTTATTAGTTTTAAGAGCATTTGAAATGTGGAATCTTTAAAGTTTTCTACATATAAGATCATGTCATTTTGTGAACAGAGATAATTTTATTTCCTCCTTTCCAAATTGGATGCTTTTTATATATTTTTTTCTTTCCTAATTGCTCTGACTAGGACTTCCAGTACTGTGTTTAATAGAAGTGGTAAGAGTGAGCATTCTTGTCTTGTTCCTGATCTTGGAAGAAAGCTTTCAGTTTTTCACCATCTAGAATGATGTTAGCTATAGACTTTTCATACTTGACCTTTCTTATGTTGAGGGAATTCTTTTATTCCTAGTTTGTTGAATATTTTTATTATAAAAGCATGTTGAATTTTTTCAAATGCATTTTCTGCATCAGTTGAGATAATCATGTGATTTTCATTCTTTGTTCTGTTAATGTGGTGTATTACACTGACTGATTTTTTTTTGTATACTGAATCATCCTTGCATTCCAGGGATAAATCCCACTTGGTCATGGTATATAATCTTTTAATGTACTGTTTAAATTGATTTCCTCATATTTTGTCAAAGATTTTTGCATCAATATTTATTGGTTATATTGGTCTGTAATTTTCTTTTCTTGTAGTATCTTTGTCTGGATTTGGTATTATGGTAATACAGGCCTCATAAAATAGTTTAGAAGTGTCCCCTCCTCTCCAGTCTTTTTTTTTTTTGGAAGAGTTTGAGAAGAACTGTCATAAATTCTTTTTTAAATGTTTGGGATAATTCTCCAGTAAAGCCATCTGGTCCTGGGTTTTTTTTTGTTTGTTTGTTTGTTTGTTTGTTTTAAACAAAAGGTCTTTTTATTACTGGTTCAATCACCTTACTAGTGATAGGTTGGTTGAAATTTCCTATTTCTTCATGATTCAGTCATAACAGATTGCATTTGTCTAGGAATTTCTACATTTATACATTTCTTCTAGGTTATTCACAGTAGTCTCATAATATTTTTTATTTCTTTGGCATTAGTTGTAATGTCTCCTCTTTAATGTCTAACTATTTATTCAAGTCTTCTCTTTATTTTAATTAGTCTAGCTAAGGATCTGTCAATTTGGTTGATCCTTTCAAAACACAAATTCTAAGTTTGGTTGCTTTATTCCATTGTCTTTCTATTCTCTATTTCATTTATATCTGCTCTAATCTTTATTATTCCCTTGAAATTCTGCTAATTTTGAATTTGGTTTGTTTTCTTTTCTCTAGTTCCTTGAGGTATAAAGTTTGGTTCTTTGAGATCTTTCTTTTTTAATGTAGTCATTTATTGATATAAACTTTCCTTTGTACTTTTTTTTTTTTTTAAGACAAGGTCTAGCTGTATGGCACAGGCTGGAATGCAGTGGCATGATCTTGGCTCACTGCAGCCTCCACCTCCTGGGCTCAAGCCATCCTCACACTTCAGCCTCTCAAGTAGCTGGGACTAGAGGCATACATTATCACATCTGGATAATTTTTGTATTTTTTTGTAGAAATGAGGTTTCACCATTTTGCCCAGGCTGGTCTCAAACTTGTGAGCTCAAGGGATCCATCTGCCTCAGCCTCCCAATCTGCTGGGATTACAAGCATGAGCCACCACACCTGGCCCCTTTGTACTTCTTTTGTTGCCTCCCATAAGTCTTGGTACATTACCTTTTTGTTTTCATTTGTCTCAAGACGTTTTCCAGTTTATCTTGTGATTTCTTCTTTGACCCACTGGTTATACAAGAGAGTGTTGGTTGGGCATGGGGGCTCATGCCTGTAAACTCAGTCCTTTGGGAGGCCAAGGTGGGAGGATTGCTTGAACCCAGGAGTTTGAGACCAGGCTGGGCAACATAATGAGACTATGTCTCTATGAAAAACCAAACAAAGCAAAAGAGCCAAGTGTAGTGACATGTACCTGCAGTCCCAGCTACTCAGGAGGTTGAGGTGGGAGGATATCATGAGCCCAGGAGTTTCAGGCTGCAGTGAGCTATGATCATGTCACTGCATTCTAGGCTGGGTGACAAAGCAAGACTCCATCTCTTTAAAAAAAGAGGATGTTGTTTAATTTCTACATTTTGATGAGCTTTCCAGTTTGCTATTGATTTCTGGTTTCATTTCACTGTGGTTGGAAAAGATATTTCGTATGATTTCAATCTTCTTAATTTTCTTTATTTTTAATTTTTTTATTTTTATTTTTGAGATGGAGTCTTGCTCTGTCGCCCAGGCTGGAGTGCAGTGGTGCAATCTCGGCTCACTGCAAGCTCCACCTCCCAGGTTCACGCCATTCTTCTGCCTCAGCCTCCTGAGTAGCTGGGACTACAGGCACCCGCCACTACGCCCGGCTAATTTTTTGTATTTTTAGTAGAGACGGGGTTTCACCATGTTAGCCAGGATGGTCTCGATCTGCTGACCTCGTGATCCACCCGCCTCGGCCTCCCAGAGTGCTGGGATTACAGGTGTGAGCCACTCAATCTTCTTAAATTTCTTAAGACTTGTTTTGTGGCCTAACATGTGATCTATCCTTGAGAATGTTTCATGTGCATTTGAGAAAAATGTGTATTCTGCTACTGTTGGGTGGAGTGTCCTGTATATGTCTGTTTGATCCAACTGATCTATAGTGTTGCTCTATTCTACTTATGCCTATTGTTCTCAGTCTGGTTTTCTATCTATTTTTGAAAATGGGGTATTGAAATCTCTTACTCTTATTGTGTTACTATTTTCCCTTTAAATTCTGTACATGTTTACTTCATATATTTGGGTGCTCTGTTAGGTAAATATATATTAATAATTGTTATATCTTTCTGAATAATTAACCTTTTAATCATTATATAATGACATTCTTTGTCTCTTGTGACAGTTGTTTACTTAGTCTAATTTTTTCTGATATGAGCACCTCTGTTCTCTCTGGTTACCATTTACATGGAACATCTTTTTTCATCTTTTCCCTTTAGCTCAGGTATGTCCTTAAATCTAAAGTGACTGCCTTGTAGACGGCATATAGTTACCTTTTGTTTTTCATTTATTTAGTCTTTTGATCTGAGAGTTTATTCACAGTTAAAGTAATTACTGATAGGGAAGTACTTATTATTTTCATTTTATCATTTTCTATGTTGTAGTTATCTCTCTTTTTCCCTCTCTTGCTGCCTTCTTGTTAGTTTTGTTCATTTTTTTTTGTAGTGCTATATACTTTGATTTGTTTCTCATTTATCTTTTGTGTACTTTTTTGAGTATTTTCTTTGTGGTTACTATAGAGATGACATAAAACATGTCAGAGTTATAATAATCTATTTTAAGCAGATAATGCCACATATAAAAACTCTACTCTTATATATTCCCTTCTACACTAAGTTACTGATGTTATAAATTATATCTTTAGTATATTTTACATCCATTAAAGTAGTTTTTTTCACCTTTGTCCTTTAAATTCTATACCAGAATTAAAAGTGATTTATGTACCACCATTACAGTATTTATGCACCACCCTATCACAGTATTGTGTATTTGTCTACATATTTACTTTTGCCACTGAGCTTCATGGTGCCGTAAGCTTTTGTGTTACTATCTAATGTTCTTTTGTTTCAACTTAAAGAACTCACTTTAGCATTTCTTGTAAGGCAGGTCTAGTGATGACAAACTCTCTCAGCTTTTGTTAATCTGGGCAAGTCTTTATTTCCCCTTCAGTTTTGAGGACAGTTTTTCAGTATATAGTATTTTTGGTTGACATTTTTTTCCCTTTTTCTCAGTACTTTAAATATATCATCTCACTCTTTTCTAGCCTATAAGGTTTCTGCTAAGAAATCTGCTGATAATCATATGTAAGCTCCCTTGTGTGTGATAAGCTAATTTTTTCTTGCTGCTTTCAAGATTCTATCTCTGTCTTTGACTTTGGACAATTTGATTGTAATGTGTCTCAGTGTAGACCTCTTTAGGTTTACCATATTTAGAGCTCACTGAACTTCTTGAATTTAGATGTTCATATCTTTCCTTAGATTTGGGAAGCTTTCAGCCATTATGCCTTTGAAGAAGCTCTTTGACCCTTTCTCTCTCCCTTTTTCTTTTAGAACTCTCATGATGCACATATTTGTCCACCTGATGGTACAGCATAAGTCCCTTAGGCTTTCTTTATTGTACTTCACTTTTTTTTTTTGCTCTTATGACTTGATAATTTCAAGTGACTTTTCCTCAAGTTCACTGATTCTTCCTTCTGTTTAATCAAGTCTGCTGTTAATCTCCCTCAGTAAAATTTTCAATTCAGTTACTGTAGTCTTCAACTCTTGAATTTCTGTTTGTTTCTTCTTCATAGTTTTTCTTTGTTGATATTCTCATTTTATTCATACATCATTTTCCTAATTATATCCAGCTGTCTATCTGTGCTCTCCTTTAATTCATTGGGCATCTTTAAGATGATTCTTTTGAAACGATTTATCTGATAATTCATATATCTCCATTTTTTAGGGGTAATTTCTGGATATTTAATTTGTTCGTTTGATTGGGCCATATTTTCCTGTTTCTTTGTACTCCTTTTCATGCTTTGTTGGGACTTCAGTATTTGAATTATCTGCCACTTCTCCCAGTCTTTGCAGTCTGGTTTCATACAGGTACAGGTAGTTCGCCAACCAGCCCAGCTAGAGATTCTGGAGATCTCTCAGGCCTTTTCTGAGGATGTGTGCTTTCTGGGTTTTTGTATGTAATCTAATTGCAGAGGTTTGCCAGTTTTACTCAGAAGCTTCCCCAGTGTCTGCATCACTGAAGCCTTTCTGGTGCTTTGTAGCAAGCTGTGGTACTGGAGCTCCCCCTTGTGTTTATGTTTGAGACACGTGCTCAACCAAGTCCTCTTCATCACTTTTGTTTTTTTTGGCCCCCTGACCTGCTGCCTTGTTCCTGTCTGTGCTTAGATTTCGGGAAGACAGAAGCCAGTCCCTTAGGTAACACCCCCTCCAAAAGTCAGAATATTAGACATCCCACTTTACAATCATTTTTCTCTTTCTCTGCTTGAGAAGAACTCTGAGTTGGGAGTTTTCTCCAATGGCACCATGCTATACTAGAGGGGAGGGGCTCTGGTGAATGAGTGGGTTCCATGAATTTTCCTCCTGGGCTTCCAAGCACTTGGCTTTGTCCTTGCCTGGAGTGCAGGAACTTCTTAACTTGTTTCTGTTATTTCTTCCAAAGACAATTGGTCTATACACATTTCTTAAGTCCGTTGGTATCTCCATGGAGGAAGGAGGATCTGGGGCTTTCTATTATGCCATCTTCCTCCTGTCACTTCCAAACAGTTTTTTTCAACATGGCTGTACTGTTTTTCCATCTCTACAAGCAGTGTACAAGAGTTTTAGTTTCTCTACATTTTTTCCAACATCAGTCTTTTTTTTTTTTTTTTTGAGACAGAGGCTTGCTCTGTCGCCCAGGCTGGAGTGCAGTGGTGTGACCTCAGCTCACTGCAACCTCTGCCTCCCAGGTTCAAGCAATTCTCCTGCCTCAGCCTCCCAAGTGGCTGGGATTACAGGTGCGTGCCATCACACCCAGCTAATTTATATATATATTATATATAATATATTATAAAAGAGTACATATATTTTATATATATGTACATATATCTTTTTTTTTTTTTTTTTTGAGACGGAGTTTTGCTCTTGTTGCCCAGGCTGGAGTGCAGTGGTGCGATCTCGGCTCACTGCAACCACTGCCTCCCGGGTTCAAGCGATTTTCCTGCCTCAGTCTCTCGAGTAGCTGGGATTACAGGCATGCACCACTATGCCCGGCTAGTTTTGTATTTTTAGTAGAGACGGGGTTTCTCCATGTTGGTCAGGCTGGTCTTGAACTCCTGACCTCAGGTGATCTGCCCACCTCGGCCTCCCAGGTTCAAGCAATTCTCCTGCCTCAGCCTCCCACATAGCTGGGATTACAGGTGCATACCATCATGCCCAGCCAATTTTTATACTTTTAGTAGAGATGGGATTTTTGCCATGTTGGCCAGGCTGGTCTCAAACTCCTGACCTCAAGGGATCCGCCTGCCTCAGCCTTCCAAAGTGCTGGGATTACAGGCGTAAGCCACAGCACCTAGCTTGAGCTTCTTTTTATATATGTTCTAAGAAGTATGTACATCTCTTTGGGAGGCCGAGATGGGTGGATCACGAGGTCAGGAGATCGAGACCATCCTGGCTAACATAGTGAAACCCTGTCTCTACTGAAAATACAAAAAAATTAGCCGGGCGTGGTGGCAGGCGCCTGTAGTCCCAGCTACTCGGGAGGCTGAGGCAGGAGAATGGTGTGAACCCAGGAGGTGGAGCTTGCAGTGAGCCGGGATAGCGCCACTGCGCTCCAGCCTGGGCAACAGAGGGCGACTCCATCACAAAAAAAAAAAAAAAAAAAAAGAAAAGTATGTACATCTATTTTGGAAAGTGAATGTTCAAGTCAATGTTAGCTTTTACTTATTTGCTTTTACTCCACATTTTTCCAGAATAGAGGAGTGTGCATACAAGTGTGTATGTGGTTGTGTTCAGCTGAGTGGAGTGGGTAGTAGTGAAAAACAGGAAATAAATAAGAAAAGCTGAACTAGGCATCCCACAATGCTCCACTAGTGACATAAGGCAGGTCACCCACATGCTTTGCCCATTTTTAAATTGGGTTGTTTGTCTTCTTACTGAGTTGTATGTTCTGAATGCAAATTCTTTATATGTTCTGAATGCAAATTCTTTGTTAGACATAGGTATTGCAAATATTTTCTCTCAGCTTGAGGCCTGACTTTTCATTTTCTTAAAGATGTCCTTAAAGGAACAAAAGTTTTATTTATTTATTTTTAGACAGTCTCACTCTGTTGACCATACTGGAGTGCAGCAACACAATCTTGGCTTATTGCAGCCTCGACACCCTGGACTCCAGCAATCCCCCTCTACCTCAGCCTCCCTGGTAGCTGGGACTACAGGTGCGTACCACCACAGCTAGCTAATTTTAAAAGTTTTAAATTTTGATAAAGGCCAACATATCAACTTTGTCAATGGTTCGCTTTTTAAGTCCTATCTAAAAAATATTTGCTTATCCTAAAGTTGCTAGCATTTACTCCTATGTTTTCTTCTAGAACTTTTATACTTTTAGCTTTTACATAGAGATCTATGACTCATTTCAAGCTAATGTATGGTGCAAAGTAGGAATTGTTCATTTTCCCCCAAAATTTTTGTAATTAAGTTCTTGAATTAAATTTCCTTATTCTGAAATCCCTAGAGTGATTTCCATTTTCCTGACTGGTGTAACTCAATACAGGCAATGGTATTAGAAAGATAGGTGGTATTCAGATTGCAGAAGGATTTGAATGCCAGGCTAAATTACCACAGCTCTATTTAACTTACATGTATGATATGATGTTGATACTTGACAAATACTTGCTTAGATAAAATCTTGAGAAATAAACAATCTCAGCTTCCTCATCAGTAAAGTACTGATAATAATACATTTTTTGTAGCCTGTAATGAGATTTGATAAATACACATGCATATAAACATAACGCACAATGCTACGCAGTATGTGCACTATACGCTATGCCAGATAATATGCAGCTAATATTGGATTTAATATATTTACTGAGAATATGTTTTATTCTTTCCCCACTAAGCTTTCTGGGCTCCTTCTTTGCCCATTAATGTGCTGGTGACAAACTATACCCTTCCTTTCCCTGGCTATCATCCCACTGTTTCTGTAATATTCTATTTCTTCAGTGTTGTTGGATGTAGGTCGACGCATCAACATTTCATAAAAAGTTCATTCACCATGTGACAGCCTTATCCCTACTGCTTGTACAAGTGTCACCCTGTTACAAAATAGCACAACACTAGAGCCAGAAGAAACTAGAGAACAGGGCTCTGATGGAAACACAAAGTCTGGTTTAAAGGTCAAGCTGCAGAACACAGCAAAGCAGGGAATCCTTTACTTTGCTCTGGGAGGGGTGGGGAAGAGGAAAACAAATAGAAACATACTCTCTTACACCTGCATTTTCAAAAAGAAAGAAGCATTTTAAATAATGTGCCTAAATATATAGTCCTCAGGAAGAGCATAAACACATTATAAGGTAAACAGCTCAATGATAACTGGAGACCAAACACTGACATGAGCATGCTTAGCTCTTATTATGCTGGCATCATTTTACATCAACCTGTTTGACTTCCAGTCTATTTAAGGTTTTTATCATTTCTGACCATTCTGACTATCTGTTTCTCCAGAAAGCACGTGAAGAAGCCTGATTAAAAACCTTAAGGATTGTAAGTAATTTGTTTAGAAGAATCTCTGGTTGCTCATCTTCCAATAAATACTGCATAATTCACCTTTAGTTGGTTTGAAAGCAGGTCATAACTGGTATGTTGGGGGATGGGGAGGAGGGGATGGCTCAAAGTGGTGGTATGAATAAGCTCTGAAAAGGTGACAGACTCACTCTTAGCTACAGAAAAGAGGCTTGATGTTTTGACCCGGAGCCTGGGTTGATGTCCCAACAATAAATTACTGAAATTCACCTAGGACTGGTGTGTTCACATGCCTTCCCGGACAATCTAATGGATTTTATCTAAAGCATATAGTAACAAGAGCAATGGGGCAGTCATGCATTTTATAAGATCATAACCCTACCCATTCCTCTGGCTCACAGAACATAATTTTCAGCTCTTTGTGTTTAGAACAAAAAACAGAATTTGTAATAAATATTTGTCCTTGCAACAAGAATTCCTTGCTATGAGTTTAGGGTGAAAATAAAAGAGATACAAATGAGGTAAGCTGCTCAACAAGGTAAGGATACATGAAAGGGCAAAAGGAATAAGGGGGACTGAGCTGAGCCTGACATTTGTCTTCCATTTTGCCCCTGCAGATGGAAACCACAGCTCATGTAGCAGTCTCTTGTGCTTTCTTCTTGTTTCCTTACTAGGCTGATAAAGCTGAAAGAGACTTAGAGATTATTTACTCAATAATTCTCTCAACCAAATAAGATAATGAATATAAAGCATTCATCCCTATTTCTGGCTCAAAGAAATCCTTAATAAAAAGTAGGCTATTGGTGATCATGATAAAGTTGAAGCTATTTAGTTGTTCATGATTATATTAACCCATCCCATTCACTTCATACGAAGGAGATAGATAAGAAACCCAGCATCTCATGTTGGTTGAATGGGATAATATTTACTATGTCAGTGCTGAGATTGGGTCTTCTAACTCTTTAAACAGTTTGTTTTTTTTTTTAAATGAAAAAATAGAGATGGGGTCTTGCTGTGTTGCCCAGGGTGGTCTGAAACTCCTGGGCTCAAGCAATCCTCCTGCCTCAGCCTCTCGAAGTGCTGGGATTACAGACATGAGCCACTGTGCCTGGCTTAAACAATTCATTTAAACGATTTATTTTCCCTTCTGGAGCAGATTCTCAAACTTCTTTTTAAAAGAGTCACATTCCCTTTTGATAAAATTAAAAATCTTATCCCTCCTGGTGAAGGTTTGACACCTCTATTCTCACACCTTTCAGAAGTACTGTGATTTTTCCTGAATCCTTACCTATCAGGAAGATTTTGTTGAATTCTGGAGTTGGTATTTTAAAAAATAATTTGCATTTTTTGTTTCCCACTTATAAAACCAAGTCATTACTTTATGTGATGTTTTTCTATACACATTCCTCCTAACCCCAATCATTGATTCAAAAGTTTGCAATCCCTAAATGCTTCATCTGGGTTTGGTACCTCTTTAAAAATCTCATGCTACTCTGAAGCAGAATTTTTTTTGGTGGGCGGAAAGAGAGATTTTTAAATGCTACAAAGGTACAGGGAATAATATAGTAAACCAAACTGCGGTGTCTCCATCACTAAGTGTCAATGCTTAATGATATTTAGGTCTCTGTCCAATGTCACTTTCTCAGATAAGCCCTCCTTGATTGCCTGCCCTAATTAATAGTCCCTGGTCATTCTCTAACTCCTTACTTGGCCTCATTTTCATTTTATTTTTGATAATTGAATCCTGACATTATATTCTATATTTCTTATCTTATTCAATAGGATGTAATCTCCATGAAGTCAGGAACTGCCTGCATTGCCCCAAGATTCCCCAGCATAGAAAGGAGGATCTGAATTTTACTAGGCTCTGAATAAATTTTTATTGAATGAATGATGTTTCATTTAAGCCTGCCTTTTTAATTAAGGCAAAACAAAAAACAAATAAAAACCCCCACATTAGCTCCTTTTGTGTCTCACCACTAGTTTCATATCCCCAACACAGCAACCACCACTCTGATTTGATATGAATTCTTCCAGTATCTTTCATGCAAATCAGTGTGTGTGTATGTGTGCAGGTAACAAAAAAATCAATGTACAAGTTACATAATGTTTTGTGTTAGCATTTTTTATACGAAAGAAAGCTTGCTATTTGTGTTATCCTGCAATTTACTTATTTTTCCTTATCTTGTTTTCAGATTTAATTCGTTATGTATTTAATTCTTGTTAACTGCTACAAAAAAAACTAGTCCATCTAAGAATATGCTATAGTTTATTCGTCCTTTCCCCAACAGAGAAACCTTTAGGTTATTTACAATATTTTTCACTATTATAACAATTTTTCCCTGTACATGTGTTGTGTGCTAAATGTTTCTGTTCCCCCAAATTCATATGTTGAAAGCTTAAACCCCAATATAATGATATTAGAAGGTGGGGGTTTGGGGAGGTAATTAGGTTTAGATGTGGTTATGAGGTTGGGGTGCCCATGATAGGATTAGTGTTCTTATAAGAAAAAGACTGGAGTTCACTCTCTCATCTCACCACTGAGGACACAGAGAGACAGCAGCCATCTTCAAGCCAGGAAGAGGTATCTCACTAGAAGTCAACCATGCAGCCATCCTGATCTTGGACTTCCCAGACTCCCGAACTGTGAGAAATAAATGTCTGTTCTTTAAGCCACCAGGTCTATGTTATTTGATGATAGCAGCCTGATAGACTAATACAATGTATCTTTTAGCAAGTTCTCCAAAAATGTTAGTTTCCTTTTCCCTGCCTTCTTTTCAGAGCTAAGAATACAAAATCACTTGCTTCTCCTAGGAAGGGACCTTTTGAGGAGTTTAATGCAGCTTCCAGATGCTACCACTTGTTTTGGCTTTCCAGAAAATAAGTGTCAAATTAATAAGAGAAATGAAGAGGTGTAAAGTACCATTTTAAATCACTGATCTCACTAAAGGTTAACTATAATGATAGCTAGTCACCTGTCTGCACCTATTATTATATTCCATGCTCATGGCAGGTGGCAATGAAGGTGGGATGTGTGAGTAGGAATAGCACTGGTAGAAAATGATAGATTTGGCCAAGAATTGTTCTAACACACTTTTTTTTATAACAGTGGCTATTATAATTTTATCACCATCATCACCATCCATTATATTTGATTTAGTTTCCAATGTTCTTGAACACATTTGAGCCCATTTTACAGCAGGCTACCTAACTTTCAGAAAGGCTATAGTTCTCTCAAAGTCTCAGAAAGAGCCAGTAGTAAGTGGCAGAACTAGGACTTGAACCTAGCTCTTCTGTTCTTGCTCCAGTAGGTTTCACGGTGCTCCATGAAGTCATACAGGTCCACAGAGCACCCCAAGGACCACTGTGGGAGGAACTGGGAAGGCTGGACAGTGGTGGAAAATGATAGTGGTGATGAGAAAATTGACAATAATAACTGCAACAAGCCCAGCTGAGACAGTTCTTTCCAAACTCCTCCATTCCTCCCCCTCCTTTAGCATTTAGCACAGTTGTCCTTCCGTATCCAGTATTCGTGGGGGATTGGTACCAGGACACTGCCCCCTATCAAAATCTGAGGATGCCCAAGTTCCTTATATAAAATGGTGTAGAATCTGCATATAATCTATGCACATCCTTTTGTATATTTTAAACCTGGGCCACCGACTGGTACCAGTCCATGGTCTGTTAGGATCTGGGCCACACAGCAGGAGGTGGGTGGAGGGTGAGTGAGCATTACTGCCTGAACTCCGCCTCCTGTCAGCAGAGCATTTGATTCTCATAGGAGCAGGAACCCTATTGTGAACTGTGCATATGAGGGATCTAGGCTGTGCATTCCTTGTGAGAATCTAACTAATGCCTGATGATCTGAGGTGGAACAGTTTCATCCCGAAAGCACCACCGTCCCCCCAACCACCTCTCTTGTGGAAAAATTCTCTTCCAAGCAACTGGTTCCTGGTGCCAAAAAGGTTGGGAACTGCTGCTTTAAATCATCTCTAGATTACTTATAGCACCTAATATAATGTAAATGCTACCTAAATAGTTATTGTACTGTAGATTTTATTGGTACTATTTTCTACTGTTGGATTGAGATTTTTTTGTCCTGAATATTTTTGATATGCAGTTGGATGGAGGGACACCTATATAGCAATGTACGAGGGCAGATGACTAATAGTGTAATGAATCTGTTGAAGTTGTTGAACCCCCTCATTTACTTAACTAATTTGATCTATAGTTCTTTTGCTAATCTGATCTATGTTTCCTGAAAAGCTAAAACAAAACAAGCATCTGATGGCTAAAATTAATTCTGCCAAATGCCTCCGCTTGTAGTGATGCAACAACAAGGGAGGGGAAGGACCTATACTTCACCAGCCTGTGCTGGCTGCTTTTCATGTATTTATTAACTTAAAAAACCACGAGTTTAAGCTGATCTCTTTATTACATTTGAACTGTACACAAATATTGGGTTTGAAAAAGACTTTTGTTAAAAACCCAAAGGCAAAGGTGTGGCCAATTCAGGACTTCCATACAATGGCAATTTTGTATCCTGCTAACTCTGTCTCCAGAAAGTGGGTTAGGGAGTCTGGGTGACTTCTTGGCTTCGCAGGCTCCTTCCCCCTGGGGAGGGATGTCGGCGACTTCTTGGCCTCACAAGTTCCTTCCCCCTGGGGAGGGATGTAGCCAAACTGTACCCTAGAGTAAAAGGTCTGTGGAGGCTGGTGTAGTGTGGCTCATGCCTGTAATCCCAGCACTTGGGAGGCCCAAGCAGGAGGATCGCTTGAGGCCAGGAGTTTGGGACCAGCCTGGGCAACATAGTGAGACCCCATCTCTTAAAAAAAAAATAAGCTAAAAGATTAGCTGAGTGTGGTGGTGTGTACCTGTAGTCCCAGCTACTCAGGAGCTTGAGGTAAGAGGATTGCTTGAGCCAAAAGATTGAGGCTGCAGTGAGCCATGATTGCACCATTGCAATCCAGCCTGGGAGATGGAGTGAGATCCATCTCTTAAAAGAAAAAAAAAGGTCTGAGGGTAGTGTTGCCACCATGACCACCCCCCGGCCTTTCTCCAAAGAACACTTTTATTCACAATATTCCAGGCATGTGATTAACACCACTGCCTTATTTCATTATTTAAATATTCCACCCATGGATGTTTTTTCTCCTAACTAGAGCAGACTGTAATTTCTCAGGGGTCAGGGGCTTATTTTGCAAGACTGCATCTCTAATGCTATAGAAATAAAAGAAATGCAAAAGTTATCACTTGAATGTACTGAATAAATAAATGGGAAAATCTGAAGATATCATGTTGATTTTTTGAAAGGATAAAACACTGGGGAAGGGGACTTATGCTCTTTTGATATCAATGCTATGTGGAATACATCATGCTAAGGAATCAAGGCAAAACCACAGAGTAGGCTAAGAGAAACAAGACCTAGACTGAGCAGCGAGCTCAAGTGTTTCATTTATTATGGGACAGGAATCTCATTCCTGCTCTTTCCAACTCCACCTTATTAGGTACCTTTTAAGATCATTTTCTGTTTCCTTGTTTCTCTTTTAGAACCATGCTCAGCACCTCCCTAAGAAGAGGGGCCACCTGTGTGGAATGGTTCCTGAAGCTGGCAGTGGTGGGGGTGTGAATAAGCCAGTTGTTCTGGCGGGGGCTTGTGAAGCTTAAAAATGAAGAATTGAGAAGAACTGAAAAGGTATCGTTTAGAGTTGGATTATCATGAGTGACTAAACATGTACACAATAAACACAGAATTAGGAAAATTCTTAAAATTTTAAAACTGAAAAACTAGCAATTTTCTAGTATTAGGAATGCAAAATCTAAGACAGAGGCATTTCATCCTAATATTCTCCAATATATGTACAAAAGGCCAAATTCCCTAAACAAGTCCATAGGGAGTTCCTGGAATTTAACATGGGGGTTAAGGTTTTAGTATTTCCTCCACAAGCTGAAGAGTGATGGTTCCTTTCTCTGTCTCTTTCTAAACTCAGGAAAGCTATGCAAATCCCTTATGTAGACAAAGCTTTTAGTAGATCTGGCAAATGAGATCTGTTCTTAAGAAACAGCACTTGGCAAAGTAACTGCTATTTTGTACACATCTGTTTTACATCTGTTCAAACCTAAATTCCTTCAGAGGAGGGGCAATGTCATCCTAGCTCAAAATAGGCATTAATAAATCTTATGCTAAATCACCAACATCTTTTGGTAAAATAGCTGTGTTTAATTAATGAAAGACTTCCAGATTAACTTCTGATGAGGTCTTCTAGGTATCTTCAGAGTGTTTTATGATGTTTTCTCTCCCTAGTTATTGTTAATATATTCTGTGACCTTTCCACAACAGAAAGTCATTTTAACATGTGGCTCACGTAGTTTCTGAATTTTTCTTTCTTTTTAAAGGATCATGCTGCTGCTTTTTGGGATGATTACTGATGTTTATAGTGAGCCCCATCCCCCACTTTTTAAACTCCATAAATATTTAAGACAAATAACCCTAAATATTTGTCCATGATAGAGATCCTGGGTCCCCTCCTTTGATTGGTGCATGCTTTGTTTAACATTTTGCCAGTGCTTCCCAGTAGCAAACAATCAATGCACATTTTGAACTTGTATTCTTAAAAAATCTGCAGCCACAAACATGGCCCATGTCCTAAATAGTAGGTACTGCTGAATAGATCTTCAATGTTTATTTTTGTCCGGCCTGCAAATATTTTATATTATTTTGCCATGAAGAAAGCTGCCTGAGACTATGTCGGCAGTTTCCTGTAACGTAGATGCCTTGTCAATAATGTAAGTATGGTGCAGAGTGAACAAATCCATAAATCTCGAAGTCACAAATAACTTGCTCATCTGGGGCTGAGCTGCCTGAGTCTCCATGGATACCAAGGGAGCATCTTCAATTCAGGGAACTCTCAGGGAGAGCAGACTCTTTCTTGCCCCAGGAATCTGCAAGCCTGGCAAAAAGAAGTGAGGGTCCTTGAGAACATTACCTTTGTGGATCCTGTTCATTAACCCACTAGAGACTAAGTCCCAGGTCCCCTTTGGTTTTCTCCCACTCCCTTTAAGAGAAAATCTCCTGGAGAGGGTCAGGGGGCACAGGTAGCATGAGGGCTAATTGGGATTTCTGAGACTGTTTGAACATTTTTCCTTCAAAGCTTTGATGGGAATTCCAGCATCATAAGTGAGTATATTTTTCTATTTTATGGTTATATTTTTAGAGACAGGGTTTCTCTAAGGGGAAGCTGAATATTTAGGCACTGAGACAGCCCTGGAAGTAGAAAATGGGCATATTATAAGCATAGCTATGCATCAATGTAAGTCAAAGTCCCCACAATATGCCTTGGAAGCAAAAAACATATGTCTCTGTAGGAAATTAGCCTATATACATTATAAGAGCAAAGCTATGGTTCCATATGTTCCATAACTGTAATTGTTCATCAAGATAGGAAAATAAAAACAAAGAAAAATAGAGTTCCTACCATTATTACCTCCTGCCAATTATCAGCTCCCAGAACACATTGTCTATACTCTTAACTTTGGTGGCAGATCATTCTGCTTAGCAGTTACCAACTCTTAGTTCTGTGTTGCAGATCTTAGCTGCAATGCACCCAAAGAAACTATGAAATGTAGCCTTGTTGTCTTATCCTTTTTCTTATGGTAGTTAATTTTATGACACCAAAGAATTCTTCCCTCAGTAAAATTATGCATCTGAGAAAACCAATGGTAATTCTTTCAAAACTTATCTTTTGATCTGCTCATTCAAGGACTTATTTCAGTATCTAAGATTTTTAAAGAATTTTTTTTCTGCGAAGGACATGAACAGACACTTCTCAAAAGAAGACATTTATGCAGCCAAAAAACACATGAAGAAATGCTCATCATCACTGGCCATCAGAGAAATGCAAATCAAAACCACTATGAGATATCATCTCACACCAGTTAGAATGGCAATCATTAAAAAGTCAGGAAACAACAGGTGCTGGAGAGGATGTGGAGAAACAGGAACACTTTTACACTGTTGGTGGGACTGTAAACTAGTTCAACCATTGTGGAAGTCAGTGTGGCGATTCCTCAGGGATCTAGAACTAGAAATACCATTTGACCCAGCCATCCCATTACTGGGTATATACCCAAAGGACTATAAATCATGCTGCTATAAAGACACATGCACACGTATGTTTATTGCGGCACTATTCACAATAGCAAAGACTTGGAACCAACCCAAATGTCCAACAATGATAGACTGGATTAAGAAAATGTGGCACATATACACCATGGAATACTATGCAGCCATAAAAAATGATGAGTTCATATCCTTTGTAGGGACATGGATGAAATTGGAAACCATCATTCTCAGTAAACTATCGCAAGAACAAAAAACCAAACACCGCATATTCTCACTCATAGGTGGGAATTGAACAATGAGATCACATGGACACAGGAAGGGGAATATCACACTCTGGGGACTGTGGTGGGGTCGGGGGAGGGGGGAGGGATAGCATTGGGAGATATACCTAATGCTAGATGACACATTAGTGGGTGCAGCGCACCAGCATGGCACATGTATACATATGTAACTAACCTGCACAATGTGCACATGTACCCTAAAACTTAGAGTATAATAAAAAAAAAAAAACAAAAAAACAAACAAACAAACAAAAAAAAATAATTTTTTTTCTTTAAAAAAGAAAGGAAGCACTTCCTTTTTCTAGTAGATGATTCTAGAATTACGGCTTATGCTAAAAATGTAAGAGAATGCCTGCACCACCGTGTGTAGGTCACACATCAGGTCGGGGATGTTTCATGAGCAAAGAAGCCATTATTATAATAATCAAAAGGCAGCAGACTTCCCCAGATAGCAATGTTGGCTGCTAGGATTAAACCTCCATCAAGATCACAAGTAAGGCATGACTAAGTAAAAACCTACTTGTATTTTCTATCATTGTATTTTGGGATTTGGACCAGGGCTGTAAGGATCCAGTGGTCATCTTTATTGCATGTATCAACACACAGCACAGGTCTCTTAAGAAGGATCCTCCAAGGATCAAGCACACACAATTGCACTTATGTGTTCAGTGGGGAGATTCTCAAGGCAGAGTAAACAAGAAATAGGTAAAGTTAGTTTGACTGAAGAGAATGTTCTACCTCCAGTACCCCTGCATACAATTAATATGAGAAAATTTCAAGACGCTGCAGGGATAAGATACCACTTAGAATGTGTGCATTGTCTTGGGTTCTGTTTTCCTCGGGCAGGCACTCTGGGGTTGCTGGGCATACGTTTTGAAACTCTGGCTTTAGAACGAATTGCTCAGGAAGCCTGATAGAAGTGACAATTCTCTGCCTACCCCTAGAAACTGTGATTGAGTAGATCTGGGGAGGGGCCTATGGATCTGCACTCCAACTACAGCCCAGGTGGGTGTTCAGACCATAGCTAGAAACTGGTTTGAGAAACTGGAGAAAGAATCTGGGCTTTGATGAGAGTGACAAGAGTTTTCCCTCCAGCCCTGCCATTTACTCCATGTGTGACCTCTGACATGGTTCCTAGACTGCTCTCTAATTCAGTTTCTTAGATATAAAAGAGTGATAATTGTAAAGGTTAAATAAAATATGTAAAGCTCTCTAAGATTCTTGGCACAAAGTTTACTAGTGTTTGAGCCCCTTCACCTTCTCTTCTATACAGTAACATTTTTTTTGAATGCTTATTATGGACCAGGTACTTTTCTAAGGATTATTGCATTACATTTAATCCCAGAGGTAGGTATTCTCTAAATTACCTCCATTTTACAGATGAGAACTAGAGGTACAGAGAGGTTGAGCTATTTGTCCAAAGTTACACAGATAGCAGGTGGCAGGGTTGGGCCTTGACCTAGCTTTACTACCAAGAACGTACATTATTGTCAGGGACATAAATTAGGGATGGGAAATTTCAATACCTCTCTCTGCTGTCTAACAAAGACCTACAGTTTACTTACAGTGCCTTTACTATCTGATCATGTTCCTTGATGCCCCACCAGATGAAGAGACCTACTACCACTCAGTATGGATGGACACATACAATTTTACCTGGCCCCAAAGGTGTTGTTCTATCATAGGGCTTGGATGCTAGGGATATACTATTCCTAAAATTAGGAACTGCCTTACTTGTAGGGGCATATTTAATTTTTCCAGATATTAGAGAGCCTTAGGTTCACTTAACAAAAAAAATGATGCACACATTTTTTTTTTTTGAGTTGTTCTTTCTCTTATGAGGTAAGCTGCAACTACAGTTTCATTTCTAGGAGTAATCAGGAGACCCATGATGAGAAATTTCAATCATCCCTGCTGAGACATGGCTAACTACTATTACATAAAGTTGATGGTACTGAGTAACATGTATGTATGCGTGCAGTCATGCATTTATGCTAGATAAAAGCACAGATGTGCATGCATGTCGAAGTACTGCTTTAGGTACAAATGTCTGACACATATGATATGCATATATGAACATGTTATAGGTTTATGTTCCTACATAGGTGCATGGGCACACTTGGTATACAGATGTGCACAGGCACACATACTTCCACATATGCATGCATGTATGTGCTTGTGTATGCAAGTATTTATGTATCCAACTACATATATTTTTATCTCAGTTTTTTAACAAGGAAGATATGCTTTTTAACCCATTGAGTTCATGCTTAAACTTTGATTTCTAAGTCCTATTTTCTAACTCCTATTTAAATAACAGTGGCAGTACTATTATGGGATTATTTTTCTTTTAAAAATTCATTCCACTGTTCTTGTTGCACAGCAGGAGTGTAAGTGCAGCCAATACTTTCTTGTGCTGACAGCCCTGATTAAGGCATAAGTCTTAATTTATAGAAATGAGTGATTTGTTTGACAAAAAAATTTTGATGGAACTCTGGTCTATAAATCTACTAATTGTTCCTCCCTGCTGCGAACATTAGATACGAGACAGTGTGTTAACTGTGCATGTTGTTGGCTCATAGGCACACGTATTGTTTCCCTGTATGATTTTACTAATGGTTTTTTTTTAAATGAGATCTAATAGGAACATTCAAAACATTGATCTTAGCACTGTGTGTGAAAGAAGTACTGCTGCCCTGAAACTGTCCATAAATTTGGGATTGCAAGGCTGCAGTGAACTGCAGAGGACGTGCTTTGCCTCAAAAGGGCTGAACCAAGTGTCACCATAAGGAAATGTGGCCCAGGATTGCTGCAGCTTCCAGATTTTCCAAATTGAAAATTCAGGTTTCTATGTAAAACCTTGCCATATTTAAATGTGGGCTCCTAACTGAACTTTATCAGAAGCATTCTGAAGACCAAACACATTTCATTTGTAGGCAGGCAGAGTCACAGGTGGCACCAGTTTGATACCTCTGCCTAGAATAATCCTGGAAATTCCTAGACATCTAATTCTACATCTAACTCTATCCAGTCATTCTGGGTGATGAGCCAAGGCTGGAGATTGGTGGTGGTGGTGGTGTGTGTGTGCATGTGTGTATGCATGTGTATGTGTGTGCACAGGGAACCTGGCTTGACTCTCATCCTGATGTCCTGGTGTGTGCTCCTTGGGAAGCCTATGGAGCGAGGAGGAAGAACTGTCTTCTAAGCATCCTTGCACACTCAGAATTATCCAAACAAAGTGAAGAGTGTCCTAACTGATAACCACAATTGTGTCCTGGAGAGATGTGGGGAGGAGAATCTGGCTAAATCACTTCAGCTGCAATATATTTTCTTTTCTCCAGAAGTTTTCCCTGAAAATTTTTCCCCAAAGTGGGGGAAAAACTTGCAGTGAGGACCACCACAGAAGAAGCTGGTGAGTGAGTTAGATATTTCTGTATTTTAAAAGGTATCCTAGTAGGTTCTCTCTCTCACTTTCTCTCTCTCTCTCTCTCTCTCTCTCTCTCTGTGTGTGTGTGTGTGTGTGTGTGTGTGTGTCCCATTTGCTGCAAACCTGGAGATTAGTTTGGTGCAAAAGAAATGGCAGTTTCTGCCATGATGGCAATTTATTTTGCACCAACCTAATAGCAGTGGATATTTCCAAAATTTTTCTTCCAAATTGTCCCCTGAGGTTCAACTTATAAACACAAAAAGATCATCAAGACCTAGAAATCTGAAATTGCTGCTTTATTCATAGAGCAGTTGTCTATGGGTCATTATGCTCAAAACACTAAGGTTACTGGCAGGGCCACTATCTGTTGAATATAACCAATACAGAGCCATGTGTAGAAAGGGCATAATTACAACTTTCTAGGAATTGACACTAATGGGTTGCCAATTTACTGATGGGCTGACTAGTGGTGATGCTGATAACCTCAGAGGTTTCTCTGGAAATAAGGTTGTAAGGACATTCATAATTTTATATGAGATCATGGTCATAAAGACTATAGCTAAGTAACTCAGTAACACTCAAATGATCAATTAGTGAAAAAATAAATAACTACAAGCAAGCAAGCCATTCTGCTCAGGAACTAAAGTAGTTCTGGTAATTGAAGACGAGCAAGGTGATGTCAGTTTTCATCCCCACAGGCAGATGGTTTAGGATACAATCTAGAGCTCTCAGGCCTCGACACTACATCTTGGAAACTGACAAAGATACCTTGCAGATATTTTTATATCTAGAAATTTCAATTTCATCAATATATACCATGATGTGTCTGACCAATATCATTCTCATGAAGAAGTGGTGTGTGGGGTGGGGAGAGAAGTAACATTTATAATTTCTTAAGTGTCAGGCACCAAGCTAGGAACTTTATATATATATATATACATATCGATTCATTTAGCCTTCACAACAAACCTATGAGGTAGGTTCTATTTTGACAATTTTCATGAAGAGGAAACTGAGGCCCAGAGATATTAAGTGAATTGGTGACAGCTAGTAAGTAAGTGGCCAGACCAAGATTTGGGTCCAGATCTGTCTGACTCCAAAGTCATGCAGTTTTCTCAAACCTACATTATCTCACAGTAGGGTCATCTTTATTTATCATGGGTTAATATAAAATAGTAAAGGTCGTGTAGATGGTATAAAACAAAAACGAAAAGCTGCATTTAAGTCTTCAGTGGTTTCTGGGCATTTGGTTTTATGATATTAGCAGGGCATTTGCAGAAATTTATGCACAGTTAGACGTTAGAATCTTTCTCTGTGACATTTTCCTTTGCTGCTGTTTCCGCTATTTCATCTTTCTCTGATGCTTTTAATTCCATTTCTGCTGCATAGTACAATATCAATAATGATAAATAATAAATCAGTCCATTTCTACAAGGCATTAGTCTCCCTCTCCTCTTGTGATGGGGGACCAATTTAACACTGTGTTCCTCTTTCACACAGGGGTAGGGTCATACTATCGTTCTGGAGAAACTGGCTATACAGAGAATTGTTTGTTAGTGCCTTGGTCCAGGCTGAATATCATTGGAAGATATATTTATTATTTTCATTAGCAGCCAAAATACAAATATACATTGCAATACATTCTCCTTTACCTTCCATTACTGTAGTTGGTTTCCCTTAAAATTCAACATATTCATTTACTCATCCAACTGACGTTTATTAAATCTAACTGTATGCCATAAACTGTGCTGGGTTTTAGAACATAAAGGTAAAAAGTCACACAGTCCAAGCCTTTGAGGATCTATAAATTTAAGGGGGTAACTGGCGATTTCTCAAGAAATTGTATCAGAGATAGCTATTTGAAAGTAGATAATTGTAAAAGAAACACCAGATTCTGCTTGGAGGAGCAGAGAAAATATCTCAGAGAATACAGCAGATGAGATGTGCTTGAAGGATACATAGGATTTGGCAGGTGGAGGGAGAAGCATGGGAGGACGGTGTACCTGGAACCACAAGTGGCTTAAAATGCTTCTGTGTAAAGAGCCAGATGGGAGTGGGGAAGAGGCAGGGAGAAAGATGCAGAGGCCAAATGCTTAATGATTTTGTTAGATTAGGCAGATGGAGATTGTAACCCATAGATAATAAAAATGTTTGGAGCAAAACACTGACAAAAACAGATTTCTATGAATGATTACCCAGGAAGCAGGATGAGCACAGACTGGAGGATGGTAGGACCAGACACAGGGAGATAAGAGCTGATAAGGGCTTGAATTATAGTAGTGGCAGAGGGAAATGGCACATGGAGAGATATTTAAAAGGCAGAATGAACAGGGATGGTGATTGTTTCACTAAGGAGGACAATAGCATGGAAAAAATATAGGGTAGCTGCAAATTATTAGCCTGAGCACTGGGAAGTAATTTTACTGTAAAAACAAAAGTCACTAACTTATAAAATGAACCTATATGCTAGTGTAATGCAAATACAGCATGAAAAAGGAAACGCTCTTTACAATTTGGTACACATTTTCTGAAGCCAAGTATACCATGCAAAGGCATAATTTTCACTGTAGTAAAAAGCACATTTTTGCAGGGGATGTTAAAGCAAAGTGTGTGTTGAACTAGTGAATTAGTTATTTGATGGCATGTCAATAGAACTTTTTGGTTTTTCCTTATTTTTTAAATTTAATTTTCAGATCAATTTTTTTTCAATATTTATTTCTGCATAATATTTTGGCTTAAATAACATGCTATCATAGCTATTATTGTTAAAATTTACACTGAAGTCTGTATAAGAACCAGGTGAATACTGCATAACAGCATTTTGGGAGCAGAGGACCATGATATTTGGAGACAGGGTCCGCTGCGTATAGGAATCCCAGAAGGAGATCAGGCTACAGCTGTGGACGGAGGCCAACTGTGCTGCTGTTCCAGCCTCCTCCACCCACTGTCTTCTCAGCCATTCATCTGAAATGAAGATAGACAGATGCTGGATCTCACAATGACCTTCACTAGTCTTAAGAATGTGGCTCGGGGAGAAAGCTAAGGGCACAGTTCCTTGCTAGGTTGGCTCAGTGGTGCTAGAAGGAGAAAGGTGGCGAGAAGGGCTTGTAAGTGAGGATGCAAGACCTTGAACCTTTCTAGTGAGACTTGGAAAGGTGCTAAGACAGGGGCTCTAACTTTAATCACGGAGCTAGGGGCCTGAAAAGGATCTTAGAAATCACCTAACAAAAATGCAGAAAGGGTAAGTGACTTGTTCAAGGTCACACAGCTAACTGGAGGCCAAACCAGGACTAAGACCCCAAATTTCCTGCCTCTGGCTAGTGGTGTTTCCGTGGTATCAGTTTACCTCAAGTAGCTCCAATAATGTTCTAATAGTGACACTTTCCTTTGTTCTGAACCACTGAATTTCACTTCTGAAATATTTTGACTTACAGAACCCTCAGACTCTGAATTTCCAAAGCCAGTTCTTATGTGAGCCAAGAGGTATTTTCAGCTGCTCCTGCTTTTTTTAATCTCTGAATGATGGCACTTCCCCATGATTTGCTTTAGAATCGAAATGCAAACACAAATGTTATCTTATTTACACGAGACCCTCCTCAGACATTGAAAAAGTGCTGACCTGCAAGCTGTGTTTCCTGCCATCAGCTGCTGCCTCACTGCCGAGATCCATGCACAGTGTGTCAGTGTCTGGTAAACTGCAGGTCTGCCCCCCAGCCCTTTGCCCGGCTTATGCTGGTAACAGTTGCTGAGCCATGTCAAAAGCAAGATATCATTGTGAAGAATTAATCAATTGGAGATGGTGCTATCAATGAGTAACTCAGGGCATATGAGACAATCTCCCAGCAATGAATGAATGGATTTAATCTGTTGGCTGAGTTACTTCAGTTCAGGAAGACAAGCTTCTTCTGGGTGAGTGGTTGTGTCATACTCAGGCTGAGTGCTCCAAGTAGCAATATATCTGTGGTCTAAATTGATTGATTCTCTCACAGGCTGTTTGTGAATCTGCAGATCCTCAACTCTCCCTGTCAGAGGTACCAGGCACATAAGACAGGAAAGCCCTGGCAGTCTCGCTTTGAGTGGGCTTTCTTGGATTGGCAAGTGTTTTCAATGGAGGAGAAATGTTATTGCGGAAAACCCTGTGGATCGTGGATTGGGTAGTTGCCATCTGCGAAGCTTGACGATGATGGCATGTGCTTATTGCAGAGATCTTTGCTTTTTGGAACAGCTGTGCCTCTGGTGAAGCTGCCATGGAGATGGTGAGCTAGAGGGCTCAGAAGCAAGGGGGTGATGTTGCTCTAGGGACCTGGCACGTTAAGAGTCACGGAAATGATTGTCTGGAATAGTGTTACAATCTTCAAATGCTTTGTTTTATACAGAAGTAGTCACTGTGGCTTAACTATTTCCTGAAGGGAAGATGACAGTGGGGCCTAAAATCTTAAATGGCTGGCTAATTCTCTTGCCTGCCACAATGGAATGTCCTCACAAATCAAAGCAATCATCTTTCCAGGGCTAATGTGAATCTTATAGGCACCAAGGGAGATCATTCTCCTGGTTGGTTCCAGCTGGCATATTTATCCATAGTCAAGAACAGAGACTTCGCCATTTCAGGCTTTAATGCAAATCAAAAAAGCAGACATGGCTACTCACTCTTGCAACTCCCTCATCAATACTGGAATGGTTGATCTAAATGTATTTATTTCTGAGTGCATCAGTATATTTTGTAGTCACATAAAACCTGGACATTGCTGTTTTGCAAATGTAGCAAAGTGTAGCTGCACATGTGAAACAGAAATCTGAAGTTTATGCCAACCCTCCCTTTTTCTCTCAACTGTCTTGATTTACAGAGATTCCCTGAAAAAGTCCTGAACGCACATTCTTTCTCTTGTTTTCCTGTTCGGGGTGTGGTCAGAGCAGGTCTACAGGCATTTACAAGTTTTAAATAGAGATGTTCTAAATGCTTCATCAATTGCTCCCTCAATAAACCTCCAACTTAAAAAATATAAGAATAAATGTCATTTAATTTTAAGAGAATGCATCTTTAGGAGCAATGAATCCCATAGAAAAGTTTATATTAAGCTCCCCAAATTAGAGAAAGCAAATCCTTGCAGAGACTAAACACGAACCTCTGAATGAACTCTTTGGAAGTTTTTCCTATAATGAGTTGGAGTATGTGTCCCTGGAAAGCTCCTGGGTGGTTTGCAGTGGTAGGCGTCAGAGCTGGCATGAAAACCACTTTTCTCTGTGCTGCAGCTTCAGCTGTGCTTTAACAATTTTGTCTTGTAAGTGCATTTTGAAAAGTATTCACATACATATATGCATATATATACATATATATTTTTTTTTCCAAAAAGGCTAACCCATTTAAGAGCCTGTAGTTTAGTAGAGATAGCAGCCAAGTATGTGCTCCTTAGTTGAAGACCATCAAGACATTTAGGAACTAATTCTCTTGCACTTTCATGGGACTCTTTCTGCCTCAGTTTCTACTGAAGAGGCATGAATAACAAAGAAGCAAGAGACAGACTCTCCCTCCCCTACCCATCACTCTGCTCTCTGCCCCATTGCCAGATGTGCAATGAAATGTATAAAGGGGAACTTGTTCGGTAATTCTTGACCCCATCACCCATCTTGAGGCAATAAAAATGGAAAAGAAGGGGAAGAAGATGGGGTAATTGGTAAAGAAATTGTCAATGAACAGAGCGATGTCATGCTGAATCCTGCTCCTCTAGTGAAAGGGGTGGAGAAAGGCACCTCCCAATCCCAGGCCTGTGAGGGGGTTGCTGCAGGGGAATCCCCAACAAGATTTTGAAATATGTTTCCTGTAGGTTGGACTCAGCAAAAATGTCTCAAACTTTTGTGGACTCAGTCTCCTTCCTGCCTGCAACCTTGAGAGGAGGCCCAAGACCTTCGTGGGGTCAAAGGCTGGAGACTGCTACTGTCCTGGAAGAGGACTGTCAGGACAGGTGATGTATGAGTGTCCTAGAGGTGAATGGGGTTAATGTGGGTCCTACCCAAAAGGGGTTCCTGGAGAGGTGAGGAGAAATTAGGAGACAGAGGCTGAAAATGGACTCCTGGGCACACAGGATGCTCATGAGTAAGCAAGAGCGACCCATCTGTCCCAAGTTTTTTGAATTACAAGGGAAAGTGCCCAGCAGAAAAAAAATTTTTTGGGGTATGTGTTTGCAACTTAGAGGGACCCTTAGAACTTAAAGGTGCTCTTAGAACTATCAGTTACCTAAAAGTAGGTAGAAAAATCTTGGGCCTGCTAGAATTTTCATTCAGGGGCAAGGAACTCTGACAACCACTCAACACATTTTAAGGGTCAATTAGCAAAAATAAAGATGCATTTAGAATGGTCCCCCACATCTGCCTGAGCCTTGGGTTACCACCTACCATGGCTCAAAAATACTCAAGGAAAAAAAAACCCAACAAAAATATACAAATAAAAATAATATAAATAAAAAGTCAATATGCTAGAACAACTATAATATTAGGTATAAGTATCTAGAGGTGATTTAAAAGTATGGAGGATATGCAAATATTACACCATTTTATATAAGAAACTTGAACATTCTCAGATTTTGGTATCTTTGGGGGAAAGGGGGTATCATGGAACAAATTCCCTGTGGGTATCAAGGGATGACTGTTCAACATGTTAGATACACTCCTCTTTCCCCAAGGATCAGAGTTGATGGGAAGTTAGCAAAGGAAATTTTCCCAGAGGAAATCCATATCATTTTTCATTTCAACTGGCCAAGTTTTTGCCTTTACATTAATTCATGTGTACTGCTTCCTTCTGAAAGTTTGAAGACCAGGTCTCCTGGCCAGACACATCATGCCAAGTGCTTTTCAGAATGTATGGGGCAGATGTGCCATATCTTGATTCCACCATTCCCACCCTCCATGGGCCAAGAGTTGGTTCCCTCTAGTCTGAGATGGAAGAAGGGCCAAGTGGGTAACGATCTGCAGGCAGTGCTAGAGGACTTGTGTAGTGACTCAGTAAGGGGAATAAGGAAATGAATGGCGAGGTCAACAATCTCCTTGAAAAATCACAGGAAGGTTTCAGACCCCACCCCCGCGAGATGTGGAGTGGCACTCAGTGTTTTTAAGAAGGGATAATAAAGTCATCTTTTCTGTGTCTTTCTCTCACTTCTCTCTTGAGTCTCCAAACATACAGGGCTGTCTGTTTCGCTGTGTTTTCCTTTGGTTCTAAGGAACTTTTTTCCCCTGTGGAAGCAAACCCAACAATCTGCATCCTGAGCTTGAGAAGTTAAAGGCAAAGTGTGTTTTTGGCATGATCAGGCTTACAGATAAAGACTGGTGAGTAACGTGTGGGCATTCATACAAATGACCACTCACATGAAGGTGGAGGAGATACACTGTTCTGGGACTGCCATGTGAGGTTTTAAAAGATGAAATGTCAGAAACATTAAAAAATATGTACTTAAAAACATCTTTCTTCTAATGTCAGACTTGCAACAAGTTTGAATTTCCTTGGCTCTGTAAATGTTTTTCATTTTTTTTTTCCTGGGAGCTGAAGATGATCCTTTAATGCTAGACTTTTCCACTTTCACTCTGAAGGCAATCTGTTCTACATCTTTGCTTCATGAGTGCTGAAATGACCTTGACATGCATTTGATCTACTGCACATGGGCCAGGAAAGAAAGAATAGAGGTTGGAATGAGAGTATAAGTAGGAAGTAAACAAATTTTTGATCTTTTAAGAGATTTAGAAAAATGGAAGAACTGAACAAATAAACTAAATGAAAAGTGAGTAGGCAACTGTGTTAATTTTTCCCCCTGTTCTGTCTCTGAGCATAGCATTGCTAAACCTGGGCTCTGGGGCTGGTGGCCCAGTGAGTTCCAGCCCCATCTGTCACTTACAACCTTGGATCAGTGACATTGGACAGTGACATTAATCTCTCTATGCCTCCATTTCTGCATCAGTAAGATGAAGATAAAAATAATATTTACCTCATAGGGTTGTTATGAGCTAATATATGAAAAAGGCTTAAAAGGGTGCCTGGTATGTAATAGGTACAACGTATTTCTTAGCTGCTGTTATTTCTTCCTTTTTTGGTAATTTCCTGGGTCTGTGGAGATGTGAGGAGGGGAAAGAATAATTTGGAGAAAAGTCATGTCCAACCTCCACTGGGTTATTTATTTGCAATTTATAGCAATATTGTATATCCAACTACACTTACGTGTATATCCTCATGATTTCTGAATAGCATTAGAGTTGAGTATAATAATGTTGATGAAAACTTGAATCTTTTGACTCATTTAGTCATGCATTTGTGTTTGTTCATTTATTAATTAAATCTTAATTTGAGTAAGTCACTAGGCAATTAAAAAAATCTGTATAGAGCAGAGGCTTTTTCTCCTAAGGAATTACAGCCACTTAGTTAATGGTATAAACCATTAACAAATAACCAGAGTGTTCATGTTTGTAAAATTCTGAGAAATCCTAATAAATAAAGCTAACCAGAAATATATGGTTTAGGAAAAATATTTCGTGAGAAAATTTAGTTTCTATACTGAGAAACTGATAGCCATATTCATATATGCCATCAGTCTTCTGACTGTAGGTATTGTCATATCACTCTTATTTCTTTATCCCATCTTTACCAGTAGCTTCCTTTGAAATTGCCTGGCTTTCTTTTCTTCTGTTATGAACAGAAGGTCTCCACTTCAAGCTTAGATTGAACATGTTTACCTCAAGTCATTCAATAAACATCTACAGAATGGTCACTATGAACTAAACACTCTGAGTCTGTTTTATGCAAAAACAGTTTAGGGATTACAAATTATATGGATATAGATCATAATTTTCTATTTTTTGATGTATTTTAACCCACAATATATTTACATATATTTTATTTTGGATGTAATTTAACCCACATTAAATTAAAATGCTTTCTCAGTTGTCATCTTGGCTTTACTAAGATCTATGAAGTATGTACCCACTCTTCAAAATAAGGAATCTGACAGATGACGTATCTTCTCTTGAAAACCAAATGGTCATTCTTTTGCAAGGATAATGATCCTTTACAAATGTTTATTTGTTTTTGTTCTCAAAAGCAAGCTCATGCCTTAAATGTTTTTCAACTGCTGGCAAAATTTTATCACATCTTCCAATATATTTCACTAAGGTCACTTATGGTCGTATGTGTGACAGTAATCAAAGATGTCCAATAAATGGAAAAATTCTGAGACCACCTGGTACACCAAAAAGAGAACTTACTATTTGACCTGAGTCAGACATTTAGTCCTCTGGGGCACAATTTTCTCATGACAAAAATTAGAAGTATATTTTGGTAAAAATCAAATGACCTTTAATGTTCTCTTCCATTTAAAGTACTAGTATTCTAGATCTATGCACTCCAATATGGTGCCACTAGCCATATGTGATTACTAAGCATTTCAAATGTGGCTAGTTAAAATTAGTTTTACAGTGTCTCAATAGTTTTAATTTTGAAGATAAACATAACTTTATATTGTCTTAATAGTTTTAAATATTGTCTCAATAGTTTTAATATTGGAGACAATATTTTGTCTCAATAAAATTTAAGTTCTTTACTGTTTACTTCTTGAGCCACTTTATTTAAAAACATTCTGAAACATGCTGTAAGTGTAAATGAAATACACACCAGATTCTGAAGACTGAGTACCAAAAAATGTAAAATATTTTGGATATACAGGGTTAAGTAAAAATATATTATTAAAATGAACTTCATTTATTTTTAATGTTTTAGTGTAGCCATAGAAAAATTTAAATTACATGCATGACTTGCATTATATTAATATCGGGCTGCACCAGTCTAAACCTTCAAAACAAAGGGGTCAAAATCCATCTTTAATGGCTTTTAAATGCCTAATGGTCAACATTTCAATACTGAGATCTTTATACCTATAAAAGTCAAGTTTCTCAAGTTAAAGGTCCTATTTATCAAAAACTAATAAACTTTGCATGTGCAGATATTTCTCACCAAGCTCCTCTTCAAGTCACCTTCTGTCAAGGTCCTGTAAAAATGGTATGGTTACAATATTCAATGTTCAAATCCCATGGATCATCTCAACTATATAATAAAAGATGATCAGGAAATAAACCAAAAGGTTAAGAGTGATTGTTTCCAAGTAGTGGGGCCCTCAGTGATTTTTTTCATTCTTTTTTTAGTCTGTTCTTTCTTTATCTCTCAATTTTTCAACAATGAAGTTTTTTCATCAGAAAAATACATATCTTTACATTTTAGCATGCTTTCATACATTTTATAAAAATCACAAATATGTAAAAGAAAGACCAACTTCAAAGAAAATACCCTCAAATGCTTCAATCTGCTTTTCTACATTTCCAAATTTCTACAGTGAATAGGTTACTTCTGTCAAGAGAAAGAAAGACACTTCGTATAAAAGTTGCAATATCCACTCACTCTTTTAACCTTAAACCTAAGCTAATTTGCATCTGATTTTCTTAGAACTCCTGAAGCTTTTATCTCTTATATTAGACTGAATAGTAGGTACTTTAGATTTTTACTTCTATCTTGATGCTAATACACATAATTTAATATTTTTATGAAAACTACCATCAAACAGAACAGCATTTAGTGACTGTCTATGTATGAGATGGGGGAAAATACCCAGAAGGTATTTTAGTATTCAGGGCCACTGTGCACAGGGGTTTAGTGTCTCTTGCAGATATGGCCATCTAAAGGGATGCCATTCACATCCACGTCCTACAGCAACAAGGAAAGCAGCCTCTTGTCCGTGGTCCAGACTAGTTCATACAGTCACACGCACACTCGGGGCTCCAGTGTGTGTGTGTGTGTGTACACACATGCGAGCATGCGCAGGTGAGTGGGTGTGGTTGTGCCCTATCCCAGTCCTGCTGAGCACCCCTTGTAGTTGCTCCCCTCACCTGCCCTCCAGTCTGAGAGGCTCCAGATCCATGACCCTATGTGCCTCAGGTACCACAGGGAAGCGGACATGGAGAGTGTGCAATGCTGTGATGTGTGAGCCCTGGTGTCAGTGTGTGGGCAGGCAGGAGCATGGGCACACAGAGCCAGGTGGGCTGTCTGCCCTGCTGGCTCTAGGAAAGGCAGTTCTTCTAACAGCTGGCAGTTATAACTGATGAACCTAGCAATGATGTACTCATTCAATATTTTTTTCTTTTTGAGGAAAGGTATTTTTTTCCAATTCCTACAAGGCAACAGTCCTTCTGGCTATGTCACTTTAAGTATGGCAGAACTCACTGTTAGTAGTAAAGATGACGTCTCCCTCCTGGGGGATGGGGTCTGTATCCTGGACCACCTGCAAGGCTCCCACAGTCCGGACAGCAGGGTCCAAAGTGACTGAACTTTCATTCACTGTTGTGTCGCTGGCACCTGTGATCTGGTTGGTGGGTGGACCTCCCAGAGAGCCCTCGAAGTCAGTGGGCAAGTCGTCCATGCAGTCGGCATTGGGCTGATGGGGCAGAAAAAGATCTGTTCTCAGTACATGTCATCCACTTAGAGATTAAATGTCTATAGCCTAAACATTCTGTCTCCATGAAAAAATTAAGTTCTTTATTGTTTACTTCTTGAGCCACTTTATTTAAAAACATTCTATATATAGTTTCTATAAGATTAACATAAAAAGATCTTCCAAAATTTCCTTTCCAAAGGTTCATTTTAGATTGAAAAGATTCCTTTTTAATCTTTTAGATTAAAAATTAAAGTTTTATTTCAAGATAAGCAAAATCTCTACATTTAAATAATCACTTAGGGGGAATATGTGAAATTTATTTACAATGAAGGCACTTCCTTACATATAGTATTATTTATTCCACACCTAGAATGTAGCTGGTAGCCTGATCATTATCCCTTAAAACTCATGTGTTGTTTACAAATATACTAATGATATGAGAGTGGGAGGGAGGATAGAATCTGAGTCATTATGGCTTGTTCATTAAAGATACATACATACCCTCAAACACACACAGAGCACAGGATAAGGCTACATTTAAGAAAAACATAAGCCTAAAGCCAGCTATAGAAAAATATCCCTAAGTCCTTAATACGGTATTGATCATACATTAGTCAAATCCTCTAAATTAAATTCTTAGAATCATAAGACTATGGTGAGACCCCCTTGTTCAATTGCCCATTGATTACAGGACGCTTTCCTCTCCAATATCATTGACAGCTTCCCTTGAAGAACATAGCAATGGGAGCTCTCTGCTTTGCAAGGCACTCTGTGTTGGCCAGCAGTGTTGGCGTCTATTATTATTGGGCAAAATCTTATGCTTTGCAAGTTTTACTCTTTTATCTCAGTTCTGCTGGTTTGAAGTAAAAATGAATATATTTCTATCTCTTCCACAAACAGCTTTTCAAATTACTTTCAGTTGTTCTGTCTCTACACAAACTCAAAATTATTTTCTAAAAGGTGGTGGTGGAGGAATATTGTCTTAAGCAGGATTAAGAACAGCTGTTAATTTCTTTTGCTCTGAACCTCAGCTTTGTCTTGAAGGATGATAATTACATGGTTTACACTCCCAAAGTAGGCAGAACATGATGGTCAGGATTAGGGGAGGAGAACTCTGGATTGATAATGATTGAATTAATATCACAATGACTGTTGTTTTCCAAGTTCATCAGAACAGAAAACCTACAACTCACGGACTCCTAGGGAACACAAAGCAAGACATGCAAAGTGCTGGGCTGTTGTCCTAGTGTTGTGCTCTTAGCTGTATAATGCCAGTCTCCTGAGCTCCACACCTGTGTCCTAACAGTCAGCTGAAGAGCTCTACCATTCCATAAACACATCAAATTCAGTTTATTCATTTCTTTCCTGTATTCTTTCTTCTTTTTGCCCTCTCTAGCTATATTGGAAGTGAGCCAATTCACTGAAACTCAATCTGTCAAAAGTCGATTCATAGAATGACCAATTCACTGAATTTACTAAATTTACTCATTGACATTGGACACGAGCAAGTGGGTTTATGAATATTCTCTCCCCATTACCAGTTTCCCTATCCACTTACAATCTCTTCTCCAGTGTATTTCAGTCTGCACTCTCTCATCAGAACATAAAAAAAAAAAAAAAAAAAAAAAAACACCATGGGCTGGGCGTGGTGGCTCACGCCTGTAATCCCAGCACTTTGGGAGGCCGAGGTGGGCAGATCACGAAGTCAGGTGACCTAACCAACATGGTGAAACCCTGTCTCAGCTAAAATATAAAAATTAGCCAGGTGTGGTGGTGCGCACCTGTAGTCCCAGCTACTGGGGAGACTGAGGCAGGGGAATCGCTTGAACCTGGTAGGCGGAGGTTGCAGTGAGCCAAGATTGTCCCACTGCACTCCAGCCTGGCGACAGAGCAAGACTCTGTCTCAAGAAAACAAAACAAAACAAAACAAAAACCATGGGTATGTTTCTCCTCTTCTCCCAAGGAAGGAATTACATGCTCCCTGGCATGACAGAGGCAGATGCTCAAGAGCCTGGCCCCAGCCTACTTTTCTGGCCTCACCTTCAGCCTTTGAAGACAGACAGCACACCATACACTCCCTCCTCTCAACACTGTAGCTTATATTGTCCCTGTGCTCAGGATGACATTTGATCCAATCACCCTCTTTTTCCTATCTCAAGGTCTCAAGTTGGCCCCTGGTGAATTCCTAATCACCCTTTAATTCCCAGGTCCAGTGTCCCCTTTTCTAAGGCATGTTCCCTCCCAGGAGGGCATCTTTGCTCCTGCAAGCACTTCATAAGGTACTTCTCCCATGCTGTATGGCTATTGTTAATGTGCTGATCTCACTCTACTAGTCCCCAAACATTGTAAAGTGAAGCAACCACACTATATTGACTTTGGATTCCAAGCCCCTAATAGTGCCACTGACAATGACTAGGTGCTCAGTAAATGTTGACTTGGAAATTTGATCTGAGTCTCAGATTTCTGCCCTGGAAACTTGGGCATGATCTGCCCTAAATCAATTAAGGGAGGATTTGAGAAAATACTTGAAAAACTGTAAAGTTCTATTTAAAGGCAAGATATGCTATACACAGGTGTTTATTAAGCAAAACTAACTGTGGGAGAGGTTTTCAGGAAGAAAAGATTTCGCAAAGAGGGTACTGTGCAGGTTGTTCTTTTGGCCATAAATACGTAAATGCAATCATATGCAATAATAATGGACATATTTTTCAAAATGTTGATCTAGCTGTTGATATTGTTCTTTGTATATTTTCTTAATTTTGATGCAGTTTTTTTGTTCTTCATTTTGTGGGATAGTAGGAATAGTGCTGTATCTTTAACAGAGTGGGTAGAGGGCAAAAGAGCTAATTAGCACAGTGAAACTGTCAATGGTAGCAAGCACAAATAATTTGGCTTAGATATAATATTTAACAGACCAAGTTTACAGAACCTCACAGATTATATCCACTCTACATGGTTCATCAAATGGAACAATATTTTGAAAAGAAACCAAATCTACATACCTCTGAGAGAAGACACAATCATAAAGTTTAAAACAAGATGTCAAATGCTATCTGCAAGTGAAAACTGCACAGGCATTTAAATTCAAGTTAGCATGGGAAACCCCTCAAATAAAGCAACTGCTAAATAGAATCTTGTGAATACACCAGGTATACAGCAGGATTTTGTATTCAATAAAAATCACCAACCTATTCCTATGAGGATAATAGTGATAGGAGGTGGTTGCTGGCATATGAAAGTCCCAGGTTATATGGTACCTTAGAAGAGGATTTGCTGAAACTGTATTCTGTCATTCTATCAAGACAGACCTACACCTGACTGGATAGAATGGAGGGTGAAGCACTGTAATGTAGATCAAAATGCTTCTGATAATAAAGGACTCCCCACTATTTGCATTCAGTATTATATTTCCCGTAGCAAAATATAATGGAAAATGATACCTATTGTTATGGGAATTTCATAATCAGTGAACTGTGCTCTCATTCTTTAGTTCATTGTAGAGAAATCACTTACAAAATAACAACATCCTCAGTTTCTGACTTTCGATGTATTTGTCTTATACCATGGGTAGATACAAGGACACTTTGTTAAAACAACAAAAACAAAAACAAAACAAAAAATAATATGCCACATGTATTTGAATAATCTAGTAGATCAGGATTACAGCCAAGTTGTTTGCGAGTTGATACTATTCAAAGGAGAATCAGGATGAAATTCATAAATACGATTGTGTAACTGCCAGCCTTCAAGGCTCTGAAGGGCTGTAATTCCATAGACATTTATTGAGCCCTTAGCATAAGTAAGGAATGCAGAGATGAAGCATGAACAGACATCAGTTATCAGAGAGTGAAAAGCTCTTTTCAATTTTCTTTGAATAAGAAGAAATGGAATACATGGAACATAGGAAAATTATAAGACAATTTGTTTAAGCTGCATAAAAAGGGTTTCAGTTCGATATAGCAAGTATTTTCTAATTGAGAAGGCTGTGAGCTTGCCCAGTGAGATGGAAAGTTTTAAGAATGGAGAAGTCATCTTGCTGATATAATTAACACATAGTGCTACCCAACGGTAGAAGGATGAAGGGGAACAAAATCCAAAATTCCTCCCAGATCCTGACTTTGTCATTCCCTAGGAGAAAAACAGAAAAGGCTTGGGAGGCACAGAAGGTATCCATATGCCTTCATGCTTTGTGAGAAGTAGAACGAAAGTGATTTATTCTTCATGGAGGATGTTCTGTTTTGTGGGGCAAGCTTGGATGTGTATCATGTTCTTGTTCAGCTGGCCTTTAAAAATCTTCAGCAAATCCGCTTAAATGTCCCTGTCTGACAGCTTTGAAGAGAGTAGTGGTTCTCCCAGCATGCAGCTTGAGATCTGAGAACGGGCAGACTGCCTCCTCAAGTGGGTCCCTGACCCCCGAGTAGCCTAAATGGGAGGCACCCCCCAGTAGGGGCGGACTGACACCTCACACGGCCGGGTACTCGTCTGAGACAAAACTTCCAGAGGAACCATCAGGCAGCAGCATTTGCGGTTCACCAATATCTGCTGTTCTGCAGCCACCGCTGCTGATACCCAGGCAAACAGGGTCTGGAGTGGACCTCCAGTAAACTCCAACAGACCTGCAGCTGAGGGTCCTGACCTTAGAAGGAAAACTAACAAACAGAAAGGACATCCACACCAAAAACCCATCTGTACGTCCCCATCATCAAAGACCAAAGGTAGATAAAACCAAAAAGATGGGGAAAAAACGGAGCAGAAAAACCGGAAACTCTAAAAATCAGAGCACCTCTCCTCCTCCAAAAGAATGCAGCTCCTCACCAGCAATGGAACAAAGCTGGACGGAGAATGACTTTGACGAGTTGAGAGAGGAAGGCTTCAGAAGATCAAACTACTCTGAGCTAAAGAAGAAAGTTCAAACCAATGGCAAAGAAGTTAAAAACTTTGAAAAAAATTTAGATGAATGGATAACTAGAATAACCAATGCAGAGAAGTCCTTACAGGACCTGATGGAGCTGAAAACCAAGGCACAAGAACTACGTGACGAATGCACAAGCCTCAGTAACCGATGTGATCAACTGGAAGAAAGGGTATCAGCGATGGAAGACGAAATGAATGAAATGAAGCATGAAGAGAAGTTTAGAGAAAAAATAAAAAGAAATGAACAAAGCCTCCAAGAAATATGGGACTATGTGAAAAGACCAAATCTACGTCTAATTGGTGTACCTGAAAGTGACGGGGAGAATGGAATCAAGTTGGAAAACACTCTGCAGGATATTATCCAGGAGAACTTCCCCAGTCTAGCAAGGCAGGCCAACATTCAAATTCAGGAAATACAGAGAACGCCACAAAGATACTCCTCAAGAAGAGCAACTCCAAGACACGTAATTGTCAGATTCACCAAAGTTGAAATGAAGGAAAAAGGGTTAAGGGCAGCCAGAGAGAAAGGTCAGGTTACCCACAAAGGGAAGCCCATCAGACTAACAGCTGATCTCTTGGCAGAAACTCTACAAGCCAGAAGAGAGTGGGAGCCAATATTCAATATTCTTAAAGAAAAGAATTTTCAACCCAGAATTTCATATCCAGCCAAACTAAGCTTCATAAGTGAAGGAGAAATAAAATCCTTTACAGACAAGCAAATGCTGAGAGATTTTGTCACCACCAGGCCTGCCCTAAAAGAGCTCCTGAAGGAAGCACTAAACATGGAAAGGAACAACTGGTACTAGCCACTGCAAAAACATGCCAAATTGTAAAGACCATCAAGGCTAGGAAGAAACTGCATCAACTAATGAGCAAAATAACCAGCTAACATCACAACAACAGGATCAAATTCACACATAACAATATTAACCTTAAATGTAAATGGGCTAAATGCTCCAGTTGAAAGGCACAGACTGGCAAATTGGATGAGTCAAGACCCATCAGCGTGCTATATTCAGGAAACCCATTTCATGTGCAGAGACACACATAGGCTCAAAATAAAGGGATGGAGGAAGATCTACCAAGCAAATGGAAAACAAAAAAAGGCAGGGGTTGCAATCCTAGTCTCTGATAAAACAGACTTTAAACCAACAAAGATCAAAAGAGACAAAGAAGGCCATTACATAATGGTAAAGGGATCAATTCAACAAGAAGAACTAACTAACCTAAATATATATGAACCCAATACAGGAGCACCCAGATTCATAAAGCAAGTCCTTAGTGACCTACAAAGAGACTTAGACTCCCACACAATCATAATGGGAGACTTTAACACTCCACTGTCAACATTAGACAGATCAACGAGACAGAAAGTTAACAAGGATACCCAAGAATTGAACTCAGCTATGCACCAAGCGGACCTAATAGACATCTACAGAACTCTCCACCCCAAATCAACAGAATATACATTTTTTTTCAGCACCACACCACACCTATTCCAAAATTGACCACATAGTTGGAAGTAAAGCACTCCTCAGCAAATGTAAAGTAACAGAAATTATAACAAACTGTCTCTCAGACCACAGTGCAATCAAACTAGAACTCCGGATTAAGAAACTCACTCAAAACCGCTCCACTACATGGAAACTGAACAACCTGCTCCTGAATGACTACTGGGTACATAACGAAATGAAGGCAGAAATAAAGATGTTCTTTGAAACCAACGAGAACAAAGACACAACATACCAGAATCTCTGGGACACATTCAAAGCAGTGTGTAGAGGGAAATTTATAGCACTAAATGCCCACAAGAGAAAGCAGGCAAGATCCAAAATTGACACCCTAACATCACAATTAAAAGAACTAGAAAAGCAAGAGCAAACACATTTGAAAGCTAGCAGAAAGCAAGAAATAACTAAAATCAGAGCAGAACTGAAGGAAATAGAGACACAAAAAACCCTTCAAAAAATTAATGAATCCAGGAGCTGGTTTCTTGAAAACATCAACGAAATTGATAGACCACTAGCAAGACGAATAAAGAAAAAAAGAGAGAAGAATCAAATAGACGCAATAAAAAGGGGATATCACCACCGATCCCACAGAAATACAAACTACCATCAGAGAATAGTACAAACACCTCTACACAAATAAACTAGAAAATTTAGAAGAAATGGATAAATTCCTGGACACATACACCCTCCTAAGGACTAAACCAGGAAGAAGTTGAATCTCTGAATAGACCAATAACAGGCTCTGAAATTGTGGCAATAATCAATAGCTTACCAACCAAAAAGAGTCCAGGTCCAGATGGATTCACAGCCGAATTCTACCAGAGGTACAAGGAGGAGCTGGTACCATTCCTTCTGAAACTATTCCAATCAATACAAAAAGAGGAAATCCTCCCTAACTCATTTTATGAGGCCAGCATCATCCTGATACCAAAGCCTGGCAGACACACAACCAAAAAAGAGAATTTTAGACCAATATCCTTGACGAAAATTGATGCAAAAATCCTCAATAAAATACTGGCAAACCAAATCCAGCAGCACATCAAAAAGCTTATCCACCATGATCAAGTGGGCTTCATCCCTGGGATGAAAGTCTGGATCAACATATGCAAATCAATAATTCTAATCCAGCATATAAACAGAACCAAAGACAAAAACCACATGATTATCTCAATAGATGCAGAAAAGGCCTTTGACAAAATTCAACAACCATTCATGCTAAAAACTCTCAATAAGTTAGGTATTGATGGGACGTATCTCAAAATAATAAGAGCTATCTATGACAAACCCACAGCCAATATCATACTGAATGGGCAAAAACTGGAAGCATTCCCTTTGAAAACTGGCACAAGACAGGGATGCCCTCTCTCACCACACCTATTCAACATAGTGTTGGAAGTTCTGGCCAGGGCAATTAGGCAGGAGAAGGAAATAAAGGGTATTCAATTAGGAAAAGAGGAAGTCAAATTGTCCCTGTTTGCAGATGACATGATTGTATATCTAGAAAACCCCACTGTCTCAGCCCAAAATCTCCTTAAGCTGATAAGCAACTTCAGCGAAGACTCAAGATACAAAATCAATGTACAAACATCACAAGCATTCTTATACACCAATAACAGACAAACAGAGAGCCAAATCATGAGTGAACTCCCATTCACAATTGCTTCAAAGAGAATAAAATACCTAGGAATCCAACTTACAAGGGACGTGAAGGACCTCTTCAAGGAGAACTACAAACCACCCCTCAATGAAATAAAAGAGGATACAAAGAAATGGAAGAACATTCCATGCTCATGGGTAGGAAGAATCAATATCGTGAAAATGGCCATACTGCCCAAGGTAATTTATAGATTCAATGCCATCCCCATCAAGCTACCAATGACTTTCTTCACAGAACTGGAAAAAACTACCTTAAAGTTCATATGGAACCAAAAAAGAGCCCGCATTGCCAAGCCAATCCTAAGCCAAAAGAACAAAGCTGGAGACATCACGCTACCTGACTTCAAACTTGGTTACAAGGCTACGGTAATCAAAACAGCATGGTACTGGTACCAAAACAGAGATATAGATCAATGGAACAGAACAGAGCCCTCAGAAATAACGCCACATATCTACAAATATCTGATCTTTGACAAACCTGAGAAAAACAAGCAAGGGGGAAAGGATTCCCTATTTAATAAATGGTGCTGGGAAAACTGGCTAGCCATATGTAGAAAGCTGAAACTGGATCCCTTCCTTACGTCGTATACAAAAATTAATTCAAAATGGATTAAAGACTTAAACGTTAGACCTAAAACCATAAAAACCCTAGAAGAAAACCTAGGCATTACCATTCAGGACATAGGCATGGGCAAGGACTTCATGTCTAAAACACCAAAAGCAATGGCAACAAAAGCCAAAATTGACAAATGGGATCTAATTGAACTAAAGAGCTTCTGCACAGTGAAAGAAACTACCATCAGAGTGAACAGGCAACCTACAAAATGGGAGAAAATTTTCGCAACCTACTCATCTGACAAAGGGCTAATATCCAGAATCTACAATGAACTCAAACAAATTTACAAGAAAAAAACAAACAACCCCATCAAAAAGTGGGCAAAGGACATGAACAGACACTTCTCAAAAGAGACATTTATGCAGCCAAAAAACACATGAAAAAACGCTCACCATCACTGGCCATCAGAGAAATGCAAATCAAAACCACAATGAGATACCATCTCACACCAGTTAGAATGGTGATCATTAAACAGTCAGGAAACTACAGGTGCTGGAGAGGATGTGGAGAAATAGGAACACTTTTACACTGTTGTTGGGACTATAAACTAGTTCAACCATTGTGGAAGTCGGTGTGGCGATTCCTCAGGGATCTAGTACTAGAAATACCATTTGACCCAGCCATCCCATTACTGGGTATATACCCTAAGGATTATAAACCATGCTGCTATAAAGACACATGCACACATACGTTTATTGCGGCACTATTCACGATAGCAAAGACTTGGAACCAACCCAAATGTCCAACAATGATAGACTGGATTAAGAAAATGTGGCACATATACACCATGGAATACTATGCAGCCGTAAAAAATGATGAGTTCATGTCCTTTATAGGGACATGGATGAAATTGGAAATCATCATTCTGAGTAAACTATCACAAGAACAAAAAACCAAACACTGCATATTCTCACTCATAGGTGGGAATTGAACACTGAGAATACATGGACACAGGAAGGGGAACATCACACTCTGGGGACTGTTGTGGCGTGGGAGGAGGGATAGCATTAGGAGATATACCTAACGCTAAATGACGAGTTAATGGGTGCAGCACACCAGCATGGCACATGCATACATATGTAACTAACCCGCACATTGTGCACATGTACCCTAAAACTTAAAGTATAATAATAATAATAATAATAATAATATAATTGATAGACCGCTAGCAAGACTAATAAAGAAGAAAAGAGAGAAGAATCAAATAGACACAATAAAAAATGGCAAAGGGGATATCACCACCGATCCCACAGAAATACAAACTACCATCAGAGAATACTATAAACACCTCTACACGAATAAACTAGAAAATCTAGAAGAAATGGATAAATTCCTCGACACATACACTCTCCCAAGACTAAAGCAGGAAGAAGTTGAATCTCTGAATAGACCAATAACAGCATCTGAAATTGAGGCAATAATTAATAGCCCACCAACCAAAAAAAGTCCAGGACCAGATGGATTCACAGCCGAATTCTACCAGAGGTACAAGGAGGAGCTGGTACCATTCCTTTTGAAACTATTCCAATCAATACAAAAAGAGGGAACCCTCCCTAACTCATTTTATGAGGCCAGCATCATCCTGATACCAAAGCCTGGCAGAGACACAACCAAAAGAGAGAATTTTAGACCAATATCCTTGATGAACATTGATCCAAAAAACCTCAATAAAATACTGGCAAACCGAATCCAGCAGCACATCAAAAAGCTTATCCACTAAGATCAAGTGGGCTTCATCCCTGGGATGCAAGGCTGGTTCAACATATGCAAATCAATAAACGTAATCCAGCATATAAACAGAACCAAAGACAAAAACCACATGATTATCTGAATAGATGCAGAAAAGGCCTTTGACAAAATTCAACAACGCTTCATGCTAAAAACTCTCAATAAATTAGGTATTGATGGGACGTATCTCAAAATAATAAGAGCTATCTATGACAAACCCACAGCCAATATCATATTGAATGGGCAAAAACTGGAAGCATTCCCTTTGAAAACTGGCACAAGACAGGGATGCCCTCTCTCACCACACCTATTCAACATAGTGTTGGAAGTTCTGGCCAGGGCATTCAGGCAGGAGAAGGAAATAAAGGGTATTCAATTAGGAAAAGAGGAAGTCAAATTGTCCCTGTTTGCAGATGACATGATTGTATATCTAGAAAACCCCATCGTCTCAGCCCAAAATCTTCTTAAGCTGATAAGCAACTTCAGCGAAGTCTCAGGACATAAAATCAATGTGCAAAAATCACAAGCATTCTTATACACCAATAAGAGACAAACAGAGAGGCAAATCATGAGTGAACTCCCACTCACAATTGCTTCAAAGAAAATAAAATACCTAGGAATCCAACTTATACGGGACGGGAAGGACCTCTTCAAGGAGAACTACAAACCACTGCTCAATGAAATAAAAGAGGATACAAAGAAATGGAAGAACATTCCATGCTCATAGATAGGAAGAATCAATATCGTGAAAATGGCCATACTGCCCAAGGTAATTTATAGATTCAATGCCATCCCTATCAAGCTACCAATGACTTTCTTCACAGAATTGGAAAAAACTACTTTAAAATTCATATGGAACCAAAAAAGAGCCCGCATTGCCAAGTCAATCCTAAGGCAAAAGAACAAAGCTGGAGGCATCATGCTACCTGACTTCAAACTTGGTTACAAGGCTACAGTAATCAAAACAGCATGGTACTGGTACCAAAACAGAGATATAGACCAATGGAACAGAACAGAGCCCTCAGAAATAATGCCGCATATCTACAACTATCTGATCTTTGACAAACCTGACAAAAACCAGAAATGGGGAAAGGATTCCCTATTTAATAAACGGTGCTGGGAAAACTGGCTAGACATATGTAGAAAGCTGAAACTGGATCCCTTCCTTACACCTTATACAAAAATTAATTCAAGATGGATTAAAGACTTAAACGTTAGACCTAAAACCATAAAAACCCCAGAAGAAAACCTAGGCAATACCATTCAGGACATAGGCATGGGCAAGGACTTCACGTCTAAAACACCAAAAGCAATGGCAACAAAAGCCAAAATTGACAAATGGGATCTAATTAAACTAAGGACCTTCTGCACAGCAAAACAAACCACCATCAGGGTGAACAGGCAACCTACAGAATGGGAGAAAATTTTCGCAACCTACTCATCTGACAAAGGGCTAATATCCAGAATCTACAATGAACTCAAACAAATTTACAAGAAAAAAAGAAACAACCCCATCAAAAAGTGGGCAAAGGATATGAACAGAGACTTCTCAAAAGAAGACATTTATGCAGCCAAAAGACACATGAAAAAATGCTCACCATCACTGGCCATCAGAGAAATGCAAATCAAAACCACAATGAGATACCATCTCACACCAGTTAGAATGGTGATCATTAAACAGTCAGGAAACAACAGGTGCTGGAGAGGATGTGGAGAAATAGGAACACTTTTACACTGTTGGTGGGACTGTAAACTAGTTCAACCATTGTGGAAGTCGGTGTGGCGATTCCTCAGGGATCTAGAACTAGAAATACCATTTGACCCAGCCATCCCATTACTGGGTATATACCCTAAGGATTATAAATCATGCTGTTATAAAGACACATGCACACGTGTGTTTATTGCAGCACTATTCACAATAGCAAAGATTTGGAACCAACCCAAATGTCCAACAATGATAGACTGTATTAAGAAAATGTGGCACATATACACCATGGAATACTATGCAGCCATAAAAAATGATGAGCTCATGTCCTTTGTAGGGACATGGATGAAGCTAGAAACCATCATTCTCAGCAAACTGTTGCAAGGACAAAAAACCAAACACAGCATGTTCTCACTCATAGGTGGGAATTGAACAATGAGAACACATGGACACAGGAAGGGGAACATCACACACTGGGGCCTGTTGTGGGGTGGGGGAAGGGGGGAGGGATAGCATTAGGAGATATACCTAATGCTAAATGATGAGTTAGTGGGTGCAGCACACCAACATAGCACATGTATACACATGCAACAAACCTGCACGTTTTGCACATGTATCCTAAAACTTAAAGTATAATTAAAAAAAAATCTTTACCAAATCCAAAAGATGCTACTGATGTTTATTTTTCTGACAGTTCATTGTGCAAAGTAAAATCCTATCCGACTTGTTAGGCATCAAACCATGGCCAGAATGCCCAAATGCTAAAAGTTAAAATGTTATTCATCTTGGAAATAAGAGAAAAGACCACCCAATAATTCTTCTAAAAATAATTAACAGCAATATTTGCAACTTATTTACAAGTAGCTTCTGCAGAAGTTATACCTCCATTGAAAAAATCTGGAGTCAAATACTCTTTAGTACAAAATTGAACGATGGATGCTTGTTAAGTTTCATTGTCCTGACCAGAGAGCAGTGGGATTGGCACTTAATATCTCTAAAAATACCCTGAACAATAGGAACACATCAAAGGATGCAACTGTCTCTGTCTCATTGTGAGAACTGTCAGGATTCTAAAGATTTTGGAGACCATAGACACACATACACACATTTCCCCCTCCCCTGAAAGACTCAGTTATAGACAGAAATGTGAACAGTACAAAAACTGAGCTCAGCTTTCTAAGTCACCAGTATCTGGTAGAGCTCTTGGGTTTTTACTGATGTTTCATGTTCCTGTAATTGATTTTCATCATGAATGCATTATGCATTTATAACTGGTCTGAAAATTTAATGCATTATCTTTAAAATCTAGCTCAAAGGTATAGTCACACAAGTTGATGTGTGTTCAGAGTATCAACCATGCAAATCATACAGCAGGCATGGAGGCAGCTGGCACAGGGTAGAAAGTTCAGCCAATGCATGTCCTCATAATGCTTCAGGTGCGCCCTCTCCAGCAGAGCCACTCTGATATTCCTAAGATAATGCATCTCTGGCATTAAAGTAAACCTTTGATATGGGATCTGATCCTTCTTCAGTGACATCTTGGGACTATTAACATTCTCTTTATTCTCTGCCATTAGCAGTGAGGAATGACAATAGGCAGGTGGCAGCAAAGTGGAGGGGCTGAGGGGGAGCTGGCATCTGCATTTCGTTTGTCTGACTTCTACACAGCACCGTATGGTTTCTCACATCTCTCAGTGTAGTCCTTGGATTTGGTGGCCTGCCTTGCTTCCTGCCCTCATTGCTGAGAGGGGAGAACACATAGCAGCTGGTGTCTCACCACCCACCAGTTTGCAGGCTTCACCTGATACAGTTCTGGGAAAGTCTCCCTGGAGCATCAAGCCAGCTGGCTGATTCTCTTTGTACAGGGGAGAGACTAAACTTTAGAAAACATTTAGTCTCTGGGGGAGTCAACTGGGGGAACCCGTTAAATTGAGAACTAAGTGCTAGCATTAAGTAGCTCTGGCTCTGGTTTCCTGTTCACTCAAAGTCTCCACAGAGATCTGAGTTTAGCTGAGGCTTTGAGCCTGACTTTCAGCCTCTGTCCTCCCCTCCGATTGCTGGGAGGTGCTCGCTCCCTCTGAAAGCCAGGTGATCGTGGGGCAAAGTGTGGCTTACGGATCTTCCTGATGGCCAAACAAGGGTGATGATGATGCAAGAGGTGCTCAGTGTGCAACTGGCCCGGGGTGTATCTGCTGCCGTCCCACCTGCCCTCCCATGCTGCAGCCCAGAAGAGAAGCCAATGAGCTGCACAAGTGATACCTTGACTCACAGACAAATATAATGGACATGGTGAAAGGTTGGGATGTCCTCAGAGAAAAAGTGAGGGGAGAAATGCTTTCAGACATAGGAGTTCTCTTGGAGCCTTGTAAGATGATGTGACTGCTATGTGTGACTGAGGGGACACAGAACATCCAAGTATAATGTTTTCTCCCTGCTTTGAGGGCAACGCAGAAAGACAGACATTATAATGCTGTAGGCTGTGCTGTGCTTACCGGGATCCCTAGGGCTTTAAGAATGTTCATCTTGCACATGGGACAGGTACGATGGTCTAGAAGCCAGGGGTCAACACAGGACTTGTGGAAAAGATGCCTGCAATGAGAACCATACATCTTAGAGCGGCGGTAACTGCAGAGAATACCTGGTCCACCATGGCCCAGGGACTCGTCCAAGGTCACAAAATTACTCAGTGGCAGAGCCAAGACTCAAACCTCCATCCCTAACTTGTGGGCCAAAGTGTTTCCTGTTATAACCTGTGGTGATATAGTCAAAATCTGTCTGGATCCCAAGACTGTCCTATATAATTTGCAATGGAGTTTTCCAAGTTTCAGAAAATGTAGAAAATGCAGAAACTGAGAGATTTTTCTTTTTCTCAATAGGAAGAAGCTCCAATGAAAATAATGCAAGTGGGGAAACTTGTACACACCTTGTAGGATGACTTGATTGATACTACTTTAAAAAATATGCAGAATTTCTTTTCCCACAGTCAGTAGAAAACTGCAAGTAAAGGCTGATTTCCATTAATATTTGGGATCTAACACAAAAGGGCAAAAGAGCTCCTGAAAGCATTCAGTAACACCAATGCCATTTTAAGTTGTGGCTTCTGGTTGTCAAATCAAAAGCCAGAGTAGAAGGCTCTGGGGTTTCACGTAGGTAGCCGTCATATCTGCACAGTTGATTAACTCAACTACATGGTCATTCCCATGTGCCAATCATTACTAGCTTTTATCTTCGTGGCAGAAGGGGCATTTGGTGGCTACAGGAGGGCTTCCTAACTGAACTTTCTCTGAACTTCGCTTGAAAGAGTCCACACAGAGATGTCAGGAACTCCTTGAGTCAGAAGCTTTTCTTCTAACTCCCAAGACTCCAGACTACAGGCAGAAGTAGTCAGAATTTTCTGCCTGGGGCAAGAAGAGAAAGAACTATCTGTTTTAAGTCTGAGGACTTCCTCAGGACATTCCATGCATGACTGACTCTCTTTCTGTACTCCCTGCCTCTCACCCCTCTGCAATGGAGCAATGTTCTTGAATATTTCTATTCTGTTCTCTCACTTGCACCTCCTTTTGTTCTAATAGTTCCAAAAACCTCATTTGCCTTGTGTTAGAGGGTGCTGGGCTCAAATACTTAAAAAGTACCTCCAAATCAGAGAAGAGTTCAGGGAATTGCTACCTTTTAAACTGAAATTAGAAGAACGCCAATGCCAAAGATGAGATTGGCTGCATAGAGGATATGATCAGATTGGGGATTAGAAAAAAGGACTGTAGCAACAAGGATGTGTTATTATGTTTCCAGATTATTGTTGAAGATGCCCTGCAGATTTACTATGATATGGTTTGGGTCTGTGTCCCTGCCCAAATATCATGTCGAATTGTAATCTCCAGTTTGGAGGTGGGGCCTGGTGGGAGGTGATTGGATCATGGGAGCAGATTTCCCTCTTGGTGCTGTTCTTGTGATAGTGATTTCTCATGAGATCTGGTCATTTAAAAGTGTGTGGCACTCCCCACCCCGCTTCCTTCTGCTCCAGCCTTGTGAAGTGCTGGCTCTCTCTTTGCCTTCTGCCATGATTGTAAGTTTCTTGAGGCCTCCCCAGAAGCCCAGAAGATGCCAGCATCATGCTTCCTATAGCCTATGGAACTGTGAGCCAATTAAACCTCTTGTTTTTTTGTTTCTTTTTTTTTTTTTTTTGAGATGGAGTTTTGCTCTGCCGCCCAGGCTGGAGTGCAGTAGTGCAATCTCAGCTCACTTCAACCTCTACCTCCCGGGTTCAAGTGATTCTTGTACCTCAGCCTCCCAAGTAGCTGGGATTACAGGTGCCCACCACCAAGCCTGGCTAGTTTTTGTATTTTTAGTAGAGACGGGGTTTTGCCATGTTGGCCGGGCTGGTCCTGAACTCCTGACCTCAAGTGATCTGCCCACCTCAGCCTCTCAAAGTGCTGGGATTACAGGCATGAGCCACTGGGCCTGGCCTAACTCTATTTTCTTTATAAATTACCCAGTCTCAGGTATTTCTTTATAGCAGTGTGAGAACAGACTAATACATACTACTTGGAAGGAGTATATTTCATTCACTCATCCATTCACTCCTTTATCTGTGCATTCATGCAACAAGTAGTATATACTAAGAACTGTGCTCAACAGACAGAATCAGCACAATGGTGATTTGGCTCCTTCCGTCAGGAAGCACAGCAGGAGAGGCAGACATTAATAAAATAATACAGAAGTAAAGTACTTAGTGACAACAGTGTTAAGTACTACATTAGAATAAAAGGGAGCTTGGCGAGGAGGTGCTTATAACTGGGAGATTTATCCTAGTTGGGGTGTTCAGGGAAGGGCTCCCTAACAAAGTGACGAAGCTGAAACCTAAGGGGTACATGGGTCATGGTTTACATAGAGGGGAAGGGGAGGTGGAAGAAGGGGGAATGGCTCATGCAAGAGCGCAGGGAGGGAGGGGGAGCAAGGAGAAGGGGGTGTCTGGCACCCAAGTTGGATAAAGCCATTCCTTTCCTTGCACTTCCAAAAAGCAATTTTGACCTCCCTATGTTCAGGATCTACGCTCTGTATCTTTATTTCTTTTTCTTTTTTTGAGACGGAGTCTCGCTCTGTCACCCAGACTGGAGTGCAGTGGCAAGATCTCGGCTCACTGCAAGCTCCATCTCCTGGGTTCATGCCATTCCCCTGCCTCAGCCTCCTGAGTAGCTGGGACTACAGGCGCCTGCCACCACGCCCAGCTATTTTTTTGTATTTTTAGTAGAGACGGGGTTTCACTGTGTTAGCCAGGATGGTCTCGATCTCCTGACCTCGTGATCCACCCGCCTCAGCCTCCCAAAGTGCTAGGATTACAGGCGTGAGCCACCGCGCCCGGCCCTGTATCTTTGTTTCTATTCCTACATATTTCCTGCTGGTTCTAATTCTCTGGAGACTCCTGACCAATATATCCTCCAATTAGAGTGGAGGATTGCTCTCTGTGAGAGCAAAATCCTCGTTTGCTTGATTCACTGTTGCATCCTGGCAACCCCAGTTCTTGGCACACAGTTGATGCTTAAGTTCCTAATCTGAACTTGCTCACCAACTGGTGTTGCTCCTGGGAAAAAGGCAAACGCTCTGGTCCTTTGACCATTCCCTGGAGGCAGGGCTCTGCTGTTTTCTGCACATAGGCTGAGTCAGAATGACAGCAAGGCCATTCATTAGCAATCAAATAAGATGATTAATATCCCCAAGTCTCAGTGGCCTGTCTGTAGGATGGAGAAGTATTTAATACTACAGCGGAAAAGCCTTCCCCAGAGTCTCTGATCCACAGACACTGGTCGTTGTTCTCAAACACCCTCAGTTATTTCTCTCTATGCACTGGTCATTCTTACACCTCCTCTGGATGCTAAGTTTTTTTTTTTTTTTTTTTTTTTTTTGAGATGGAGTCTTGCTCTGTCGCCCAGGCTGGAGTGCAGTGGCGCGATCTCGGCTCACTGCAAGCTCTGCCTCCTGGGTTCACGCCATTCTCCTGCCTCAGCCTCCGGAGTAGCTGGGACTACAGGCACCCACCACCACGCCCAGCTAATTTTCTGTATTTTTAGTAGAGACGGGGTTTCATCGTGTTGGCCAGGATGGTCTCGATCTCCTGAACTCGTGATCCACTTGCCTCGGCCTCCCAAAGTAATGGGATTACAGGCGTGAGACACCGTGCCCGGCCTGGATGCTTAGTTTTTATGTGTCAGTTTGGCAAGGCTGTAGTATAGTTCTTCAATTGACACAAGTCAAGATGTTGCTATGAAGGCATTTTGTAGATGTGGTTAATATCTACAATCAGTTGACCTTAAATAAAGGGGATTATCCTCAACAATCTGGGTGGGCCTTATGCAATCATTTGAACGATCTTAAGAGCAAAACTGAGGTTTTGGCTGGGCATGGTGGCTCATGCCTGTAATCCCAGCATTTTGGTAGGCCAAGGCAGGCGGCAGGCAAATAACTTGAGTTCAGGAGTTTGAGACTAGGCTGGCCACCGTGGCGAAACCCTGTCTCTACTAAAAATGCAAAAACTAGCTGGGCGTGGTGTTGTGTGCCTGTAATTCCAGCTACTTGGGAGGCTGACATGGGAGAATTGCTTGAACCTGGGAGGTGGAGGTTGCAGTGAGCCGAGATCACACCACTGCACTCCTGCCTGGGTGACAGAGCAAGACTCTACCTCAAAACCAACCAACCAACCCACCAACCAAACAACCCTGAGGCTTCTCTGAGAGGAAATTCTGCTCAAGACTATAGCATCAGCTCCTGCCAAGAGTTTCCGGCTTATAGGCCTGTCCTGAAGACTTCAGGCTTGCCAGATCTTACAATCACATAAGCCAATTCCTTGAAATCTCCACCTGTATCTATATCTCCATTTCTATATATCTCCTGCTGGTTCTGCTTCTCTGGAGAATCCTGACCAACATATCCCTCCAATTAGGACACAAGCTGTAGGAGAATAAAATTCTGGTTTGCTCAATTCGCTGTTGCATCTCCGGGACCTAGAACAGTTCCCGACACACAGCTGATGCTCAAGAAACATTTGCTGCATGAACAGATATTTATTTACCCAAGGACCTAGCACTCCTCCCTGCCTCCACATGGTCAAGTCTCATTCATGCACTCTTCCTGAATCTCTGTCACATTCGGGACTTTTCTTCTCTCAGCGTGGCTCCCTCCTGCATTGGCTCATCATCATTTTCTCTGTGTCACTTCAATGGCATCGAAACTGCTCTCCACACTGCCAGTCTTTTCTTGTTCTCTTCATCCCACTCATTGTTGCCAGATTTATCTTCCTAAAATATAGCACTGGTTACGTCACCCCCGTGTTCCATTCTGTTCTGTGCTGAGAGCTGGGTACAAAGATGAATAAGACAAGGCCCTGCCCTTTAAGGCAGCATCACAGTCATTTAGCGATTCACTGTTAACGACAATGGAAAGGTTGCACTCCTGGATCTGCTGGGGTTTTTTTTTGTTTGCTTTAATTGTCCTAGGCAGGCTACCTTAGCTCTGTAAGATTCAGCTCCTCATCAGTGAAATTTTGTCTTATAGGTATGGGCTTCATGAGTGAATGAGTCTGTGTGTGTGTGTTTGGGGTGTGGGGAGAGAGAGAAGGGGCGGGGAAAGGGAATAAATAATACTCACAAAGCTTAAAACATAAGTCCTGGTACTCCTTAATTGTAAACTACCATAAATCTTATTAATAGCATTGTATTACATCTTATTTTAAAGATATTATGTGATTATTATGATTTCTACTCTTTTGTGTAACCTTCCTAACATGGAAAGCAGATAACTACAAATTTTAAAAAAATCAGAGGGAGAACTAAGGGCAAAAAAGAAAAACTGCTGAAATGCCACACAGGGCAGTCAGGCTTATTATTAATTCACAATCATTTCTTTTTGGTAGCATATTGATCATCAAATATGAAAACTTTATCCTTATAATTGGGATTGGAAAGCAGTATTTTTCCTCCTAAGTGGAAAGAAAAGTAAAAGTCAACAGACTAAATAAACAAACAAAAGGATAGGGAAAGGATCTGGAGTTGAGTGAAATGCACCAGTTAGTAAACATCTCCAAGGCAAAGTCCATCTCATCTTTTTTATAGGATTCACAGGATAGCAGTGAATCTTCCCATGGTTTAACAAGTGCTGAGTGAGAAAGCACACACGGAAGACAAGATAATCCATCTCTTAACAATCCCGACAAATTGGAAATACAACAAAGAGTTGGCCAAAACTGTTTTCTTTCCTCATTCACCAAAGGGAAGCAAACATTTTAAAAATAGTTCTTCAAACACCCGAAAACAGAGGATGCAGACAACTGCATAATGATGCAGAGATGATGATGAATAATAAGTTCTCACACTTTTTGGCAGTAATGACAAACCAAGCTAATCTAATTTCCACATCTATTGATTCTTGTTTTCTGCTGTTCTTTCACCTATATGTGTGATTCCCTCCCCAATTTAATGACATTTTTTCCCCAGCTGGAGAGAGAAAAGGCTGTTCTGTTTTTCCCATCTCTTTCACTTTTGTAGACACCGTTGGACCCTAACACCCTGCAAGTGAGATTAGGACCCTGTGGTTTTCCTTTGGCACCAGTGCAAGCTGTCTCATTCTCCTTAGTGAAGTGGTTATTAAAAAATGTGACTCACTCAGGTACCTGAGAATCCCATACTCCCAGGCAACATGAACTATTTTAAAAAGATACCTAGTACTTCTATGCATACCCGAAATGTTTCTGCAGAGCCTCTGAATCTTATTTGCAAAACTGTCAATAAAGAGTGAATTTTAAATTAATGAACACTGACATTAATGTCAGTAATTAATGAATGCTGACAGTATCTACCAGTTATTGTATCCCTACTATGTACCAGGCATGTTACATACATAATTAAATCACAAAAGCCCTATGAAGTAGAAATTATTATTTCTGTCTTATGGAAGAGAAGGCTGAAGCTCATTAAAGTAAATTATCTGAAGAGCTAGTCAGCTGCAGAGCTAGGATTCAAATTCCAACTGACAGTCAGTGTTTTTACCCACTCTATACTCCTCACCCCATCCTCAAGCTGTCACAGGTAAGGGGGGTAGTTGGAGGTATTCAAACCTTTATTCTTTCCCAGTGTATTTCTTTGCTCCAGCTTAGCCTCTCTGAGCCTTAGTTTCTTCACTGATAAAATGAGGATAACAGCAGCACCTATCTGAGGCACCCAATACTGTCACCCAGTATGTCAGCTCTCCATCTCTCCAGCACATGGGGAGATGACAAGCTCTCCTGGTGGTGGCTATGGCCATGTGACTAATTCTGGCAGATAAATTATAAAGAGAAATGACAGATTTCACTTCAGGTCATGGCATTTAATTGCTGACCTATCAATTAACAATGTTTGAGATAGTGACTGCTTTGTCAGCCTGACTGCCATGAGTAGATACCCTCTGCTGACACACAGTGAACACAAAGCATGAGTGAGATATCCTTGCTGTGTTAAGCCACTGAGAGTTGGGTTCGTTGCTGTTACTGCATCAAAGCTTCGCCTATCCTGACTAGTAAAATAACTTATGGGGCTGTTGTAAGGGTTAAATGCTTGTTTGTATAGTGCTTCATTAGTAAGTGTTCAGGGGATAATGGTAATATTAACTATTTTAAATGATGTTGGTACAACATGCACAGTGACAGGTCATAAATACAAATAAAACTGCTACTGAATTCAGCGAAGGGAGAAGTTTGTGAGGAAATTAAAAGGCTATGGGATACGGTAAGGCCTTTTGTACAGCCTAAAGCATGGGAAGAACTTTGAAGCATTTACAGTGGAGGAAAGAAATTCAAAAAGAAGGGATTTACATAACTCAACATATAGAAGAAGCAAAAGTTGAGTTTCCCTCATCTGAAAATCCAAACTCTGAAATGCTCTAAAATCTGGAAAATTTTGAGTGCCAAAATGGTGCTCAAAGGAAATGCTCACTGCAGCATTCTGGATTTTGGATTTCCAGATGAGGGGTGGTTACTGGTAAGTATAATGCAAATATTCCAGAATTCGAGATGTGAAACACTTCTGGTCCCAGGCATTTTGGGTTAAAGGATACTCAACCTGTATTATGATATGTATGGGTTGAAATGTAGGCTATGTTAAGTGGATGAACAGAAAATGAAGTTGGAAAATATGATTCTAAATCAACATTCTGAAATAATCTAGGAAAGAGGTATGAATGGTGAAGAAAATAATGGACGGGAGCCATGCTTTTCCCTGTTCCTTGTGATGGTGAACTTCACATCATTAAGTTATTTCCTTCTATACTTTTCCATCTTTCTATGTCTCCTATACAGGAAGTCCTTGTGATGGGGATGATCTAGTCATCACTTGCTATGTGGTGTTGATTAAGTCAAGTAAGTAGACACCAGTCTCATCCTACCATATCCTCAATCCCACTGACCTAGTGCCACACTGTGGGGACAATTCTGCTAATGGGCTTGATCTGAAATGGTTGGGCCAATTATTTAAAAACATCATATTTATTTATTTATTTTTAAAATTTGTTTATTTATTTTGAGACAGAGTCTCGTTCTATTGCCCAGCTGGACAGTGCAGTGGCGTGATCTAGGCTCACTGCCACCTCCGCCTCCCAGGTTCAAGTGTTTCTCCCACATTAGCCTCCCAAGCAGCTGGGACTATAGGCACATACAACCATGCCTGGCTAATTTTTGTATTTTTGTAGAGACAGGGTTTTGCCATGTTGGCCAGGCTGGTCTGGAACTCCTGATCTCAGGTGATCCACCACCGTGGCCTCCCAAAGTGCTGGAATTACAGGTGTGAGCTACTGTGCCCAGCCTAAAAACATCATTTTTTAAAAAAGAAAAGACAAACGGAAAAAAGCTGCAATATAGCACCAGTAGTAATCATATTCTGGCTGTAGTTATAAACATAATAACTTTGTTTTGGCAAGCAAATATGATAGCAGTTTCATGTGATAGAGCAAAAAAGAAAAAAAAAAGAATGCAATAAGGTAAATTGCTGCTCACCGCACAAGCACTGTCCTTCTACGAAAAGTCTGCTTTCTTTTCAGGCTCACAGAAACAAGTTTGGAAAGTAATATCCAGAAAACATACAGAGGAAGTAAAATTCTTAAAACTTGGCTAAATTTGATTTAGTTTCCTTGAGTTGCTTAGACATTTTGCTTAGAGTGAGAGGGGGTTTCTGAAGCAGATTTTTAGCCAAAACCATATCCCCAGAGGTATGAAAGTACAACAGGGATCCCTGAGCAGGAATAAGTGTGGCTATGGTGTCAACTCCACAGCCAATGATACAGTGCTGGCCCAGAAGTCAGAAAACCTGGCTTTACTTTGGGCCCTGGGACCAACTTCTTTGAGTTAAGGTTTTCTTTTAATAAAATACAGGGGCAATCATTGATATCTGTCCTATCTATATTACAGGCTGGTCTGAGCTAAAATTAGACATTATATGCAAAAGTGCTTTGTGAAGAGTAGAGTGCTTTTGAAAGTTAAAGTGTTATAATATATATATATATATAAATATATATATATTATATATTTATAATATATATATATAAATATATATATTATATATATATAATATATATATAATATATATAATAAATATATATATAAAGTGTTATAATATATAAAGAACCATTTATTCCACACAGCTCTGCATTGCGTTAGATTTATAGCATGAAAGAAAAACCAACAACTTAAAAAAACAAAGAAAGGATATCAGATCCTGTTGCTACTAACATCAATTTCTTTTTAAACTACAATGGAAGAAATTTTTACTTTGGGAATGCAAGCTGGGAGGAATTGCAGGACCCTCATTTTATAGTGTGTCTCACTCCTTGGGTTTCTGGCAGAGGGAGGCTCTGTGCTTAGAACTTAACTCTGTTCTAATTATATCGTTTGGCTGGGGCAGCAAAGCTAGTTGGCATTCATCCCGTGTGTCTACTTGATTAATATAACTGGGGATCAGGACATTTGAAGCCAGAATGCCATATTTAACGAGGTTATTACAGTGCAAGACTTCTGTCCTAAGGCGACATTTGCTATGTTGAAAAACAACATCATTTACAGCACTGCCATCTCTTTCATGTTCCCTTCCTTTATTCCCTTAAGTGATATATTTTACATATATAATGTTGTACACATAAAAATCTGAAGTAATCAAAGAAAAACGATAAGAAAACACTTAGCAAACTCCAAACTTAGAAATACTGTGTAATTTTTACTAATGTGTAGAGTGAACTGTTGTTTTTAAAATTCTATTGCATAGCTTCTTTGGTACTTAAGTTTTTTTCCATTACTTTAAATGAAGGTATAATGTACCACAAAATGCATAAACCTTAAGTGAGCTTGATGATTTCTTAAGTGTGTGTATGTTTACGTACATACCACCCAGATGAAGATATACACCATCCTATCACCCCAGAAAGTCCTCCTGTGCCCCTTACCAGTCAATACCCACTCTCTGCCATGTGACCATCATTCTAACATCTGTCACCATATATTAGTTTTCCCTGTTATTGAATTTCAAATGGAATCATAAAGTATGTATTCTTTTTTGTCTAGCTTTTTAAATTCAAAATAATGGTTTTCAGATTCATCTGTGCCTTGGTGTACATCAATAGCTTGTTTTTTTATTGCTCAGTAGTATTCCATTGTATGGGTGTACCCCAATTTGTTTGCAGATTTTCCATTGTTAGACATCTGTACTGTCCTCATTTTTTGGCTATTATGGCTAAATGTGCTATGGCCACTCTTGCATCAGTCTTTCTGTTAATATATGCATTCATTTCTCTCAGGTATATATCCAAGAACAGAATTGCTAGGTCACAAGGTAGGGTGTATTTAACTTTAGTGGAAACTGCCAAACAAATTTCCAAAGCTGTTGTGCTATTTTAAACTCCTACTACACTGCATAACTTTTAATTTGGCCAAGTATATAAAATTCTGTTCTTGGAAAAATGGGTTTAAAAAATAGTTTTTATAAACTATTTGAGTGAGATGCCATACACCAGCATAAATTTTCATATAAATTTGAAAAGAGTAGTTAATTGATCAGTTATCTTATTTCTTGATAGGGAAGGATTAAAGTAAGGAGGAAGAGATAAGAACACAAAATTCGTTAATTTTATAGCATAAATTTTAAATTGTTAATTAAAAAAGCATTATAAAAAATAAAAATACTTAATAAAAAGATTCACCAAAAACACTAAAACAAAATGTTAAAAATAGTATCACATTTTATCAATTCTAGGCCATATCATTCTTCATTCCCATTTTAACCTATCTAAAATTAGGAAACATCTTACAATCAATGACAATTTATATTAAATATGATATGATATAAAAAGAACTTGTGTTAGTCAATAGTAATATATCAAAGAAATCAAACATATGGGAATTTAAATTACCTTTATATTTGGCTATCAGATGAGAAAGATGCTTTAAAAATTTACTACTCCATGGTTCTGAGAGAGTGCTAGCATAAACACTCTCACATACTGCTAATGAGGTGTCAATCATTACCACCTTTCAGGAAAGCAATTGGATAAAATTTTTCAAGATCCTTTAAAATTCCTTTCAATCTAGTAAGTTCACTTTAGGAATGTATCTGAAGGGATAAATACAGAATAAATATATAAACAACTAACCTCATGATTTTATAATGATGAAAAACTGGAAGCAATTTAAATGCTGAACAATGTTGGAGGGTAGTTAAATAAACTCTAAAAACGAACTATTATGCAACTACTAAAAATTTTTAAATAATTTCTTTTTTTTGTTTGTTTGAGACAGAGTCTTGCTCTGTTGTCCAGGCTGGAGTGCAATGGTGCGATCTCAGCTGACTGCAACCTTCACCACCCAGGTTCAAGTGATCATCTTGCCTCAACTTCCCGATTAGCTGGGATTACAGGCACCCGGCACAACGCCCATCTAATTTTTGTATTTTTAGTAGAGACAAGATTTCATCATGTTGGCCAGGCCTGTCTCGAAATCCTGACCTTAAGTGATCTGCCCACCTTGGCCTCCCAAAGTGCTGGGATTTCAGGCGTGAGCCACCGCATCCAGCCAAAAAATTTAAAATAATTTCTAAAGTTTTTAAAAAATGTTTTTTATTGCTGAATGAGAAAGTAGAAGAAAAACAATATTAATTGCTTGACTCTACAGTGTTTAAAAACATACAAATATTTATATATATATTATAAAAATTAATTATGCCAGCATTAATAATGATTATTTCTGGGTGGTCAGATTATTTTTGTTTACTTCTTTATACTTTTCTCTGTTTTCAACATTTTGCACAATTAGCAGTGAAACCTTGAAAGTTATTTTTAAAAAACACATTTAAAAACAGCTATAAATAGATTGACCAATTCATAACATAGGCATAAAACAGTAAGTCAAATCCTATGAAAATCTGCTAATTTCTGTCGCTCTTTTCAAAAAAAAGGAACTTGGAAAAAATCTGTTCCTAATCAAGCCTATGTAACAGGCACCGCAGGGTAAAATCAGGACAGGTCATCTCTGTCTGGCTAGAAAGTGCCCTTTTGTTTTCGACTTCACGAGTTATAGGACTCATAATCGGAATCCTCATCACATTACAGCATTCTGTAAACATTTTTTTTTACTCATAAAGAGCTTGGAATTTTCTGTCTACACATTCAATTCATTTGACTCATCTTAAAATCAGACTGATCCCTGGGTTTAAAAATGTTAAGGGGCTAGTGTCTTTTTTCAGTGATTTCAGTAAAACTTGATGGTAACGCTAAGTTTTCAAATATTAAAATGATGTTCACTTTTTTTTTTACATAATTCTTCCTCATGTTACGCTATTTATTATGATCATGTCATCCCTGGCAGGGAGAGTGAGTGAGAGGCTGCCCTAGCCCCCTAAAGAGGGAATTTCACAAATGAATATCAGAGTCCAACTTTGATTTTGCCTCGGTTGTCATTAAGGATCCAAGATATGAATCCTATATTTGAGTTTAGGGAGAAGCAAGGAGGCTATGAACTACCAGGGGCGTTTCCGTCCAATGAGGATAAGGAAGCTCTGTGGGACCTAACGAACAAACAACCTTCCAAGGCCTGGCAGACTCAAGATGCTGTTAATAAGACATTTTTGGTGTGGGCACTGTGCTGTCACCTACATTAGCTCAGTAAACCTTACTAAATCAATTTTTAGGAGGTAGGCAAGTCACTCTGAGCCTTAGAGTCTGTGCTTGTTTAGAAAGCTTTACCAATTGATTCCCTTACTATTTCTCATGTGCTTTACACTAAATGTCTCCCAGTGCTGCTTCTCTGGCAGGGGAAAAATGCCATCTGTCCTTGGGGACAGGAGTTCATGGAATATAGTACTTAAAGAGTCAATTAATAATGAGGTCCATGTTAAAAATATACATCAGTCACATTAACTGAGACAGAAAAGCAGCTGTCTGTCTGGTTAGACGGACAGGGATGATTTGTGAATGTTGTGTCAATTCTCGACACATGGTACAAAATAACAACTAATTCATTAAAACTAGTAGACCATATTTGGGTTTTGACTTTTCAACAGCCCTCAAAAAAGTCCTTTTCCAAGTCTCCAGGTCTATCCCTTTTAGGTTCTTCTGTCTGACTCAGATACTCAAATGTCATTAGAAATCCCTTTGCAAGTTAGGGTATCTATTGCCACAATTTATACAAACAAACTTCATTTCTCCTTTCACTATTACTGCTCTGTATCAGGAACCATTTATTCTGTTTTTTATTTTTGGTCTCATATGAAACTGTTTAAAAAATTTCCACTTCATCTCTTTCAACACTAAGGCTTTTAGTTATGTTCTGGTCTTTGTAAAAGTATAGCCTTACATTGCAAATTTTTAAAAAAGTAAACAGTATAATATATTCTATGTCCCAAATTACAAAGGGGAGCTCTGGAACTGATACAGAAATTTAACCTTATTCCTAAAAGGAAAGAAGAGAAAGAGGAAGGGTAACACAGTGTTTACCAATAGAATCAGTTATCTATTTAGAATGGAGCTTTGCTTCTGAGACCGGGTTGTGAAAGTGCTTTGGGGCTGGATAACTCTGAAGAAAGGCTTAAGAAGATAAGCCAAGGCTGATCCTCAAGTGGAGTTTGTGTGTGTGTGTGTGTGTGTGTGTGTGTGTGTGTGTGTGTGTGTGTGTGTGTGTTTGAGTGATGACATCCCTTTCAGTGCTTGAAATCTGTTTTTTGTGTTACGGCTTTTGAGTGACAGTTTGCAAGCTGCTATATTTTTTTCTATTTAGAATTCAAATGGAAAGACATGAGCATGTTTTAAATGCAAACAAATACATATGTATCCATCAGCTACCTACCTGAGAAACAGGCAGTCATTTTCAACTACTCCAAACGTTGAGTCATCTGGTTTACCCCTGAATCTCTGTTGAATATGTCTATCTCTCTATGTCACAGTGCCAGCACTCCAATTCAGACTTCTAGCATTTCCTACCTGGACTTTGCAATAGTCTCCTCACTGGTCCCTCTGACTCCAGGCAGATCCCTCTTAACCATGCTGCATGCCACTGACAGTGTGTTGTGTATAAAGCACAAACCAAACCCCTCACAGTGGGTGCTCCAGCACTTGGTTATAATCCAGGCCTCTCAGCCAGACATTTGGGCCCTGAAGGATCTGGGGTGCCTCCTCTCCAGCCCCATCGCCAACACAAGCAAGACACTCTAACAATTCCAGGTCACCACAGTTATCTTTGCTTGGAATGTTCTTCTTAGCTTTGTCTGGAAAGCTCCTTGTATACAACTTTATGGAATATAATTTGGCAATTTAACTTTATAATCTTAGAAACAAGGAATTAATCTAAAATGTGAAATGAAGTCTATACACAGAGCTACTTATCACAGCCTTATTTATAATAGCAGAAAAAGTGTGTGTGTGTGTGTGTGTATAACAATTGAAGTGTCCAAAAATAGTTAGGCAAATAAATTATGGCACATGGGATATTATATATTAATTAAAAATGATGCTGACAAACTTTTGGAAGACATGGAAAACCCATGTTTATTCTAGAAAATGAAGTAGGAGATCAGCAAGACTTGTTTTCTGATCCTTGGTCAAGACCCTTCTGATCAAATCAGAATGTAGCCAAGGAACTGGCCAAAACCAGCTAGGACCAAGATGGCAACAAGGGCAACCTCTAGTTGACGGTTTATAAATGATGCCATGGCAATGATCTGGAAATAACCTTATCTAGTTCTGAGAACTCCCTTCTCCTTTTCCAGAAAGTTCAGGAATAACCTACCCCTTATTTAGCATCTGCTTAAGAATGGGTATAAATATAGCTAGCTGGCAATCCACGAGTGCTACTCTGGGCCATTCTGCCTATGGGATAGCCCTGCTCTGTCTATGGAGCAGCCATTTTGCTGTACACTGTTGCTCTAATAGAACCTGCTTTCTGCCACTGCCAGCTTGCTCTTGAATTCTTTCCTGAGTGAAGCCAAGAACCCTCCTGAGCTAAGCCCCAATTTTGGGGTACACCTGCTTCAAAAAAACTTAAAGTGACTGGAAGATTCAAGTATCCAAAAATACATTGTAAAAGCAAAAGAAGAAAAAAAATAATAAGAATAGAGACATAAAACAGAGTAAGAGATGGGGCTAAAAAACACCTTTTGGCTATAGGTAGGCCACAAATTTGGCTCTTAGATTTCTGTCAACAAACAGAAAAAATCCAGAACAGAGTTGAGTATCTACAATATAAAAACATTCCCCTTGCTTGAGAGAAATACAGTTATTCCCACACATGAATTATCCTGGTGAGTTCCCATGAGGAAGTCAGAGTGCAAAATCCGAATGAGACACAACGGCAAGTTTGCTAAGATTGCTTCTTAGAGTAATCTCCAATAAAAACAATGGCAATTGCACCAGCCAACCCAAATCTCTTGTACAGAGTTAATATGAAATAGTGCATGTTTTTAGTTTTCTTGTGAATTTACCTTGTTTCAGGAGTACATTTTAGAAAAACAGAAGGATCTAATTACATTCCAATTAATCTTCTTGAAGAATAACTTTTTAGTCACCCTTCTGTTATACTTAATGAATTTGAAGTTGTACTTGTTGTAAAAGTACCTAAAGCCAGCTAATCTAGCTTGACAATTAAAAATAGACTTATCAGAATGAATACTTAAAGAGCACGAGTAGAAGCAGGGAGACTAGTGAAAAGGCTACTGCAGAAAGCCAGGGAAGAGGCAATGGTGGGAATGATGTTAGCGATAGTCACAGAAACCAGAATAGTACCATTGATAATGACAAGAATAATATCATCTGAGTATTATAACAATAGCAATAGCAATAATAATATAAATATATAAAATTATCACTGTCAGGGTTTTGAGTGTGTAAATACCAATTACTAGTTAGCCAACTTTAATTTCATTCTTGAATCAAAATCTAAGTTCCTTCATTGACATTTTCTTCTGTTAATAAAAGTAAAGCTCAAATTAAAAATAAAACGCGCACAAAATTCCAGACTAGGGGAATGAAGAATTGCTGTTTAGTGAATTCAGAGTTTCATGTTGGAGGTTGAGACGTTCTAGAGATGGACAGTGGCGATGGTTTCACAGCAAGGCAAATGTACTTAATGTCACTGAATTGTATATTTAAATATGATTAGAAAGGTAAATTTTATGTTATATACATTTTACCAAAAAAAACCAAAAAACAAAAAACAAACATCACACATGCACACAACCCCCACACAGCTCCAGGATTATCTGATCTAACAGGTAACCTTGCTCAGGCAAAACTAACTTCTGCTGTAAAGACTGAGGCCTGCAAAACCTGGGCCTGCAGAGCCAGTGATGGAGCCCGCCTCAGAGGCTGCTCAGAGAAGGCAGTGCTGCTCTCTAATGCTGGAATCTGCTTCAATGTGCCGATGTTAAACAGCAGCAGTGCAACGCTTTTCCACAAGAACTATTTTAGGATAGGTGTTGTTAGGTATTCACTTGATTTAACCACCTCCCCCTGTTCCCAAATAAGACCTTATTTAAGTCCAGGTGGCACTGACAACACTGCTCCTTGGTGTATCCTCTGGGAAACACTATTTACAAAATGGAACTATATGCGGTATGAGTCGAACATCCTTTATCCAAAATGCTTGGGGATGCTTGGGGCCAGAAGTGTTTTCGAATTTCTTTCAGATTCTGCATTATCCCTAATCCAAATAGCCAAAATTCAAAACGCTCCAGTGAGCATTTCCCTTGGCCATCCTGGTGCTCAAAGTTTCAGATATGGAGCATTTTGGATTTGGATTTTTGGACTACGTATACTAAACTAGTAATTTGTTTATGAGCAAGTTAAAAGTTGGGAAGCATCTACCAAAGATGATAACATGAGTTTTAGAGAATTTTGTTTGTAATCCAACTCTGACAATAATAACCCAGCAGGACATGCTGCCCCTACGCGCCACATAATCAAACTAAGCATTTAAAGATGAGAAGCTGCTTTTCTCTGTCTTCTGTAGTGGGGCAGGATGGTGAAATGCAAACAACTCATCAAAGGATATTAAAAAATAAGCTAAAGGGGGCCAGGACACCTCCCTGTTTTATCTCAGTAGAAAATTCTCATTGGGCCAGAAAAAGACCCTGACCTTTGAAGAGTGAGTTTTATATAAGCACCAACATCCCAGGGTCTTTGGTCAGTTTATGCACCTTAGAGCTTGATCAACTTCTGTCAATAGTATCGAAGGCCAAAGGAAAATAAAAATGAGGCACAAATAATCTAAAAAAGACCCCCAATAATCTAATACCATTTCTAGCAAATTCTTACAGTGTATGTGAAAAGAACAGGATAGTAAATGATATTGACAATAGTATCTTAAAGTTGCAAAATAAGCATAAGAAATAAAAAGAAGACAATATATAACAATGATAGCAGTAGTTACCTGCATGAAGGAGTTAGGCAGATATTTAAATATTTACCCATTTTACAAATTTTCTAGAATGAGGATGCAATGGACAATACAAACCATTGTTAGAAGACATGAAAACATTACTTTTTTTCTGTGGAATCTTTCTTAACTTCCTTGTGTCTGGTATTAATTCCTCCAAAATTTTTATACATTGTGTTATTATTGTTACACATACCATTCTCTATCATGAATACTTATTTAAATTCCTTTCTCTCCCACTAGACTATTTCCTTTAGAGCATGCATCATGCCATTTGTCTTCTCATCGCTGGGACTTTCCACTATTCCTGGCACACAGTTGCTACAAAATGTTTCTTGTTCCAAATGAAGCATTTAGGTACTAAAAGTTTATCAAGAGGGTGTGCTTATTACTAGACAGGGTTTACATTTTTCCTTAGTTGTGGAGGAGAGTTTGCAAAAATCAAAGAAAAAAAACAGTAGTAGAAACTAGTATCTTCCCTAATTGGTGATAATGCTATAGGGATAAATTAGAGATAGGAGGAATTTTATAGGAATGCAGGGAAACGGTCTATCTATTGCTTTGGTTTAAAACAATGGCAAATAAGGACTTTTGGCCTGCCTAAGGAATTCATATTCTTTCTGAGACACTGTGTGTTTGAAATTGAGAAGCTAAACAGGCTGAAATGAATAATCCCTGAAGAACAGTAGGGACACCATGTGATAAAAGCCAGGAAGAATCAGAGAGGCTAACTTACTCTCCGTGCAAGAGAAGATAATAAAATGAAACATCTTTTGTGGCTAAAAATCATAATCACAAATACTAACCTTAGATACAAAAACCACCCCTAAAATATAGTGTAATGCATATTTTGGCATACGTATGAGGTAGCAAAACCAACGTGTCTTGAGTAATGTCTCAGTGGTGTATTAGGATCAAATCCAAACCACAGAAGTTAGACCTGTCTGAGGCTGAGCAGCTTTGTGGGCTAAGGGGTGTCTGTCCCTCATGGTAGATGTACACATCCAGGCTCACTCTGGGGGGCCTCACCTTCATGTGCTAGAGAGGGACTGGATGAAGAAAGGATGAAGGGGAAGACATGGTAGGTGTGTATGTGCATGACTTAACTTTAGTAATCACTACAACAAATAAAGAGAGGAAGGCATTTATTAATAATTCATCATAATTTGTTCATGGGTCTCAGAAAGAGACAAGCGATAAAATGATTTTGAAAAAGTTGTGACACAAGAGTATAATTTGGAAAGACATTCTAAATGAAAACAATAGTGAAGAGATGCACCAAGAATGTCAGCAGTTATGAGGCCACAGAAAAAGTGTGAGTGAAGGGAGATGATAAACTGGAACATTTTTTGAAACAGTTTTTATGCCAAGAAGATGCAAAGAACTCTGTGGATGAGTCAGCCTGGAAATAAAGGGAAAGAGAGTCTATGAAGTTCATAGGAGCAAAGGCTTAATAATACCCCAGAGAAAATTATGTAGCAAAAAGCAAACGCCAGTGCATTTGTTTGATAATATCCATTAGTGCAAACTGTCTGGCAGAAAACAGCAACAGGCATAAAAATACCTTGATTTTAAAACCTACATGGAAAAAATGTATGAGCTATTCAGAACAGATATGTGTGACTAGAATAAGATCAAACAGTAATTAATTATAGCTGTATTTGAAAATGCTCAAATGCATTTTGTTATTTAAAGCAGGGTTCATAGTATGGAAATAATAGTAGATGGACAGTAAGGAATATGAAACAAAATCAAGGAATGAGCTAAGAATCAAATAATCGTTTAAACAAGGAGGAGCCTGAAGCCAAACTAAACTAGCCAAGAGCAAGGGCTAATGTACATTAAAATCCCTAAGGTTTTATTTTCTGTGGTAAACATTAAAATGCTATTTTTTTGTTAATATTTCCAAAAAATTACAATATAAAAGGAGATCTGGAATAACACATCATGAAAGTCTAAACACTGTTAAAACAACGCAATCTGTCATAAAAATTGAACTCAGCCAAAAATGTTCCCAAATAAGGACATGGAAAATTAAACTGTGGTACATCTATGACTTGGATATTATGCAGTCTCTAGCAATTATATATATATACACATATACACACACTACATATATATACATATAAATACATATATACACTACATATATATATACATATATACATATATATACTACATATATACATATATACATATATATACTACATATATATACTACATATATATATGTAGTAACATGAAATTTATTCATGACAGAGCTTTAAGTAAATAAACTATTTTATACTGTATCAATTGTAGAGCTAAAGTAATGCTATGTATATAATTTTTAAAACAGATTTTCTTAATTTACATTTGTAAATGTCTTTGGATTTTTCAGAAAAATGTAGATATTTAACTTTAATTGGCTCTGAATTTTTTTTATTAGTAGTAATCGCATAGGGCTCTAAATAATCTTCAAGAAAAAAATAAAGGAAAGCACTTTGCTTATATCTAAGAGGCTTTATAAAACCTTTAATAAAATACTGCAGAGATAAAAGATGTTGCTCCAAGAGGCATTCTGTAGTTCACATACTGCATTTGTCTGCCTGTGTTTCTGGAAATCACTGAGTAAACACTAAGTGTATGTAATAACTAGAAAGAACTTACATAGCGAATCCTCATATGAAGGAAATTACCAAATCTTCAGTTATCTCTATTTATGATTTCGTCTTAGATATAGGTGTCTACAAACTAACGGAAAGTGAATCACAATTGACGGCTTTGGCTGGGGCCACCAGGATGTACTTCCCTAATGCCTATTTTCCTAATGATCAATTTGCCTATGGACATTTCAACCAAGGTCTGTTTCCCTTGGGAGTTTATGCATCAATTTTAGTATCCTGTCACTTCTTTTTTGGTCACCTCTTTGTCATTTTGGGATTATTAAGCCATTCCTCTAAAGTAATTTTTGTTTCTTTTGTAGTTCTAATAAACAGTCCTTAAGTTTACATTGTTTCATGAATATGTGAATTGTCTTACATCTTTGTGGTATATGTTTTCCTACTTTACTTTTAAAGTCTCTAAGAATTTTTTTTTTCTTTGAGACAAGGTCTCGCTGTCGCCCAGTGCGGTGGTGTGATCACTGGAGTGTAGTGGCATGATCATTGCTCAGTATAACCTTGAACTCCTGGGCTCAAGGGATCCTCCCAGCTCATCCTCCTGAGTAGCCAGGATTACAGGCGAGTGCCACCATGTACTGAGCACCACCATGTTCAGCTAATTTTTAATTTTTTTTTGTAGAGACAGAGTCTTGCTATATTGCCCAGGCTGTTCTTGAAATGTTGGTCTCAAGCGATCCTCCTGTCTTGGACTCCCAAAGCATTAGGATTACAGGTGTGAGCCACCATGCCTGGCTGAAGTATCTAAGAATATTGAAAGCCAATCTTTCTAAATGAAGAATCTCCCAACAAGGCATAATTCTATTTTTATTTTTGGGACATTTACACAGATGCAAAAAACACTAAAAATGGTTGTCAGTGAAGGAGGATGGATTTTACATGACTTTAAAAAGATTTGGTTTCATTAAAGTATTTAAATTTATTTAATTTTAACAATTTAAAAAGAATTCAGACAACTTCTCAGTGAATTTCAATTAGGGAGAGGGAATAGGGTTATATAAGAATCACCTGGGGAGCTTCCCCAACTATACATGCCTGGCATCCTCCCCTAGATGCAAGAATTTTAAGGGAATTTGAGTGTCACATTCTCTTTCTGTTAGTTTAAAAAAAAAAAAATGAAAGGGCATGGGATCTGTCCTTGGCTTCCTACTTACTTCTGACCATATTCTAATTACCACACTGTTCATGTTCATTCACAAAATATTTTTCAGAGTTTATTATTTTAATTAAAATAGTACTGGTAAAAGCCAGAATTGATTCTGAACATCATAGATCTGTTGTTCAAGAAAACTTGTACTTGGCGGCCACATCATCAAATTCTGTCTCATGAAGTCCTAGTTCATAGCAGTATACTTCCTTTGATGCAAAGGGGATAGGGGATCAGAAAAATATTTCATGATACAGTGTTTTCAAGGACAAAGGTTATACAAAAACAAGAATGTTAGGGTTGTCTGCAATAGAAACATGGAAACACTGAGGCAGACTGACCTGGCAGCACTATGCCCAGCAGGTCGGGGCCAGGGAGGCCACGCAGGCACGCTCCACACACACAACCCAATCAAAAGCAGGCAGCCTAGTGACTCACCGGCAGGGCAGGATCCGGACAACGTCATTGGGCTTGTACCCTTCAATACAAACTGCACAGTTGTCAAAATCAGACTCTGTTTCCTGCAACAGAGGAAGCACAGATGAGCCTATTTTCTTAGCTTCATCTCTTGTGTAAATATCCAAGCCAAAACCCAAGGAGAGCTTGCCTGGAGCAAAGCTTTCCGCTGTGCTGGTGCCAGTTTTTAAATCAAATGTACCATCAATTGGACTAGTTTCCATTCCTTCCAACCTCTACTTCTTGTTTCTAGGTTCCACTGCAAGTGCTTTTGTAAGGAAAACCATTTTCTAAAGTACAATTACTAACAATGCTATTAATTATAATTAGAGGCAACATATCAAAATTTTCAGGATGAGAAATAATATTTGTGGTGAATCATCTGAATAATATTTAATCTATCCATTCTTCTGGAATCTAGTGTATAAAATAAATATTAACACACAATGGTAGTTCCAATTTTTTTCAAGTATATATATATCTCTTTTAATGCCTCATAACATAGTGCTTATGTAATAGTCCTTGTACTTTTATTATTCTCTGATTGAAGGAAAATAACATACTGACCAAAATGTCCTTTAAATTTAGTAATACCTTTAAATAAATTTTATCTTATAAGCCCAATGGCGTTTTTATATACTTGAAAAATAATAGCACATAATTTGTGAAATAAATCATTCAGATTAGAGACAATACCTGCTTATATATGGAGTTGTAAATCCCTTACATTGCCCCAAGGAGTTCCAAACCCATGTATTGTAATCCAATGCTCTAACTTGGCCTAGGGAATAAGGAAGACCCTTAGAAGCCCATAAACCTGGGCAGGACTGCTTTGTTTTCCCTCCTCAAGACATACTATTGCTTTTGGCTTTATGACATCATTCTACAGTGAAGGAGACTACTGAAATGAATTCGGGGCTCTGTGTTTTGATTTTAAAAAAAAATTTTATAGAGACAGGGTCTTTCTACATTGCCCAGGCTGGTCTTGAACTCCCTGGCCTCAAGTGATCTACCTACCTTGGCCTCCCAAAGTGCTGGGATTACAGGCATGAGCCACACCACCTATCAACCTTGGGGTTCTGAATACTGGATTTCAGAGGGGTTGAATATACTTCCTGCATTTATACTGTAGACAAGTGGAGAACATAGCTCAGCACATAAAGCTGTCTTGCTTGCAAAGATTCATGAAAAAACTTTCTCAGGTCATAACATCAGGAACAACCATTTTGATTTTATCTCATGGGACACTGGAATAAATTCATTAAATATTACCTGAATATTGTTTCCTTTGCACTGGCTGCTAGAAAGCCCCAACTTAAATTTGAGACCCATTTCTAGTACAAATTTTAGGTAATCCATTTGTGTACTAATTTCATTCTGGCTTCATCTATTTTTTATACACTTATCAGTTTGTCATATTTTCTATACAACTATTTTATTATCATAGCATACGCATTTTATAACAAACTTCATGTTTAATTAAGAAGAGTATAATAACAGATACTGATAGGACAACTGTTAGCATATATTTCCCTTTCCCATCCTTTCCTCTCTTCCACCCTGGCTATAAGAAAAGTTAGAAGCTTCTTTGAATAGCTCCTCACCAAAAAGAAAAGAGGCTGCTATTACCTTGTCACCCTTCTTGATGGTCCTGATCTGGAGTTTGCTGATGGCTTTCTTTGCTGCATCCCCCAGTCGGCGCTGAAAAGCCAAAACGTGCTTGTTAATAATAAAGATCTGTAATTCTTGACTTCATTTCTGATATCATTTAATACACCAGGGCAGCTAGCTCTGAAATCATGCACATGTGGTATGAATGCTAGCAATGACGACTAGAAAAGACAGGGCAGTGGCATTTGTGCAAGGGGGCTCTACCAGTTGAGGTCTATAAAAGACTTCTGCCATAGAGAGAAGTTCTTCATGCCTAGAGTTAAGCAAGTGCATGTGACATACATAGATCCTGCCCTACAGTTCTACAGTGCAGGTTATATGTGCATACACTACCCCCCCCCAAAAAAAAATGAGTTTAGTAATTTGCCACTCTAGCCACTCAATTTGTGACACAGAGATAGCCAATCTGGAGTAGCTGGAGTAAGTGTCATCTCCTCTTTTTGACAATCAGGATTCATTGCTTGGATATTCCTTCCAATCTGCTCATATAGGCATAACGTTGGTTTAAATTTGGTCTGTTCTGTCCTATTCCATCACATTCTCATGTGGCAATTTTACCTCCTTTATGCATGTTTAAGTGTGAGTGTGCATATAGAAAAATACATAAAACATAATGTTCAGTTTAGCAAATAAGTAACCACCATGATCCATGTCAAGAAATAATATATCATTCTCTCCCCATTTTTGGTAGAGAAAATTACCATCATAATGAGCCCTGCAATAATGCAATCAGAGGGTGATGAGGAAAACTGGGAGAAGGATAGGGTGGTGAGTAAATTAAATTTTAATCTGTCAAGCAAAAAAATTGCATGTGAGTTTTCTACATGTTTTATCTTCTTCTTAGGTATATCTATTTCTGGTCTGCAATAGATGTGTATCTGTTGTAGTAAAACAGAAGGACTAAGATTAAGAGAGTTAACATTTAAACACAGACTAATCATTTGCTTTCACTAATTTTGTTCCTTTTGGAAAAAGCACTCAAGCTTCTTGCTTTTCTTTAAAATAGTGAACACATATTAGTGAACAGTTAATATATCCTAGGTGCCATGCTAAAGCTATATATGCATTATCACCTTTGATATTATAATAACTGAGAAAAGCACTATTTAATAGAATGAACTGAGGCTTACAGAGCTTAAGTAAGTTGTCCAATATCATAGAGTTAGTGAAAGGTAAGTCAGAATCTGAATAAAATTAAGTTTGACTTTAAAATCAAAGCTCATCTACCACCCTCACCTTTATTTGCCAAGCCACCCGGTCAACCAATCAGCCAGTCAGCCAACCATCTAACACCTGGCCAGCCAGTCAGCCATCCATCCAACGTCTGGCTAGCCAGCTAACCAGTCAACCAACCATCCAGCCAATCAGAATCACTAAGTATTTACCACGTGGCACTTCTCTAAGTACACAGCAGTTAAAGTCATTAGCAGAAAAGGAGATGTTTTCCTTGTTAATTCATTTTTCTCTTTGATAGTTTGTCCTGCGTATCTAAAATAATGTTGACATTTTAATTAGAAGGATAAGTTTTGGCTGTTTCCTAAAAGGAGACCTATGCCCTTGAGATTTATGCAGAAGTCCATGAGTAGCTAGCAAACTAAGGCAGCAGGCAAAAATAGGAAGAGTCTTTAGTGATAAATACCAGGAAAAACAGGAGAGCGAGAGAAAAAGAACTGAACTGAGGTGAACTAAACATGACGGAACTTTCCTCTCCTCTTCTTCTGGTTATTATCTATTCATCCTTTGACTTCAGCTGAAATCATTTCTTCAAGGAGCCCTTCCTAGATGTATCCAACAAGATCCCTCTCATCTAGACCCTGATAGCACTTTGTACCTTTGCACTGTCACGTTTGACATTTGAAATTTGTTTTTATGATCAATTCCTGTTAGATTGCCCTCAGATATGCTCCCTGAGGGCAGGCCTATGCTTAGTTTTTGCTTCACATTGTTCCCTATATCCCCAGCATATATTAATAAAGCTGCCTTCAATAATAGGCAGTCAATCATTCAACATACATATTTTGATCTCTTATTCTGTGCCAAGTATAGCTTTGGGTTTAAAAAAATGGTAATGAAAACACATGTGTGCGCATACACACACGTACACACACACACTCCTATCAACTGTAGTTTAATTTATAATCTAGTGAAAACTCTAAATAATGAGTTAATAAAATCTTAAGCCAAGAGTGGTTTTTTGTTGTTGTTGTTGTTTTTTTTTTTTTTTGCAAGGAAAACAACCTGAGAAATTTAGCCAGTTAACGGGAATATTTAGGGACAAACTATAAGTGATACATATTGTAAGGTAAGCAATCTTGTGGTCCTGGCTTGGCAAACCCAGCCAGTATCAACTGACAGCTGCTCTCCATTGAAGGACCCCGGGGCAAGGACTGAAAGGTATTGAGAAAGGGCTACTAGTTATTGGGAGTAAATGCCACAGACCTGTAGAATATTGTATTTAGAATAAGAATCTGAATCCCAAACAAACAAATACTGTTTTTCTTTTTCAGTCAAGAACTCAGATATTTTTGCAATTGTGTTTAACTGGCATTATATAATATTGCACCTAATTCAATCACTTAAAAAAATTTTTTTTGAAGACTAACCAGAGTAATTAAGTAGAAAAATATATGTTCATACAATGGTCATAGATTATACTCAAAGGGAAATAATTTTTTTTTTCTTTTGAGATGGAGTCTCGTACTGTCTACCCAGGCTGGAGTGCAGTGGTGCGATCTCGGCTCACTGCAACCTCTGCCTCCCAGGTTCAAGTGATTCCCCTTGCCTCAGCCTCCCAAGTAGCTGGGATTACAGGTGCCCGCCACCACGCCTGGCTGATTTTTTTTTGTATTTTTAGTAGAGATGGGTTTCACTACGTTGGCCAGGCTGGTCTTCAGCTCCTGACCTCATGATCTGCCCACCTCATCCTCCCAAAGTGCTGGGATTACAGGCATGAGCCACAGCGCCCGACCAGGGAGCCAACATTTTTAAAAAGCAGGTGAACTAGAAATAATGTTTTCAAAATTCAATTTCTTTTAAAATAATTTTTTAGCAAATGAAATATGCCCTTCTTAAATGTGGGCATGTAGGGGAAGTTCAAAGACTGCATTAAACTTTGGCTGTGTATTTAACTTAACTGTTGGCTACATCTGAATAAAAATAGATGGCTTTTGAAAACATCCGCTCAGTCTCTTCTAGAGAAAAAACGCTTTCCACGCCCTTTTAAAATAATGAAGGCTGCCTTTATTTTTTAAAAATGGCAGGTCCGTTGAGGAAATGTAAAGCAAACTGACGTTAAGGTGACAGGGATTTTGGCTAACAGTAAAGTTAATGGCTAGGGAATTAGAAAGACGAATTCCATTACTGGCATTTGTATGACTGGGCCCTAGAGAGGTTAAAGAAGTTCAGCAGAGGATTAAGTCATTTAGGAGATGGGCTTCCCAAATTAGCAGAATTAATAGATTGAGGGAAAGAGAGTAAAAGAGAAAGTACAGTCACGTATGGCTTAATGACAGGGATACATTCTGAGAAATCCATTGTTAGGCGATTTCGTCACTGTGTGAAATCATGGAAGATTACTCACACAATTCTAGATGATACTGCCAACTATACACATAGGCTCTATGGTATAGCCTATTGCTCCTAGGCTAGAAACCTGTACAGCATGTACTGAATACTGTAGGCAGCTGTAACACAATGGTAAGGATCTGTGTATCTAAACATAGAACAGATACAGTAAAAACAGGATATTATAATCTTATTGGACTACTGCATATGTGTGGTCCATTTTTGACCAAAACGTAGTTATGCAGTGCATGACTGTAATAAAGTCATCTTCAACATCAAGTCTATGAGGCCTTCCTCCTAGAAGCTCTGAGAAATCAAATGATTCACAAAGGTAGGAAGACGTATTTTCCTTAATCATTCTAAAAAATGGTATAATGGTATTCTCTTCCATTCCCTTTCCTGTGACATTCGTTGAGTCAAGCCTCATTCTGCATGTTATTGATAAATGATACACATATTTTCTCCTCTTTTGAGGAAAAACATAGCATTTTGGCAGCGGTGGATAAAGGATATGAAAGTCTTCCCTGGCAAGGGCAGAACAGATGGTCCAGATACCTGGGGAAGGAAAATCAGCTTCTGAGATGTATATGATGATATGGGACCATGTAATAAAAGATTTTTTTTTTTTTCTGTAAGAGTTCTGGATTAACAAAATTAGGGAAAAAACAACACAAAGTTTTGAAAAAAATGCAATTTCCATATGCATGTAAACAAGTATCAGTATATGCATGCTTATTCCTAAGTGACATGAAAATTACACACATGCAGAGAAGACCCCATTAAAAAAATTACACAAAGAAAAAAAGTACCACTTTCAATATTTAAAGAGTTTTCAATATTAAAAAAATCTCACTTTCAATAATTTTCAAACTAGTTTTATTGGATTTCCAAATGCAAATTAAAGAGATAAGTAAAAACATAAACATTCTTAATGAAATGGCCCAAATAAGGCTACTTACTGTTGCTTTTGTAATTGATCTCTTCTGTCTTTGGGTTTTTGATTGCACCCAGTACGAAGAGGGAAGGAAAACTACAGGCCCTGCTCAAACTAAGTCTTGTACCCAACCTGAATAGAGAATCTAGGGATTGGAACCGGAAGTCTATTACAAAACAGACTCTTTCCTTTGCCATTCTCAGAAAGGCAGAGTAAAGTGATGCTAATGGAAGACTCAGGGACCACTTCAGGTGGATTGAGGAACCACCTCAGGTTTGAGTCAGTCTTTTGTTTCAGGTAGGGATTCCACTCTTTTCTCTAGGGTGCTCCTATGGATTATTTCTAATCTAACCAGACCCAAATCATGCTTCTTCTTCTTATTATTATTTTTGAGACAGAGTTGTGCTCTGTCACCCAGGCTGGAGTGCAATGGCGTGAATCTTGGCTCACTGCAGCCTCTGCTTCTCGGGTTCAACTGATTCTCATACCTCAGCCTCCTGAGTAGCTGGGACTACAGGTGTGTGCCACTGCACCCAGGTAATTTTTGTATTTTTTGTAGAGATGGGGTTTCACCATGTAGGTCTTGAATTCCTGATCTCAAGTGATCTGCCTCCCTTGGCCTTCCAAAGTGCTGGGATTACTGGCATGAGCTACCCGTGCCTGGCCAAAATCATGCTTCTTACTAAAGCTTGTTAGGTGTTAGGCCATCGTAATAATTAGGTTTATCCATCTATTTGATCTAAACAGATATGAATATATTTACCAAGGTTACTGGTTTATTGACAATAGTGAAGATAAACTGTGTTATGGAAAATAAATACAGAGCCATGTATTAAAATAATAAAGTCCTACATAAATTCTAACAAGAATGGTAAACAACAGACTCCAGTTCAACCCGAGACACATAAATTAGTAATCTAAATATTTAAGAAACTGAGAAAAATAAGAAATTTTCCTCTTCCTCTGTTCTGTGTTATAAATAGAAATGCAGTGAAAGTGATAAAAAAAATTTGGAACATAAGGATTCCAAAACATAGCATCAAAACTGAGTTTATTTTCTTCCTATCTCATTTCATTGGATAATTCTGTATCATATTTGTTTTTTTCCCTAACAGCTGTATTTTATGATCATGTTCATTGTCATCATCACCAAATGGAAAGATAACTAAGTGTTCTTAAGTTCTAGGTGAAGGGAGGCCACTGTCAAAGTAAACAGAGTTGGTCCCAGTTGTCTAAAACCTCACATGGTCAAGAGTGACTGAAACGTTTTCTTCGTGCACTCTAATACATAATAATGATCCTTCCAGGACTGGTTGATATGATAGAAGTCATAGCACAGCCAGTTCAATAAATTTCCATGGTGTGGATCACCACTCCACAAATCTAGAAAAATAGGTAAAATAATTTGACTATTTTGATAGCTGTGATGACCTCATAGAGTGGTGCCATAAATCTGTTTGTGAGCACACAATGTGAGGTAGAAACATCAGGGTTTGTTGTTGTTGTTGTTGGAGGTGTTGTAGAGCAGAAAATAATGGCTTCAAAGTTAGAAGACCCAGCTCTTTGTCCTATTTTTGTCACTAGCTAACTGTGTGACTTTGGCCAAGTCACTTAAACACTGTGGCCCTCTGTCCCCTTATTAATAACATAAGGTATGTAAAGTAATGTCATCTCTAGCTTTATCAGCTCATGATTTTCATCCATGCACAAAAGAATAGGGAGACAATGTGCTTTGAGACCTGAATAATCTAAAAAAAGCAAATCAAGGGCTAATTACCTCACTGAAGACTGCATGGATATGACATGTGCTTTTGCCTTTCTGTTCTCCTGAGGGCTTTGTACTTTCTTCTAGAGCAGTTTCAGGGACAATTTTAGTCCTCACTCTTTAGGAGACAGAAGCATCTCTGCCTGAACTCTCCCTTGGTGGCTGAGACTTGGCAAACTCCTTTCCTTTCTGTTTCTCTTTGTGAAGTTCATGTTTATTTTAAATTTCATTACTTCTTTTATTCCAACATAGTTTAAATATCAATGTGCAATGCGTGCAAAAGAAATCAAAGGCACATGGGCCATGTACATGTAAATATTAGGAAAAGTTATTCTCAGGGAGAGAGAAATCTTTCAGGAAAACTTTACTGAATGTCATTACCAGGCCTCAAATAAAAACAAAGCAAATCAAAACAGATCTGGTTTCCCTGGATTAGCCTCAAAGGCAATATTGTTTATGAAAACCAAAAAAGATCCCTACTTAGTTTATCTGATCTGTCCATATTTGAATAAGCTACCATCTATTGGGAGTTCTGTGTTTTTCAAGTCACAGACCCAGTCCTTGTGTCTGAGATGAGATGTCCTAGCAGATAGTGAGACAATATTCCAAGACATCACAAAAGACAGGGATACCTGCCATGGCCATGGCAGGAACACCGCTTGCTGTTTGCCTTGCCATCCTGCAGGGTTTTCATAAGTATGGTAAGAATCAGTGAATGGCAGCAGAAGTGGCACCTCTAGGGAATGAGGGGATACTTGGCCTTCTGGTGGGGACAGGAGAACTGTCCATAGTGCACACTGGTATTCAGGATCAGGAGTCTGTCATGAATCTGGCCTCCCAACTCAAAGGTCAAGAAGAGGTCACAAGATAGTAGGTCATTAGATAGGCAGAATGGAGATGAATCCTTAGCATTCTCTGGGAAGCCCCTTAAGGTGAGGAATCTTAAACTAGACACAGCCAGCTTTCTGTATGGCAGATTCAACCAATAATGGATTGAACACATTTGGGGGAAAAAACAATAAAAGATCACACTACCTGACTTCAAACTATACTACAAGGCTACAGTAACCAAAACAGCATGGTACTGGTACCAAAACAGAGATATAGATCAATGGAACAGAACAGAGCCCTCAGAAATAACACCACATATCTACAACTACCTAATCTTTGACAAACCTGAGAAAAACAAGCAATGGGGAAAGGATTCCCTATTTAATAAATGGTGCTGGGAAAACTGGCTAGACATATGTAGAAAGCTGAAACTGGATCCCTTCCTTACACCTTATACAAAAATCAATTCAAGATGGATTAAAGACTTAAACATTAGACCTAAAACCATAAAAACCCTAGAAGAAAACCTAGGCATTACCATTCAGGACATAGGCATGGGCAAGGACTTCATGTCTAAAACACCAAAAGCAATGGCAACAAAAGCCAAAATTGACAAATGGGATCTAATTAAACTAAAGAGCTTCTGCACAGCAAAAGAAACTACCATCAGAGTGAACAGGCAACCTACAAAATGGGAGAAAATTTTCGCAACCTACTCATCTGACAAAGGGCTAATATCCAGAATCTACAATGAACTCAAGCAAATTTACAAGAAAAAACAACCCCATCAAAAAGTGGGCGAAGGACATGAACAGACACTTCTCAAAAGAGGACATTTATGCAGCCAAAAAACACATGAAAAAATGCTCACCATCACTGGCCATCAGAGAAATGCAAATCAAAACCACAATGAGATACCATCTCACACCAGTTAGAATGGTGATCATTAAAAAGTCAGGAAACAACAGGTGCTGGAGAGGATGTGGAGAAATAGGAACACTTCTACACTGTTGGTGGGACTGTAAACTGGTTCAACCATTGTGGAAGTCGGTGTGGCGATTCCTCAGGGATCTAGAACTAGAAATACCATTCACCCAGCCATCCCATTACTGGGTATATACCCAAAGGACTATAAATCATGCTGCTATAAAGACACATGTACACGTATGTTTATTGCGGCATTATTCACAATAGCAAAGACTTGGAACCAACCCAAATGTCCAACAATGATAGACTGGATTAAGAAAATGTGGCACATATACACCATGGAATACTATGCAGCCATAAAAAATGATGAGTTTATGTCCTTTGTAGGGACATGGATGAAATTGGAAATCATCATTCTCAGTAAACTATCACAAGAACAAAAAACCAAACACCGCATATTCTCTCTCATAGGTGGGAAATGAACAATGAGAACACATGGACACAGGAAGGGGAACGTCACACTCTGGGGACTGTTGTGGGGTGGGGGGAGGGATAGCATTGGGAGATATACCTAATGCTAGATGACGAGTTAGTGGGTGTAGCGCACCAGCATGGCACATGTATACATATGTAACTAACCTGCACATTGTGCACATGTACCCTAAAACTTAAAGTATAATAATTTAAAAAAATAACAAAAATAATATAAATAAAAAACACAGCATAACCACTACTTACATAGTGTTTACATTAGGTACTAGAAGTAATTAGGTACTATAAGTAAACAAGAGATGATTTAAAGTATATGGGAGGATGCGTTACATGCAAATAATGTGCCATTTCATATAAGGGACTGTAGATTTTGGTATCCATGGGTAGGAGGGGGGTGCTGGACCAATTCCTCATGGATGCTGAGGGATAACTTTATTAGGAAGGTCTTAACATGACAGCCTTGCTTCTAAAGCCGGAAAGGGCCAGCGCTCAGTGTTGAATGGTCAAGAGTTGCTCATTTTATGGCTATGACTGAGGCAAAGACTGGCAACCCGCCCCTGGGTTAGGTCTCTGCACCTCAATGCCATTGAGGTGGCTTCGTCTGGTGGAAAACACTTTGACTTGAAATCATCAATCTGGCTGCATGCCCTTGAAAAGAAAATCATTTTATATTTCTCTCTCCCAAATTCATTCTATCAACTGTTCCTTTAACTTCTAAAAACTGTAATTCTAGGATCAGGCAATCAGCATTCTCAAATACTTGAGTGAAATGACAGCCAGGTGTCTTCTGCCTCCCAGTTCCCATGACTGTGGTTTCCTCTCTGCAACCCTCTGGTACACGGGTTCTCAGGGCTGAGTTGAGAGGTGTCCAGGCTACACGGTGTAGAAGTCCACACACTGGTGGCATCGATGGGCTATTTTCTTAAAGTACTCATCCAGGGGCATGATCAGGGCTGGTGAGGAGAGAGAGGTCTGTCATGGTATTCAAAAGTCATCATGACATGTGTTAAATGGACAGTAAAATATTTTTTGTAATCATTATAGGGCCTTTCTTTCTTTGACAAGTGGGTTGTGGTTTGCAACTTCTCTTTCCATGCCATCAGGGCTTCTACCAGTGCCCTGCTATTTTAACAGGTGAAGAGTCTGATATAAAAGGTTTCCTTCACCTGAAAACCATTCCCTCAGCTTCCTCTCCCAACCTGGCCTGCCTTGCTCGACCACTGTTCCCATTTTTATGATAAATCTGGCTCCTAACTCCACATGGTCCTATGTACTTAATACCCTGGGTTATCCTCTTGCCTTATAACCCTGGCCTGCTTAAGACTCTGATTCTACTTCGCACCAAAACCATTGTTAGATATAAACCCTACTCACTTTTATGTGGTCCCAGCTCCTAAAACCCCAACCTTGACCCCCATCTAGCTGCCTGGGGGTGTGACATTTATGTCTGATTATGTTAAAGAGTATTGTGGGCTTGGTCAGAGATAAGATTCCACTGGGCTGGAATATGACATTAGGAAATTGGCTCCCTAAATGTGCTGTGTGTGCTCTGAGTAGAGCCGCATCCTAATCCACATGCTCCTAAGTGTCACAGGGCTTGAATGGGAATGAATCCATTCACCTCCCTGAGCTCTGTGCAGAGAGAGCTTGAAACAATTAGTCACTGGACTCAGGCACATATAGGCCATCTGACAGACCAAGGTCTCCAAAGGAAAATGGTCTCAAGAAAAAATGATAGGGCTACCAGGAAAAACAAGCATCGCGAGTGAAGAGGGTGGCTGTGGAACAGTTAACCTCGAACAGGGAAGCAATGGCTCCACATGGCGTGTGAGGCTGTCCTTGGTCTTTGCAAATCAGCCTCCTTGTTTCAACTCCCTCAGAGTGTCATTGTGCACTGGGAAGGCAAGGTGTAAGGCAAGGAGAGAAAAATTCCAGATAGTGGTAAGAATTGGGAAGGAAAGAAACTAACATAAAATGATATGATTGCGGGAGAGAGGCTGGGGTAGAGGTGAGGCCGTATTAGAGTATCTCAGGCTCAGGCTACAGAGCGCTTCTGCAATACCCTCTCCCCAAGTGAGCTCATCCTGTCCTGACAATTTTAGTGTCATCTGTATTCTGATGATCCCCCACATTGGTACCCCCATTCCTGTCTTCTTTCCTGAGCTCCAGACATACACATCAAAATACCTACCTGGCATCTCTGCTTCAATATCTAAAAGGCTTCTAAATTTAACATCGTCAAATCCAAATTCTTGATACTCTAGCCCTTTGGTTCTCTTCTTTTTCCATCTTTCCTGTTCCAGTAAATGCCATGAGAGTTGACCTAAATGTGTCCTTGATTCCTTTCTTTCTCTCACACATATGGTAACCATAGAACTCACCATCCAAACTGGAACAATTCTGACAGTAAATTGGGGAGTTATTAATAATTAGGCTGTGTGATACTGTGATATATAATAAGGACTATCTATATTTTGGTCTTCATTCCAGCTCCCAGCTAGAACTCCTAAAATGCTTGTAATTTCCTAAGTGATGGGAGTGATAAAGGTAAATGGGTAGTTTTTATAATTCATAAGAAACACTTTTCAACCATACCTGAGTTTATGTTAATGAGGTAACTTTGGAAAGCTTCTAAGAAAAAGGTCTGGTTGCATAGAGAACCAATCCTGTGATTAGAGGGTTGGAATTTTCAGATTCCCTCACTCCTACCCCTGCCCTCTAGGGAGGGAAGAGGGGCTTGAAGGCTGAGTTGATCAACAATGGCCAATAATTTAATCAATCATGCCTACATGATGAAACCTCAATAAAAACCCCAAAGGATAGGGTCCAGAGAGCTTTTCCCTGACTCTTGAGTAAAGATGGAAGATTCCATTTTGTTTCAAAGTGTGTCAATAGAGCTAAAAAGGCCATATGTAGACTAAACTATATGTAAGGTATGTAAGAATTGAGATATTTACTATTTGCGCAGGTGTGGGGGGAAGGTGGGGAATATATTTTCCAAGAATTGCTTTATCCACTAAACGTGACCCATTTAACAACCCTCTAATAATATGTCACGCATATTTTCTCATTCAACCCTCACATCAAGCCTACGGGGCTGGCTTTACATGTGGGGAAGCCTGGGCATAGAAAGGTGAAGTAACTTGTGCAAAGTCACACCACTAGGAATTATCAAAGCAAAGATTTGAATCGAGACCCATCTGACTCCAAAGTTGGTATCTTTAGCTATTACCCTCTACCAGATTTAACTTGGTTAAATCTTTAGGAAACATGGCACACCAGCCAAATCTTCTCTCCATTTTTAGTTGTAGCCCTTATTCTCCATGTTACCATCTAAAAGACCTTGCTGGGAGGCTTATAATGTGAAGAACATTTAGCAAATATTACTTCATGGGAAACTGAATTGAAATGATCTTCTCCAGGTACATGTGACATGAAAGTGGCCATGATTATGTAAGATGCTGGTGACTTTCTTTTAATTGTGATCTGCACAAAGCCAAGCAGAGACTGAGGTGCTCATCTGGCTAATTCAAGGTCAGTCTCTCTTTCATATACCTGAATGGCTGGATACTTCGACAATGTAAAATAAATGGCTTTGATGTTCCATTTCAGGCTGTGAGCCTTCATCTAACCTGAAAGTCACTCTTTCTGAAGGACAATAATGCTTTAATAAAAATAAATGGTTTAAGTTAACCTGATGCTTATTATAGCTATGACCTGTACAGCTATAACTTTCTGTTGAATGGAGTGGAACACTGGCCATTAAAGCAGAAATATTTTTCTAAGGGAAATTATATGTTATTCCATCCATCAAAGGGCTAAAGTATAGTGTCCATTTGATCAGGAAGGAGTGTTAACTTTTAACATGATCACAATTCACTGAGTGACCCTATGGTAGCATCCTACAATTCAAGGAAAGTTAACAAACTGGGAGGAGAATAAAAATTTAAACCCCATGAACCACTTTCATACCACTACCTTTCAATTTGTTTTTCATATACCTCACAGTATGCATGTGTCTAGATAAACATGCAAGCTAGATCTACCTGCAGAAAGTAACATAATGATTGAAGTCATTACTCAACTAATTCAAGCTTAAGATTTCATCCATATCTCTACTGCCTAATAATTGCTTAAATTATCACAGGCCCAAAAATACAGGGATGCCATTTCTAATATCATCGTCTGATTAACATCTCTCTCTCTCTCTTCTCTCTCTCTCTCTACTCTCTCTCTCTCTACACACACGCGCGCACACACACACACACGTATATATGAATACATATGAAGAAACACATATAGTTTACATTTTTATTGTGTTTAGATAATGATTATACTGTTTTCTAAGAAGAGTTTGCAAACTTTTCTCCATTTTCTTCAGTCTAGAGCTGTGGTCACTAGCTATGTGTGACTATTTAAATTTAAGTTAATTTTAATAAAATAAACTTTAAAATTCTGTTCCTCAGTTACTAGCCACATTTCATGTGGCCACCATATGGCAGTGCATATGTGCATATATAAGACATATATATATACACACACATATATAATGAAGATGTGTATATATATATTTCTTCATATGTATTCATATATACGTATATGATATATATGTTATATGTATATCTCACACACACACACACATATATATATATAAAAGTTTCTCACATGTAGCCCCATATGAACCAACTGAAGCATATTAGTTCTACATCTCATTTTCATTGCCTTGTGTTTGGGATTCTATCCATTTAAATTCCAGAATATTTAATGAAAGTGGCAAAATTGAATTTGTAAGCAGTCATCAAAGAATCTATATGATAATAATAAAGGATATCATTCATTGAGTGCTGACTGAATGATTAGTGCCAGGCTCAGCGGCTTTAAAAGTAATACACATTAATCCATTTAATCCTCACTGTGACCGTAAGAGAAAGGTACATTCCATTTAGTTTAGAAAAACAATGAATAAAGAAATTAAGTAAGTTTCCCATTTTGGGTAAGCAGTGGCACTTCACTACTATGTGGCCATAAAAATCATGTTTTTGAAAATTATTTAATGATAGAGGGACATACTATTCAATAAAAAGCAGAACATAAAACATACATGGATATGTTTGTGTCTTCTGCATATATAGATACACATATAATGAAAATTTACTCAATATATATAGATAGAATTAAAAATACCTGAAAGGTAATATACTCACATGTTGACAATTTAGTGGGATAGTGGGTAACTTGTCTTTTTCAGAATTTTTCTATGATTGTGAAATTTACTAAAATAGCATGTATCATTTTGAGAATCAGATATAAGCAATAAAAATGTTTTTAAACATTGTCCCAGAAGCTACAGAAAATTTAAGCAGAGAATTTGCGATAAAATTAATAGAAAAGGAAGAGATGTCTCCTAAAACATTCCCAAACTTAGACCTCATTAACTTACAGAAAATTTCTACCAATACTTTAAGAATCAGCTAATTCCAGTGCTATTTAAAATGCTCGAGTGCAGTGTTACCCAATAAGACTTTCTGTAGTGATAAAAATGTCCTATACATGCACTGCCATATGGTGGCCACATGAAATATGGCTAGTAACTGAGGAACAGAATTTTGAAGTTTATTTTATTACAATTAATTTAAATAGCCACACATGGCTAGTGACTACCATGTTGGACACCACAGCTCTAGATCACAGAAAATGGAGAAAAGTTTGCAAATTCTTCTTAGAAGACAGTATAATCATTATCTAAACATAATAAAAATGTAAACTATGAACAGATTTCATATATGAATATAATGGCAAACAAATAATAAATAAAACACTAGCAAATATAATCTCACACACATTAGAGGAATAGTATATAGCAGAAATTCAGGATGGTTCATAATGGAAATCCATTAATATCATCCATTTATTTTAATAGATCTAAAGAGAAAACTTAGACTATGGCCATTGGAAAGACATTGGTTAAAATCAAACATCCATTCTTGATTAAAAAATTCTTAATAAGATAGAACTAAGTTGACACTTCTGACATTATATATTTTATAACATGATAAAATATATATCTCAATCTAGAAGACTACACGGGAAAATAATAAAATGAAGAAATGATAAAAACAATCCCATTAAATTGAGGATGTTCCCATTAAATACACAATGAAGAGAAATATGTTCACTGTAACCATGATTACTTTAGTTTATTCTGGAGATTCCAACCAATGAAATGAGATAACAGAAAAAACAGGATGTCTAACATTTGAAAGCAGTAAGTTATCCCTGACTGTAAGCATTATTAATATAGTTCTGCAACACTAATATAAATAATCACAAATACTACAAAGTAGTGGCTAAGGGCATGGACTCTGGAGTTCTGCTGCTGGTTCAATTGCTGGCTCTATTAGTAACCAGCTGTGTGACCTTGGGCAAATTACTTAAACTCTCTGTGCTTACTTCCAACTCTGTAAAACGGGGACAATAAAATTGTTTATTATGGGGCTAGTATCTATTAAGGTGAAAGTAGGTAAATAGAGCGAGAGAGCTCTTAGAACATGCCTGCAGCATATAATAAATGTTATACATTATTATAATTAGGGTTATAACAATGAGGCTGTTAATAATATACAAAATATACAACAATCCAAAATTTCCAATATGAAAAAATGAATTTAAATTATAATGGCAACGTAATGATTAAATACCTAGAACTAACTGAAGAAAAGTGTACAAGATTAATAAATGCTGAAAAGTGCTACTGGGAATAAAAAGAAGAGTTGAATAAGGCGAAAACTTATTACATTTGAATGGGAAGATTAAACATCATAAAGTTACAAATTTCCCCTAAATTATCCTATAAGTTTAAAAACTCATATAATGATTCTAAATTCATACAAAAATAAACATGAAAAGAGTAAAAATAGAGCAATAAAGAAAACAGCATGAACAGCCGTGAGACATTATAATTCTAGAGTACTAAAAACAAGATGGTGCTGGAGTATGAATGGAGACCTAGATTCATGGTATGGTTTAGAGAGCACAGAAATAGAAGCAAGTATATATGGGTATTTAATATATGTTAAATGGGGATACTGCATATGAGGGGGGGAGAGATTAATTATTCAATAAATGCCAGTTATAAAAATGGTAGGCCATCTGAAAAAAAATAATGTCAGCTCTCTACTTCATTCATTACACTGAAATAAGTTATCTACAGATTAAAGATTTAATGAGAAAAAAGAAATTTGAAAAGTAGAGGGTGAAAACATGAATGCTTTTCAGTAATCTTGGTCTATAGAAAATCTTATTATGGAATGGAAATGCTAAAACCACTATGAGATCACACCTCACACCTGTTAGGACGTCTATCATGCAGAAAACAAGAGCTAACAAGTGTTGGTGAGGGTATGGAGAAAAAGGAATCCTAGTACACTGTTGGTGGGAATGTAGATGGGCACAGCCATTAGGGGAAACGGTACAGAGGTTCCTAAAGAAATAAAAAACAGAACTACCATTGAAGATTTACCAATCCCTCTTCTGGGTATATATCCAAGGGAGATAAAACCACCACCTTGGAAAGATATCTGCACCCCCATGTTAATTGTGACATTATTCACGACAGCGAAGATAGGGAAGCGACCTAAGTGTCCATGTGTCCACTGAAGGACGAATGGATAAAGAAAATGTATATACATACACACATACAATGGATTATTATTGTTTATTCTCAACAAGGGATATCCTGACATTTGCCACAACATAGATGGGCCTGGAGGACATCGTGTTAAGTGAAATCAGCCAGACATAGAAAGAAAAATACTGATCTCACCTATATATGGAATATAATTTTTTAAGAAAGGTCAAATGTCCAGAGATAGAGAATAAACAAGCGGTTACCGGAGTGGGGGAGTGGAGAGAAAATGGGGAGATTTAGGTCAAAGGATACAAAGTAGCAGAATGTATCATGAGCAAGTCTAGAGATCTAATGTAAAATGACTACAGCTAAAAAACTGTATTGTATTAGAAATTTCTGTTAAATAAGTAGATTTTACCTGCTCTTGTCATCAAAAAACTATGTGAGACAATAGATATGTCAATTTGCTTTACTATATTAACCATTTTACTGTCTGTATGACTCCCCAAACACCATACTGTAAACTTCAACTATACACAATAAAATTTATTTTTTTAAAAAAGATTAATACACCAGGTGTAGTGGCTCACGCCTGTAATCCCAGCACTTTGGGAGGCCGAGGTGGGAAGATTACTTGAGGTCAGGAGTTTGAGACTAGCCTGGCCAACATAGTGAAAACCCACCTCTACTGAAAAAACAAAACAAAAATTAGCCAGGTGTGGTGGTGTATGCCTGTAATCCTAGCTACTTGGGAGGCCAAGGCACGAGAATCTCTTGAACCCAGGAGGTGAAGGTTGCAATGAGCCAAGATTTTGCCACTGGACTCCACCCTGGGTGACACAGTGAGCGAGACTCCATCTCAAGAAAAAAAGATAATAAATGTAGCTCTGTAAAAACCAAAAATTTCTGCATGGCAAGACCATGGATAAAATAAAAGACAATGACAAGCTGAGGGGTGGTGAGGTGAATCCTATCCTACAAAAAAGGGTTAATTTCCTTGACTAATAAAGAGTTTATACACATTAATAAGAAAATGACAACTCAATTGAAAAGAAGTCAAATAATAAAAGTAGTTACTTCACCAAAAATATTCACTTTTTCTATTGTACTTGAAAAGATGTTCAATGTTACTTGTAATAAGAAAAATGTGGTACCATTTTTAACTTACCAAATCACTAACAATAAAAAAAAGTTATAATATTCTTTTGGTAAGGATATGGGGAAACAGTAATTTTCATATATAGTTTGTTAAAGTGTAAATTGGTTCAACATTTTTTGGCAGACAATGTGGCAGTATCTATCATAGTCTAAAATGTATATGCCATTGCCCTGGCAACTAAACTTCCAGGATTTTACCTTGTAGATATACTTACAAATGTACTAAGTGTCATGTGTACATGTTCTGTTAAGAAGAGAAAACATGTCCGTTAATAGGTGCTGGTTAAATAGACGTGACACATACAGACAATGGAATGCTATGCAGTCATTAGAAGTGAGACGGAAGCTTGGCTTATGTATTGATGTAAATTAATCTGCAAGATGAAGTGAGAGAGAAGCGTACAGAGTTAAGTGTGCTATCATTTGTTGTTGTTTTTGAAATATATGGGCATATGTGTTTATAAGTGCATAGAATATCCCTGGAAGATATTCCAGGAAGAGGAACTGGGTAGCTGAGAGACACACATGGGAAGGCAATTACTTTTCATTATACGCCATGTGATACTTTTTGCATTTTGTACCATGGGTATACATGATATGTTTAATTGCTATTTAAAATAGCTTTTGGTTTTTATCTCCTTTTTTTTCTTCTGTTCACAAGGAGAAAATCTTGGCTCTTTCCAAATTATCTTCACACTATTAGCACTTCCTTTTGTTCCCCTCATTATGTGGATAAACAAATGTCAAAAACATAAGCAATGGGAATGTAGGACAAATCACCTCCATTTTACATAAAAACACAGTAAAACATCAAAATAGATATATTTGGATAATATCTGAAAAATGATACAGCAAATGTTAACAGTGTTTATCTTGAGTGGGGATATTTTGGTTTTGGCTTGGTATTTTCTGTCATGTTCAAAGATGTTTAATAACATTTTTGTAACAATTTTTAAAAGTTTTTTAACTTTTTGCTACTCACCTGGTTCCTATCCCTGGCATTTGCATATCGAAACCTCTGGATGTAATAAAAGACGAGCCATGCGAGGGAAATGATCATCAGGACAATGAAGGAGATGGAGACAAACACAACCGAAGTGCGGCTCACATATTTCTGCAAGTTCCGGGTTCCGATGGTGATGTACATTGTCACGGTGATGTTTCTTTCCAGCAGGCTTACTATCTCCTTCCCTTTTGGCTCAGGAATCATTATGGCCACGATGTCTTCTACACCTGTGGTAAGAGGGGAAGGAAGGGGCAATAAAGGTTAGGGGATAAGATATGGGGGATCCCAGTGAGATGTGTGGACACAGTAACACGAAACCAAATAAGGACAGTACTTTTGAGAATTCTGTGCTGGGCTAAGAAGACCTAATACTTAGAAACCAAGTCAAATTTTCTCTTTCTTCAGCTACCTAGCTTTCTTCAGCTGCTGTTTTATATGTGAAAAAAGAACCTAAAATGCATTCATGATTTTAGTACCAGTGAAGTCATAATCTTGCGATGCCCTTTTCAACTCTCCAAAGCATTGACTCCAGGTCTGGTAAAGGTGGACCCTTCCCAACCAGCCCAGTTTACAGTTCTATGTTGCATTCCATAGATCCCCTGAGGAAGGGAATGGGACTTTGCATTCCATGACAAAAGGGTAAAATGTCCTGTCTTATGCCACCTGAGAGCTCTCTCTCCCCCACACAAACACTATGAATATTCAACTATAGATCTCTCTATATTATTTCCAAGGCAATTTTCTCCTATAGTGAGTACTCAAGCAACCAAAAAAGAACATTAAGAAGCTCTAATATGATTTGCCAACATGAAATTATGGTCCCAGAACTATTTTCTGCTTATTTTACCTAATTCAATGGAAACAGCATGTTTCCACTGAACCACGTACCAAGCAAAGAGAAGTATGGTGCAATGTTTCCATTGAACCACAAGGCACATACCAAGCAAGGAGAAGATGGAAGCAGTACAGATAATTCCAGGATTGTTTCACTTCCACTCTTAGATACTCCCACCACGGCTGCTCCAGTTATTAGACAGCTTGGAGCAAAAGTACCATTTTTTCTTGGGCCACTTTTATATATATGGGTCATTGTCCTTACGCATCATGACACTGTGTGAAGTGAAGCCTCTTGGTGAGGAGTTCTGGGGCCCCTACAAGGAGTTCTTCAGTAATATCATACCAGATTCAAATATTAATATTAATTAATATTAATATTTATATTAATTTCATTAGGGTATGTTTGCAGGAATCACCCCAATTCAAATCCAGGGAGAAAGATGCAAGATGATTAGGGCACAGAGGCCTCGCATCCACATGGAAATATCCCATTACCTAGAGTGACTACAAATTAAAGGGAGGAAATTTGCAACAAGGATGTTGTAGATTCAGGGCAAAATTAAACTCCACTACAGCTGCTTAACGCTGGCTGTATTCACATGTTGAGGTCAGTTAGATGGAACTACCAGGTTACATTTGCTCAGGCTGTTGCAAGTTTCTTAGAATATTACTTAGGGCTTTCCTTTGACCTTGATCTCTGTGCAGGTTTTCAACCTTAAATTCCTTGATGGTGTTTCACTTAGGCTGAACAACTACTTTAAAACTACATATTAAAGTGTCTGTGTATGCTACATCAATTATATATTTAAAAGATTTCTGAAATTTTGCAAATCCAATTGTAAAATCATAAAGCCATAGTATGGGTTTGGCTGTTATTTCTGGGAATAACTGAAAGTGGTGGCTCGATTTTCAACTCTGAAGAATTTACTGGCAATTTTGACGCGCCTTTTCTTTTCATTTTTACTTTGGTTAATGGCTGCATGTGGTCTGAGGTTGTGTGGGGGATTAAGGCTGCTGGCTGGTTTTGTCTCTAAAGAAACATGATCTTCTTTGTATACTGGACTAATCTGGCCTAGTGAGGCTCATCCTGGTGCTGCAGCTATTTAGAGTTACTGAAGTAATGGTAGAATAATAATTTTTCATTTCATTTATTCCCTTATTTATATTATTTTGGCATGTTTACTTAAAGCTCTAGAAGTACATTTTTTTTTTTGGGACAGGATCTTGGGGTTATTTATGAGGCTTTGGATGTTCAGAAATGCACAAGTTTTACTTTTTTTTTTTTTTTTTTTTTTTGAGACAGAGTCTTGCTCTGTTGCCCAGGCTGGAGTGCAGTGGCATGATCTCGGCTCACTGCAACCTCTGCCTCCCAGATTCAAGCAATTTTTAGAGGCCTCAGCCTCCCAAGTAGCTGGGACTACAGGTATGCGCCATCATGCCTTGCTAATTTTTGTCTTTTTAGTAGAGACAGAGTTTCGCCATATTGGCCAGGCTCGTCTTGAACTCCTGACCTCAACTGATCCACCTGCCTTGGCCTCCCCAAGTGCTGGGATAACAGGCCTGAGTCACCATGCCCAGACTTACACTTTTTAGTAGTCAGATTTCACTAATATATTCCTCTATGGCTTCCAGTTTTGATACTCTTTAGAACTATTTAGAAACTATTTTCCACCCAAGATTATAGAAATACTCATCTAAAATAGCTTCTCAAAACCTTACAGCTTTACTTTTTACATTTAAATCTTGAGCAATCTTCGATTTAATAACAATATTTATTGAATTCTTACAATGTGATAAGCAGAAAGAAGGAAGATTAGGATGCAATTTTTTCCCCTAAATTATCAGATATATTTGGGTCAATTTTGCACTTTTTGCTCTTGTTGTGAGGTTGACCTATCTTTTGCTGAACCTGTAACAGGCTGTTTTAGTTGTATAGCTTTTAACATATTTACTATCTGGTAGCCTAACTCTTCCTTCACTATCCCCCTCCCCACCCATACAATATTCCTAAATTACTTATACTTAAGAAACTAGAGTCTAACAGAGTTGGCTTCTGGACCTGGACAGCTTGTTTTAAATCCCAGTTCAGCATTTTAAAAATAGGCAACCAAATTTTGGATCTCCACAAGGCTTTAAATACTCATCATCCATTTTCAGGGACTTCAGAAAACACTTTTTCTTCCTGTAGGGTAAAGTATAATTAACTATTTTAAAGCATTTATTTTAAACTTCAGTGCTTAGTTACACCACTTGTGTTGTCTGTGCCACTGTTGTGCCCTCATGACATATAATATCCACTTAGAAAGACAAACAGTGCAAATGGCAGTGGGGAGGGCCTGTTCATCTGAGCTTCAACCTTATTCATTTTCAGTATTCATAATACATTTCTAGAGTTCATCATGGTAAAAACAGATGAGATTTTGGGAGATTACTCTGGTGTGCTTTAGTCTATTGTGCATGGTGAAAAGTGATACTAGGGATATGTATTTATCCTAATAGAAACAGTCACTAAGAATTTAGGTATCTAGGGTGTCCAAAAAAAGATATAAAACAAAGTGGATTTGGATGAATTATCTTATTCTGATGAATGCACAAAATCCAGGGCAAAATGCTCCTCCAGGATCTATATTGTTCAACTGAGGCATGTGCACTGATATGAGTATCAAATTCCCTGATCTTTGCTTCATTTTGGAATCTGCAGCTACAGTTTCAGGGAGAAGCCAGCAGGTTCTCCCAAGTATACTAGGATATGCTTTGCTTCTGTGGGTGGGTGTGAGGCAGGGAAGGAGAAAAAGGGGTGGGGCTAGGGGGAGTGGTGCAAGCCCAGCACAGTGATCTGAGAGTTCAATGCTGCCTTAAGTAGCTACTACGCATCTATGACATTCCAAGGCTCAGGGAAAAGAAGTTAACAAATAGCATATTTGGTATGGGAAAACCCACAAGGAGGTCCGGCTATTTGGGCAATTCTATTTACTGTGACACAGAGTGCCTCTTTTTGCAAAATTATATCAGCCTACTATCTATTTTCCTCCCAAAGGCACTTTATACTTGAGTGGTGAGAAGTTGCTATTATGTAATTATTGTGTGCTCTGGAAAAGCTCTACAGTCAGGGAGAAAATGTGTGACCAGGACACATATGACCTGGCTGCCAGACGACAGCAGAGGAGCATCCTGTATTTTTAGTGCTTCCTTTTCCCTTGAGAGTGCTCCATTGCCAGGATCTAATTTGGTATATGCAGATTAATAAGGAATCAAAACAGAAGTTCACAAAGCCAAATATTGTTTAATAACTAGGAAAGCTTTACTTGTAAATTCAAACCAGGTTGTTTAGACATTGTATTAATAAAATATCTAGAATAGCAGTACAGTGCTAGACATTTCACAAAGCCTGTAATCCCATTCTTCCCTGGGACCCTGGAGAGTGACAGCATCTCTCCCTGGGTTTGTTTGATCAAAAATCCTTTTTCAACCTCCTGTATTCTTTTCTCTACACTAATCTTTACTTCAATCTCAGTCTCACTGTTGGCCCTCTAGAACTTAGGTGACAAAAAAAAAAATTTATATTGTCCCATTTGTAGATATTTTCTATTTGTACACTTAATATCCACTTTTTCAAAACTATAGTCCTCAGGTGACCAAAAAAACTTATATTGTCCCATTTGTAGATATTTTCTATTTGTACACTTAATATCTACTTTTTCAAAACTATAGTCCTCTCTTGTTGATCATTTATTCTCAGGAGGAATGTGTATGAAATTATTTTAAAAACTGCAAAATACCATATAAATGTAAAGTGTAATTACTACTTTTTGCATCAACAAGTATATTTTTAATAAACACAGATGTAAAAATCCTAAATACAGTACTCACAAACAGAATCCAATAATACAGTAAAAAAACTTCATGACCAAGTGGGATTTATCCTAGGAATGTGAAGATGATTTAATATTAGAAAATATATTAGTACATTTTAGTACATTAACAAATTAAAGGAATAAGGCATACAATTATATTACATAGCTAGTTGTCCTCCAATATTGGGCCTTTCTTCCTTCTACAGTATGAATGTTTTAGCTAGGCATAGGCTGTCCAGTGAAAAGGCTCCCCTGCAGCTGGGTGTGGTGTGTGATTAGTATTTGGTCATCTAGGTGTGAGTACAGATGATACTCGCCACTCCAGGAACTTATCTACAAAAGAACTGAGTGTGTGCTCTCCAGGTCCCTTCTCTCCCTTCCTTTTGACTTCAGATGGAGAGACATGAGCAGCCAGCTTCACAGAGAAGGAACCCATCTGTTGAGGACTGAACTCATTCCTGATTCTTTTTATGAGTAATAAAAGGAAATTTCTTTAATGTGATAATAAGTATCATTAAGAAATATTCCATTAAATGGGGGAAAAGCACTGGAAGTTTTTCAGTTAAAATCATGAATAAGACAGGATGAGCCAACATTGTAAGAAGTTATACTTGGTGCAAGAGACAAAGAAATTGGATGCTAAGTCTTGGAAAGAAGAGCACACACTATCATTATTTGGGGTATCACATGACCATGTATAAAAGACAAGATAATTATGTTATTAAAATTAGAAAACCATTCAGGACTCTTCTCAGAAGTTACAGAGGGGAATCCATATTGACAAATGCAGACTGTACCTCCCTACCATCAAGTAAGTGATGAGAATACTTAAATATATACAATTTAATGTTGTCAATTATACATCAGTAAAGCTAGGAAAAATGTGAAAAAACTAGAAAGAAATAAATTATTCAACAGCAGTAAAATAAGTAAGTAATCTGTGGTTTACTTTTACTAAGAATTGATAATTCACAATGTCTTGACAATGTCACCATGTCTGTTTATGAGAGAACTCAGTTATATTTGTAATACATGTACATTTTCAATCTGAGGTATTTCATTTTATCTTTAATTCTGAAACATTTTTCTTCATATTTTATTACAGTATTTCCTCCTAAATTTTTTCTCTCCTGTGATTCCTATTATCCTGTTGGGGTAGCACCTCCTTTTCTTCCTCCATATTTCTTATACCCCTCTCATTTGAAAAAAAAACTGTATTTTGAAATAATTATAGACTAATAACAAGTGGTATAAACATGCCGGGCATGGTGGCTCATGCCTGTAATCCCAGCACTTTGGGAGGCTGAGGTGGGCGGATCACCTGAGGTCAGGAGTTAAAGACCAGCTTGACCAACATGGTGAAATTCTGTCTCTACTAAAAATACAAAAATTAGACGGGGATGGTGGCGTGTGCCTGTAATCCCAGCTACTTGGGAGGCTGAGGCAGGAGAATTGCTTGAACCTGGGAGGCAGAGGTTGCAGTGAGCCAAGATCACACCACTGCACTCTAGCCTGGGTGACAAGTGAGACTCTGTTTAAAAAAAAAAAAAAAAAAAAAAAGAAGAGGTAAAAACAGTACACGGAGGTCCTATGAACCAACCTCCCAGCTTCCTCTGATGGTGTCATCTTATATAATTATAGTGCATTATCAAAACAGGAAATTGGCAAAATATAATTAAGTAGATTATGGAATTTATTTGGATTTCACCAGTTTTTGCATGTACAAAATTTTAAATGTCTCTGTGTTTAATTCTATGAAATTTTATCACATATATAGAGTCATATAACCACTAACACAATTAAGACACTGACATATTCCACCATCAATAAGAAATCCCCTCACTCTCTGCTTTCCCTTCCCTAAGCCTTGTATATTCTCCATATTAATTTTGTCAGTTTTAGAATGTTACATAAACGGAATCATATGGTATGTGATCCTCTAGATTGGCTTTTTCTCATTCAGCATAATGTCCTTATCCAAACAAGCATGTATCAGTAATTCATTCCTCTTGATTTCTGAGTATAATTCCATGGTAGAGAATGTGGTACACCACAGTTTAATTATTCGCCAATTGATGGACATACGGATTATTGCCAGTTTTTGGATATTACAAATAAAGCTGCTATGAACATTAGTTTTTGGATGAATATAAATGTTCATATCTCTGGGATGAATGCAAAGGAGTATAACTGCTAGCTTGTACGGTAGTTGAACATTTGGTGTTCTAAGAAACGGACAAACTGTTTTCCAGAGTGGCTGTATCATTTTACATTCCCACCAGCAATGTATGAATGATTCAGTTTCTTAGTATCCTGGTAAGACTTGGTATTATCACTATTTTATTTTAGCCATCCTGAGAGGTGTACAAAGGTATTGCATTGTGTCTTTACAATATCTCTTCATTCATTGTGAGTGACTTCTAATTTTTGAAGCTGATCTTCCAGCTCATAAATTTGTCTTTATTGTATCCATTTATATTTTATCCCATATTTTAGTGCTCTTTGTTTAAACTACAGGCGACCCTTCATCAACACAGGCTTGAACTGCATGGGTCCGCTAATACATGGATTTTTTTCAATGATATAATTGGCCCTTTGATCTGCAACCAAATGTGAATAAAAAATGCAGCATTTGAGACTGGGCATGGGGTCTCACACCTGTAATCTCAGCACTTTGGGAGGCCAAGGCAGGAGGATTGCTTCAGTTCAGGAGTTCGAGACCAGCCTGGACAACACGGCGAAACCCTGCCTCTACAAAAAATACGAAAATTAGCTGGGTGTGGTGGCATGCTCCTGTAGTTCCAGCTACTTGGGAGCCTGAGGTGGGAGGATGACTTGAGCCTGGTAGGTCGAGGAGCCCGCAATGAGCCATGATTGTGCCACTGTGCTCCAGGCTGAGTGACAGAGCAAGACCTTGTCTCAGAAAAACAAATACATAAAATACAGTATTTGCAGGATTTGAAACCTAGCTATACGAAAGGCAACTTTTTGGGGATTCTGCAGAGCTGACCGTGGGAGGTGAGTTTGTGCAGATTTTGAGTTTGTGCAGGTATCTGCAGGTGGTCCTGGAACCAATCCCCAGGGAAGATGGAGGCAAGACTGTATTGTATTTTTCACACTAAATATTTCCCATTGTGTGTGTATGTGTTTTATAAAACAACTTCTAGTTCCTGCTGCATAGAATCTTCCCTTAATATTTGTGGTCCATTTTTAAACCATTCTTTCTCAGGTGGTATCTACTCATTTGGTACTATCTTTAATAATGGTGGGATTCCTCTGTTGTTTTGATAACTTCCTAATGAGCTCATGTTCCCCTGATAGAACCAGTTTCTCTGCCTGATCCTATTTTCTGGGGAAAACCAAGGTGGAGGTCTTAGTCTTGTTCCTCCAGAAGATCCAGAACAGAGTTGAGTATGTTTAGACAGCCCCAAGCACCAAGAAACAACCAATGAGGCTTCCCATGAGGGCAGGCTCTCTGCAGTATTACTGGCTTCTCACCCTCCTCTCAGATGACCCCATGTACCTTTTGCCTGAGGCATTGCTGAAGTTCCGGCCTTCTATGTCATGAGTTCTCACTCAGATCCTCATTCGATCATCGAATCCAACATAATTTCCTTTTTCAAACCCTTCCTATGTGACTCTTAGAAATTTAAGCCTCTAGTTAACAAATTCCCTAACAGCCCTGGTGTTAGAATAATCCCTTCAGTTCCTTGATCCTTAACCTTCTTGCTTTGATTGGTTCGGCTTTCCTATGAAGACACTGATTTCTCTGCATTACGGTGAAGGAAAGAATTTTTTAAATTAAATTTATTTTTATTAAGCCCCATTCATTCCACATGCCTCAGCACCAGAAGATGGTTTGCTGAGTGTGCTCTATCTTGTATCTCCAGATCATTACTTCTAGCCCCATCACATCCTCCTTCAAAAGCCACTCATCTTTTGAGATTCTTTTCACTTGGATTTACAACCTTGTCCCATCTCTCCTTGCCACCATCTGCCAACCTCCTGTTATCTCCTCTTTCCCTCAGTTAACTCCTAGCTCACAATATTCATCCTCCTCAAATCAGAATCTCAGTGTTTGCGAGGATGACCCAGCCAGTACTCGAGCCTGTCCATTGCTTGCTCCTTTCCTCCCTGTTGACCTTTGCCTCCATTGCTCCCTAGACACACATTCCCACTGTTGTATCCTGGACCTTGTCAGCACTAGAAAGTGCACCACCTCTGGAATGCTGACTTCAAAGACGTCATTTTCCAGTGCCACTTCCTCTTCTTCCAGATCTCTTTGCTCAGTCATGCCCACCCTATTACTCCCCTCTACTTTCTATCCATCAACCCTCTCCTGGCCTCCCTTCTCTCCCTACCAGCCCACATTCCATGATCCACCATTATAAACTCTTCTTAAAATACCCTTAGCTCCCCTGCACTTCTATTTCTCCATGGAACCTGCCCTACAAAATTTGCTTTTTCTATGCTTCCACCTCTTCATGTGAACATTGCTAAGAGGGAAATCTCACAAGTCACCTTTTTTTCACTTGAAATTTATGATCACTATCCTCAGTTGAACACCTGCTATCACCCTGCTTTCCTCTATTTTGGACTCACTCCCCCTTTGTCCAAATGATGACCTCATACCTTTATGTCTCTCCGGGAACCTCCCACACCCCCTCCCACCCACATTCTAAATCAGTGATGTTACCACAGAAGTCGTTGAGAAAAAATACCCACAAGAGGCAAATATCCTGTCCTATTATTAAATGAGATAATTCACAATGGATTATTTGGCACAGGGCTTTCCATACAGAACCCACTAAGTAGATGTTAACTTTTATTAGTACCATTACTGTTGTCTTACCACTGCCAAATACACAAATCAGCCTGCATCTGTGCCTCCTTCTCTTGTTACAATTCAGTCCAATTTCCCTCTACTATAATGACCTAATCCAATCAGTATGATTCCCTCACCTGTCACAGTCACTACTGCTCAGGTAGGGGCAGGGCACATAAGAATTTTATTTGAGTTATAACGAAGCAAAGGCCTTCTTTTGGTCTTAAACTGGAGCATCTGTGGTTGTGAGAGTCACTTTCAATCCATGAGACGAAAATTCCAAGAAGAGAGCTGGCAATGAAAGAGGAGAGCCATAAATAACCTGATGACATGATTTGAGCCTTGATCAAGCCACATCTGAAGTCAGTCTACCTTTGGGTTTTGCAGTTATTTTGCTTAAAGTGGTTTGGTTTGAATTTTCTGCACTTTACGTCCATATTATATAACCAGGTAGTGACACACACAAAAATGAATCCAGGTCTTCTGAATTCCCAACCAGAGTCACTGAACCTCTCATATACTCCCATGTAATTTCTTAGGTGGTCTATAATTTAATTTTACTTCAATCAACTTATTTGAATTCACATTCGAATTCGCCATTAGCGTTTTCATACATTTCAGAAAAGAATATCCATATTACACTAAATTATTGCTCTCTGCCTTGCACATACGATTCCAAAGTCATCCTAGACCATGAATAAGCAGTCATTCCATATGGCTCCAAAGTGTGTTCTATCCGCTTTTCTACACTAGGGAGAAGTTAGTACTATCCTGAAATATGTATCTTTCCTGAAACTCATGGTATTACCATACTTGTTGAAGATGGGGAGTGTGCTGTCTGGAAGACAATCTTAGTCTGAACAATAAAAATAGTTCCCAAGAGATAAAAACTTAAATTGATAGGACTAATTTAGGAGTTTGAAAATGTATCATTCAGCAACCAAATTGATAACCTGTAGAGCCAACCAACTGACTTGATTTCTCCAGAAGACCTGCAAGCTCAAAATATGTAAGGCTCATATAAGTTGCTGAATGAACACTGGTTAATCTGTGCTCCCCCAAGACTCTGCTGCCAACTTGAAATATGTCAAATGCTGATGTTCCTGAAGTGCATTGTAATTTCACAACAGATCCTCTCAGTGTAGATTTGTCATTACAGTTAGAGCTAACTGTTACAGAATTTAAAAACATATTTAAAGGAGATGCTAACAATAGCCAATTTTATTTTCCTTAGAATGGCTCTAGTAACAATTATCTCACTGATGTCAATTCCTCAGCTATACTTGAGGTGATCAATGACTCATACTTTTTTGAAAGTTTGTAGACATTCCTATTCTACAAGTGTATAGAATTATTTATGAATTTGTGGTAACTGTAGGGTGAGTGATAAATGTAGAATAAGAATTATTGAATTATTGAAGGTTGACTTATTACATTATTGAGTGATGAATACAGAATTATTTATTGAAGGTTGACTTATTACATTATTGAGTGATGAATACAGAATTATTTATGAATTTGTGATAACTGTATGGGGAGTGATGAATATAGAATAAGGCATTGTATTTAGAGATTCACCTGTAGGGTTTTCTTAGAAAATATTCAGTAAATCAGTCTTAAAAAATAACTTGCTGCTAGTTCTGTGAGCATTTCAAATGGCTAAAAATAATATGATAGAGTCCAGGCTGAAATGAAACAAATCATAGAATACTAAATTGATTTTACAATAATTCCATTTTCATTAAAGTCAGTTTCTATTAGAGCAAATAATAATGCTGAAATAACTTTCTGCTTATATATAAAATATATTAAATTCTAATTTTTGCTGGACAAAAAACAATATATAGTCGTTCTTTGGTGTATGCAAGGAATTGCTTCCAGGACCCCCACATATACCAAAATCTGCCCATACTCAGTAGGCCCGCAATTGGCCCTGAGGAACCTGTGTATACAAAAAGTAGCCTCTCTGTATATGCAGGTTTCACATCTCAGGAATACTCTATTTTCAATCTGAATTTGACTGGAAAAAATCTGCATGTAAACAGACCAAACCGTTGTTGTTCAAGGTTCAACTGTACATGTAAGTCTCATTAAGGAGCAGACTAGTGGAATCACAGTATAGGAGACTATGAGAGACCAAAATTTCCCAGCATTTCAATCTTGATAATAATATCATAAATGAAATTAAATAGCAGAATCATTTACCATAACTTCTAGCTGGGTGACTTTGGAAGACTTATTAAACCTTGAAGCTTCAGGTTCATTATTTTCACACTCTCATATGAAATGTACCAAAACAAAAGGGCTGAGTAAGGATTAAATGAAAGAATGCACACAAAGAACCTAGAACACACATTACATTCAGTAAGTATTAACAGTTATTATTATCATCATCAACATTTATCAAATAAATACTTAGAGCATTCTAGATAGTATGAAACCTGCATTTAGACCAAAGGAGGCAGAGTGGGAAGGAGCACACTAACCTTGGCTTCCACTGGGGTCCAGGGACAAGGATGAGCTTATGGACAACTGAGAGCACCTGGATATTGTAGGGACCTCTGAAAACAGCTGGGGACCATGAAGCCCAAACTGGGCAAGTTGCCATTTCTGCAACGTTAAAAGGTAAACTTTCCACCTGTTTTGGTCAATGAACGGAAACTCGAAGGCTGATGAATGCAAAATCAATCTTCAAAGTAAAAAATGAATAACTGGGTTAGCAATTAATGGTTCAATTCATATTACTCTCTTAAGGTAGTGAAAAATAAAAATTGTGTAATTTTTAGTCTGAAACTCACATAATAAAAGAAAACATGCAATTGTGTTTTATTTTGCTTTGAACTACTGGGAAAAATCACAATGAATCCCCTTAAGGCTATTTCATTTTTTTTCTTTTTTTTGACGGAGTCTCGCTTTGTCACCCAGGCTGAAGTGCAGTGGCATGATCTTGGGTCACCGCAACTTCTGCCTCCTGGGTTCAAGTGATTCTCCTGTCTTAGCCTTCTGGGGTGCTGGGACTACAGGCTTGTGCCACCATGCCCAGCTAATTTTTGTATTTTTAGGGAAGATGGGGTTTCACTATGTTGGCCATGCTGGTCTCGAATTCCTGACCTCGGGTGATCTGCTTGTCTTGGCCTCTCAAAGTGCTGGGATTATAGGCATAAGCCACCATGCCCGATCCCCTTTAGGCTATTTTTAACAATACATGGCAAGAACCTAGAATTACAATTAAAAAACAATCACAGTATCATGGATCTAATGAACTTCTAGATATTTATGATACACTATTCTGTACCATTGGAATGGGAAAATATAGATGAAGCACCTTGATATGGTTTGGCTGTGTCCCCCTGCCCCCAGATCTCATCTTGAATTATAGTTCCCATAGTCCCCATGTGTAGTGGGAGGAGCTGGGTGGGAGGTAGTTGAATCATGTGGGCAGTTTCCCCCACACTATTCTTGTGATAGCAAGTTCTTATGAGATCTGATGCTTTTAAAGGGGCTTCCCCCTTTGCTCAGCTCTCATTCTTCTCCTTCCTGCTGCCATGTGAAGAACGTGTTTGCTTCCCCTTCCGCATGATTGTAAGTTTCCTGAGGCCTCCCCAGCCCTATGGAACTGAGTCAATTAAATGTCTTTCCTTTATAAATTACCAGTCTCAGGCAGTTCGTTATAGAGCATGAGAACAGACTAATACATACCTCTTCTCAAAAATTTTTGGTTATTTGTTTGGCAGAAGTTATCTGGAAATTCCCAATTTACTGTATAATTACCAACTGTCTCATTACTTTTACTTGCTTAATAATTTCTACGTGTAAGTATTCAACAACTTGTCTTCAGCAGTCTTTGAAAGTAGAAGTGAGAGATTCCTTTATTAAAGGCTCAGATTGGAAAATCCCTGTTTTTAAGGCCAATTAAAGTTTACTATTTTGGTTTCTAGAAGCTGGAAATCCCCATATAGTTTTCCCTATAGTAAGATGACGTATACTATAAATTCAACAAGTATTAAGGTCAAGTTAAAAGACCAACTACAGGTTGAGTATCCTTATTTGACATGATTGGGACCAGAAGTGTTTCAGATTTTGGAATTTTTCAGATTTTGAAAGATTTGCATATACATAATGAGACATCTTGGCGATAGAACCCAAGTATAAACTCAAAATTCATTTATGTTTCATATACACTTTATACAAATAGTCTGAAGGTAATTTTACATAATACTTTTAGTAACTTTTGGCATGAAATAAAATTTGTGTACACTGAACTATCAGAAAGCAAAGGTGTCACTATCTAGGCCACTCACTTGGACAACCTGTGGTTGTTTGGCACCACCATCATTCCTGACTTCGAATTTATATGCTACCAAAAAGCAATAATTTTTTAATACTTATTCACACATAGGTACTTCACAATAAAAAACATGACATACCATCGATACAGAGAAAAAATAATGTGTTTGGGGTAACTAAGCAGCACAGTAGCATCACTAGGTGCCTGTATCAGCTGTTAAATAGCAGCAACAAACAAAAGCAGGACTTTGGTCTCCACCTGTGATGCTGTGTTTTGTTTAAAAGGTTATAGTGCATTGTATTTGATTTTTTAAGGTGAGACAGAATATCACAAGTAGTTGAGGAACCAGGAAGTAGGTTTTCTAAGGTTGAGGAAGCATTCTGCTCGAAGTCTTTTTAAAATGTTTCCTCCAGAGTCATCAGCCTCATTAACAATGTTTTTTGTCTTAGAATGCTCTCATTGATTTTCATAAACAAACATGATTTCATCTTGTTATGAATGCATGCTGCTCTAGTCCTTACTCTTTCAAAAAGCCCATCACATGTTTTTCACCATGTTATCTATAGGCACTTTTTCTGTAGTGTTAACGTCATCTTCACCATAACTATTATTACAATCACCTTGATTCAGAACCATTTTGGCTATTTCATCATTGGTCAACGAATATACAGCAGGAGCCTCACCAATGGCAAAATCTTCTTTGATATGCACTTCTTCCAATTTACTGATGGACTCTGAAGATATTTTTCACATGTGTAAGGAGGTCAGACATCATCTTTTTCTCACGACATATGAAACCCTTCAAAGTCACCACCTTATTCATCATCATCACTGAACAGAGTTTTAGGCCAGAGCTTGAGCCAGGCATGCGCAAATGTATCTGTAGTTACTGTGTTCCAAGCATTGGTAATTGCATATATGGCATCCTTCCTCCTCTTGAAAACCTTCCACACCCACACCTCTGTTCACTGCTGCTAGTCTGCTGTTCAAGAAAGTGTTTTTATATTTATTCTTCTTTGATCTAGCACTGGTCATGGCTGAATTAATGAAGTATGTAGCACAGACTTTTTTTTTTTTTTTTTGGTGAGAATTTTTCAGCAGGAGGATGAGCAGAACGATTGTTAGGGACTAACAAAACCTTGCAGGTCCTCATCCTGTCCAGCTTCTCTGTAGTGAGCATGGGTCACTGGAACAATCAGTGAAACCAGTCAGAAAACATGTCCCTGGTGATCCATGCCATTTTATTAAAATAACAATGAACTGATAAGAAATTAAGACCTTGAAGCACTCCTTGAAATATCAAAGACACATGCCTTTGCTTATCACTTTAGTTTACAACTATGCATGCCTGCTGCATTAGCACATCCCAGCGGTGATTCTGTCCTTGGCATACTTAGTTTCTGTACAGGCTATCTCATCAGCTGTAGTCAGTGTGTTTCTGGGGCAATAAGGTTAAAACTGCGATGTTTCATAAGCATTATAGACTTGTTCTGGCATCGAATTTTCATCAGCGATGACCTTGTAAAACTTATCAATGAATGCCTCTGCTGCTTTGTGATCAGCAGAAACTTTATGACCACAAATCTTTAAAAAATTAATGCTATTTCTTAAGTTTCTGCAATCAGCCTGTTGAATAGTCACAGTTCCCTTTTTCAGTTCATTGTGATGGATCTTTGTTTCATGATCAGCACACCATTAAGCGGCCAATGTTCAGTGTGAAGCTGACAGATCCACTCAGTACATACTGAAGCTCTTCATTTTTAGCTGTATGCAGTGTTTTTCTATTTTTCATTAACTTTTGCTCATCACTTTCAACACAGAACTTCAAGAATTTATCCTTCTGTTTCTTCAGGTCACATGGGGTGGTCATTCTAACACTATACTCTTCCATAAGACATCTCATACTTACACTGCTGTCCAGTTTCTCCAACAGCTTGGCTTTCTGTACTATAGATAAGCATAAATTTGTCTTCCTTTTCTTATCATTGTTACCCACAGAGGTAACTGCATGTCTTTTTTGATACTTTCAACAATATATTTATACCATAGAGCAAAGAATAAGCAAAAATAATACAGTGTATAATGCATGTAGATCTTGCCTCATGTAGGGCACTTCAGGGAATCTGCCATTGGTGAATCTGGCCTGCACCTGTGCCATTTTATTACCTTTCCTGGGCATGCTTGTGGGGGGAATCTAGGCATGCGTGGAAAGAGATTGAAGCTAAAGGGGGTAAGAAAGTCTTTTTTCCTTTGGAGATGGTGAATAACTTTGTATGTTGTATAACTGCCTTTTTTTTTTTTTTTTTTGAGACAGATTCTCACTCTGTTGACCAGGCTGAAGTGCAGTGGCACAATCTTGTATCACTGCAGCCTCTGCCTTCCAGGTTCAAGTGATTTTCGTGTCTCAGCCTCTCGAGTAGCTGGGACTACAGGCACGTGCCACCATGCCCAGCTAATTTTTGTATTTTTAGTAGAGGCAGGGTTTCTCCACATTGGCTAGGCTGGTCCTGAGGTCCTTGCCTCAAGTGATCTGCTCACTTTGGCATCCCAAAGTGCTGAGATTACAGGTGTCAGCCCCGTGCCCAGCCGTGTGACTGCATTTTGACTGTGACCTGTCACATGAGGTCAGATGTAGAATTTTCCACTTGCGGTGTTATGTCCGTGTTCAAAAATTTTAAATTTTGAATCATTTTGCATTTTGGATTTTCAGATTAGGGACACTCAACCTGTATTAATATCTTGAGGAGTGAAATAGCAAAAACAGGATAGAACTTGGTGATATACCTTGGCAGATAAAAAATGGGCCTCTTAAGGATCAGAGCTCAAGCTCCAAATAAAACACTACATATCCTTTGGCTTGATACATAAATTATTGGGATGAGTTCTGATAACCATTGGTATGAAAAGGTTTTTAGACTAATATGTAAGTGAACAGAGTCTATAAATCTTCTTGGTCTTTATTCTCTCTATCAGTATTCTTAGGGCAGGTAGAATTGAATGCATTTTAGGAAGATCTCAAGTCTAGGATGGGAAGAAGGGTTCGGCAACTGAGTTTGTATTCTGAAAAAGCTACAAAGGTCTGAAACATACCTTCCTGTCCTTTGTTTGATACAGTCTACACTGTAAATCAAAAAGTGTCTATAACAGATGCTGTCCATTACACTCCCCTATCCCATACATTTTAGTGCACATTGTCTTGATTTTCAATTGCCAGCACCTGTATTTCTTTGCTTAAGTGACTTTCTGGACCACTGACTATCACTCTCACTTGGTGTGGGCCAAGGGAAAGGAGGAATTGCTACCACCTAGGAGCAGCCATGAACTAATGACTAAAAAAGTGGGTGTATAAATACCTCAGTTTCCTCCCTCACTGTGCTAGTGAAACTCTGCTGCACATTTTCTGCACTGTTTCCCAGAGCTCCCCAGTGGCATTAAGCTTCATTACTTCCTTGATAACATATGATTTATTGGCTCCTTTCCTTCCCTGTTGCATTTCTCCACTCCCAAACAAGTGTTTCCTGGAATCAACTTTTAAATAAATGGCTTGGCCCTGAATTTTGTCTCAGTCCTGCTTATAAATAAACCCAAACCAAGACTGTGCCAAAAATTACTTCTCTCTTTTTTCTTTCTCCATAGTTCTCTGATGTCCTAAATACCAGCTATAATGGCTCATGCCTTAGTGACACTACACTGCCTCCTAAATATCACTCTTTAATAATTTGTTTACAAAGAGAAAGAAAACAGCGAATGCAAAAACATGAATTACATGAATTTTGCCCCTCCCATTTTTAACTTAAAAAGGAGAATCATTCAGCATAAGTAGTTCTAGAATCTTTTCTTTAATACCTTTTCACGCCCAATTAACACAAAAATAGTTGCAGTTACACACAGCTACTGAAAACCACCAAACTGCCTATCTGAAGGGAGAGTCAAGGATCCTTCTCTTCCACCTCTGACCTTATGAGAGAATGATATTTTTTGGGTATTTTGGGTATTAAAGAGAGAGCATTCACTGAGATATTCTGTAAACTAAACTCATCAGATATTCTGTAAAGCTTTCTGTCTAATGTAGCCACTAGCCACATGGAAACAAATTAGGTATGAAAATTTAGTTTTCAACCTTGAGCTTTATGAAATGTAAATATAGATCAAGTATTACTAATGAAAATTTAGTAACCAAATTGAGATGTGCTGAAGTGTAAAATATATACTGGAATTTGAAGACCTAGTATAAAAATCTAAATAATTGTTACTAATGAGATATTTATAAACATATATTTTTATATTGATTAAATTTTGAAATGACATTTTGGATATATGGGTTATATAAGATATTTTAGTTTTAATTTTGCTTGCTTCTATTTCCTTTTTTAAAAATGTGGCCACCTAAAAATTTAAAATTAAATGTGTGGCTCACATTGTATTTCTATTGGACAGAACTGTTCAGTCAGTTTATTGACAGATTTTGTTTGCTAGTCTAGGGGGCACAATCACTGGTGTATAAAAAGATTAAGGCAAGGAAATAACACCCTCTCCACTAAAGGATTTGACATTTTAAGTGGAGTGTCACAGGTTCAGTAATAATATTGCAGCCAAGCTTAAAAGCAAAATTAAAAAGTAAAGCCATATAAAACTTTCTCAGGGAGTGTGGCTGTTCTCTTCTATAAATAGATTACTTATATTAAATTACGGAAAGTGATTTAAGAAACAACGTTACCCTCTTTAAAAGCCCACAAAACTTGCTCTGCCTGAACAAGGAAGAAAATGCGCTGCCCACGTCTGCTTTCTAGAACCTGAACGGAAAGACAGAATAAGGCAATTAGGTACTACAAGGGGGTTACACAATCTACTCTGATATCATTTACTCCTTCATTTTACAGAGAAAGAAAATGAGTCTCAGCCTGGCTAGGTGACTTATTTAAGTTTAGAAATGGTTTTGTTCTTTCTGAAAGAAAAGAAAAGCAATTCTCAAAGATATAATTTATATTCCCACTAGTAAAATAAACTTTCCATCATTGCAAAGCTCACGTTTGAACCAGCAGCTCTCAGATGCATCCACCATCAACTCTTCTTGATAGCTCCCTGCATATCTCTTTCCATATTTTAAGTAATATGTTTATAGTAATATTTCTTGGTTTATCAATTTTAGACATTTTCTACTGCCATCCTGTCATGGTAGATGAAGACTTAACTCACACTCACCCCTACCATTCCTCCTTATTTCCTAATCCTTCACTGGATGAATAGGCACATCAATAGTCCTTCTATGCAAATACCGTTTACTGTACAGCCAAGTAGTATATTACAATTATGAAGCAGTCCTAGTCACAGTAATCAGGCAAGAGAAAGAAAAGGCATCCAAAAAGGAAAAGAATCAAGTTATCTTTTTTCAGTGATGTTATGATTACATACCTAGAAAACCCTAAAGACTCTGCCAAAAGGCTCTTAGACCTGATAAATGACTTCAGTAGAGTTTCAGGATACAAAATCAATGTACAAAAATCAGCAGCATTTCTATACACCAATACCGTTCAAGTTGAGAGCCAAATCAAGAATGCAATCCTATTTACAATAGCCACATAGACAAAAATATCTAAGGATACATCTGATAAAGGAGGTGAAAGAGTTCTACAAGGAGAACTACAAAACATGGCTGAAAGAAATCAGAGATGACACAAATAAAAAAATATTCCATGTACATGAATTGGAAGAATTAATATCATTAAAATAACCATACTGCCCAAAGCAACCTACAGATTCAATACTATTCCTATCAAAATACCAACATCATTTTTCACAGAATTAGAAAAAACTATTCTAAAATTTCTATGGAACCAAAAAAGAGCCCAAATAGTCAAAGCAATCCTAAGCAAAAACAACAAAGCTGGAGTCATCACATTACACGACTTCAAGCTATACTACAAGGTTACAGTACCCAAACTGTACAAAAACTGGTACAAAAACAGAAACACAGACCAATAGAATAAAATAGAGAACTCAGAAATAATGATGCACACCTATTGCCATCTATCTTTGACAAAGTTGACAAAAATAAGCAATGAGGAAACAACTCTTTATCAATAACTGGTGCTGGGATAGCTAGTTAAACCCTATGCAGAAGACTGAAATTGGACCCTTCCCATTCACACATACAAAAATTAACTCAAGATAGATTAAAGATTTAAACATAAGATCTGAAACTATAAGAATAAGAAGAAAATGTAAGAAATGCCATTCTGGACTTTGACCTTGAGAAAGAATTTATGACTAAGTCTTCAAAAGCAATTGCAACAAAAAAATTGACAAGTGGGACATAGTTAAACTAAACAGCTTTGGTACAGCAAAAGAAATTGTCAACAGAGTAAACAGACAACCTACAGAATGGGAGAAAATATTCACAAACTATGCATCCAACAAAGGCCTAATATCCACAATCTACAAGGAACTTAAATAATTGAACAAGCAAAAAACAATCCTATTAAAAATGGACAAAAGACATGAACAGACACTTCTCAAAAGAAGACATACAAGCAGCCAACAAACATGAAAACATGCTCATCATCACTGATCATTAGAGAAATGCAAATCAAACCACAATGAGATACCATCTCACACCAGTCACAATGGCTGTGATTAAAAAGTCAAAAAATAACAGATTCTGGTGAGGTTGCAGAGAAAAGGGAATGCTAATACACTGCTGGTGGGAGTGTAAATTAGTTCAGCCACTGTGGAAAGCAGTTTGGAGACTTCTCAAAGAACTAAAAACAGAACTACCGTTCAATCCAGAAATCCAATTACTGGGTATACCCAAAGGAAAATAAATTGTTCTACCATAAAAACACATGCATGCGTATGTTCATCTCAGTACTGTTTACAACAGCAAAGACATGGAATCAACCTAGGTGTCCATCAACAGCAGATTGAATAAAGAAAATGTGGTACATCTACACTATAGCATGCTAGGCCATTGAAAAGAACGAAATCATGTCCTTTGCAGCAATACAGATGCAGTTGTATTGTGAAAATATTCACAAATATATATATATATTTTATTATACTTTAAGTTCTAGGGTACATGTGCACAACGTGCAGGTTTGTTACATATGTATACATGTGCCATGTTGGTGTGCTGCACTCATTAACTTGTCATTTACATTAGGTATATCTCCTAATGCTATCCCTCCCCCTTCCCCCCACCCCAAGTATATACCCAAAGGAATATAAATCATGCTGCTATAAAGGCACATGCACATGTATGTTTATTGCAGCACTACTCACTATAGCAAAGACTTGGAACCAACCCAAATGTCCAACAATGATGGACTGGATTAAGAAAATGTTGCACATATACACCATGGAATACTATGCAGCCATAAAAAATGATGAGTTCATGTCCTTTGTAGGGACATGGATGAAGCTGGAAACCATCATTCTCAGCAAATTATCACAAGGACAAAAAACCAAACACTGCATGTTCTCACTCATAGGTGGGAATTGAACAATGAGAACACTTGGACACAGGAAGGGGAACATCACACACCGGGTAGTTTTTAATTAATATTTATAGAAAAAGATTGTCCTCATTTGAAGCATTTTGGTTGCCCCTCCAGCAAATGCTACCACAAACTGTAGCAGTTTAGCTTCATTGTAGTTAAAACCTGGTTGCTTCCAAAGTGACTGTAAGGTCTGTGGTACACGGAAGCTGGTGTCAGTGATGCTTCCAGGGTTCCCTGTGCTTAACTCCTAACTGTCTGGCACATCCCTGTTGGAAAATAGGATTAAGAGACTTTTACAACAAGGCAGAATCTAAAAGCAGGGCTTTATTATTGTGATGGTGGTAATGATTTTCTGGCCTCTGCTCATTCAAAAAAAAAGTACCGATGTTAAGCCGATCACCAAAGAGATGTCAGATGTAGACAGTGCTGTGACGAGCTGCCACAGACCACAGAGTACTACTTCTGGGAGCTGGCCAAAAAGCACTCCCCAAGTTCAACCTCCATAGCGGCAAAAAGAAAAAACTGAGGCCTAGAGACTCACCCAAGACAAAAAGAGAGTGGGTGGCAGCCTATAAGTAGGTCTTTAAAACATTTAGAAAGATAGAAATAACTGATTGCTAACAGATACATGATGACCTTACAAACTGATGTCATTTTGCAGAAACTAAGCTTCCAGAAAGAGGCAAAATCATTTAAATATTCATATCAATAATTCTAATCCTTGGGCATTTATCCGGTAGTATTATAACGACTAAAATGTGTAAATTGAAGGACCAAATCACTATCCTTTCACCTTGCTTTTTTTTTTTAACTACATAAAACACAAATCTTAAGGACTTATTAATTATTTACAGTCTGGCTCTGAAGATGATAGTACTTGCAGCAAATGCTGACAGGCTGGTTCCACCCAGCTAATCACAGCAGTTACTGAACAGATAAATTAAGAGCATTTTAAATTCTTGTTCAGAGAGACACTTGCCTTAGACATATGCTGAAAGCATGGACTTACCTGCATAAAAAGACTGGCAAGTAACCAAAATTAAAAAAAAAAATTGTTCTTTCTTTCCTTTGGACCTGTTTTCAGCATCTATTTGAAAGTTCCAAATTATATTTAGGCTATTCAAGACAACCCTGCTAATGCACTGTAATTTTATATTTATAGTCACTGGCTTACACATGCCCACAGACTGCATTCTGCAACACCCAGGAGTGAAAGGCCTCTTCTGACACCTGTGGCTCTTTTTCCATAAGTGCCTGTACAACCAGTGCAGAGTATTCATTGTCTGGTCCTAATGGTTTCCCTTTGCTTATTCGAGAAATTACCATTATTTTCTCTTTCGTAAATGACTCCGAAGTAAAATAAAATGATAGCTTTCTTCACATTAACAACTTTCTTTTTTTAATTTTTATTTTTAAGTTATTTTAAGTACATATGCAGGACCTGCAGGTTACCTAGGTAAATGTATACCATGGTGGTTTGCTGCACCCATCACCTAGGTATTAAGCCTAGCATACATTAACTGTTTTTCCTAATGCTATCCCTCCTCACATCCCACCTACTGACAGGCCTAGTGTGTGTTGTTCCCCTCCCTGTGTCTTCTCATTGTTCAGCTCCCGCTAATAAGTGAGAACATGCAGTGTTTGGTTTTCTGTTCCTCCATTAGTTTGCTGAGGATAATGGCTTCCAGCTCCATCCATGTCCCTGCAAAGAACATGATCTCGTTCCTTTTTATGGCTACATAGTATTCCATGGTGTATATGTACAACACTTTCTTTATCCAGTCTATCATTGATGGGCATTTGGGTTAATTCCATGTCTTTGCTATTGTCAATAGTGCTGCAATGAACATACGTGTGCATGTATCTTTTAATAGCATGATTTATATTCCTTTGGGTATATACCCAGTAATGAGATTGGTGGATCAAAGGGTATTTCTGGTTCTAGACCTTTGAGGAATCACCACACCGTCTTTCACAATGGCTGAAGTAATCTACATTCCCAGCAATAGTGCAAAAGTGTTCCTATTTCTCTGCAACCTCACCAGCATCTGTTGTTTCTTGACTGTTTAATAATAATTGTTATTCTGACTGGTGTGAGATGGTATCTCATTGTGGTCTTGATTTGCATTTCTCTAGTGCTCAGTGATGTTGAGCTTTTTTATTTTTTTCGTATGTTTGTTGACCACATGTATGTCTTCTTTTGAGAAGTATCTGTTCATTTCATTTGCCCACTTTTTAATGGGGTTGTTTGTTTTTTTCTTGTAAATTTGTTTAAGTTCCTTGTAGATTCTGGATATTAGATCTTTGTCAGATGGACAGATTGCAAAAATTTTCTCCCATTCTGCAGGTTGCCTGTTCACTCTGATGATAGTTTCTTTTGCTGTGCAGAAGCTCCTTAGTTTAATTAGATCCCATTTGTCAATTTTTGCTTTTGTTGCAATTGCTTTTGGTGATTTTGTCATGAAATCTTTGCCTGTGCCTATATCCTGAGTGGTGGTATTGTCTGGATTTTCTTCTAGGGTTTTTATAGATTTGGGTTTTAGATTTAAGTCTTTAATCTATCTTGAGTTAATTTTTGTTTGGAATATCATTTGCAAATATTAATTTCTGGAGCCTCAGAACCATGCCAACACATTACAACCATAAAACTTCATTTCCTCACTGGAAATACAGAACACTGAATGTCAAGACTTCAACCTTAAATAGGATTCTAATTAAGGCAAAAGACAGTTACATATTTGGGTTGCTGAGCAACTGATAGAGCATCTTTCTAAATATGAAGTATATTCTATATGAAATTTTACAACAATAATTTATATGTGAATAATATTAACTAAAGGATACATTTAGAGAGCAGAGAAAAGCCTGGCTGATTTTTCCCAGTGTAATGATAGAACAATTATATAAAATGTGAAAAGACTGGAATCATGTTAATACTCTTACCTTCAGATAGTCCAAATCTTAACAAGGTCACTCAATAATTCTTAAAATAATACAAAATGTCTTCTGAAAAGACATGCAATCTAGTAAATCTGGTTTATTTCTAAAAGGATGAGACTTTACTAATAATATCTGAAAAATTCAAGTTCTCACATTCCTTATCAAAAAAGAATATGGAGTAACATACTAACCTGAGTTGTCTTTATATAAAACTTTAGTATACTTGGGTTTATTTTTATATACCTTGTCCTTAGCCTTCAGAATTTCTATCTGAGTACACAGGAATTTCAAGACAAACTTGTTAGGGATAATTAGATAAAGAGTTAATTGGGGAGCCAGGTGTGGTAGCTTATGCCTGTAATGCACCCAGCACTTTGGGAGGCTGAGGTAGGAGGATCACTTGAGTCCAGAAGTTGGAGGCTGCTGTGAGCCATGATCATGCCACTGCACTCAAACCTGGGTGAAGAGTGAGATCCCATCTCTACAAAATAACAATAATAATGAAAAACAAAAATTAAAAAAGAGTTAACCAGGGAATGGGGAAAAAAAAGGAATAAAACAGAATGTTGAACAGTACTGCTTCTTTCTGGGGCAGGCTTGGGAGACATAAAGGAGGTGGCCACACAGTCAGCTGGGCCTTGCTCCCACTGCTGTTAGCGGGAGAGAGGAGAGGCACTACAGACTGAGCAAAAGCAGCAGAGGCAGTGTCATAGTGTCCTCTACCTTTAACCCTCAGTGAAGCTTTCCTGGATATGACAAGGCTTTCTAACCCTGGCCCTCCCTGATGGGTAAGGGGCACTTAGAAATACTGTACTTACTTCAAAGAATGGGCTGGACACAGTCATGAGCCATTCTCCTCCCCCTTTCATGCTAGGGACAACTGTGAAGTTGGCCATCCTAGACGGAGAGGATATCTGCTGCTTCCTGGGGAAAAGAGTTGGGATTTGGCGGCATGTCAAGGGCTGGTGCAGAAGAGGGCAACTGAGGTCTAATAACAATGACAGGACAGCCTCTTCCTTGTGCTCAGGAGCCAAGGGAGGCACCCGAGAGCAGAGCAGCAGGTGACCAAAGGCAGTGGTATCACTTCTCCTCCCCAGGATCCACAGGAGAGGACGGGAAAACAATGCTCTCGGGAGTCGCTCATCCTCCCTTGGGGTGTCAAGAACCGTCTTGGTGGATGCATTGGTTTCCTATCACTGCTATGAGAGATTGCCACAACTCAGGCCTGAAAACAACACAAAATTATCTTACAGTTTTAGAGATCAGAAACATGAAATAGATTTGCTGGGCTAAAATCAAGGTGTTGGCATGGCTGCGTTCCTTTGAGAATTCTAAGGGAGAACCTATGTCCTTGGCTTTTCCGGCTTCTAGAAATGGCCCACATTTCTTGGCTTGTAGCCACCTCATTCGGACTCTGCTTCCTTCATCATCTCTTTTTCTCTCTGTGACCCTCATGCTTCCCTTTTATACGGATCCTTATAATTACACTGGATGACCCAGAATAATCTCCTCATCTCAAGATCTCAACTTAATCACATCTGGGAAGTCCCTTTTGACATGTAAGGTAATGTATTCACAGGTTCTGGACATTTTTGGCAGCAATTATTCTGCCTCCCATAGTGAAAGTAGCAGCGAGAGACATTTCTGGAGTAGGCCTCCAGGGGCATGCAACTACAGCCAGGTCTTCCCTGATCATAGTGAAGGCCCCCGGCATGGCCAGCTGTTTATATGGCCTTGTTTATGCAGCCTGGAGAACGAAGATAGTTTATCATTTCCCTAAGGTCTTCACGCAGCTTGAATAGATTGTCTTCAGCTAGGAACTGATTTTGATACATGTTAAAGCCATGATTTCTCAAAGATGATAAGGAGGGTTATCTCCTTTTTCCCCTCACTCTACCTTCATCTTCCCACCTCCAAACAAGAAAAGAAAATCTCAGTGCACTGTTAGGCTTTCAGTCATGAGAGAGATCTTGGGGAGAGAATTCTAAGTAAGATGGTGACACCTACTCATCGGAAAACACTGCCCAGGAAGGATGGGGGACCTGGTACATTGTGGCATGAAACAAAGTTGCGTTTGTGGGTGTTGTTGACATAACAGTGATAATTTGCCACCTAGGACATAAAAATAGCCTCCACCAACATCTGAGAATATACAGCTTTCCAAATAATTACCCACTTCAACTTAACTCCCTCTAGACCTTCACAGGCTACCCAGAAACATGCATGCTTCCAGTCCCTCCAAGAGAACTGCTCGTGGAAGGAATAAAAACAAGAGCAGCAGATTAACCATGTTTGGAGTGGAAATCCAAGGTCATGCCTGCTTCAAAACAGCTCAGCCAAATCCTGCAAGAGTTTAAAGAGGGTAAAGTGTAGAAAGCTGCAGCCAGATCTCTCCACATTAAAAGTTACTAGTTTGTCTTGAAGGCAAAGGCCCAAAGGATATGACAGAAGGGGTGCTCAAAGTCCCAGCCCATCTGTGTGCCTATCTGACCATGAGCACAGGTTGAAGGTGATAGTAAAATGATCACGAAGGTTATTTATGATAAATATTGATTGTGGGGCTGCTGTGCATGTGTGTGCACGCACACACACACAACACACACACACACACACCACTGCCTATTTAAGCAGCCCTAACAAACCAAAGCCAGGGGCTAATATTGAACAGTGACCTTATTGTGGTGGCTCTCTACACAACAAAAACCACATTTAAAATGCATCAAGACCAAAAGTAAGATCTGAAGAATGAGGAAACCTAGGCTATAACAAAATGAAAAAAGGTTTTACACATTCCCTGAGCACAGGCAGCACTGAAGGATGAAATGATTTGCTTGCTAGGCTCACTAGAGTAAAAGGCAGGAAGCATTTTCCACCCAAGTTGCTACGCCTCTGGTGTTCCCTGGACCATCTGGATAGAAGTTTATGTTCAATCTATAAGTCTTTTTTTAATTTTTAATTTTTATGGGTACACAGTATAATAGGTACCTATATTTATGAGGTACATGAGGTATTTTGATACAAGCATACAATGCTTAATAATAATCATATCAGGGTAAACAGGTATTTATAACTTCAGCATTTAACATTTCTATGTGTTACAAACATTCCAGTTATACTATTTTATTAATTTTTAAATGTCTGATAAATTATTGACTGTGATAACCCTGTTGTGCTATCAATTACTAGAACTTATTCATTCTATCTAATTATATTTTTTGTACCCATTAACCATCCCCACTCCAACCCTACTACTCTTTCCAGCCTCTGGTAACCATCATTCTACTCTCTATCTATGATAAAGGGCAGGTGAACCCCAAATTTGGAACTCAGCCCAGGAATGTTCTTGGCTTTGCTCAGGAAAAAATTCAAGGGCAAGCCAGTGGTGTTAGCAGCTTTTGTTGAAATGGCAATGTACAGCAGCAGCAGAGGTACGGCTCAGAGCAGAGCAGGGCTACCCCATAGGCAGTGTGCCCAGAGTAGCAGCTCAGAGGCAGTGCTGCAGTCATATTTATAACCACTTTTAGTTATATACAAACTAAGGTGTAGATTATGCAGAAATTTCTAGGAAATGGGTGGTAACTTCTGGGTCATCAGGTCATTGCCATAGAAAGCGGCAGTAAATTCTAGGTGTTGCCATTCTAGGGAATGGTAAACTGACATGGCACAATGGTGGACGTGTCTTATGGAAAGCTGCTTCCGCCCCATCCCTGTTTTAGCTAATCCTCAATTTGGTCTGGTGTCTGAACCCTGCCTCTGGAGTTGTGTCCCGCCTCCTATCTCATCTCCATGAGTTCAGTTGTTTTTATTTTTAGCTTCCACAAATGAGTGAGAACATGAGAAGTTTGTCTTTTGGTGCCCCACTTATTTCACTTAATGTAATGCTCTCCAGTTCCATCCATATTGTTGCAAATGACAGGATATCATCTTTTTTTATGGCTGAATAGTACTCCATTGTGTATATGTACCACATTTTCTTTGTCCATTTGTTTGTTGATGAACACTTAGGTTGCTTCCAAATCTTAGCTACTGTAAACAGTGCTGCAAGAAACATGGGATTCAGATATCTCTTTCATATACTGATTTCCTTTTTTGGGGGGGTATATACCTAGCAATGGGATTGCTGGATCATATGGGAGTTCTATTTTTAGTTTTTTGAGGACCCGCCATACAGTTCTCCATAGTGGCTATACTAATTACATTTCCAGCAACACTGTATGAGGCTGCCCTTTTTCCCCATCCTCATCAGTATTTGCTATTGCTTGTCTTTTGGATAGAAACCATTTTAACTTGGGTGAGATGATATCTCATAGTAGTTTTGATTTGCGTTTTTCTGACAATAAATGATGTTGAGCATTTTATCATATACCTGTGTGCCATTTGTATGTCTTCTTTTAAGAAATGTCTACTCAGATTTTTTAGCCCATTTTTAATTGGATTGTTAGATTTTTTTCCTATTTAGTTGTTTGAGCTCCTTGTACATTGTTTATTAATCCCTTCTACAAGTCGTTACTGAATGTCAGCACTACTAAATGTTAAGAGGTGGCATGATAGAGTAGAAAGAAAATTTGATTTGGAATAGTTAACACTGGTTTAAAGTCTTGGCTTTCCCACTTCATAGCTGTGTGACTTGGGCATTTAACCTGCAGCTTCTTCACCTCTGTGCTAGAATCATAACTGCTCTGGCTACTTCAAAGGGTTGACAAGAGAATAAAATATAGATGTAAATGTGCTTTCTTATCCTGTTAAACGTTACGAAAATTATCTGTTACCATTAGAGAAGCAAGGTAAAAAATTTTGGTTTCTAGCTTATGATCTAGTTAGGGAAAAAATTTGTACAAGAAATATTCAAAGAGCAAAACTATTTAGCAAAGTGTTGGAGAGTCCTGTAGTCCAGGTTTCCTAATGCCATGTGGCAAATGTTCATTGTGTGGTACAGACCAAGTATAAAAGTGAGAAAAGCAGTCATCAGGAAAAACTTCACAGGAGAGAAGAATGTGAGCTGGAAGTAATGAGGCAGAAAGGAACTAGGAGAACATTCCAGAATGTGAGAGATTCATGAGCCAATACATACAGTGTGAAGTAAATTTGTGTGGTTTCTCTGCTTCCAGGAAACTCTCTCATATTTCAGACCCATTGAAGAATTCTGTCCTACAAACCACAAGGGGGAACAATATAGTAACTTCTTTTCCAGTAGAAAAATACCTCTTGACACAGCAATTCCACTTTTAGGAACTGAGACTACAGATGGAAGTGAGTGTGTGTATATACACATATGTGAAATAATGTATACAGGTGATTACTGCAGCCCAGTTTGTATATGTGAGAAAACTATAATTTATAATCTAGAAATAATAATCTAAGATGCCATCAGTAGGAGATTGGCTAGGAAATTGTGGTATACATACTATCAAATATTTTACAGATTTTATAAAGCGTAAAATATATAAAGGTATTGGCTAGGTGCGGTGGCTCATGCCTGTAATCCCAGCACTTTGGGAGGCCAAGGCGGGTGGATCATGAGGTCAGGAGTTCGAGACCAGCCTGGCCAACATGGTGAAACCCCATCTCTACTAAAAATACAAAAAATTAGCTGGGCTTGGTGGCATATGCCTGTGTCATTCATCCCAAAGAAGGAATCAACTCTGCTGATGAGCAAATCCAACACTTAAAAGACAAAGCTCTACGAATATTCTTGGTTTTGACCCTTAATCCCAGCTACTCAGGAGGCTAAGGCAGGAGAATCGCTTGAACTCGGAAGGTGGAGGTTGCAGTGAGCCAAGATTGCGCCACTGCACTCCAGCCTGTGTGTGTATATATACACACACATATATGTGTGTATAAAAAGATACTAGCTGCATATGCAAGGATAGTGAATAATTATCTCAATTTATTAAGTGAAAAAAGCAAAGTCTAGAAGTATGCTATATTTATGTAAAAAGAAAATAAAAGAGTCCATACAGAGTGCTTGACAATGCATAGACAACAGTACAAAAATAGTCACTAGTCACAGATTAGGATAGAGGAATGAGAGGGAGACATACCTTTCACTGTATATACTTTTGAATTCCATATCATACTCATGTATGACCTATCCAAAAATTACTTTAAATGTATTAGCTGGTGGCCCAATGCTTTCACAGACTCCAGATAAATTTGCACACTGACTTCAATTTAGGATGCCCCAATAAATAACGTTCTCTGAATATCCTTTAACTGAAATTGCTTCAGTTAGGTAACGCAAAATACAGCTGCCCAGCATAGAGTTCAGTCCAGTTGCCCGCAGATTTTACTGAGTGGCTGGGTCATGTTATTGACCATATTGTGTTCCCCAAAAGTTCATTTATTGAAAGCCAAACACTCAATGTCACTGTACATGAAGACAGGGCCTCTAAGGAGGCAATCAAGATTAAATAAAGTCATAAGGGTGAGGCCCTAATCCAAAAGGACTGGTGGCCTTCTAAGAAGAGGAAGATACATCAGGTGTGCCACACACAGAGGCAAGGCCACATGAGGCCACAGTGGGAAAGTGGTCATCTACAAGCCAGGAACAGGAAGCCAACTCTGCTGGAAACTTGATCTTGGATCTCCAGCCTCTAAAGCTGTGAGAAAATAAGTGTCTGTTGTTTAGGCTACCCAGACTGTGGCATTTTGTCATGGCAGCCTGAGAAGATTAATACCATTACCATCAAGGACTCTTGTGGAGAAGCACAGTCCTCCAGCCAGAGATAAGCTGAGCTAAAGTGGGAGCTATGCTGCTTGGCCTGCAGAGGAGCACCACTGTAACACAAGAACATGCCACTAATTCAAAGTGACAGAGTGGGCATGAGGAGTCCAGGGTCCTAGTTCCTGCAAAGCCATTCCTGACTGCAACCTGCACCATCATGTGAACTCTGCAGGATCTGTCTCAAATCCTTTCAGCTTCCTTAGTTCCTTCCAGCTCATTGGGTCCAGGATCTATAACATGCAAACAGCAAAATATGTCACTACCAAGAGTCAAGTTAGCTTCCAAAAATAGTGAGCTTCATATTTGTGGAATAAAAACAGCAGCCTGTAACCTAGGAGTTCCCAATCAGTGAGACTAAATCTACTTTAGATCTCAAAGCCTCACGAAGCAGGCTGCTGCTGCTGCTGCTGCTGACACAGAATCTTCCTCACACTCTGAGTTTTGCTGAGATTCTCAAAGTAGGGAAGGTGGAACATGGTCTCCTCTGATAATTTATTACTCTGAAAATCCACATTTTAGAAACCCTGGCACTCCAAAAAAGCAGTGAAGAGGTATCCCATCTCACAAGCAGACAAAACTATGACAACTCCTGTTGTTATTAAAGGGAGAGAGGTGATGTTAAGCCAAAAAACTAAAACACGCATTTCTCCAGTGTCATTCATCCCAAAGAAGGAATCAACTCTGCTGATGAGCAGATCCAGCACTTGAAAGAGAAAGCCCTATGAATATTCTTGTTTTTGACCCTTAGTATCACATCATAATGAAACAGCCATATGTAGAAGCCTAGCTGAAGCACTGATGCATTTCTTTTTCAGTCAAAGGTTTGAAGTCTTATCATCAAGGGTTTACATGATGTAGCAACATCTAGGAACAGATATCCTACAGTTTAGGCATGCAATAATTTCTTTAATGACAATGAAGTTAGCGCTGCTTGTTACAAAAAGTTGGGGCACATGGTTTCAAAAGAAAGTATGACCCAGAATTGTAGGTGACTATGTCAGATAACTGAACTTGTACTTAACTTTAGAAGAACACATTTCCAGGCCACGTGCGGCGGCTCACATCTGTAATCTCAGCACTTTGGGAGGCCAAGGCAGGTGGATGACCTGAGGTCAGGAGTTTGAGACCAGCCTGGCCAACATGGTGAAACCCCATCTCTACTAAAAATACAATAATTAGCCAGGTGTGGTGGCATATACCTGTAATCCCAGCTACTCATGAGGCTGAGGCAGGAGAATCTCTTGAATCTGGGAGGCAGACATTGTAGTAGTGAGCCGAGATCACGCCACTGCACTCCAGCCTGGGTAACAGAGTGAGACTTGGTCTCAAAAAAAGAAGAAGAAGAAGAAGAAGAAGAAGAAGAAGAAAAGAAGAAAAGAAGAAAAGAAGAAGAAGAAGAAGAAGAAGAAGAAGAAGAAGAAGAAGAAGAAGAAGAAGAAGAAGAAGAAGAAGAAGAAGAAGAAGAAGAAGAAGAAGGAGAAGAAGAAGAAGAAGAAGAGGAGGAAGAAGAAGAAGAAGAAAACATTTCCATCATATTGGTTCCTAGCAAAGCTAAAGAAAGAGCTTTATCAGTTCAGGAGCTACAATAAACTTGAAAATCAGTTTTGGAAAGCAGGCAAGCCTCTTCAAGGAATCAGTGTAGAGAAGACAGTTTTGAATGCAGAGCAAAATGTTATATGCAGAAGTATTTTAAAAACAAGATGGTAATGTATCTAGGCACAAATTTCATAAATATATTCTAGATTTCTTGGGTCGGTATGTATAAGGAAAATTCCTCAGTAAAGTTTTTAATCTTGGAATCTAGAACTCTGAATGAAGAGTGGTTTCCCCCTGAGTCATTATCACATACTATAGGTATACAAAGATATACTAGTTTACCAACAAATATATTCAGTTTTGAGCAACACCCAATTGCCATGCTGGTAATAGGCTAATAACTCCTTTGGAATATTAAAAGTAAATGCAATGACATTTTATGTCAAAATCAAGGAATGTTGAGAAGGATATAAACTTCAAGATGAATATAACTGCCTACATTGATTTAGAATTTTTGACTTTGTTCTTGGCACACACTTAGGTCAAAGCAGAGGTAATGGGATTCGTTATAAATGTGTCTCCTCACATGCCAAAAATGTTGCTGCCTAAAATGTCATATTTCAATGTGGATTTTGTTGGGAGGGAGGCCACGTAAATGTTAACTCCTTGACAGGCATCCTCATTTGGAAGTTTTTTCAACTTGCTAGAATCACAAATGGTACCAAATATAAATAAGTATGACAGTATAAAACCTTTTCAGCTGAGTTTTATAAGTCCTATGTCAAAATAATTTTGAATAGAATGGCTCATTTAGAGCTAATTTATTTGTGGTCTTTGAAAATTGCTACAGAGAAAAAGAATTAAACAAATCAGCGTAATTTTACTTATAATCAAATAATGTTGAATAGATGTTGGAGATGCACAGATTCAACACATTAAGATATAAGCCAGATATTTCCCATATCTGTACTTGATCAGGTTTATGGAAAACTTTCAAAAGATTATCTTCTCATTTATGCCTATCGTTGTAAAAATACAATACATCTTTAAATGTCTAACTGGAAATGTAGTACCTCATAATAAATTGAATTGTGTGTTATTCCATCAAAACCTCTCTTTCTCCCTCTTTTCTCTGGATATTGTTTTATGTATACCTCTCTTCTTCATCATTGTCAATCTCCTTACATTTCCCCATTTTCCCTACTCTTGTACTCTCCCTCCCTCTTCATTTGTCTTCTCTACTCCTTTCTCTCCTGTTTGTTCAGCTTTAGTCATTACTGAATAAAGACTTGTGTTTTCTATTTTTAATTATAAAAGAAGATAAAATAAATTAAGGATTAAAAATAAAACCAAATTGAATGACAGGTGGTCTTTGGGATCTTCTTTTTACAAGCTTTCATTAATTCTTTTTCTGCTCTTGACAAAATATATTTTCCTGCCTCTGGTTTAAAACCATATCCAAAACCATGTGCTTACATCTAATACAAATAGCATGGTTTGTACCATGTGCTTACATCTAAGACAAACCATGCTATTTGTATTAGATGTAAGCACAAAGAGTAAGTATGTTTAATGGAGGAAATAAATGGAAAAGGAGCAATAGGGATTACATATTATAGAGTATTCTCTTTTTATTGGGAAAGCCTCTTGAAAAATCAGGATGTTTTAAAACCATAGTTCAAAATTTTAAAAATGATATCAATTTAAATCCATTCAGATTTTGTTAAATAACTTGTATACGCTTATTAGTAACAATTATTTTAAGCAGTTTACAAGAAAAGCTCATATATTTTTTCTTTAAATTCACTCACTTTTACTTTCATATCAGTGAATAACATTTGTGGAGTAATCAGTTTGATGTGATTAATGTGTATGTATATATGTATATGTATCTATGTATATTTATAATATTGGTCCACATATCACCTGAAATCATTTCATGGTATGAGTTCCCAATTTAGGTTAGGGAAATAAAATATCTCAGTTCTGCTTAGAGAAACCAAATAATTTCATTACAGATTATTATATAGTCAAAGCAGCATTAATTAAAGAGTTACAATTTTGAATATTAGAAATGCTTTTTACCAGGGTTTTCCTAGATTTTTTTTTTTTACTTGCAAAGTAGTATGTTACACAGTCTTTATTGTACTTGATTAAGCTCACACCAGGACAGGTTATCTGGCTCCTACCAGAGTTCTATCAACAGCCTCTCATTCTAAGAACAGATCTATGATGTCAACCCTTAATCCATCTGCCTCCCCCACCTTCTTCCTCTCCTCACTATCTTAAGCTTTGCCACACTGAACGATTAAGAGCTTGGGTCAAAATGATGTGGTTATATAAACACTCACTATTTCTGTCTTATGGAAATACTTCCCCTGTGAGTTGCTCAATATGCTTCGCAGCTAACAGAATACATCTCCTTTCTGGTCTTGCCTTAAAAATAATACCATTTGGCCTAATACCACTGACAAATTGCTAAACCTTTTAGGAAGGACCGCTGCATGCACCAAGAGACATGACTATGACTATGATTTGAACAGGGCCTGCAGCTTATAACCAAGCCAGATATAGTGCAGAAGTGACGAGCTGCAGGGGGAAGCCTGGGCAAAATGACCTGTGTTCTTGTTCTAGCTTCAGCTCTGCCAACCTGGGTAGCGCACATTCCCTCACTGAGCCATTGTTTTCCCAATAATGAAGTCAGCTTTAAGGTCTCTTCTAGTTCTGTGACTTTTAAGCTTTTCAAGGAGAGCTCTCTGTGTTCCAAAAGTTAAGAACATTAACTGAAGTATTCACCACTGTACAGCTAGTGCCTATAGCACTGTCTGACACACAGCAAATGCTTAAAATATATTTGCTGAAAGAATTAACAAAGAGGTAGGTTTGCCACCACTACTGTAAAGTGATTGTAATTAATTTACAGACTCAGCTTCTCTTTCTGCCTGATAAAGATATTTCTTGAGTCAACAAAAAACTACTTATTACTTATTGGGCCAAGCAGGAGAGGTAAAAATAATGAATAAAGAATTGAATTTTAAGAGGAAAGGGCCATGGGAATATTTTTAGGGAATAAATACATGATACAAAACAGTACTACAATGTGTGCTAGCTTTGCTTTCAGGATTAATTTACATTGTGGAAAAGTACATGTACTCGTAGGATACACAGGAGACTAACTTAGGCAGTGCCTCTCCACCCCAACACATACTGATATTGGACTGAACTACAACCCTTGCACACAACTTCAGACTGTTTGCCAAAGTCCATCGAGTGGACTGATGGCATCAGGAATGAGAAAGTAAGAGAAAGAACATAAATGGCTTCTACTTTCTTGCTCTCTTACGTTTCCCACTGCCTTTCTCTACTTTGGTAACATTTCCCACATTCCAATTCTCAACATTCACCCAATCCCTAGCACGTACACACACACACACACACACACACACACACACACACACACACGTGTGCACACTCTGTTCTCCCCACAATCCCTGAAATCCAAGGGAAGGGGAGGAAAGTCATAGATGCATCTACTGATCATGTGAGAGAAAGAGAAAAGCTGCAAAACTGAACTTTTTTCTCTACCAGAGAGGAGAATCCTGGTCAGGACTACAGATGATAGAAGTTAAGAATTTTATCCCCATTTTTGCCCAGCACTCTATTTACATTCTCTTCTCCTTACAGATTTCCTCACTCTCATCTTCCTTGAGTGAGTCTTTGACTTGGACCATCTGAATAGTACCAGCAGCTAAGATTTCAGAATGGCCTGCGGTTAGGAGAAGCCCACCCGCATCAGGAGAGGAAGGACAATTCTTCAAGTGACTGGAAGGATTGGGGTTAGGAAGTTGTATACCAGAAACCAAGTCAGATTCTGAATTCAGTCTACTAAAAAAATTATACCTGCTACAGTGGTTCTATACTGGTTTCAGTTCACTCATTCAAGAGCATTTAACGAACTTCTATTGAGCATTTACACGGTGCCATGCTAGGCTCTATGGCTACAATGGCGAACAACAACAACAAAAATACATGATCCCTACTTTCATGGGGGTTTAAACTTTAGTGGGAAGAACAGATGTTAGTAAAAAAAAAAAAAAACTCCACCAATAAATGTACAATTACAAACTGAGACAACTAACAAGAAGGAAAGGAATGAGATTCCCTGGCAATGTTCTAGAAAGGAGCCTGATGTAGGGTTAGGAGTCAAGAAAGGCTCTGGAGAGAAATTGACACTAAAGCTGAGCTCAGAAGAATGAGTAGGAGATTTCTCAGCAGAGATGGAGGGTGGGAAGCAGAAGAAAAATGAAGAGGCAGGAAATTATAACCTCTCGAACTCTAAAGTCTATAATTTTCCACATTATCTTATTTAGACATTGCTAACAGAATTATGTCTGAAAATGTTCTAGAAATGCAGTTGTTGGTGAGAACTCTCCCATAAGAGGCTACAGACCTAGGTGAGTATGGAGACAGGATTCTGACCAATGACCCTTGTGTCATCAATTCTATATCTTATAATAATCCTTTACATATTTTGTAACTAAAAAATCATCCCCACTAGGTTATTTTTATAAGAAGTTGTCTTTGAGACATATGGACTTCAAGGTTAGTGCCATCATAATATAACCATTAATCCTGGTTGTCACTAGAAATTGCTTTCAACTAGGAAGTTAACAGAAGTTAACAAATATCTACTCTGTACATGTCTCCATCCAGGCCAGAAAGAATTGACAAATCAGTAACTACAATGGATTATTTCCTTTTTTATTAAAAAAAGAGAAGTTCAATTAAGAGATTCTTGTTTCAACAAACAACATGGGCAAAGACTCCATGCCAAGAAACAGCATGGCATGTTCAGAGAGCGTTGGGGAGAAGTGGGGAGATTAGGAAGTAAAACTAACAGGGCTTGGCAGGAGACAGGATATGAGGGAGGAAGAATGAGGGAGCGGTTGTTGTCAAGTATGACCCCATGATTTCTGATTTGCCCACTGGGACAGATGGTAGAGGAGCCATTCTTCAAGTTAGGGAGCATAGAAGATATCCATATTTGGAGTAGAAGATATATTTTGGACATGCTAAGTCTGGGGTGACTTTGAGAAATCCAAGTAGAGATACTGAGTGGATGATTCTGTAGAGAAGCTCAGGAGGGGAGATGTAAATTTGAAGCTATCACTTGATGCATGGATGTGGATGAGGTTGAACAGGCAAATGGAATAAAGAGAAAAGAGAAGGTGGCTTAAGATCAAGTATTGAGGAATTCCATATTCGGTGTTAAGCAGAGGAGAAGGAGCCTACAGATGAGTCAGAAAAGATATACCCAAGAGATAGGAGGAAAAACCAGGCAGGACCAATGCTACAATTAGGCCTGCTAAGAGAGAAAGCATTGTTTTCAGGGACCAGAACTGTAGGATAAGTAAGCTTCCTTAAGGTGGTATGAGGGTCTATGCACTGCACAAGTACTTAGAATATTTTTCCTGAATTGCAGATAAAACCTATGAGAAATGTGGCTACAACAAATTGAGTGTTAACCAACCCATCTTACAAATTGATTTTTGGAATACAGCCCATTTGTAATTTGAGTATATCATGTACTATGACAGAGGAACACGTTTTACTTTAGTTAGATAAGAAATATTTTAAAAGGGCCGGGCGCGGTGGCTCACGCCTGTAATCCCAGCACTTTGGGAGGCCGAGGCGGGCGGATCACGAGGTCAGGAGATCGAGACCATCCCGGCTAAAACGGTGAAACCCCGTCTCTACTAAAAATACAAAAAAATTAGCCGGGCGTAGTGGCGGGCGCCTGTAGTCCCAGCTACTTGGGAGGCTGAGGCAGGAGAATGGCGTGAACCCGGGAGGCGGAGTTTGCAGTGAGCCGAGATCCCGCCACTGCACTCCAGCCTGGGCGACAGAGCGAGACTCCGTCTCAAAAAAAAAAAAAAAAGACATATTTTAAAAGAATGGAACTATTTTTTTCTAATACCACTTTAATCTTGGAATGTGCTATAATTTGAATTTCTATTTTTAAAAGCTAGAATGAAGAGTAGGAAGGAAATTATATATATACACACATATATATACACATATATATGTGTATGTATATATATACATACATATATACGTATATATATACATACATATATACGTATATATATACACACACACACACATTTCTCCATTTCTTGGGCATTTTTCTTTTGTCTTTGACCACTTTAGCTGTCAGTTCTGTAATCTCCTATAAACTAATTGAACTCTTCCTTCTGTGTGACAGCAGTAAAATTGATCAACAAGATCCCTGGGAAAGTGACATCTGGCAACAAGGAACAATGGAAGGGAATACAGCTAATGCCACAGACAAATGTCAAGTTTCTTTAAATTTAATCCTCTCAGTAAGACACAGTTGAACTGGACAGGGCTGATTAAGCAATAGACGCTTGTTTTGTTTGACATTAGGAAATCTGAAGTTGTGGCACTGCCAAAATCCTTATCTATTTCAAAGGGACAAGGAGGTGCACTGATAAAGAAGGGCCTCTGAATTTCCACCTGTGACGTTCATTCATACCTAAGAGTCTACTTAAATAGCATGTTCTCCCTAAATATTAAGAACTGTTTTGGATATTAACAGATCTCTTTTTATCTACTTGCAGTTCTCTTAAATCCATATATTTAAAAGTTTCAGAATTGTATTTGAGAGCACCAAACATGGTGAAAAAACCAAATTTAGATATTTCCTCCTTTAAAGCAAAATGTATATATAGTTGCATTTATATTGAATTGATAAAATAGTGTTGGTCTACAATATAGATATCTGTAAGAAAACTACACGTCTGGAAAAGTTAATCCCTAATGAGAAAAAAAGTTATCTGTACTAGGCTAGCTCCTAAAAGGCATTTCAAAATTTTCAATCTTTGCATTGTATTACTTTTTGGTTTTCAATGTAAAATATTGATTTCCAAAGGTTAGAAAGGAATTGAGACAGTAATAAATCCCCATCTCTTCGTTTTAGAGTCTAAAAGATTCATATCCACATACCAGAAATACTGAAAGAACTTCAAGGCAGCCTGCTCTCTTCCTTATTTCAATATAATAGAGATTTATTGAACATTCAAGTTTATCCATATGTAGTGGTGGTGAGGGTCTTCTGTAAGGAATCTCTGAAAATACTCCTCCTTGAAAGTGAAAGGCCACCAGGCAAGGCTATGGGAACCCTAATTCTGTCTTAATCATGCCCTGTTAGATATATAACTTTGGCCTAATTAGTAAGTTTTTCTGAAACTCATCTTCTTTCTATCACAGGGTGAACGGACTATGTATATAACCTTTAAAATTTCTGCCAGGTCTATAAGTATATTTTATGTTTCAGTTGATTTTGACAACCTTAGGGAGTCCCAGTAATCTCGGGCACTTGAAAGGCAGTCTGATTTATTCTTCGTGTACTTAAATTATTTTACTTTAGAAGATAAAATTTGATGTTGAAGTAAAATTTCCCAACTATTTCAACAAAGTAAAGATTTAAACGTTTCATTTGACCAAAGGCAGATTCAAAAGTTGATATGGTTCCCACTTCTAGATGTAGTAGGATTAACAGAAATGAGTTGCTCTTCATTATAATCTGCCCATTTTACACTCTCCTAGGTTTTCATGGAGCGAATGTCCCACAGGTGCATCTGGTTGATCCCAGAGAGGTACATAACCACTATCTCCATTCCTACAACCAAACAGTAGGTATCCCTGCATGAAGGGTTCTCCAAATTTTTGTGAGTGTAAGTACATTTCCATTTGCCAAAGTGAAGCCAGTGAAGTCTCTGTGTTAAGTGGACATCCTGGGCAATGAAGACTGTGAATAAGAATGGGGAGATGATGCAGGTCTAGTCCTCCATACAAAATCCAGCAGTGCTCAGCAATCCTGGCTGGATTGGAGATGTACTGGAAGATCTTTATCCATTAGGTTGGCTCTCCTACTACCAAAAAAACATATTCTGTAGCTATCTGCTTTGGAGTCTCAGATTCTGGATTAGTTCATAAAGAAGTAAGTTTCAATGTATACTTGAAAATTCTATTAGCATCATTTCAAATGTTTTTTGCTAATTTTTATCATTTTTCATATAGGGCCTAAGTCATTTGTTAATTTTATATTGGGTTGGCTTTCTTACTAATTTGTATCCATTCTTTAATCTGTATATGTCTTTTATTGGATATATGTATTGCAATCTCTTCTCCTAATGTGTGGTTGTCTTTTCACTCTCTTAATGGAGTCTTTGAATGAACATTTTCAATTTAATTAAGTCCAATTTATTAATCTTTTCATGGTTTGTGTTTTTTACTTCCTATTTAGGAAATCTTTGTTTATCCTAAGGTTACAAAATATACACCTATGCTTTCTTCTAAAAGTTTGATTGTTTTAGCTTTCACATTTAGATTTTATAATCTTAGTTTTTTATATGGCATGGGGCAGGGTTCAAAGGCCTTTTGTTCCACATGAATATATAACAGACTTAGCACAATTCATTTAAAATTCCATTCTTTCTCCTCTGTATTGGAGTGAAGACAGTTCAAATTAAGTGACCATGTATGTTCTGCTCTGATTCTGGATTCTTTGCCATGTTGTTGTTCCCTCTGTCTACCCTTGCACCAATATCACACTGTCTTCATTACTGTGACTTTAGTTTAAGTGTTCATATCTGGTGGTGTAAGTTCTTCTTCCTTCTCCTTCTTCTTCTTCTTCAGCATTATCCAGGTTATCCTAAGCGCTTTGCATTTTTACATAAATTTAACATTAGATTATCAATTTTTACATATATTTATATATGCATGATGTGCTTGGGTTTTCATTGGGATTTTATTATGTCAACATTTCAATTTTGAAAGAATTACCATAATTAATCAGTAAATAAATGAAATCTATACAGTATCTACATGCCCACCAAAAGTGGCTGGAAATTTATAAAAGAAAATAGCAGATAACGTCAAATGTTATCAAGAACGTGGAGCAACTGGAACTCTCTTGCATGGCTATGAAACAAATTGATCTAATCACTTTGAAAAAATATTTGATGATTCTTGTTAAGACTAACATATGCTTATATTTCACCCAGTGGTTTCACTCTAATCTACCATGTTATTCATGTCCAGCAACACTGGAGAAGGAAAGACATTCTATGCATAAGATATTCTCTTATGCATAGAATAAAGCACAAGCTCCAGAGTCAGACTGCTTCCATTCATATGCTCATATTCCAGCACTACCTTACTGTCCGTGTGATGCTAGGCAAACTATTTAACCTCCCTATGTCTCATGTGGACAAAATGATTAGTGTGTGTTGTCTCCATCTTGTGTATTATTTTCATCTGCAAACTGGGATAACAGGGTGGATGATATTTACCTATCTCATAAGGTTACTTGCTAGGAGGACTAAGATAACCCATGTAAGAACAGTGACTGGAAATTAGTAAGGACTCAAGAAATGTTAGTTATTATTATTTTCTACCCATTGTCATCCTATTTATTTTTCAAAGTCTACTTAATTCAAATTGCACCTATTCCATGTCATTTTTTCCCAGATAAAGGGGATGAAAATATTAATTCTGACAAACATCTAGTTTCTTTCCCTCTCTCCCTACCACCAACTTAATGTTAATCTTCCTTTTTCATCCTTATTATATTTGACTTTGATTTTGGGTTATTCTGTTGGTCTTTGCCTGCCCCTCTGGACTGCAGGCATCCCCAAATTAGGTATCTCTGCTCCTCTGCCTGTTCCTCTAGAGCCCAGTGCTCTTCACTTCAGGGTGCAATAGATGTTGGTTGCATTTATTGAATTGAATCAGGGAGGGAGACTGCTGGATGCCTGTGAGAAATGTTACTTGATGTGTTTGCTTTCCTAAAAGCTTGTCATCTGAATTACTCTTAAGTGCTTAAACTCAATAGACAGTTTCTTAGTGATTCAATAGAAAGACAATGAGCACTTGCACTAAGGTTCAGGAAAGTGGCTTCAATACTGGCATGAAAATACTTGGGCTAACTGGAACAAGTGATTAGCAGTAAAACCTGCCTTTATTATGAAAATTTGAAGTAGATGGAGATTTTCCAAATATGATTTTAAAAGCTGTAGTTGCCTTAGGGGATATTAAGATCCTTACATTTTTTAACACAGGAGAATTGGATTTTTGTATGTTGGGCTCAGTTTTGAGTTTGTGGGTAGAAAGCCTCAGGCTTTTAATTTCAGAGTTTTGATTTACTCAGGTTGAAACTAAAGACCAACTTATGCCAAAGGTTTTATTTATTTTGCAGTGGGCCTATATCTCTCAGGCCATCCACTTTGCAGTCCTCCAGGCAACAGTACAAATGGGGGCCTCATACCATATGTGTTTCTATATTTATCAGGTATACTTTAAGGTAACAAACTGCTAAATACTTTCTATCTTCTTCTCTTCATAAAGACCTAGTAGCCAGGCTCCTCGTTGTTCTGCCAGCTTGTAATGGCATGGGGCTTCTCTTCTCTTTCCAACCCTGATCGTGAGGGACTGCGTGAGCATGTGTGGACAGCCCAGACCATACATCAAAGTTCTATCCACACCCGCCGCTAACAGCACCCTTTGAGCTTAGAGGAGTGCACGGAGACAGTATGGCTCACCCTCCAGAAGATGGACCCAGGGAGGAGGCTGCCTGGGCCCTGACATTGGGAAGTCTGGGGTCCTGAGGGAAAGAAGTCTGCGGGTTCTGCATGGGCTCCTCTCTTGTCTCATAGAAATGGGTGTAGCTTGAAGAAGACCAGAACAAGGTTTTCCAAAGCGCAGGCTCCCTCTTGCCTGAGTCTAAGAGTAGTACTGATACTACTTTTCTTATAATACGTATAACAATGGAATACTTTTATCTCGAGGTATTGTATTTAAAAGTGCTGATTTATATGACCCATTGGCATTCCTATTTAATGATATTATTAAACAAAATTTTCGTATTACTCTCTTCTCAATAATGAAAAAACTTAAAGTATTGGCTATAATACTGATATATAAATAGTTACCGGAAAGCAAGCAATTTTACTTTTTTACCCGCCATAATTCTGAAAGCTGTATTCTTGTTGCCATTTTTATCTCATTCAGACTAATTCAAAAGTAAAAAAAAAACCTGTGGATTTTCATTAAAATTATGCCATAATGAGCCACTATGGTCAACTGGAGGATGAGTGGTCACTGATGAAGCTTCACCTGAAATTCCCTTCCCTAACAATTGAGTTGAATGTCTACCCCTCACTTGAGATTCTTCTCCTCAATAGTTCTAACTTTACCTTAGAAACACAGCTGTCAGAATATCGGATTTATTTACTTACTTATTTTGAGAAAAACAAAAGGTATAATATACCACCCTATATAGCTCCTGTCCAGACAACATGTCTAAATAACTCAAAAATAAACATTAAGGTCAAGTATATTTGATTTCCAGTTTAGGTGTCATTTTATCATTGTGTGAGATGGACTTGGGTAACACCCCAAAGCTCCTAAGTTTGTAAAGATTAAATGAAACCATTTATGTAAAAAAACTTGGCACAGTACCAAGACATTCAATAAATTCATTATCTTCTCCTTTCCCCTCTATTCCTCTCCACTGCATTCAACTCAAATTTCTAAGTCATCACAAAAAGTAGATTAATAGTCACAAATTAGAATATAAGTGACTTTCATTCACTCAGTGATTATAAAATTCTGTATTTACGATATATAAAACCAAACTTCAGATTCACATGCACAAAAATCTCCTTAGAGTGAAAAGTATTTTGGGAGCTTATCAAGGGATGTACTGGGTAATGCTGAAGAACAAAGAACACTCTTGATATTAAACTGAGCTCCAAGACTTCATATTCTAAGTTTATAGCTGCATTCTGGTTAACCTCATTCTTTTTTGAGTACAGCTACTCTTTTTAGAAATTACTTTTTCACTAATCACTGCCAATCATATTGAAATTATTGTGAAATAAAGAATCTTTTCTTTCAAAAAGCCACAATTCACATCATAACACAGGGCCCTACAAAGAGCTTATGAAAGCTCCCAAGGCAGCTGCTTCTCTTGGAGAACTGCCGGAAAGCAGCCTGCAAACACAGACAGATTCCTGCCCATCCTGGGCAAGCGGAGGTGGAGGCTGCTGGTCCTGACCGGGCTGGGTTACAATAAGAAGCTGGCTGTGAAGTTGCAAGAATTCAATTTCCTTGTCCCTACATGTAACTCTGGTTAGGACTGGATAAATAAATGGGCCTCCCCCACTTTGTACTATTACAATATGGTGTGTATGTATGTGTGTTTATCAACTCAGCAAAATGTAAAAATTCACATGAAAAATGGAGAATACATAAACACATACATATATATTAAATATCATTATAGACCGGACGTGTTGGCTCATGCCTGTAATCCCTTTGGAAGGGATTTTGGTGCACTTTGGGAGGCTGAGGCAGGCAGATCATGAGGTCAAGAGATTGAGACCATCCTGGCCAACATGGTGAAGCCGGGAGTGGTGGCACGTGCCTGTAGTGACAGCTACTCAGGAAGCTGAGGCAGGAGAATCGCTTGAACCCAGGAGGCGGATGATGCAGTGAGCTGAAATTGTGCCACTGCACTCCAGCCTGGTGACAGAGTAAGACTCTGTCTCAAAAAAAAAAAAAAAAAAAAAGGCATCCCCTACTGAATCTTGTGCTCCCTATTCCCACCTTCAATTGCCAATATGCTTCCTGGAGAGAGCAGGTGTAAGAAAGGGAAGTAATATTAATTGAGTGCCTGTGAAGTGGCAGACCTGGGCTAGTTGTATTCATGCTCCCTAATTTTCATCAGTCCTAGAAAACCAAATGCAACCATTGGCCCTTCTCTGAATCTTGATTGAAAACAAACTGCCTGTAAAAAGACATCTTGGAGACAAATGGGGAAAATGGAATATGAGTTGTCCAGCAGACATGAAGTGTTGGAGGATACTAAAGCATGTTTTTTACAAAAAGTTGTTAAATGTGATTATGTCATGGTGGTTGTATCTTTTTGAAATTGTCCTTTCCAGCCAGAGATCCATATTGATATATTGACAGGTGAGATTATGTGATGGCTCGGATGGACAGTAAAATACTCCATTACTGTTCTACCCCACAAAAGTATGTGGTGGATACATGATACAATGATGGTATTTTGATAATTTCTGAAGCTGTATTATGGGGATAAGAGGTACTGTTCTTTCTATATATGTTGTATGTTTGAAAGCCCTCAAAATAGAAAGCTTTTTAAAAGAGGGAATCTCATTTACAAATGAGGAAACTGAGGTATCTATAAGTTAAATAACTTGCCCAAGGTCACAGACCCAGTGTTGAAAGTTCTTTTGAGTTCACACCAAACTACATTCCAAAGAGTGGCTCTTCTAAGTCTTCTACGCTATCCTCTTTACACAAAATTTCTCTGTATCTTCAAATATTTGCTCTTTCTTCACTCCAGTCTCTGAGGAAGTTTTTGTTTTTTTCCAATGCAACCTCTCCTCAATCCTCAGTCTAGAGAAAAGCATGCTGAATTATTTAAAAAATTATCATAATACTGATTTTGATTGACAAATTATAGTAATATACACTTACAGGATGTAACGTGAAGTTCTGATAGATGGAGACAGCGTGGCATGATTAAATCAAGCTATTGAACATATCCATTAACTTGCTTACTTATCTTTTTTTGTGGTGAAACATCTGAAACTTACTGTTATTTTAAAATATATAAGACATTATTAATGACTATAGTCACTGTGCTGTGCAATACATCTCAAAACCCATTCCTTATGTCTAACTAAACCTTTGTACCCTTTGATCAACAACTCCCCATTCCCTCCCTCCCCTGAGCCCCCAGCCCAGCCACTGGTAACCATTGTTTTATTCTCTCTTCCTATGAGTTCAACTTTATTAGATTCCACATATAAGTAAGATCATATGGTATCTGTCTTTCCGTGCCTGGCTTATTTCACTTAGCATCACGTTCTCTGGATTAATCTACATTGTTGCAAGTAACAGGATTCCCACTCCCCCTTTAATGCTGAAAAGTATGCCATTATGTACATATATGCAATATTTTCTTTATCCATTCAACAGCTGGTGGACACTTAGATTGTTTTCATATCTTGACTATTTGTGAATAAGGCTGCGATGAACATAGGAGTGCAGATATTCCTTCCACATACTTATTTCCGTTCCTCTGGATATATTCCTGTAAGTGGGGTTACCGAGTCACATAGTGGTTATAGTTTTAGTTTTTTGAGGAACCTCCACACCGCTTTCCATAATGGCTATAATAATTTACATTCCCACCAATAATGTATAAAAGTTCTTTTTCTCCAGATTCTCTCCAACACGTTATCTTTCACCTTTTTGATAAAAGCAATTTTAACAGGTGTGAGGTAATACCTCATTGCAGTTTTAATTTGCATTTTCCTAATGATCAGTGAAACTGAGCATTTTTCAGGTACCAATTGGCCACATTTGCAACTCTTCTTTTGAGAAATGTCCATTCAGGTCCTTTGCCCACTTTAAAATCAGGTTGTTTTCTTGCTATTGAGTTGTTTGAATTCCTTATATCTTCTGGATATTAGCCCCTTATCAGATGTACAGTTTGTAAATATTTTCTGTAGGTTGTTCCTTTACTTTGTTGTTTCCTGTCCAGAAGCTTTCCAGTTTGATGCCATCCCACTGGTCTAATTTTGCCTTTGTTGCCTGTGCTTTCAGGATCATATCCAAAAATCATTGCCTAGACCAATGTCATGGGCTTTTCCCCTATGTTTTTTTTTCTAGTATTTTACAGTTTCAGGTTTTATATTTAAGTTCTTAATCTGTTTTTAGCTGATTTTTTTGACATGGCATAAGATAAGCGTCAATTTTCATTCTTCTGCGTGTGGATATCTGGTATTCTCAACACCATTTATTGAAGAGATTGTCCTTTCCCTATTTTGTGTTCCTCACCTTTGTCATAAATAAGGTGACTATAAAGGTGTGGGTTTATTTCTTCGTTTTCTATCCTCTCCTATTGATTGATGTGTCTGCTTTTATGCTAGTATCGTGCAGTTTGATTATAATTGCTTCATAATGTTTTTAAATCAGGGGGCATGATGCTTCCAGACTTTTTCATTTTGCTCAAGACTGTTTTGGCTATTTGGTATCTTTTATGATTCCATATGAATTTAAGCTGTAGATTGCTTTGGGTAGTATGAACACCTGTTCAACATTTATTCTTCCAATCTATAAACACGGGATATCTTTCCATTTATTTGTGTTTTCTTCAATTTATTTCATCAGTGTTTTATAGCTTTCAGAAAACAAGTATTTTATCTTCTTGGTTAAATTTATACTTATGTATTTAATTTTTTTGCTATTGTAAATGGGATTATTTTCTTAATTTCTTTTTCAGATAGTTTGCTGTTAGTCTATAGAAATGATGCTGATTTTTGGGTGCTGATTTTGTGTCCTGTAATTTTACTGAATTCATTTATCAGTCCTAACAATTTTTCATGGAGTCTTTAGGGTTTTCTATATATAAGATCATGTCATCAGCAAATAGAGACAATTTTCCTTCTTCTTTTCCTATTAGGATGCATTTTACTTTTTTCTCTTACCTAATTGCTCTGGCTAGCATATTAGAAGGATGACATGGTCAAAGAACTGTTTCTCTTACTGTTCGATTGTGGTTTTTCTTGGTTATTGTGCAGTCCAAGGAAGTATCTCAGCCTCACTCCAGAGTTCTGGGATATTCAGGATAGTATTTTTTGCCTGCGGATCATTGCTAGTTACATTTTGGGGGGTGGGGTGTGTGAAACCAAGGAACTCCTATTCTGCCATATTGCTGATAACACTCTCCACGTCCTGAATTCTAAATTCCACTCTCCTTGCTTCCAATGTTGTTATGTGACCTCTCCACTGGTTTCTTCTGTTTTCAATCTCTCCCCATTGTAAAACCACCTTCTAATGACCTTCTTATCCCTTTAGTCCATTTCTTTTTACTGCGTCCGTCCCTGACAATACCTGCTGTTTACTCAGCCCTTAACGTTGTGTTTCCTGCTCTCACCATTGAAAACAACAGATTTCTCAAAGGTGAAAATCAGGTAGGAGGCAGACAGGACTGGACTCTGGACCAGACTGAAGACTGACCGAAACAGGGAAGAGGCATGGAAAGCACCTCTCCATAAGACACACCCACTTGCACCAAGACAGTTTACCATTGCCATGGCAACACCTGGAAGCAACACCAGTACATTTTCTGGCAAATTGTGAATCACCCATCTTTTAATTAGCATGTCATTAAAAGCAGGTATAAATATGACTGCAGACCTGTTCCTGAGCTGCTGCTCTCAGCACACTGCCTATATGGAGTAGTCCCGCTCTGCGGGAGCAGTCACAGAGATGTACCTATTGTCACCACCTCAATAAAGCTGTTTTCCTCTACAACTGGCTCGCTCTTGAATTCCTTCCTGAGTGAAGCCAGGAACCTGCCCTGTATCAAAAACATAACCTAATTTCCAAATCATCTGGACATTTCTCAATTTTTCATCCTGCTTAATATCTCTGTAGTTGGCTGACAATCTACTTCTGCCTGAAACTCTCTTTGCCTTTGCTTTTCCTGTCCCTGGCCGCCTTGGCTCTCCTCTCCTCTCTAACTGTCCCCCTAAATCTCCTCTTCCACCCATTAATTACATTAGGGGGTCTGTCCAGATTCTTCTTTCGGCCCAGTTCTGCTCCCTCTGGAAATCCTCTCCACTGTCAATGCCTCAACAGTTATCTTGAAATGTATCTTCCATTTCTACTCCAAATCCAACCTTTCCCTGGAGGTCACAAAATCTCACAATTGAAGGAAATCTTAGAAATCATTTAGTCGATCCCTTTACTCCACATATGAATCCTCTCTACTCTGTAAAACACGTGAACATGTGCTACCCTGCTTGGAAAACTCTAAGGTACCAGAAGAAAGTCAACTCTATTATGATCTAGTTCTTTATCTCCAATTGCTTGCTCCACATCTCCACCTGATTGTTATTCAAGCCCCTCAGGCTTAAAATACCTCACGTGGAATTTGTCAACTTTCTCAAAAACCAGCTGCTTTTCCTAAACTCCTACTTCTGTGAAAGGTACCACTATTATTTTAGTCACAGGCTTAAGATTTGAGATCACCTTAGACATCTTTTAAATTAATATAATTTATTTTTTTAGAGCAGTTTTGGGTTCACAGAAAAACTGAGAAGGAAAGAGAGAGTTCCCACATAGTCCCCCTTACACACTCTTCCTACTTTCACACACACAGCCTCCTCCATCATCAACATCCCATATTAATGTGGTACATTTGCTACAATCAATGAGCCTACACTGGCACATGATTATCAACCGAAGTCCATAGTTTACATTTGGGTTCACTTCTGGTGTACATTTTACAGGCTTTGACAATTGTATAATGACATATATTTACCATTTATCATATGGAAGAGTTTCAGCATCCTAAGATCCTTTGCCCTCTATTTATCCATCCTTTCTTCTCTCTAAACACTTGCAACCACTGATCTTTTTAACTCTCTCCATAGTTTGCCTTTTCTAGAATGTTATGTAGTTGGAATCATATTGTATGTAATCTTTTCATATTGCTTTCTTTCACTTAGCAATATGCATTTAATAAGGTCCCTCCATCCCTTTTTGTGGCTTGATAGCTTATTTCTTGTTAGTGCTGAAAAATATTCCCTTGGTTATATGTACCACAATTTATTTATCCATTCACCTGCTGAAGGACGTCATGGTTGCCTCCAAGTTTTGGCAATTATGAATAAAGCTGCTGTAAACATCTGTGTGAAGGTTTTAGACTCTTCAGTCCTCTATAAACCTCACATCCCATAATAAACATCTGTATAACAGTTAGGGGCTTAAAAGAATTAAAATATACTATCATTTGATGCATGTATTATAATTTCCTAACTATTAATAGAAAGCAGGCTCAAAGATAAGAAGGGCTCATCCAAGGCCACATAGCGTGGAGGTGGAAGAGCAACAACTCAAGTTCTTTAAACATCTCTCTTATCCCTCTAGGTTGTCAGTCCTAATATTTTGTGTTTTGAATTCACCCTTTCATGTCCACTGCCACCAGTGTGGTTCAGAAAGACTTCTTGTTCTTTGCATGAACCCTCACCACACTCTCCTAATCAGATACACTTCTCCTGGTCTATAAGAACCCCTCTAAACTTGATGCCCTCAACTACACTATACAGTGTCTAAATAGACAATACCATCACATCCCTGCTTGTGAAACCCCCAGTGTTTCTTTCTTTCTTACTGAAAAAAAGCCCAAATGCCTCACTGTGGCACTTGAAGCCATTCAGCATGGATGGTTATAACTCCCTCTAGTCCCTGTAAATTTGTTTATATCATAAACAGTCACAGTAATAACCTTAGTCTTATAGGCCTTGCCTGTGATTCTAAGTCATCTGCCATGCAGGCCCTTTCCTGTCACCTTTCCTTTCACTGACTGATTTCAGCACAGAGTTTCCATCCAGATCCAGGAGGCCCAGAGGATGAGAGTGCTCAGAAAGGGTCCCCAGCTGTCCATTGCTTGCCAGTGTAGTCACAAAAGGATTTGGGGGAATTTACAAAATGCCACAAATCACTTTCCTAGCATTCTGCAGTTATGATCATACATAAACCAAAAATAAAAAGCAGGGAGGTAAAATTGCCACTAAAACTACAGGACCTTATTTTTTGATTCAAAGAAATAAGGAGGGAAGATCAGTAAATTCACTGAAATATTATACAGGTTTTTTCCTAGGGTTGTCCTAATTATAAACATTGCTGGGGTTTATTCTTCTCCTATTAATCTATAGAGTTACAGAAAAATTCTTTGAAGGCAATCTTACTGCAAAGAAATATATATATATATATATATATATATATATATATATATATATATATATGGAACTTTACACAAAAGAATGTTAAAAGAAATGCATAGCAATGAATAAAATGAGCTCAGAATTTCCTGAAACATAATTACTTGCTCTGTATAGACTACATTAACATTTTAATCTTGTTTATGAAAAGACACATACTCTTGAATCACAGAATGTAAATAAAATTAAGTTCTAGAATAAAAAGATCCAAGTCAAATATAAAATATCTTATAATCATCAAGAAAATAACTTTAGGTATTTGTGTCTGATACCTTTCTAATTCTATGGAATTGATTTAAAACTATTTTTTCCAGGTATGAAAAAATATTTTTTAAAGTATCACTGTCATTCTTTGTAAGAGTCTTTGACTAAAAGACTATATTTAATTCTTATTAGATGGGGAAAATAATCAGAACTAGAAAATCCCAGAACCAGACATAGTGTTTGAAACGACTTCTTAATTGAGCTGTTTTCAGGATTAGAAGTATGTGCTAAACTTTCGTTATTACCATCACCTCTCCCACCCTCCACCACCAAATTCTCAGCATATGTTTAAGAACTAAACTGAGACTTAAATATCTGCCATCTGGAAATGCATATGAAAACCTTTCCACATTTCCAAGTCTGGTAAGAGCAAATATCTCTTTTATGTGCCTTTAATGCTAACCAATTCAAATGGTTTTCAGAACAACAGGTATTTAAGTTACAGATGTTTCCGGCAGCAAGGTTATTTTTTTGGTCCTCTGATGGACCTCTCAAATTGACAGAGAAGGCAGCTTTAAACACGTAAACATAGTTTAGCAGTTTTTGGTGAGGATCTAATTCAGCTTATAAATCAAAATTACCCAGTACACTCCTTGAATCCTTCATGAAGTACAATACAAACGTCTGGTTTGTGTCTACTGTACCACTCGCTTGAAAAATTGGATCACCTCTATTAACTCTTAGACAGTGTTTCTCTACAGTCTCATGTATTCAGCTTGCTCATCCACACAGCACTCTCTTCTCAGTTCTTTAGCCAAGGGAGTTTTTTTTTGGTTTGATATTTTTTTTTTCATTTTACTTTGTTTTACTGGTCAACTTCAAGAAAAATACATACATTTTGTAAGTTTCTCTAACCGTTTTAGCTTGACTGCTCCATTGCCTATGGTGTACTTTCACTGAATGTCTGGTCAGTGGAAATATTAAAAGATATTTTTCTCTTATTCCTCTTCCCCAATAAGAGTTTCATTTGGGTAATTTACACACATGCACACATGCAAATGTGATGCAACTCCACACTCTAAGCTAAGGCAACTCCACATTCTAAGGTAAGGTAAAGGTGGTATAACCTGCACAAGAGCACCAGGCTGAGGGGAAAATAGGTGCTAGAATCCAACTTAATCTCTGCTAGCCAAGCTTTGTGTCCACAGAGCTGGTTCTGTCCAGGGAATTCTTTGAATTCTCCCAGAGGCACCTTCCTAAGTGTTCTGGCTCTAGAAAACACTGTTCTTTTGTTTATCCTGTTTATTGTCCCTTTCCTACTGCCTAGAGGACCTAAAAAAAGGCTATGGGCATCTTCATCAAGATCTTTCTAAATAGTCAGGAAAACATGGCAAACTCTATAAACTATGGCCAACCATACAATTCCTACTTCCTCAGCTCAGTCTGCCAATTACAGTCAGGCTGATGCTAGACCATGTACCATTTCATGATGTGTTTATTTCAGAACCTCTTCATGATCTAAGTTGTTTCATTTGGTTAGATTATTGAGTAAAATCCACAGAGGGTTGAGGATGAGATCCTGGCTAACTAGACCCATTGCATTGGACGTGAAAATAAATAAACACTGTGGTTAGGCTGTGTGAAGGAGAACCAGAGCTGTTAAAAACAACATAAAGTGGTAAAAACAGATTTTATTCAGGACTACTGCAATAGAGGAAAGGAGACCTCAGAATAGAACTGGGCTCAATTCCAAACACACATGGGAATGTAAGAATTTATAGCCAAGGAGCTAACTGGAGGTCAGAGGATGGAAAATTACTAAGAGAAAACATCAGGGGTAAGGTGGGATTCTGGATAAAATCACCTAACAGGATCCTTGCTAAAAGCAGGCCAGGGTGATCAGATATCAGCCGGGGATGGTAGAGGCTGAGGAACCCAATTAGGTATCAAGCAGGGGATTCTGGCTAAGCCAACGTAACAGGATTCTTGCTAAAAATAGGACAATGCAAAGACGATCATAGAAATAAAAAAATCTAGGCTTAGTTGCAAAAGAGCTCAGGGGAGCCTGAGTAGAGTTGAGTTTGGTCAAGGAGAGAATCTTTGTCAGTTGTACCAAACGGAAAAAAAACACTTTTTCATCCCTGTAGTCTGGCTTTGTTCTCCAGCAAAGTGTTGCTATCTGCTCACAAACACTTACTGAATGACATCAGAAATCTAAGGGGTCAGAAGGTAACAGAGGAAAAGGGGCATAATCACTCAATGTGCCCCTCCACTTAGCTGTTTAGACATTTTGTTCCCCTGGCTAACAATGAAGGTATATGGGTAATCTCGTGCCTGCAAACTGGAACACTAAACATATGGATTGAATCAGGAGGACATCTGACAAAAGTTACAGATAATTCCACTTCAAAGTTAGCTGTGCTTTCCATTTCCAAATGCTTTAATCATTTGGTCTGTATGCCTGTCTCCCCAGCACAGGCCCTTGAGGAAACAGATGTGTCCCATTGTTACAGGTAGAAGCCCAACATGTGGGAATCAGGCTATTGGTCATGCCCCATGCCAAAGCCCCTCTGTCCCTGAAGCCTCAATACTCCACACATGTGAGAAACAGTGAATCAAATAAACTTTTGTGGCAGTGTGCAGAAATCAAAAGGGAAAACATGAGAGTTTAGCTAATCCACACAGCTTGCTTGCCCCTGCAACCAATGTACATAGGAGAATCAGCACTGCAACTCATGCTCTGTGCCTCATCGGAGCAGATGCTGGGACAGCAGTTGCTGTGGTCGTAGCAATTGGAGGCCCAGCAAATGTGCAAAGACATTGGTGCCAATTTAAGAGAATAAGGGGTGACAGGAAAGAAAGGCCTCTTTACACAAGCAAAAATGGTCTCTGGGGACAGTCAGCTGGTACAAAACGTGAACCAAGTCTTATAATCTCTTTGCACTGGGTTTTTTTTATTTTTTATTCTTTTTTCCTGCAGGCTGGTGGAATAACAGCTCTCTGGAAGCCTCAGATCTGTCAGCTTATGTTCCTCTTTCATGATTTTTATCCCCCCTCTAACTCTGCCTCACTTAGAAAAAGAACATATGGACTTTGTTGAGAGGCCGTTGAGGAATGTATAGAGTGACAAAGGCAAAATATGCAAAAGAACCCTTGAAAATGTCACATTATTGGCTTAATGGCTTTGTACAGATGGGAGTAAGGTGATGCCTTTGAAAACTTTTTATTTGGTTGGCTGACTTTGCCAGTTACAGCTCATTTCTCAACCCAAAGGCAAAATACCATTCAGATTCAGTGACCAAGCAAGTTAAAAACTCCAGTATAAAACAAATACTTTGAGCATATGGCATTTTCCTCATTCTAACACCTTCTTTTTCATTCTGTATATCTAAATGACGAATGAATGGAAGCTCATTTAGGAAAGTAGCTTGGCTAAAATGTTGGAGAAAAACTACCATCAAGTTGAGAAAGTATTTTTATTACATTTTTGAAATTTCTTTTATTGAAGTGCATATATGTCATGTCCAAACTTTTCTGTATCACCAAACAAAGTGTCACAAAAAATTTTCTGGAAAAGTATTATTGATGATGTTGCTTTACTCAAATAATTGTCAAAAGCATTCAGCTAAACTCATTTCCCCCAACTACTTTCCATCTAAATTTGCCACTCTGCAGTGAGCTAAATTCTATTTTTTCAACTTATACCTCCATAAGTGTAAGAATCTGATCCTTAGTAGATAAAGAATGAGAAATGTTTGTAGATCTTGTGAAATTCATAATTATACACCAAGTTTAGAAATAATGAGAGAAAATTTGAGTGTACTAAGTGCCTTCCTTTATTAGCTTATTTAATCAGTATTTGTTGTGCATCTACAATGCACTCTAGCACTGACCAATAAAAATATGTGTGTGACAAATAAAATTTAAAATTTTCTAGTAGCCACATAAAAAAGAAACTGGTGAGATGATGATGATGATGATGATGATGATGATGATGTTTGAGTGATGGAGTCTTGCTCTGTCACCCAGGCTGAAGTGCAGTTGTGTGATTTCAGCTCTCTGCAATCTCTGCCTCCTGGGTTCAAGCAATTCTCCTGCCTTGGCTTCCCAAGTAGCTGAGACTACAGGCGTGCACCACCACACCTAACTACTTTTCATATTTTTTTTTTTAAGTAGTTATGGGTTTCACTATATGTTGGCCAGGCTGGTCTTGAACTCCTGACTTCAAGTGATCCATCCTCCTTAGACTCCCAAAGTGCTGGGATTACAGGCGTGAGTCTCCGCACCTGGCTGAAATTAATTTTTTATATCTTATTTTACCTAATATATGCAAAATATTATATCAATAGATAATTCATAAAAATTATTGAGACAGTTTACATTCTCTTTTTATACTAAGTCTTCAAAATCTAGCTTGTATTTTATACTTTCAATGCATCATCCACATTTCAAGTGCTCAACTGCTAGATACAGCTAGTGGCTACCACGTTGGACAGCATGTCTCTGGACAAACTGAACAATAACAAACTTCACGGTGCTTTCCTACCTTCTTTATTTGTTTACTCTCTTCTCTCTGCCAAAATGTTCTTATGCTTCATCCATACATTCAATCACTCATTTAACATGTATTAAACCTCAGTTTATAGCAATATGGCAAGATAATTAGCTTGCAATACTCTTCTAATGAAACCCTAAGAAATTATTGCTAAAATGTAACAAATATTCTTTGAAATCCATTGTTAGGATTATAGGAACATAAAGAAAATTTCCAGAGCCAAGCTAAAGAGGAAACTAAAAACTGAATGAGGCTGGAGTTGCTGTTACCTGAGCTGCCGATGGGTTGGTCCTAAGCAACTGAGAAGCTTGGTTTTCACATTTTAAGAAATACAGCTTGTCAGATACTCAAGATTTAAGCTGGAGTTCAGATTTGTCTCTAGCAATGGGACTACAGAATAGTGTTACCACAGTGAAATACTGAATGAGGAAAAACTCCTTCTATCATGGAAGACAAGGATAAGGGTGACTGTCTTAGCTTAAGAAGGCTGTCTTAAGAAGAGATTTAAAAATCTCTTCTTAAAATTCCTATCTGTGGGTCTCTCTCCACTGAGGCTTGAGTTCCAATTTGCACTAACATGTTAGATATTTAATTAAACATGTAAACACACATGTGTTCTAGTAACTCCCAGAAAGCAGAAGCAAGTACAAACATCTCAGGGGGATATACCTTCATCCCAAGGCACATCAAATTATCGCTGGTTAAACACAAAACATGAACTCATAATACAAAATTAAAAACAAAATGAGAAAACAATGTATTCTGAGCAAGAATAAGCTATCAACCTAAATAATCAAAAGGGTCAGAATACAAAAGAGAGTTTATTCAAGTGAAAAGTGTGCGGGTGGCAATCCGGTGAGCAGAGCTACAGCAAAGAATGGTGATCAGGGTTCCCGGTATGGGATAAAATAAGGATCATTTATACAGGCAAAACGGAGGTGCTGACCAGAAGTACATTTTCCATACAAAGGCTAACATAAAGATATAAGATTTGATTGGCTACTATTAATTACACTCTAAGGAGGGTGTTTAACATTCTATTCTCAAGAGGTAACAGTTACAAGAATCTCTATCTCCATGTCTTTTACTCTAGGTCTGAATCAAGAATAGGGAGTCTGGTTAATGTATAACATCTCAATGCAAAAGTCAAAAGAAAAAAGTCATGCACCAGAGAAGAAAAATAGTTGTATTGTGTGAATCAAGTTTCAGGGATTAACTTTTTCTTTGGCATAATAAATTTGGAAGGTCCTGAAATTTTATTTTCTTTTTACATAGCTGATAAAGCAAATAAATAGTAGGATTAGAACTCTTCAAGAAATTCTGATTACAGAAGTATCATAGAGCCTATAAAATAAGTACACCTAAAATACTAAAGTCGTAAAAGGAAATGCCAAAAACACAAGAAAAGAACAAATACCAGGCAGATGAAAACAAATAACCAAATTGTACCTGAAATGATGAATATAGTCATTCAATCAGTTATTCAATTAAATAACCTCAATAACTAGACTAAATTGTTACCTAAATCAAATTTGAAGAGAAGATTACCGAGCAGGAGGTAAATGGTGTGTAATCCCATAACTAGATGAACTATCATTTAAGAATTATGTTGAAATAAGAGCATTTTCAGTCAAACATTTGCAGTGTTTTCTATTATAAGACCCTTGCTTAAAAAAGTACTCAAAGATATTTAGAAAGAAAAAAGGTGAAAGCTGAAAAAAAATGAAAAATGAGAAGGAATGGGGAAGAAATTGGTAAATTTGAGTTTACATAGAAATAAATTTATTTAAAACAGGTATAATAATAACACTTACTTGGAAGATACATAAAAAGTAGACCAAGAAAAAATAGCATAGGAGAAAGAGGACTAGAGTTAAAGCATTCTAAATTTCTTCTAAGAATAGGATGTTTATTAGCATTATACTTAAGGGTCAGATATGTAAGTTAAAATTTTAAGGGTCAAATGAAACATTGAAAAAACTTTTTATCTTTAAAGCATGAAGATAGGAAAGAGGGGTACTACAGACTGAATGTTTGTGTCCTCTAAAAATTTTTATGTTGAAACCTGAATTTCCAATGTGATGATATTTGGACGTAGGGCCTTTCAACAATGATTAGGTCACAAGAGTGGAGCCGTCATGAACTGGATTAGCGTCCTCCTAAGAAAAGAGAGAGTTTGCTTCCTCTCTATCTGCCATATGAGTACACAAAAAGAAAGCTGTGTCTGCAAGCCAGGAAGAGGGACCTCACCAAGAACTAAATTGTCTGACGTCTTGATCTTAGACTCTCCAGACTTCACAACTGTGAGAAATAAATTGTTATTCAAGTCATCCAGTCTATGGTGCTTTTATGTGTCTATGTAAACAAGGGGACAAAGTAAACCCAAGGGTAACATTACATGTCAGCTACTGTACAAGACACAGGAATCCCCAGAATGAATAGATCAAGGAGAAATATTTATGATACAATGAGAAAAGACACATTGAGAAAAGAAAAATGAGTATATATTGGAGAGAATGATTTATTCTGCATAGAACCTTCAGGCAAGGATTAACAACGAATCTTATAGCAGTGCTATTGAATAGAAATATAATGTGAGGCACAAGTTAAGTGTTTGATAGTTTCTTATGGCTAGTGGCGACTGCACTGGATCACACAGGGGCTCCCAACCTGATGTTCTGCATATTGCTGTGGCCAAGGAATTTAGGTGGGGTGTGCAAAGCATTTCTTCTGCTTTCAGTTGAGTGAGGTAAATACTAGGATGAACAAACTTAAACAAGCATCTAAGCTGCAAAGCTTCTTAGACCCTTCAACACACATATACTCCCAGGGGTAATATGGTATGTAGTATAATGTTTCACAAACGTATTTGCTCATTTAGTACTTTTTGTCTACAACATACCTGTTAATGCCTTCCTGAAAAATAGGCAGTAGAACATCAGTTTGAGAAACTCTGGTTTCAGTCATAGGGAAAAATCAAAGGAAATGGCAAGATGTAAAGTTGAAAACACAGGCAAATGTCAGACCAGAGGCTTGTCTTTTAGGCTAAGAAGTTGCGATCTTTCAATAGTAAGCAACATAGTAAGTAAGCTCTGAAGATACCTGAGCAGGGGGAGTGAGGAGTAATGCCTCTTGGCTTCAGATGTGGCCACATGAAGCTATGAGGTGTTATGGCTGCCACTCGCTAAACCAGACTGAAGAGGGGTTCCTTACAGCGACTTTTCTAGGGGCCTGGTCGATGCCTTCTCCCAGTTAAATACAGGCACAGCCAACTCAGCTCTTGTCGGCTGACAATGCAATCATTCCTCTTCAGTGGGTCTGCAACTGCAAGGAGAGGAGTCACAGACAACTGAAGAAGGAAAAACGTCCCCGGAATGCAGTGAATCCAGGTCATGGAGAAGTGTCTCTGATTCTGGAACCTTCTTGCTTCAAAAGGAATAGAGTATGTTCATAAGTCACGATACATGACAAAATTTCCTGGAATGCATGATTTAGGATATAGGTTCTAAGTGTTATATAAACAATGACTTTTATTTGAAAAAATATATTTTGTTTTTTGAATAGGTTATATATTCACATTGTTCAAATTATACACAGACACACAAATCTACACAGTGAAAAGCCTCAGTCCTGCTCTTGTTCTTCCTCTGCCAAGCTCCTATCACCTCTGTAGCAGGTACTTGTAGCTGGTGTCTAAAACTGCTTACACCTCTTGGCACACAGACAACATTTCCCAATCTCTCTTGCAATTATATATAGCCATGTGACTAAATCCTGGTCAGACGAGTATGTGCCACTTCCCAGTCTGGCCTATAAAAATCTCTCATGTTGCATCTTCCCTCTCTTTTCCTGTCTTCCAGCTGAGTGTTTATACCTAGAGCAACCTCAGAAGCTATGGAATAAGGAAGGGGAGGCCTATATAAGACTTAGCCCCTTAATGACTGAATGGTGCAGAGTAGCCCTGGATTGCATGAATATAATCTAATTTATTAAGCCAGTCTCTTATTCAAGGACATTTGGATTTAACATTGATTTTCAATCTTTCCTGCACTAGTGTTCTTAAAGATCATTAGATAGTTAATGAGCTTGGAATTTGTTTTTTTTTTTTTGTTTTTTTTTTTTTTTTTTTTTTTTTTCAATCCTGCTGGATCAAGATGTATATCTAGTGCAGAGAAAATCTGACAGGAACTTAAAGCTAGGATATAGCAGATGATGGACTTCAGGGCTGAGAATACTCTGCTACTGATGGAAATTCTGTTTAAATGTCACTTTGCATACTACATACACAGTGTTGGGACAAGCTGGAACTAAACAACCCCTCTGTGGAATTAATCATATTACTGCGTAGAGCATTAGACAACTGTTCCATTCAAATGTTACTGATGTCATGTGCAAAATGGTTGATGGGTTCACATTTGGCATTCATTAAGAAGTAGTGGCTAAAATTAGTCAGAATCCTAGGTGATTAATCTTTGATATGCATGGCCATAAATGGTGTTCAGTCACTTAGCCAGCTTTTTCATATGGATCCTTCTTAAGGACTGGAGCATATCTCATAAACCATTTGCTTAGTCATTTAACTAGAGTGCCTACTTTTGCCAACAGCTTGACAGTTTAAAAAAGAATAAAAGCCTGTTCCCTACTGGAAAAATTTGGAATTTTGCCATAATCGTTATAGGCAGTGCTCTCAGTAAATTCCAGCTTTATGCCTCTTAGACAAATGGAGTATGAATTTTACTGTCAGTAGAGAACACTGAAAAACAAAGAAAAGAAAGCATCAGTGTAGTATGTATCATGTTCTTTAATATTCTTCTTTAAAGTTAAATATTGATTATGACTTTGCAATTTATTTTCAAGCAAGAACTGTTGAGTATTTGAGGCTCTGAATGTTAGTGCTGATGCTAGGATTATGATAAAAATAAAGTGCTTCTTAAATTTAAAACTCTATAATATTTCCAAAGGTGATTCTGACATCTCACTTTATTTCATGTTTTCCAACAGTGAAAATAATTTTTTAAAAAACTTGAGAGTAGAACCCACACACTAAAAGCCCATTTATTGAGCTTGCTTTGATACAATAACATTGATACAGAAAAGATTCAGAAATTAACAATCAAAACTCACATCTATATTTACCAAAACCAACATAATTTATTAAGATATGCTATAATCATTAAAAACTATTTGTTTTCTCAGTAAGGTAACATTTGATTCTAAGAATGGGTGGCCTAGATATTTTTACAGCTATTCTCACAGTCACCCAAGATCTGGCTGCATTTTAATGAAGAAGTTAACTATATATAACTTGTGAATACATTGATATGCCCGGAGAAGAAGGGTTCTGTTAAAACTACAGATTGCACATATTTCCTAGAAAATAAGCAAGTATTTTCCTTAGGTTCTATACAGGTTACTTGGTATATCACTTCATTGATAATGTATAGAAACAGGCCCCATCACAATTCAATTCCAAGCAACTTCCAGATGGTTCCTGCTGGTATACCTTATATTTTTTCAAGAATCATGGGAAACCAGACATTCTCCTTCACAAACTCAGGATTTGGCATATGAGACATAAAGTCCAACAGTCGTTCTGTATGTCTTCCCTCTTCAACTCTTGTTCAGTTTATGAAGAACTTAAATCAGAGTGTACTTTATATACTAGTACAGTTAACAGTAAGATATGTTTCTTATTTAAACTTTAGTGTACAAACAAGTTGAAAGCATTGCCCTTACTATTGTTATGGGTTTTATGGGAATGGGATAACCATAACACACAACTGGACCTCAAAGTCAATGCTAATTTGGGCAGAAGGAATGACTGGGTATGCCTCAGCAGAGCAGCCAAAGGGAATTCCTTTACAAATTATGGAATCAAATGTCAAAAACAGTCCTATTGGTTAACAGAGTGAAAAGACAACCTATGGAATGTGAGAAAATATTTGCAAATCATATATTGGATAAGGGATTACTATCCAGAATATATAAAGAACTCCTACAATTCAACAATAAAAAACAAGTAACTAAAAAATGGGCAAATGACTTAAATAGACATTTCTCCAAAGATGAAATACCAACATGCATATAAAGAGATGCCTGGCCAGGCGTGGTGGCTCACGCCTGTAATCTCAGTACTTTGGGAGGCCGAGGCAGGTGGATCACAAGGTCAGGAGATGGAGACCATCCTGACTAACCCAGCAAAACCCCGTGCCTACTAAAAATACAAAAAATTAGCCAGGTGTGGTGGCAGGTGCCTTAGTCCCAGCTACTTGGGAGGCGAGGCAGGAGAATGGTGGGAACCCAGGAGGCAGAGCTTGCAGTGAGCCAAGATCACGCCACTGCACTCCAGCCTGGGCGACAAAGTGAGACTCCGTCTAAAAAAAAAAAAGCTCAGTATCAGTAATCACTAGAGAAATGCAAACCAAAACTATGAGATATCACCTCATACCCATTATAATGGCTATCAAAAAAAAAAAACCCAGAAAATAACAAATGTTGGTGAGAATATAAAATTAAAAACATGTACACTGTTGATGGAAATATAAATTGTACAGCCATTATGGAAAACAGTTTGACAGTTCCCAAGAGGTTGAAAATTATCATATGCTCCAGGAATCATATGATATGATTCTTCTGGGTATACACCCCAAAGTACTGAATGCAGAGTCTGGAAGAGATATTTGCAAACCCATGTTCACTGCAGCTGGAGTCACAATAGCCAAGATATGAAATTTACCTAAGTGTCCATTCATAGATGAATAGATAAAATGTGGTTTACACATATAAAGGACTATTCCACAGCCTTAAAAATGAAGGAAATTAGATGTAACACATGATTGTCAAGTGTTACAATATGGATATATCTTCAGATTATACTAAATAAGATAGTCACAAAAAGACAAATATGGTATGGTTCCATTTAAATGAGGTATCTAAAGTAGTCAAATTTATAGAAACAGAATCAGAATGGGGGTTGCCAGGGGATAGGGGAGAGGAGCAAATGGAGAATTGCTTAACGGATATAGAGTTTCTGTTTTGCAAGATAAAAAAGCTCTAAAAATCTGTTGCACAACAATGTCAATATACTTCACAGTATTAAAATGTACACTTAAAATGGTTAAGATGATAAATTTTATGTTATATGCTTTTTGAGCGCAATTAAAAAATTTTAAAATATTTTTTAAAAAACAATCCTATTGGCAAACAATCCTACTGGCCAGTCTAAGAAACCACCACAGTTATGAAAACTCCATTAGAACCCTGTAGCTCCAACTAATAATTAAATCCACACATTTACAGGCAATTGATCTTTGCCAAAGATGCCAAGAACATACAATAGAAAAAGGATAGTCTCTTCAATAAATGATGCTGGGAAAACTGAATATCCACAAGCAGAAGAATGAAACTAGACCCTTATCTCACACCATATACAAAAATCAATTCAAAAGGGATTTTGAACAGTTTCAGATGTGAAACTAATAAACTAGTAGAAGAAAACATGGGGAAAACTTCATGACACTGGTCTGGGCAAATTTTTTTTGGGTAAGAGCTAAAAAACACAAGCAACAAAAGCAAAAATAGACAAATGGAATTGCATCAAAGTAAAAAGCTTCTGTACAGCAAAAGAAACAACAGAGTGAAGAGACAACCCATGGAATGAAAGAAAATATTTGCAAACTATACATCTGATAAAGAGTTAATAATATCCAAAATATATAAGGAACTCAACCAATTCAATAGGAAAAAACCAAATTACTCAATTAAAAAATGGGAAAAGACTTTAATAGATATTTCACAAAGACAGATATGCAAATGGCCAACATGTATATAAAAATGCTCAACATCACTAATAATCAGATAAATGCAAATTAAAACCATAATGAGATAATATTTCATACCTGTTAGAATGGCAATTATAAAAAAATGACAGAAAAGTTTTGGTAATGATGTGGAGAAAGGGAGAACCCTTGTACAATGTTGGTGGAAATGTAAATTAGTAGAGCCATTATGGAAAATGGTACAAAGTTCCTTAAAAAATTAAAACTATGATCTAGCAATCCCATTTGATACATATGCAGAGGAAATGAAAGAGATGAGCACCCCCATGTTCCCTGTAATATTATTCACAATAGTCAAGATATAAAATTAACCAAAGTATCCACTGATGGATGAATGGAAAAAGATGTAGTATGTGTATATATGTATATATATACACACATATATATATAAACATATATATACACACACACACACATACACATACATACACACACAGTGAAATATTCAGCCTTAAAAAAGAAGGAAATTGTGTCATTTGTGACAACATACATGAACCTGGAAGACATAACACTAAGTAAAACAGGCACAGAAGGACAAACATTACATGACTTCATTTATATGTAGAATCTAAAACAAGTAGAACTCATGGAAGCAGAGAGTCGAATGATGGTGGCCAGAGACTAGGGAACTTGAGGGAAATGGGATTATGTTGGTCAAAGGGTACAAAGCTTCAGTTAGATAGAAGGAGTAAGTTCTGGTGATCTAATGCACAGCATGGTGATTATAGTTAATACTGTATTGTGTACTTGAAATCTGCTAAGAGTATAGACTTTAAATGTTCTCACCACACTCGCATGTACATACATACACAAACGTAACTACTAAGTGAGGTGATGAATATGTTACCTCTGTGGCTGTGGTAATCATTCCACAAAGGGTATACCAAAACATCACATTATATATCATAAATTCATACAACATTTATTTGTTCATTATATCTAAATAAAGCTCTGTGAAAAAAAAAGAATCTTCTGGACCCCCAAGAACAGTGCTAGTTGGTTTTCATCTGATCAAAGAAAATCTTAAGGCAACACAGGCCTTTAAGGTACAGACACACCTCAGAGATACTGTGGATTCAGTAATAAGGTAAATATCACAATAAAGCAAGTCACACAAATTTTTTGGTTTCCCACTGCATATAAAATGTATGTTTACACTATACTGAGGTCTATTAAGTGTACAATAACATAATGTCTAAAAAAGCAATGTACATACCTTAATTAAAAATACTTTATTGCTAAAAATGCTTACAATCATCTGAGTCTTCAGTGAGTTATAATCTTTTTGCCAGTGGAGGGTCTTGCCTTGATGTTGAGGGCTGCCGACTGATCAGGGTGGTGGTTACTGAAGGTCGGGAGCTGTGGCAACTTCTCAAAATAAGACAACAATGAAGTTTGCTGCATCAATTGATTCTTCCTTTCACCAAAGATTTCTCTGTAGTATGTGATGCTGTTTGACAGCATTTTCTCCATAGCAGAACTTCTTTCAAAATTGGAGTTAATCCTCTCAAGTCTTTCCACTGCTTTATTAAGTAAGTTAATGTAACATTCTAAATCCTTTGTTGTCATTTCAACAATGTTCACATTATCTTCACCAGGAGCAGTTTCCATTTCAAGAAACCACTTTCTTTACACATTCAAAAGAAGCAACTCCTCATCCATTAAAGTTTTATCAGGAGATTGTACCAATTCAGTTACATCTTTAGACTCCACTTATAATTCTAGTTCTCTTGCTATTTCCACATCTGCAGTGACTTCCTCCACTGAAGTCTTGAACCCCCAAAGTCGCCCATGAGAATTGGAATCAACTTCTTCCAAACTCCTGTAAATGTTGATATTTTAACCTCCCCCCATGAATCACAAATATTCTTAGTGCCTTTTAGGATGGTGAATCCTTTCCAGAAGTTTTTCAATTGACTTCACCCACATCCATCAGAGGAATCACTGGGCAGCGATACCTTAAAAAATGTATTTCTTAAATAAGAAGACTTGGAAACTGAAATTACTCCTTGATCCACTGGCTACAGAATAGATGCTGTGTTAGCAGGCATGAAAACAACATTTATCTCCCTCCCCATCTCCATCAGAGCTTTTGGGTAACCAGGCGCATTGTCAATGAGCAATCATATTTTGAAAGAAGTCTTTTTTTCTGAGTGGTAGATCTCAACAGTGGGCTTAAAATATTCAGTAAACCATGCTGTAAACAGATACACCATCATCCATGCTTTGTTATTCCATGAATAAATCACATGCAGAAATGTAACATAATTCGTAAGGGGGCTAGGATCTTCAGAATGCTAAATGAGCACTGGCTTCATTTTAAAGTCACCAGCTGCATTAGCCCCTAAAAATGGAGTCAGCCTGTCCTTTCAATCTTTGAAGCCAGGCACTGACTTCTCTTCTCTAGCTATGAAGGTCCTAGATGGCACTTTCTTCCAGTGTAAGGGTGTTTCATCTGCATTTAAAATCTATTGTTTAGTGAAGCCCCCTTCAATTATCCTAGCTGGATCTTCTGAAAACTTGTTGTGGCTTCTTCATCAGCACCTGCTGCTTCACCTTGCATTTTTATGTTTTGGAGATTGTGTCTTTCTTTAAACATCATGAACTAGCCTCTGCTAGCTTCAAACTTTTCTTTTGCAGCTTCTTCACCTCTCTCAGCCTTCCTACCATTGAAGAGAATTAGGGTCTTGCTCTGGATTAGGCTTTGGCTTAAGGGAATGTTGTAGCTGGTTTAATCTTCTACCTAGACCACTCAAACTTTCTCCATATCAGCAAAAATGGTGTTTTGCTTTCTTATCATTCATTTGTTCACTCAAGTAGCCCTTTTAATTTCTCTGAAGAACTTTCCCCTTGCATTCACAACTAGGTAAACTGTTTGGTTTAAGAGGCCTAGTTTTCAGCCCATTTCGGCTTTTGACTACACTAAGCTTAATCATTTCCTGCTTTTGATTTAAAGTGAGAGACATATGACTTTTCCTTTTACTTGAACACTTAGAGGCCACGGTAGGGTTATTAATTGGCCTAATTTTAATATTTTTGGGTCTCAAGGAACAGGCAGGCCGAAGGAGAGGGAGAGAGAGATAGGGAAATGGCTAGTCAATAGAGCAGTCAGAAGACACAACATTTACCAATTAAGTTCACCATCTTATATATAGGGCATGGTTTGCAGCACCCCCAAACAAGTACAATAGTAACATCCAAGATCACTGAACTCAGATCACCAAAACAGATATAATAATGAAAAAGTTTTATGTATTTTGAGAATTACCAAAATGTGACAGAGACACACAGTGAGCAAATGTTGTTGGAAAAATGGCACTGACAGACATGCTTGATGTAAGGTTGCCACAAACTTTCAATTTGTAAAAAATGCAATATTTGCAAAGTGCAATAAAGCAAAAATAGGTATACTTGTATAATTACAGTATCTTTCCCTTTACAAACTCTCTACAATTTAACTCAAAAAGCCATAGCTCCAACAAGTTTTAACGACTTCAAAGGCATTAGGCATTCTTCCTTCCAAAGCTGACTGAAGAATCAAGGGACATACTGAAGTGTTTACTTAAAATTAGGTTGTTCCTTCTGGGTCTGAGGAATGCATGAAGTTACATTTGTTCATATGTTATGAGTCCTGCTGGTGTGAGCCAGAATGAAAAAGGCTCCAAATAAGTGCTCCTTTCTGCTGGCGCTACCGGATTCACCTTCACAGCCTTCAACATCAGGCATGCAGTGTCCTCATTACAGTTTACCCTAAAAAGAATGCTATGACTTAGTGGATAAATGGAGAAGAGGACACAACAGAAGTCAATTATGCATTTAATATCAATGGGGAAAAATGTATGCGATGCGATCCTATGCCCCAAGTGGTAAACTATATCTAAATCCCATGCAAGGACACTATCACTTCAGGAAATGTGTTATCAGAACACGAGATAACAAGGCAGTGGCCTTCATTAATAACCCTGCTGAAGGCTATGTCCTTGTACCCATTCAGCTTCTTCCTAAGCTTGTGAGTCTAAGTCCACACAATAATGATGAGGCATATATATATTTAGTGGTATGCAACTGTAGCTTCACAGCCAAAAAAGAGAATAAATATTAAAATAATGGTATGTGGAAAAGATTGTTCAAGATACTTTAATGGTGTCATTTCAATTTAACAAATGTTCTTTAATATTGGTTACTATGTAAAACACCATCCTAAACACTGGGGCCAGGCCTGGGGCGGGGGATTTGAAAAACGAAATAACACGACATAACATGGCAGTCAAAGGAAAAGCTGCATCTCTGAGGTTATGCTTGAAGAGCATCTTAAAAGATATAAAAGATAAAGGGATTATCAATAAGTTTAGAAAGAAAGAAGGATTGAGAACCACAGTGGAAAGCCAGGAGGGCCTTTATGACTAAGAGAGCATCATAAACAAAGCTGTCAAAAGTACATAAATGTGACAGACATGTGGAGACTGCTAAAGATATCTATGGCAAAAGCATAAGGAGCAACAACAAATATAGTTTCCCTTTCCACTCTAGCAATAGTTTATTTTAAATTCTACATATGGGGTTGTGCCTGTCTTGTTCATTGCTGTGCTTTATATGTTTTGGGCCTATAATAGGTACTTAAGATTTGTTGAATGGATAGGCAAAAGATGAGGCCAGAAAGATAGTTGAGGGGCCAGATCACAATTCCCCTCCAATGCTAGGCTTGGTATTTAGATTTTATTTTTCCTTCTGGTAAAAACACATGACATAAAATTGACCATCCGAACCATTTTTAAGTGTGCAGCATAGTAGTGCTAACTCTATACATCCTGTTGTGCAGTAGATCTCGAACTTTTTCAGACTGCAAAACTGAAACTGTATACTCACGGAACGACTCCACATTCAGAATTTGGATTTTGTTCTATGGGTAATAACGTGTTCCTGAAATTTTTTGAGAAGGCTTTCTTACATTTTGGGAAGTAACCTAAGGGTACGCCAAAGCATCAGTGGGCTGCATGAAGGGAAAACCATTAGGTGTTTAGTAGATTGGTACGGTGAATAGACTAGACTATAGATTATTTTCTGTTTTAAAGAAAATCCTAACTGCAACATATGTAAAAATTGTTGATATATAAATTTATCTGAAATATACTGATAATGCTTGCTCATTTCAATATTTAAAAAAACACTCAAAAATACCCTAATATCTAACAGCATAGCACAACTTAAACATATCCTTAATTGCAATTTACTTACGTTATGCCAAAAGGCCCTTAGCTCAAAATTGCTGCAAGTCATGGACTGTTGATGTGAATATTTCTAACAAGCATTCCATTCTCCAACAGACTGAGTTCCAGGCTTTCACCCTCTTACTCCCTTGGCCTTGATCCAATATTTAACACAGACTCTTCAGCATTTCATTTATATCTTGCATGCTATTCTTCATTAGGGCACAAAATACACATGATCGTAGATTGTAGAAGAAAATTATAGATGGCTTATTTATTCTAAAGGACACAGTATTCTGTTTCTTTTTAAAAATGTGATATTCACCTAAGGTTCTCGGTATTTCCCTACTAAATTGTCCTTAGCTTTTTAGAAAGCATAAAATGTAGCACAGATACATTCATTCCATTAGTCACTCAAATAGCCAGTGTAAATTAAACTACCCTTCCTTAAGTCAATACTTCGTAATTTATAAGGACTTTAAGAAACCAATGCATAATATTTACTGGGAATATTTATGTTAATGTGAGGATAAGCTAATAACAATAAGAAGAATAAATTTCCTTAAGAAAATTTGGAAGAAGACAGAAAACATAAATATAAGCTGTTGAGAATATTAAATCTGCACTTTCTTCTGAAGGAAATGAAATTGCTCAAAAAATGTTAGAATTTCCAAATTACTGTTAAGGCATTTTAGTCCCAGTTTCCCAATAAAATAATATCATTTATTTTGTTTTTTCATTGTGTAAACAGAAGCCTGAATCAGTTTTGCAATAAACTGTTGGATCAAAAGAGCCTTTTTCCCAAGTTAGAAAGCTAAAAAGCTTGATGCCAAGGACTAAATTATCTCCAGCTGTAAGAGTAGATTTCATTTTTCTTGGGAAAGCTGGTAGTAGCTAAATTCATGTCATTTGTATATGAAAGAAAAGATAATCAATGGAAGATTAACAGTACAAATCAGTTAATGGGGCACTATGTACACCTACACTTACAGACTTAACCATGGTCATAAAAATATTCACATTCCCACCCAGATACATCTATTTTAGAGGAGTTTGCATTTTAAAACAGCTAACATGCAATCATATACACTAACATGTTAAAATATATATGATTGTTTATTCACTAAGTTAGTCACAGGTTATAGAATTTAAATTATACATAAAATAATTATATGCAGAGAAGGGGGACCCCATTTTGCATTCCCACTCTGAGAAATCTGGGATATCAGGTTAGTCACATCTAGTCCTATGTCCTATGTACATGTGTACCCCTAAAGGGCTCCAGGTGGAGAGAATGCTTGGCTGGTTTTCAGGTCCTGAATAAGATTCCTAAACAAGACAAAAACTGCCCTCAATCTCTGGAAAGTGCAGGAGATAGCTGGTGTGCACGCTACACCCCTCAGACTGCAACCTTGGGTAGTACCACTTAAATATCCTTCAACTTGCCCAGAGGACTTAATCCAAGAAATCAAGAAAGAAAACTAAGTGATTAACAGAGTTGACAGCTTCTTCTGGGCGTCGAGTAATAGATTTAAAAAAGAATCTCGACCGGGCATGGTGGCTCATGCCTGTAATCCCAGCACTTTGGGAGGCCGACGTGGGAGGATCACTTGAATCTAAGAGATCGAGATCAGCCTGGGGCAACATAGTGAGACTCCATCTCTACAAAATTTTAAAAAATTAACCAGGCATGGTGGCATGTGTCTGTAGTCCTAGCTACTTGGGAGGGTGAGGTGGGAGGATTGGTTGAGTATGGGAGGTCAAGGCTGCAGTGAGCCATGATTGTGCCACTGCACTCCAGGCTGGGCAAGACAGCAAGACCCTCCCTCAAAAAAAAAAAAGAATCTCTTTCCCATTTTTATGGCAACAAGAACAGAATTACTTGAACAGTGAGCAATAATGAGAGGCAGGGACAATGATCATAGAAGCAGAAAGGAGGAACAGGAGTGGAGGTTACCTTTACTCACCACAGGCTGAGGTCCTCAAGTGAGGCCCCCTAATGCCAGAAGAGGAAGAACATGGCCCAGAGCAGATAGGAGCAATAGCCTCACAGAGGAGCCAGGCCTTTGGGGAGAAGGGAGGAGGCTCTGGGTGGTAGCCCGAAGGTCTAATGTGGCTGATAGACTGAGGTTAAGGTAACCGCCTGTCAGTAGTAACCAAGCATTCCCAAGAAAACAGGCTACTCCTGGGAAGGATGTAAAAGCCCACGTGCAGTGGGTGGGAAATAAAGTGTGGGAGTAACATATTCAGAAAATAAGGCAGAGGTCTCAGGAAGAATACCTGTGTTTGGGCTGAGAATGGGTATTATAAGAGGGCATAAGAATTTACGAGCCTCTTTCATGAAAAGTAGGTGAAATCTAAGTAGAGAACGCAACATTCTAGAAATTGGTATGGAGTAAGTGATAATTTGAGACTAACTGGTGAAAGTTAGTGGACAATTTTCTTTAGCAGGAGAAAGAAGGAAACTAAGAGGAGAAGGTGGTAGAGAAAGAAAGGGGAGGAAGGAGGTAGAGAAAGAAAGGGGAGGGAGGAGGTAGAGAAAGAAAGGGGAGGAGAAAAAAGGGAGAGGAGAAAAGAGGGAACAAGAGAGTGACAGCAGAGCTAGGGCACAGGGAGTGCATAGATTCATTTAAAGAAAGGCCATACATTTAGGAACTGAGTCATGGCAAAAGTGGGAATGTATTATAAAATTAAATAGGTGATGAATCCTTTGTAAAAATTCCTAAAATCTGCACGTGCACACATCCCTAACTGAGACAGGCAGGGTGGTTGATTCCCTATTTTAAGATGGTCTGGAGGAAAAGGAGAAACGACCCTCACTCAAGCTCTAGCTTAGCTAACTCTCAGCCAATCTGTAACAAGAGACCCAAGAAGTTATTAACTGCAAGCTCCTATTTCAGGGGGCTGATGATTTCCCCAGAGTCCCATATGAGCAGTTAGGCTTAAAACCCCAACTTAAAGCTACCTCTTACTCCTCTGAATGCTAAAATTCAGGCCCAGGGGTGGAGATTTAAAATGCTACCACTACATGTAATATAGGAAGAAGCACGTTGAGCCAATGTGCAAGTGCTAGAAAAACTCCTCCCCTGCGTGCCCTGATGTAACCTTTCCCCACATAGAGAAACCCTAGAAAATGAACCCACAAACTGCCCTCAGAGAGAAGCCCGCTCCTTTTTCCTTCTCCATGCTATCTTCCTTATGCACAAGCTGGAATAAACTTAAACTTACCTTTGCTGCTATGTTTGGTGATCTCTCTCGATTTCTATCCTGGAAGACTGCAAGAACCCCGGGTGCTGGTAACACAACCACACACACACACACACATGTTGTAGAGCAAAATCAGGTAAAACCAGTAAGGTTTGTTGACTATCAGGCTATCCCAGAAGATGAAGAAATAAGAATTAACTAAATGTGATCTCAGAATAGGTATTTTCTAACACTGCAATCATGAAATACACACATAAACACATATTTGGTCAAGTACTAATATTTTAATGGCTAGAAATGAAAAGGCAAAAGGTGTATCACTTTGTGCACAACAAGGAGGAGAACTGAAATCAAAATTATAACAATACTAATGGTAATGAATTCCTTGGAGATGGAAATAATAATATACTTCTAACATTCTCTTTTATATATTTTTTTGTGAGCCATGACAAAACTAATGCAATGCAAATATCTGCCTGTAAGTAGGGTGATCAAATAACTTATTGTCCAAATCAAGGCACTTCTGCAAGAAAAAGGGGAAACTATTAATTATTATACTAGAACAGGCATAAACTGGGACAGTCCTAAGCAAACCAAGGAATCTGGTCCTCTACACATAAGTGTTAAATAACACATCAGTGGTTTCCTACCTATGAGCAGGAAACAGTGGGGCACAGGAATACTATTACAACTACAGCAATCCAAATGCTCAACAAGTATGGTCAGTAGGTGGAAACATAATATGCACATTTATATATGCAGCATTAATTTTAAAATGTCTATAGATAATGTTTTACAAAATTCAAATATACTTTAATATTACAAAATTCATGATAGATTTTTATCATCATGTATTTTCTCAATCAATGGCTCTAAGAATACCATCAGCATTATGTGTGCCTGGTTGAGAAAACTTTTAACTTTTAAAAGTGTTGGCACTCATTCACTTTTTGGTCACTGTTATCTGAAGTATTTACCAAACGGTTTAGTAAATGTTGACTATTACTATAAACATTCATTTAAAAAAAAATTAAGTCTCTACTAGGTAGTACTAAGCCTACAGCAAAAAACTGGAATGTGGTTGCTATCCTTGAGATACACAAAGCCTAGTTAGGGAGAGAAATAAACAAATCATTATAACCTACTGTGTTAAGTGCTGTGATATAAGTACAAGCAGCAAGTCCTATGCATGTCTTATCTAAACAGATAAATCACAACATACCATGGCAAAGGCAATAATGAAATGTAAACACAGAGCTCTGAGGTCATAAAGGGTAGAATGACCAACTGGGGGTCAGAAGAGGACAAAAGGGGAAGAGAATGCCATAGGATGGCAGAAATACAACCATCCATGAAAACAAAAGCAGACAGAGGAAGAGAACAAATTACTCAGAAATCATCTCCTTACTTAAATCACACACAAAAAAACTATACTTCTTACACAAATACACAGCTGCATCTATCCAAATGTTCCCAGAATCCAAGACTCTATAAAATACAACTGGAAAATCTCTGACCAGGAGGAGAATTTTTCACATGTATTTCTTCTATGGGCTGTTTTGCCTAAAAAAGGTCTACAGATTACTTTTTCTTGCCACTAGAAATAATTAATAGTATATTGCTACTTTTGATGATATGCCCAAAAATATTTGCTTTGAATCAAATACAATGTAAGAAAATGTAAAATAAGTGAATGTTTTTGAGCATATCATTATATTATGTAAATGAACGGTAAAAGTAATATATGGGATCAAGCCTTAGACCATCTACAAAGCTACCATGAACGTATATATACCTAAATAACTAATTGTGAGTACATCTTATTTTTAGGAAATGGCAGATGCTGGGAAAAATATATAATCTAATTTATTTTCAAAGAATGCTTCATGAACCTGTAGCTTTATAACTAAGGAATTATATAATCACAGGTCTCACTGGGGCCAGTACTAGAAAGATGACTATTTTCTCAATGAAAAGTTGATGATTCAAGAATATAAAATCATCAGTAAAAATTAAACATGTATTTATTGGACATGCTCTGGCAGTTGACATTTGTAGCTCACTTGTTTATAATAAAGTGAGGAAAAAAATCAATAAACCGAACAATTGCTAGTGAATCAGATTCAATTTACTTAACAGTGTGTTAAAAGACACATTTTACATTTGGAGATTGTAAGTCTTCTTGTATAAAATGTGAGACTCGTTTATCTAAAGAATTAGATTGCTCAAGACAAATACGACTTAGTCAACAAATTTAAATAAAGGGCAAATCAACTTTCCAGGTCTCTTTGACATCAAATTCCTTTGACATAATTATAATGGAATAAACTATTCTGAAAGTTCTCTGAGGCATTTCAAAAGCTGGCTACATTCTAAAATTTCAACTAGTTTAATTCAGATTGGTCTTCCTTCCTTGAGGCTTTCTCTATGCAAGATGAGATGTGTCTGAAAAAAAATGCAATTTAGTTCCATTACTGTAATCCATAATTTTTCACTATGCCCCTAAACAAACCAACTCCTAAAATTGCTAGGAAAACAAAAGATACTAACAAGTGCCACCAATACCAAACAGAAAAGTAAACACTAGAATATATAAGTTGAACACTAAAAATCAATTTCTATTGAAGGGGTAGTGCTTCTTATTTCCTGGATAGATATTCTACTTCATTTTCTAGTATTCACACATTCATTCTTATTCTCTCTCTCCCCTTCCGCCCATGTGTTCTGGGGATGGGGTGATATCTGTCTTTTTGTCTTTACCTCCATTCCAAATGCACACACATAAAGACCTTCAGGGAGGTTTTAAGGTTCTTGAACCTTGTCTTCGGCATACTATTTTAGGTAAACTGTCAGAAGGATTAAATATCTAATGGTAAAAACTGCAATTACTTTTACACCAACCTAATACTTCAGGGAAAACTTGGTAGAGCTGTATGACAATCTTTTTTAGATTTAACATGTATTTCAGTGATCAAGTCATTTGTGGGAAATTCTTTGACTTATTTTTATTGAAAAATATAATATGAATGTCAGTATGTACAAAAAAATTCAAATATAATTTCTTTTGGGTAGTAAGTCTACAAATAATTAACATTTGACCCATTGGAAAGAGAAAACTGAAATCTTTCCCAGAATAGGTAGGTAATTAGCAAAGAGAAAAGTACCATTTTTCAGACATACAAAATATGGTACGTTTGTGAAGGAGAGGGGTGGGCCACACAGAGAATTGGCCTCTGAATCTCCGATAAAAGCAAGATACCAGTCCATACCTAGATGACAACACAGAAGGGTTTCTGGAAGGAGTTTCGCTATTAATATAGGAATGGTCACTGTTTCTTTATGTAAAAATTCATAAAATGCAAAATGGCTGAGCAAAAACATTTTTTCTGAAAGACTTAGTAGTGTTAGAAAGAGAAAGCCTAAATTACTCACAAGTGAGTTTTAACATCTTGTCGAGAGAAGTTCTATATAGGGAGACTAAAAAAATGTAAGTGCTTTCTTCTCATAAATATGTTGTTGCTATCTGAGTCCAGTTTTGGATTTCTATTCTCTTGTTTTGTTAACCAGGCTAGCCATATACATGTAAAATTAAGGGAAGCCACTTTAAAAGGAATAGCTAAGTAGGTCAATTGGGTGGGATGAATACCAGAAAGTTTCTGAATACAAGGTATTTGTAATCATCTCTTCTATATTATGGGAAAGAGTTAAAGAGGTAATCCTACAAGAGAAAATTTTTACCTCCTGCAGAGGTAAAAATAATACTCAGTGTTCATCAATCACAACCTTGATTTCAGACTCTAAAACAGATCATCTCCCTACCCAATGCACACCAGTGTTATGGTTATCTGGAAGGATCACAGAGAATCCAAGGAACTAATATTGATGAAGCACTTAGGTTCTTTATATACATTGTCTCATCTAACACTCACAACATCCTTGAATGGTGTATAATAGGGTTGAAGTAAATGTATTCTATTGATATCTATCAAAATGTCCTTTTCTTCTTCATGTGATTTAAACACACATAGGCAAAGCATCTATACATATTTTTAAATGACACATTAACATTGAAAGTGATATATCAAACACATTAGAGAGGATGCCTTCTGGAAACGGGAAGGCATGCACATACACATATAATGTTAGCTAAATGTCTTATTAGTTTTTAAATGCAAATCTTTTAATTAAAGCACATCCTTCAAGCAACATGTATTGTCATGATCTTAACCACTTAGTAGCCCATGAACAGAACTGAGTTCAGTGGTACTTCCTAGCTGCAAATTCTATAGATGAGCACTGTTCAAATTCTCAAAATGGTAATCTTTATAAATGAACTCTGGGTCTACATCAAAATCCTGGAAATGGAGAAATAGTTACCAATTTCATGTAATGCAAACATTAATATACAAAAAATGAATACATAAAATTTTAATATCCACTTTAATTCTCTCAATCACCTATGCTGAATATTTACATAACATTATTATTTTAGAAGTGAAAAAGAAAATGGCAGGAAAAAACCTTGTCTTGGACTGGAAAATACTGTTTTTGCAGTCAGTTTAGAAGACTAAAGAAATTTAAATCTATTATGACTCAGATCAGAAGCCAGGTACCCCCTCAACTAGTTCACATCTAAAAATCAGGACTAATGCCAATCCCTACACATGTTGGAGTAAAGAGCTCATGCATGCGGGTGTGCAGCGCACACACACACGCACACACACACACACAATTCATGTGAGCCTGGGAGGGTCTTGACTTCAAAACTGAAAACTGTGGCACATCTTACTGGAGCATCAGTTGATCTCAACATCTGTTTTGGTCTGGGAATAGCACAATTTGTTAGTTTAATATATTAATGTTCTTAGTTTTTCTTTACGGAGTATTTACCATGTGCCAAGGCATTGAGCTAAGTATTTTACAAGCATTATGTCTTTTAACTTTTACAACAACCATATGAGGTACATCCCAATGGTATTCCCATCATATATGTAAAAAAACTGGCAGCCTTGTGAGGTTAAAAAACTTGTGCAAAGACATTTAGCTAAAAAGTGCTAGTTCCAGACTGCAAAGTCATGTTCTGAACCATTAAGCTATATTGAAACTCCCAACATTAATGTAATGAAGTAGAATGCCAACAACTTTAAATCAAAATACCAGAAACACCTGGAAGGTCATGCCAACCCCTTCACTCTCAAATGTGTATAAGCATTGTTTCTGAGAAGTTTGATAAGTACTGCAAAAACCATTTTCACAAATATAACAAAGCCTAAATTTAACTCAATGAACACTTACTAGGTTCCTATCCTCTAAAGCACTCTGCTGTGGAAAATAAGCATTTATAAGTAAGGTCCCTGATTTCAAGCAATTATGCTGATGTAGTAATCTACACAGGTTTACTGACTCTTTTAAATTTAGGAATACATTCTTTTTTTATATTTAGGAACACATTCTTTTTTTATTTTTATTTTTTATTTATTTATTTATTTTTTGAAACGGAGTTTCGTTCTTGTTGCCCAGGCTGGAATGCAGTGGCGTGATCTCGGCTCACTGAAACCTCCGCCTCCCGGTTTCAAGCAATTCTCCTTTCTTGGCCTCCTGAGTAGCTCGGATTACAGGCGTCCACCACCATGTCCAGCTAATTTTTGTATTTTTAGTAGAGACGGGGTTTCACCATGTTGGCCAGGCTGGTCTTGAACTCCTGACCTCAGGTGATCCGCCCACCTCAGCCTCTCAAAGTGCTGAGATTACAGGCATGAGCCACAGCGCCTGGCCTAGGAACACATTCTTATTAATTATTCTAAACACTTTTAGACAAATAATCCCAATAAACGGATCTTCTTAACTTTACATATCAATATGTATGCAATACATTTTATAAGAAATTGAGATTTAGACATGACACACTTCTTGGTCAAGGTCTCCACATACAAGGTTGAGTTGAAATAAATGATAAATATAAAAGAAAAATGACGTCATAGGAAAGCCATAGAGAAGAGCCTAAATTGTATAGATTGACATATAGAAGATGGACAGAAATGGAATGTTTTATAATTATAGAAATATTGAAATTATGATCCCGAGATAAGATTCAGCTTGACAAACAAAAGGTAGTCAAATACAAGCTTGGTCTGACTGGTAGCTGATGAAGTTTCGTCTCTCCATGACCTTAGATGGGGGAATACACTTCTACAAAGCTTTCACATTTTCTGTCTTCTACCTACATAGATACTAACACTCCTCTTTAAATAGACCGCATTCTTTTCTGTTAGTCACATTCATGACTGGACTAGAGTACATCCTTCAGTTGCCAAAGTTTGGGGCAAGTTATGTAAACTTATTACTGGAGCATTCTAGGAAACACACAACCACGAGTCTGGGAGGAAGCTGCAGAGTAGACTCTGCTCTCATACAACTGTTATTTACTGACACCCACCAGGGCCAAACTTGAAGTTCACACTTTATGAGTCATTGGTTCCATATCTTTAGAAGCATGGCGTATGAGGAGTCCTTTTCAAACTGCTGATTACCTCCTCAGCTTCTGAACATCTGTGTTGCTCTGTACCCATGACCATTTGTTTTATTTTGGTTTTTGCCAGCTGAGGATTAATTCAACTCAAAAGGCAATTCATCATGCTCGATTTTCTCCACATTTATTCCATTGATTAGGGAATTATTACAAGAGAGTGCCTCCCTCATACGATCTCACAATTATTGGGCCTAGGTAAGAGGAGGTATGTTTGTCATTCTTTAGAAACAGATATAAGGATAAAATGAGATATCTTGCATGTTTCACCTTCTTTGCAAGTACATTTTGGGGGTCCATCATTGTCTTATTTTTTCAGGCTTAACATTGGCTCTAGACACTCCCTCCCCGACACACCAAAAGGAAAAAAATAAATGCTCAAACTCAGTTTTGAAATCCAGTCCAAAACTTCTCAGGCTCACGAATAGAAATTTAAATCTATTATGACTCAGATCAGAAGCCAGGTACCCCCTCAACTAGTTCACATCTAAAAATCAGGACTAATGCCAATCAGGACTAATGCACATGTGTGTATGTGTGAGAGATTGTGTGTGTGTGTTTCCCTGCTTTAATATTTCACAGCTTTACTGCATCTGAAAATATTTAGAAAGCTAGTTTAGAAAAACTAGCTTTACTTGCTAGTTTTTTACATATGTTAAAACGCTATGACAGTATTCTGAACGTGTCCAGTGCCTTCAACCTTTCCTACTGAAGGTATTTCGACCCCTTCCTGCACTCACACAATCCTCGCTGTCAACAGGATTTCCATTTGCAGCTGAGACAGGCAGAGGCTGGTCCAGATCAAGAATCTGGTCGTGTGTAAATGTGCACGTTCCCAGAACTGATCAAAGACAGACGCACACACAGATGGTGACTCATAGGATAAACTTTTCATCAAAATAAATACATTTAAGAAATATATCTGAGGATAATTGGTTATAAATCATTTTACCTTGAAAAACAGAAAATGGAGGCCAAATAAAAATTTTTAAATATTCCACAAACACAAAAATCCTATTAAGTGTGGTTAAAATGGATGCCAGCAACTTCTTTATACCACTGACTATGTTCCCAAATCACATGCACAGGATTTTCCAAGGATCACAAGTCAAAGGCAACTAAGGCTATGTAGTAGCTGAGCCTGAAAGAACCTCATCTATGAGGTACACTGATTCTTTCCATCCCTCTTTCTTTTAAAATTATATATATATTTTTTAAATCAACAAACTTAATGGATCATTTATCTCTACAGAATATATTATTTTTCTCCTGGCACTCAAAGATTGCCAAAGTTATCACCTGCAATGAAGAATTACCCAGGCAGCCACCTACCAGTAGTGATACAGCAATTAATCAGAGGAAAAGTCAATAGGAGAATGAGAGTATGGCACTTAAGAAACACGTCTGTGAGTGTGCTACCATGGCATTATGGAGAGAATCAGTAGCAGACCAAAAGTGAACAAACAGGGGTTGTGTCCCACTTCCTATCGGGTCCTCAAAGATCCTGCCTAACCGAAATTCAAGGGCACTTTCATCCATGTCATTTAAAGCTATTTTATATTCCATGGAAAACAAAGTCATGAATGAAACCAGTAAAATACTGTTTGCTGTAACATGCCATCTCTTGGCTGAGCATAAGTGGGGAAGAAGTACAGGATGATTCGCAGCAATGGCTAAACTGTAAGCTAAAAGAAGGTGCTGTAAAGACAATGAAATGAGACGTCTCCCTTTGGCTATGTCTGAAGAAATGATACAAAAATAGTGTTATGCAGCCATGGACCACTGGGAAACAAAGCCCACAAGAAGATCCATCTTGGCATGCAGCCATCAAGGGTGGATTAGAACTGTATGTGAGCCTGGGTGCAGTGGTTCATGGGTATAATCCCAACACTTTGGGAGAACAAGGCGGGAGGACTGCATGAGGCTAAGAGTTTGAGACCATCCTGAACAACATAGCAAGACCCTGTCTCTAGAGAAAAAATTTAAAAATTAACCAGGCATGGTAGTGTGTGACTATAGTCCTGACTAGTTGGGAGGCTGAGGCAGGAGGATCCCTTGAGCCCTGGAGTTCAAGGCTGCAGTGAGCTATGGTCTGACCACTGTACTCCAGCCTGGGTGACAGAGTGAGACCCTGTCTCTAAAAAATAAACAAACAAAAAACAACTGTATGTGAGTGAGAAAGAATTGGCTGTTGCAACTATTAATACATGACAAGAAGAAGATATATTGCCTAGTAGCTTTTTAGACACGTATATAGCTTTGTGGAAGCTACTTAGGTATACCAAGATGATTGAAGCCAACATAATACTTCTCTCATTGCTAACTCTCCTTTGTGATAAAATCTGACACCAAGGTTGGCAGTGAGAGCAGCAGTCAGGCCTGATGTTCATCTGCTCAACACTGGTATGGCCAGTGCAGTTGTTCATGGGTATGCCTATTCTGAGCAGCCAGTATTATGAAATATTGTTAATATCAGGTGTGCCTCAACTAAGGGATGAAAGTGCTTTAGTAATAGAAAGCAAATAGGGCAATAAGAAGAAACTAGGTATTTCAAAGGTTTATATTTTGCTTAAAGTGAAAATGTAATTACACATAGTTTACCAATAAGTATTAGAAATGGCAATTGGAAAGTGTGGCCAGCACAAATAAGTATAAGGACATTTGCCAACAAAATAAAAAAAAAAACACAAAAACTTAAGTTGTAGAATCCAGAGATAAAAAAAAGGAGGTGACATACTCAAGAGGAAAATGGTAAAAAATAGAGCTAGAGGAACAATAAAATTAATGTCAAAAAGCTTAGGGGAAGAAAAAATATTTATATGAACTATAACAAGGGTTTATTTCTAGTAAAATAAAAAAATCTTAAAAATGGTTACTATCAAAACTTCAATGGATAAGTGGGTAAACGGTTAGGAAATTTAAAAAAGAAGTACAGAAGGTGAAAAAAATTAACACATTTTGAATACTTAAAAGAAATATAAGTGAAAGGAAATATTTTAGCAAAACTTTTTAATGACAAAAGTCTTCAGGGGGTGGTGGGGAAAATAAGTAGACTCATTCAGTGCCAATGACATTATAAATTGAAGATATCTGGAGAATATTTGCTAATTAGAAAACAGTATGTTCAGTGATTCCACTGTTGTAAATTCATCTATGGATATAATTTTTTAAATTATGTGATGCTTAAATAAAAACTAACTATAAACAACTTAAGCCCCCTATTAGGGGAAAGCCAAGTATATTAGAGCATACTGATGTAACTGAATAGCATGCCACCACTAAAAAGATAAATGTGATAAGGAAATGTGGAGAAATATTTATAAAAATATTAAAAGTAGAAATATATGTACAACTATGTACACATATATGTATGTGTGTATATGCAATAGCCAAATTAATTTAAAATTTATAGATAAGATTGAATGCTATCCCACTAAAAAGCTAAATATAAGTAATAACAAAATATGAAATATTTATAAAATAGCAAAAGAACAGCAGAAACACATATATACATGTAAGTATATATAAGTATATGTACATATATTACAATTATAAAAACTACTTATAAGTTTGAAACAAAAATCAGTAGGGAGCTTGAAGAAATGAAACTGGTTGTGTGTGTGAGATTTTTATTATTTTTTTTTCCTCCCATGACATGTGGGAATTATGGGAGTTACAATTCAAGATGAGATTTGGGCAGGGACAAAAGCAAACCATATCATTCCACTCCTGGCCCCTCCCAAATCTCATGTCCTCACATTTCAAAATGAATCATGCCTTCCCAACAGTCTGCCAAAGTCTTAACTCATTTCAGCATTAACTCAAAAGTCCATAGTCCAACATCTCATCTGAGAAAAGGCAAGACCCTTCTGCCTATGTGCAGAATCAAAAGCAATTTAGCTATTTCCTAGATACAATGGGGGTACAGGCATTGCCTAAATACAGCTGTTGCAAATGGGAGAAAATGGCCAAAATGAAGGGGCTACAGACCCCATGCAAGTCTGAAATCCAGCAGGGCAGTTGAATCTTAAAGCTCCAAAATGATCTCCTTTGACTCCATGTCTTACATCCAGGTCATACTGATGCAAGAGGTGGGTTCCCATGGTCTTGGGCAGCTCCGCCCCTGTGGCTATGCAGTGTACAGCCTCCCTCCTGGCTACTTTCACTGGTGGGTGTTGAGTGTTTATGGCTTTTCCAGGTGAATGGTGCACACTGTCAGTGCATCTACCATTCTCAGGTCTGGAGAATAGCAACAGCCCTCTTCTCACAGCTCCACTAGGTAGTGCCCCAGTAGGGACTCTGTGTGGGGGCTCCAACCCCACATTTCCCTTCTGCACTGCCCTAGCCGAGGTTCTCCCTGATGGCCCTGTCCCTGTAGCAAACTTCTGCCTGGGCATCCAGGTGTTTCCATACCTCCTCTGAAATCTAGGTGGAAGTTGCCAAATCCCAATTCTTGACTTCTGTGCACCCACAGGCTCAGCACCACAGGGAAGGTGCCAGGCTTATGGCTTGTACCCTCTGAAGCCATGGCCCAAGCTGTACCTTGGCCCCTTTTAGTCATGGCTGGAGCGACTGGGATGCAGAGCACCAAGTCCCTCCTAGACTGCACACAGCATGGCCCATGAAAACATTTTTTCCTCCTGGGCCTCTGGGCCTGTGATGTGAGGGGCTGCCATGAAGACCTCTGACATGCCCTGGAGACATTTTCCCCATTGTCTTGGGGATTAACATTTGGCTCCTCATTACTTATGCAAATTTTTGCAGCTGGCTTGAATTTCTCCTCAGAAAATGAGATTTTCTTTTCTATCACATTGTACAGCTGCAAAATTTCCAAACTTTTATGCTATGCTTTCCTTATAAAACTGACTGCCTTAATAGCACCCAAGTCATCTCTTGAATGCTTTGCTGCTTAGAAATTTCTTCTGCCAGATACCCTAAATCATCTCTGTCAAGTTCAAAGTTCCACAAGTCTCTAGGGCAGGCGCAAAATGCTGCCAGTCTCTTTGCTAAAAATTAACAAGAGGCACCTTTGCTCCAGTTCTCAACAAGTTTCTCATCTCCATCTGGGACCACCTCAGCCTGGATTTCATTGTTCATATCATTATCGGCATTTTGGTCAAAGCCATTCAACAGGTTTCTAGGAAGTTCCAAACTTTCCCACATTTTCCTGTCTTCTTCTGAGCCCTCCAAACTGCTCCAATCTCTGCCTGTTACCCAGTTTCAAAGTTTCTTCCACATTTTTGGGTATCTTTTCAGTAATGCCTTAGTCCCAGTCACAATTTATGGTATTAGTCCATTTTCATGCTGCTGATAAAGACATACCTGAGGCTGGGAAGAAAAAGAGGTTTAACGGACTTATAGTTCCATGTGGCTGGGGAGTCCTCACAATCATGGCGGAAGGCAAGGAGGACTAAGTCACATCTTAAGTGGATGGTAGCAGGCAAAGAGAGCTTCTGCAGGGAAACTCGTTTTTAAAACCATCAGATCTCATGAGACTCATTCACTATCATGAGAACAGTGCAGAAAAGACCCACCCCTCATAATCCAATCATCTCCCACCACTTCCTCCCATGACACATGAGAATTGTAGGAGTTACAATTCAAGACGAGATTTGGGTGGGGACACAGCCAAACCACACCAGGAACCAATTACCTTCAAATTCTTGAACTATTTGGAATTTCACAATAACTTTTCCCCATAATCCTCAACATTGTAAATATTAAACAGTCATAAACATCCAAATACGTAATATTTCACATTAGCAACAAAACCTTTTATTTTTTATTCTTTTATTTTTTGAGATGGAGGCTCACTCTGTTACCCAGGCTGGAGTGCAGTGGCGCGATCTTGGCTCACTGCAACCTCCACCTCCTGGGTTCACACAATTCTCCTGCCTCAGCTTCCTGAGTAGCTAGGACTATAGGCATGCGCCACCATGCCCAGCTAATTTTTGTATTTTTAGTAGAGATGGGGTTTCACTACGTTGGCCAGGCTGGTCTTGGACTCCTGACCTGAGGTGATCCACCTGCCTTGGCCTCCCAAAGTGCTGGGATTATAAGTGTGAGCCACCACACCCAGTCACAACAAAATCTTTAAATATGAAATAGTACAAAAAATTTTAAGTGACATGAGCCAACTGAGATGTGCTGGGAGGAGTGCATTTCCCCTCTAAAAGAACAGATTCTACTCAGCTCTAGCATATTGTTGGCAGATTTCTCCATTTTTCAAGAAAAGCTAAAACTCACATGCTTATCTGAAATCTCCCAAGTTTTGAAATACTAAAATAAAATAAAATATTTCCACAATCCTGTGGCAATTTCCACCATTTGGTGGATCATTTTTGAGTCTGGGATACCCTCTCAGACATGTACATGGCTTGCTTAGCCTCTCTGTTCCTTGATTCCTTAACTATAAAAATGGGGTAATAATAACCACACCCACCTAATAAGGTTGTGGGTAGGAATAAATTAAAGATAAATGAAAAGTGTTTAAATTACTGCTAGTCACACGGTAAGTGCTGAAAAGTTACCACTTTCCCGATCAGTTTTCCGCTGAAAATAAGCACTTGGCATCTCTCCATTTAAAACTATCAAAGCTTCTAAATCAATTGACAATATTTCCTGATACATACTCGATACAGATCACTGCTCTGAGGACTGTGCAAATAGGCAAGGAAAAGGAAGGTACAAGGTACCTACACTTGTCAATAAAATGAGAATGAAGAATCAGGGTAAATGTATATTAAACCAACCCAAGGACATGTACCAAAATTTAAAAAAAATGTTCAAATGGATATTAGCAAAATCATAAGAAAAACTAGGATCATTAAGAGAAGGGAGTGATATATGAGTTGGTATAATAGATTATAAGGCAGGACAGAGTGTGGGATGAGGCCACACTGAGTAGCTTCTTCAGGAAAACAAGCATTTAGGCAGGGCTCAAAAGAAGACAAGAAATGTTATTTAAATTGGGAGATATAATGGGGAAAGAAAATTGATTAGAAAGTTAAGGAAGATATCATGGAAGTCATTAAACTGAGTGAAGCGTGCATTTTAGAGGCTAAAGCATACCTGAGGAAAGGGAATATGGGCATGGTGAAATCAGCTTCAGGGGCTGGGCATGAGAAGACATTAAACCTGTGAACAACGATAAAAATGAAAAAGAAAACGAGATAAGTGATCCAGCTTCATTTCCTCTGCTAAAGCTATCCCTTCAAAATGCTCTCTCTCTTTCCAAAAGATATGGTTTAAACATGGTCCCTTTCACTATCACATTGAAAATCTCTCACCAGGGAGTATGACAACTCTGCAAGCACCTGATCTGTGAGAGAATTGAGATGTCCTATATTTGGCTATACTTTTTTTCTTCACTCCTTCTAAAAACTGCATATTTGCTGTAAAAAAATCACATAATAACATCTAAGTGAAATATTTCAAATGAATAAAATTACCTTTAATTCCCAAAGCTAACACAATTCTTATTATTTTCATATTTTCTTGTCTAATCTATGTCCGTAAGTCTACAGATTTGCCTAGTTATAATCGTTGAGTGCATTCAATTGCATTTTCTATTTTGTTCACTTGCCATGTATCAAAATATGGCCTTAGGTTTCTATAGTTATCGCTAGTACTTAAATGTCTGCATAATAGTTCATCAAGTTGATGCCTCATAATTTAATATCGGAAATTAAGTAATGTTCATTCACTTCTGTCACAGAAAATGCTACAATATGCATCATTTTGCACAAAGTTTAAATGTTGTTCGACTATTTCCTGTAGATTAATTCAAGAGAATGAGAAGACAAATATATTAACTTTTTATTCTCCCTTAGCCCATATATATTAACATGAACATGAATGGGTTATAATGCTATTATAAGAAAATTGGGGGAATTTTGGACGTACCACCAAAGACACTTAGCCTGGAGTGTGATTTATACCAAATCACACTTCAGTTCTAAAAATGCTCTATGACCCCACAAGGGTGCTATGAATTGGCCTTTTAATTAGAGTAAAACTGAATGTCAAGTCATGTCTTTCCCCCACCCCCAATTCCTCTTACAAGTTAATGTGCTGATGGTAAAGACATAAATAGCAACCTTCTCTCTTCAGATAAATTGCCCAAGAGAGCTGTGATAGTGAATCTACAGGCCTATAAATCTAATAAACAAGAATTATCCAATACTGAGAAATGTGAGCAAGACATGGCTCTGAACTGTATTAGGTATTAATTTAATAAAACGATGAGGTGAGTGCACATATCGAATTGAAACTACAATCATACAGAGTACCAGAGAAATTGCTAAAGCAAATGTGATAACAAACAACAAAATTGAGGTTAAAAAACTGGCAGCATTTTGTAAAATGCCATTACTTTAAAATTCACACACATAAAGAAATGTCAATGTTATTATTGAGGAGCACAATTAAAGTGAAACAACTTTGGCTATAGTTTTTAGCTCAGAAATTGGTAATAAAAAGTGGTTTGGAAGGAATAGTGGTATGTCTTGATAAAGATGGAAAGGTTTGGGAATAATCACAAAGTCTAGGTTCATACAGGCAATGTAAAATGAAGATTGGTTAGTAAGTTAGAAGATTGAAATAGGAAACCTTTAGAAAAAAACATAGCTATTGAAATTAAAAATACTCTATTGATGGCTTAATCCAGAGTATGGCTGGAAAAATACTCATCCCCGCTTATCATCTGGACACAGTGGATCCTTTCATTGCTCATATTTTAAAGTCATTTTTATAAGTCATCTATATAGAAGAGCAAAGTGATAAAATGATCCAGTGCAACCATATGATAGTTTCAAGAGAGAATGAGTTTTATTCCTTTAAAATTTGTAAATTCTTTTTGTTTTTTGGAAGACCTCTAAGAAATAATAAAAGCCTCATGCTTCTTAAAAGCAGTTAGAATTGCTCATAACAGACACTCAAATGCTAAAATTGGGTAAAATTAACTCTAAGGATTAAGCAACCATTTAAGCACAGTTAAAGACAGACTTAATAAACTGAATGATGGATCAGGAGAAATTACTCAGAATGCAGCACAGAGACCTGGAGATAGAAAATATGCAAAAGAGGTTAAGAGATACAGAGGACAGGGGATGAGAAGGTTTAATGTACATTTAATGAGAGTCCTAAAAGGAAAAAATAAAATAGAAAGGAAGGGAGGCAATATTTGAAGTATAATATCTGAGGATTTTCTACAACTGATAAAAAGAAAATCCAGCTATACAGGAATCATGCTTATTTTTTAAATGATGAAAGAATTCACACTTCAGAAACTTTTATTCATATACCCCACACACAGGTGTGCACTTTGAAAATAGTGGAGTGCATGTTATGTCAGCATTTATTAAATACCTATGGGCTACAAACGAGTCTAGGTATTAACATGCCAGAGCAGTACATAATTTAGGTGTTCCTCTCTTTACATCAAGAGGGTAACTGTTGACTCCAAATTTTGCATAAATTATTTTGTACTGAATCATATTTTAAAGGCAGTTTATTATATTCCTATTTTAAGATATCCTGTTATATATGGTCCTTGATAAAGACGAGAATCATTCTATTAACCAAATTTTAAGAAACTGTAAGTTTTTGCATATTACATTTTCTATAAACTAGATATAAACAGACATGCCAGCTATTTTGGCTGGGCATGGTGGCTTACATCTGTAACCCTAGCCCTTTCGGAGGCTGAGGCAGGAAGATCACTAGAGCCCAGGAGTTCAAATCCAGCCTGGGCAACATAGTGAGACTCCCATCTCTATTTTTAAAAATAGTAGCTATTTTTACAATTAACATAAATTTCAAAATACTTAAACACCTGCCCAAGGTCCTTAAAAGAGAAGGGTGTGAGGGGCAGGGGTGTGGGCTGGTGGGAGAGATGGTTGAATATTCAGCACTGACAGTCTTTGCTGGATCACCCATGGTCTTTTTATACTTTAGAGTCTCAGGTTGTTCCTCCTCTCCTTTCTCCTCTGCTTGAGGCCTTTGTAGCACATTGCTAAAATATGCAACAGAAGAAGGAAGAGATAGCCTCTGCATTCCTTTCCTCCCCTACACCTAATCCTCAGCTCTTTCCTCAGTAGCTGAAGACATGAAGGCGTGAGGGAAAAACGCCTCTTGTTCTCAGCTTCTTCCCCTTCCCATCTGGGAGCCCTGGTCTCAGGACTAGGTTAGAGAATCACGGCTTATTAATGGCTCTTGGCTTCCTCTCTTTTCCCTTACTCCTCATTCTTGTAGTCTTTGATGATTACAGTCAACAGGGCCCAGGGCTTGAGGAAAGAAGAAAATCTATCTAAAATGCATAACTGTTTTTTTAAAAATATTATATATGATTGATAATAGTGTAGTTACTTAAGAATGAAGGGCTATGACAAACCTTGACTATCCAAATACTAGCTGCATGTTCTTTGCAAATTATTTAACCTCTCTGTGTTTTGGTTTCCTCATCTATAAAATGGAGGTAAAAATTGGTAACTATCTGATAAGAACTTGTGAAGCATAAACTGGTGTACCATCAGGCTCCACTGACCCCAATTTTAGCTTCTGAGATTGATTTTGGGATAGTAAGTACTTAAAACAGTGCCTTGCATATGGCAGGCATATGGTAACATTCAATAAATGTTAATTCTTATTTTTTAAAATTATATTTATGTAATAGGTTATATCTAAATTATATTTTACATAATTAAAATTATGTGCATAATTTTATTATTATATATAATTGTAAAACAATTTAAAATTTTTTAGGTATGATTTAGAAAGCTATCAGCAAAAAGGTTCATGGTGTTACTTCTTTTAAAAAATTAAGTTTTTGGTGTACAGATTGTTCTTGGTTACATAGATAAGTTCTTTAGTGGTGATTTATGAGATTTTAGTGCACCCATCACTCGAGAATGTACACTGTACCCCATAAGTAGTTTCATCTCCCACCTCCCCAACCTTCCCCTCCGAGTCCCCAAAGTCCATTATATATCTCTTATGACTTTGCATCCTCATAGCTTAGCTCCCACTTATGAGTGAGAAATACATACCCTACTAGCCTCCCAGTGGACCTCCTTGGTTTCCTGATAACCTCTCACCTCTTTGACATGCATCAGCTGTCTCTTTGCTGGACCCCCTGTATTCTGGTATCTGCTCTTCTTTACTTCACACATAGCAAACCTCGGCAAGAGACCAACACCCTACTGTTGACACCCTGTCCCATCGATAAGACCAAACCCCATGTGCAGAAGCCCTTGTGCTCTGAAAGTGGTGGACATAAAGACTAAACTTCACTATGTTGGACATAATAACTCAAAGAGGTTTTCTCCTAATGAAATGCAACACTGCTTACTCTTTAATAAAATTAAAATAATAAGCCTTTAGCATTAATAGCAAGCTACTGTGGCTAGGGTGCTATGAACTCCCAGATGAAGCAAATCCATGCATAAAAATTTAAAATATATATTACCAATAAAATGCATATACACAATTTTTATTCTGATCTTGATATACCAAATGGATACATCCCTGTTAAAATGACTAAATATCTATTTTATTTCCTCATATATTGGAATTGTGTTATTAAAGTAAACCTTTAATAATATGTTGCATATTATAAGACTGCTATATACACATTATAAATATTTGGAAAATACATAAAGAAAGAAGGGTGGAAGGGGAGGAGAAAGAAAGGGATGAAGAGGAGTGGGGAGGGTGAAGAAGAGGGGTAGAAGAAAAAAGGAAGCAGAGAAGGAAGAAAATCCCTTACCCTTAATCTTCCTATCCAGGGACTGAAAATTTTGGTAGCTTTTTAAAATTGAGAATATGTGTACCCTTTGATTTTTAGTCTGCCTTTTCCCACAAAATATTCTGTGAACATATTTTGGCCAATACATAATCACTGAAATCATGTTTAGTAACAGTTGCCGAATATTCCACCTTCATGTAGTGGTAGGCAGGGCATGGGGCTGAATCAGACTGTACTGTGTCTCAGTCCAGGCTTGATCTGTTACTAGCAATATCACATTAGACAATTATTATACTGTCCTACCCCTCGAATTCCTCATTTCAAAATAGGGGAACACCAATAACTACTTCAAAGGATTGTTATGAGTATTAAGTGTGATGTTATAGATAAAATATTTAGCATGGGGCTTGCTGTACAATCATTTACTTAATAAATGTTAACCATTAGGTTTTCCCATTTGCCATAGTTGCCCCCACCACTCCCGACTAGATAAAGTGTCTGGAAGGCACCAATTGTGTCCTTACATAAGGTCCCAGTGCAACAGAGTTGACACATGATAAACTGTGTTGAATGAATCAACAAATGAATAAGTGGTTGGCTGGATGACTGTGTTAACTGGCCCTTACCAGTTAAGTGGTCAGTTTTAGACAACAGAGGAAGATCATTAAACATTTGGAGAGGACTGTCATGTCAGCTTAGGTTTCTTCACAAAACTGAGAGCAACAGGAGACAATATTTTGCCCCTATCCTGTATCCTGTGGTTTGTTCTTCTGCTCTCTCTACTTTACATCCATGATCTTTCTCCAAAGATGGGCTCCAAAGTCTTTCCTACAGGACCCATTCCTTCTCAGCAGTCCTTTTCTCACTGAGATTTTATTGGCCATCAACAACACAGCCAATGGGCTGTATGTTTAGTCGAATCGCTATGTCTGCTTGACTGTAATTCTATCATTCTTTGGTCTTTTCCAGATACACATTCCAATGATTTTGGTTTTGCATCATATCCACAGTCTAAATAAACTAGGTTAAAAAAAAGTTGACTGCCTATAATCAGTCATCAAATGGAATGTTCTCTTGCCTATTTGCTTTCAACCATAAAGTCATATACATTTTTTAAAATCTAAAACAATGTGTGCTTGAATCAGAAGTTTGATGGTTTTGCTCCAGGGTCCAATTTTCCTGCATTTTTTTTTAGAATTCATCCAGTTGCAATTCTCTATTTTTTTTGCAGTAATTTCTTTCCTAACATTAAAAACCTTGTATTGAGTATCATCAATTAATCATTAAGAATTCTAATAAAAAAATTTAGCTTTAGCTGTAAAAAGTAACAGGGAAAGTTGAGACAATTTACCTGAAAATGTATGATTTAAAGAATCTATTTGAGGAATTTCATAACAAAAAAGAAACCTTCTATCTAAGTAATCCCTCCTTAGAATAAAACAGAAAACTTTAACAGTCTTTAGTGTTTATATTTCTGGTTTCTAATATTCTCAGCCATTTAAAAAAAGTTTTCAGAGAACTATTTGATTAAAATTAAAATTCACAACAGAACCTAGTTTATATACTATAAAACTCTAAATATATACTTTGCTATGTGAAGAGGTAAATTCTATCTCCAAATGAATTAGGTGATGGAAATATAAAAAAAGAAATAAAAATCTAGACTTTAAAAACATTTGATTGAAGCTTCTACAGCCATCAAATATTATTTCTAAATAGCTGATATTTCATTTCAAACAAGTCCATGTTTTATTGCAAACACATTCATCTTCATGACTGAAAAAGGTGGCTATAACAAAAGTATTAAATAAAATTTATGTTCAGACACAGTGGCTCACGCCTGTAATCCTAGCACTCTGGGAGGCCAAGGAGGGAGGAGTGTTTGAGCCCAGGAGTTCAAGACCAGCCTGGGCAACATAGTGAGACCTCCATCTCTACAAAAATTTAAAAATTAGCCAGGCGTAGTAGCATGCATTTGCAGTCCCAGATACTTGGGAAGTTCAGGCGGGAGGACTGGTTGAGCCCAGGAGGTTGAGGTTGCACTGAGCCATGGCTGAGCCACTGCATTCCAGCCTGGGTGACAGAGCAAGACTCTGTCCCTAAAAAAACTAAAAAGAAAAAAGAAAATAAAAGAAAATTTATTTTGGCTTCCAAGATTCTGTGTAATAAGGGTTATGGTGGATAATAGTCAAATATGTGATAAATAGTCAAATCTGAAATTAAACATAGATATCCAGGGTAAAATGTAAACAAAGGTTTTTAATTCATTTTTAGCTTTACATTTGTATTATCTACCAATGTGAATTATAAAAAGATATGAAAAACCCCTACTATAAAGACACATGCCCATGCATGTTTATTGCAGCACTATCCACAATAGCAAAGACCTGGAACCAACCCAAATGTCCATCAGTCATAGACTAGATAAAGAAAATGTGGCACATATACACCATGGAATACTATGCAGCCACAAAAATGATGAGTTCATGTCCTTTGCAGGGACATGGATGAAGCCAGAAACCATCATTCTAAGCAAACAACCCAAGAACAGAAAATCAAACACTGCATGTTCTCACTCATAAGTGGGAGTTGAACAACAAGAACACATGGACACAGGGAGGGGAACATCACACACTGGGGCCTTTTGCGGGGTCGGGGGCTAGGGAAGGGACAGTATTAGGAGAAATACCTAATGTAGGTGATAGGTTGATGGGTGCAGCAAACCACCATGGCACGTGTATACCTATGTAACAAAACTGCACGTTCTGCACATCTACCCCAGAAGTTAAAGTATAATAATAAAAAAAAGTAAAAAAAAAAGATATTAAAAACCCAAGGCAAAAAAAATGCTTTGTATCATCTCTGATATCCTGGTACTGCATGGATGTACATTCGCAGAAGATTCCATGCAGATACTAGCCTAAATTTTCATTTTTTATGACTGCATGGAGGCTTCATTATTCTTTCCATACCATTTCAGAAAGCAATTCTGAGCTATTTGTTCACACATTGGAGATAAATAAAATATACTCTTTAAAAAAGGAATGCTTGGAAGCAGAACTCATCAACTAACGCTAAATATTAGCTTCTATTTATGTGATAGCAACAGAAACAATTCTTGAAAATAATCAGACTAGTGGTATGCACTATTTAACCCAGTATGGCCTACAATAAACAATATGCAATATTGCTCTTCTAAAAGATGGGAGAAATTAACACAATACACATAAGTGGGAAAATGCCACCATACTCACTGCAAGAGACATCTGACTTTTCTCAGAGAAAATTAGTTACAAGCATATCAAAGAAAAATGTCAAATTCTTATCTTTGCTTCCAAGGAAGCCTTGCAAATTTAGACTTACTCTGCCTAAAGAGCACAGTAGCAACTACACACAAAAAAATTAAGACATAATATACTCATAAAAATATAAGACTTAAAATATCCTCTCTGACTTTGAGTCATTGACAGATTTAACTTATAGCATATTCTACCGATTCACAAAAGGATCTGAATTAAGTAGGTCCTACCTCAACTGACATAAATAAACTAAATTTCAAAATTGAAGGAATCGCCTCCCAAAAGTACATCGATTTTAAAATCCATTAAAATATTTCAGGAAAGAGAATAAATCTGATAATTATGAGACACAAAAATTAAAGTAGAAATGTTTTAAGTACACTAAATACTTTTCCCAAACAACTTGTAACTGAGTTATCTTTTGATTTCATACAGTTTGAAGACTTAGGAGACACACTTTCATACTACAGCAGAGAAATAACCTTATTAAAACTAAAACAAGGAAATTATATCCATTATGCTCAGGTAACATAAGATGTGGAAGAAACACTATATTCAAATCTGTTTCTTCAATGCATGAAATTATTACTCTTCCTTCTGAGTCTTTGCGTAAAATTCTCTTTGTTTTATGTCTGTATTATACATGTCTGTATTATACATGATATAAAGATAAACATGCATCTTATATATATCTCTCATATATAGGTATGTATATGTATATATATGTATGTGTATATATATGTATGTCTACACACACACACGCACATACAGTAGCAAGTCTGAAAGGTCTACATGCATATAAAGCATCTAGAAGGAAAAAATATCACTCATAATCTTACCACTTAGAGGCAGCACCTTTGTTTTTTTTTCCTTTACATATACAAGATAGTTTAATACACAATAGTGTTCTCTGAACGCTTTAAGCTTGCAGAATATGAAAATATCCTTATCAAGAGCTTCTGCATAAGATTCCTAGGCAGGGATTTGTTCTTTTCTTATTGTTGTTTATCACATTATCTTATATTCTTAATTTTATAATTTCAACGTGCATTTTAGATTCTGGTAATACATGTGCAGGTTTGTCACATAGGTATATTGTATTATGCTGAGATTTGGGGTATGAATGATCCTGTCACCCAGGCAATGAGCACCGTACCCAACAGGCAGTCCTCCAGCCCTTGTCCCCCTCCCTTTCTCCGCCCTCTAGTAGGCCCCAGTGTCCACTGTTCCCATCCTCATGGTCATGTGCACCCAGTGCTTAGCTCCCACTTATAAGTGAGAATGTGTGGTATTCGGTTTTCTGTTCCTGTGTAAATTTGCTTAGGATGATGGCATCCATGTTGATGCAAAGGACATGATTTTATTCTTTTTTATGGCTGAGCAGCATCTTTGAACAACATGACATCTAGCCAGTTGATCTTGTTCCTATGCATTGTTTAGATAGATGAGATTCTACTTTGTAGACGATTTTGTATTCCTTTTTCAGATGACATAATATTTGTTGTTTAAAGAATCTTTTTAAAGACAATTTTAACAATTTATGAACTTATACTATAAATATGAAATGCGTTTAGCAACTTTTTTATTTATAGCATATCTTACCTTCTCACAGAAGGATCTGAATTAAGCAGATGTTATCTCAATGATATAAATAAACAAAATTTCAAAGTTGAAGGAATTCCCTTCCAAAAGGACATGGATTTCCAAATTTAGTGAAGCATCCAAGGTTTACTTAATTATCTTCCTTTCTGTTCTTACAGCCATTTAGGTTATGCCAAAATTTTTCTTTTTGAATAAGCAGATACAGACATAAATATCTTTATGGTAAAGCTACTATTTCCTTATGATACAGTCTCAGAAGTTAAATTAGTAGGACAAATTATATGGACCTTTAAAAAAGATTCTTGATAAAAATAAGCAAATTGTTTTTCTGAAACATTGTGCCACCTTACATTTCCAGTAGCCACCTGGGAAAGGGCTGGATGGGGGTGGACGTTGTTTTATTATAGCTTTTCAAGAAGGACCAGACAAAACTGGGTCTATCAGTAGGAACCAACTAATTATTTAGAACATACTACGCACAAATTATTATGCTAGACTCTCGGGATACAAAAATCCTTTGCAGATTTTACAGATTCTCACAGTTTCATGTGTGTGCCCGTATGTGTGTGTGTCTGTGCATTTGTATGCAGGTTATGTGTGTGTTGGTGACAGTTGTAGGGTTTATAATTACAAAAGTTATATAACCAGTAGTCAGACCCTTTATTCTAGCCAAAGGTTTTGGCCTTAGCCTCTCCTGCTTATTAAACTATAAGAACCATTTTGTAATGAATCAACGACAAAAAGTTCTACAAAAAAAAAAAAAAAAAGGACTGATGGCTTCATAAACAGATTTAATGAAAGTTAAAAAACGGCCTCCTAGTTAAACCAAAGCCTTTCAACATTTCTTTATTTTTCCTTTTTACTTTAAAAGTTCTACTTAATAATTATAAAACATATATTAAACATTTGCTTAACTAATACAGTGCTTGCAACAACCTTATGAATTAAGTGCTACTAATTTTCCCATTTTACATCTGACAAAACCAAGGCCACAAAGCTAGTAAATGGCAAAGGTGAGATCTGAACGTCGTGGACTCCGTAAGAAAACGTACACTACTCTGCCTGGTATATGACAGGCGCTTGGAAAATCTTAACCATTATTGTCTGTGTATGTTTCCGCTTTGGCCTATAGTTTGTAAATATTATGAGGTCAATGGTTTTGTCTAGAATGCCTTGAACACCGCTTGGCTTTTCTCCATTACAATAAAGCTAATCACCAGGCATAGTTGTGCATTCCTGTAGTTCCAGCTACTTGGGAAGCTGAGGCAGGAGGATCACTTGAGCTTAGAAGTTTGAGGTTGTAATGCTCTATGATCACACCTGTAAACAGCCACTGCACTCCAGCCTGGACAGCACAGCACCATCTCTAACAACAACAACAAAAAATTAAAAAATATAAAGATAATTATGTTTACACTGTACTCATATTAAAAACCACAGCAAAATAAAAGACAAAAACAAAATGGTAACTTGGTGATGGGCAGAAAAGGGAGGGGAGTAGGTATCACTGAAGGGAGAGGTAGTACCCCTTCAAGCGCTATTTGTTGAATTAAAGGCAAGGCAGAGGGTTTGACACTACGATGTAGCTTTATAAGCTACACACTGAACAGCCTGACAATTTTTGTTTGTTTGTTTGTTTTTGAGACGGAGTTTCACTCTTGTTACCCAGGCTGGAGTGCAATGGCACGATCTCCGCTCACTGCAACCTCTGCCTCCTAGGTTCAAGCGATTCTCCTGCCTCAGCCTCCCAAGTAGCTGGGATCACAGGCATGTGCTACTACGCCTGGCTAATTTTGTATTTTTAGTAGAGATGGGGTTTCTCCATGTTGGTCAGGCTGATCTTGATCTCCTGACCTCAGGTGATCTGCCCACCTCGGCCTCCCAAAGTGCTGGGATTACAGACATGAGCCACCACACCTGGCCCTGACAATTCTTAAATAAGTTCTAAGCATGCCATAGGGCTTGATGTCTCCAGATCAGCTTGCTTGTCTACAATCAGCAATTAACCCTTACGTCCTGGGTTACTATCTAAGATTTGGCCACAAACATGCTATCTGTGCGTGAGAGGCAGGGATAGGGAAGAAAAGTGACAGAGAGAAATGTACAATATGAAGGAATTTTCTGAGATTATTGATTTCTGAATGTTTCTGACTCTACTAAAAAATTTATATGAAACTATTAGAAAGAGTTTACAAAATATAGGGAAAAAAATCCTCCTATTTGTAATATATTTCAAGTGTTCTATACCAGGGGTAACTGCTTAGTTAACTTAAGAGGTAGCTCCTAATGAAAGGCAAATTTTATTTATTTGTAATTTTTTTTTTACATTGCGTAGTCTCTGTAAACCTAAGAAAGGCGAATTTTAGAAGGTAGTAAGATGAGCTGTATATGTGCTAGGAAGAAATTCATTGAAATTCATCGTAATTTTTAAGTTACTGAGTCCAGTCCTTAATAATAATAAATATTTCTGGTCATGAGGAAAAACTGACCTTGATGTCCTCAAGACCAGTGGGGTATGATATTAACATTCACCTTTCTCGGTCTACTAAATGCCGACTCCCTCCGCTTGGATGACCTCTGTCTACCCACACACTCATGGAAGGTTCATATGATCCCCCAAATAGAGATGATGTGGAATCAGCATATCTATCTCTATTTTGATGTTGAAATCAGCTGGAATCCTCTCTCTTTATGCAGTAAAATCAGAAAAGGCTTCTTTCCTGAAGCTGCTCCTGTTGAGGTAACACACTGCAGGCATTCTCTGTGCATGGGTGGTTCACATCCCCGGACCTTTCATTCTACTTGTCTTCTAACCCTTCGCCCTCAACACTATTTGACTCATCTGATCCCAGTGTGTTCCATTTGGAGAGGGATGAATCAGCAAAAACTTCCTCCTCCCACTGTTAAATTCTTTTTCCTTATGACCCTTCCCCTCTGGATGCAAGAACATTAGAACAGGGTGCAATTGTTAAAAGCTATCATTTGTTCAGTATATGTGCGAAAAAAAAAAAACCATTCCTCAGTAATTTTCACACTATCAATTATACTTTAAATATGAGAAGCATATATCTCCATCATCTGTAAGATTAGCTCATTTTTTGCAAGGGTAGCAATGTTTCAACAGGGATGGTGTCAAAAGAGATCATTGTACTGTGAACAAATAAGCAAACAGAAATTAGACACTGAAGCCTAATCTTAAAAAATGATGATGCCACCTTATATAATTTTTCAGTGAGTTTACACTTCTAATAACTTTTAAACACAAATACAAATCTGTCTTGATATTAAATGAGTTATGTATATCAATAATATACATGTTCTACAATTTTCTAAGCAAAGAGCTATAGTACCTTAGTAAGCATTCTGCTATGAAATAAGCTGACGATATTTCTACAAATTTTTTTGCAAAGCATATTTTCCCCAAACACTAAAGATACACAAAAGCACAAAACAAATAATGTAGCCTGTTTGGTTGACTACTGACGTAAATTAATATAAAGTCTGAATTATTAGTAATATGTACTGAAAATATACCATGTATGTTTTTAAATAACTTCAGATTAATTACAGTCATGCGTCACTTAACAGGGCTATATTTTGAGAAATGTGTCATTAGTTGACTTTGTTGTTGTGCAAACATCATAAAATGTACTTATACAAACCTAGATGGTACAGCCTACTACACTCCTAGGCTATGTGGTATGCCGTATTGCTCCTAGACTACCAACCTGTATAACATGTTACTATACTGAATAATGTAGCCAATTATAACACAATGTTATCTGTGTATCTAAACACATCTAAATACAGAAAAGGTACAATTAAAATAGGGTATTATAATCTTATGGGACCACTGTCATATATGTGGTCCATCATTACCAAAATGTTATATGGCACAGGACTGTACTTGCAAATACATCAAGGCATGCCTAATTCAGTTTTTATGTGCAATTGCTTTAAGAATAGATAATCTGTTGTTAGAAAACATGTATATAGAGTAATTGAACTTATCTAAAAAACTACCATTTTGCAAGAATGTGAAATCATCCTTAAGCTATTGCTAAGTCAAATTTTTCTTCAGAGAGAAAGCAGAGAAAGTGCAAATCAGCAGGAAAAGAAGTCCACAAACTCTGGGTTAATAGAGTCCAAACAGATCAGCTTAATTGTAGCTCCTGCAATGAGTTGCCAGGGTATTCCTTGGACTCATCAAATGAAAGTCTGTGGCTGGATATGCCTACATAGCAGAAACAATCAGCCCAATATGAAAGAACCAGAGAGTTCTAGGCCAAGCATTTAGTGTCTGTCTTATATGATCAGAGATGGGGTACTTTGATAACATTTAGGGCATATCATCTCCTATTGTTGAGGAAGAAAAATCTTTGTTCCTAATGATCTACATTGGTTTTCTCGACCAATCAATACCACCTCATAATTATTTGGTTATTTGCCAAAGGATATGACTATAAATTACTAAAAGGTGGTCTTTTAGAGCTTTCCACTATGATTCCTATTTTTGAGTTCAAAGAGGATAATTTCTCATAAAGACTTTTTATGTCAAGATAGGAAACATACATGTCAAAAAGCCCAGAGAAGAAGGCAAATAGAAGGGTTTTGCAATCATACATGGATACAGGTGAAAATTAAGTATTTCTATTGAAAACAAATCATGTATAAAATATCTTTTCTACCACTGGAACAGAGTCAAGATACTTTTTTTTTTTTTTGAGACAGAGTCACTCAGTCACCCAGGCTGGAGTGCAGTGGCATGATTTTGGCTCACTGCAACCTCTGCCTCCCAGGTTCAAGCAATTCTTGTGCCTCAGTCTCCTGAGTAGCTGGGACTCCAAGTATGCGTCACCATGCCCAGCTAATTTTGGTATTTTTAGTAGAGATGGGGTTCACCATGTGGGACAGGCTGCTCTTGAACACCTAACCTCATGTGATCTGCCCGCCTTGGCCTCCCAAAGTGCTGGGATTACAGGCATGAGCCACCATGTCCAGCCAAGATACATTCTTCTCAGTGAACTAAAGTGGCTCCTATCACTCAAATTATATAGCAAGTTTTAGCACTGATGTTGATCAAACAAGAAAAAAGTAGTTCCCAGGTTATTACTGGTAAATTTTATGGTCTTTTAAAAATGGAATAAGAGGGCTCTGTTCTGTTCCATTCATCTATATCTCTGTTTTGGTACCAGTACCATGCTGTTTTGGTTACTGTAGCCTTGTAGTATAGTTTGAAGTCAGGTAGTGTGATGCCTCCAGCTTTGTTCTTTTGGCTTAGGATTGACATGGTGATGCGGGCTCTTTTTTGGTTCCATATGAACTTTAAAGTAGTTTTTTCCAATTCTGTGAAGAAAGTCATTGGTAGCTTGATGGGGATGGCATTGAATCTATAAATTACCTTGGGCAGTATGGCCATTTTCACGGTATTGATTCTTCCTACCCATGAGCATGGAATGTTCTTCCATTTGTTTTTATCCTCTTTTGTTTCCTTGAGCAGTGGTTTGTAGTTCTCCTTGAAGAGGTCCTTCACGTCCCTTGTAAGTTGGATTCCTAGGTATTTTATTCTCTTTGAAGCAATTGTGAATGGGAGTTCACTCATGATTTGGCTCTCTGTTTGTCTGTTGTTGGTATATAAGAATGCTTGTGATTTTTGTACATTGATTTTGTATCCTGAGACTTTGCTGAAGTTGCTTATCAGCTTAAGGAGATTTTGGGCTGAGACAATGGGGTTTTCTAGATATACAATCATGTCATCTGCAAACAGGGACAATTTGACTTCCTCTTTTCCTAATTGAATACCATTTATTTCCTTCTCCTGCCTAATTGCCCTGGCCAGAACTTCCAACACTATGTTGAATAGGAGTGGTGAGAGAGGGCATCCCTGTCTTGTGCCAGTTTTCAAAGGGAATGCTTCCAGTTTTTGCCCATTCAGTATGATATTGGCTGTGGGTTTGTCATAGATAGCTCTTATTATTTTGAAATACGTCCCATCAATACCTAATTTATTGAGAGTTTTTAGCATGAAGGGTTGTTGAATTTTGTCAAAGGCTTTTTCTGCATCTATTGAGATAATCATATGGTTTTTGTCTTTGGCTCTGTTTATATGCTGGATTACATTTATTGATTTGCGTATATTGAACCAGCCTTGCATCCCAGGGATGAAGCCCACTTGATCATGGTGGATAAGCTTTTTGATGTGCTGCTGGATTCGGTTTGCCAGTATTTTATTGAGGATTTTTGCATCAATGTTCATCAAGGATATTGGTCTAAAATTCTCTTTTTTGGTTGTGTCTCTGCCCGGCTTTGCTATCAGAATGATGCTGGCCTCATAAAATGAGTTAGGGAGGATTCCCTCTTTTTCTATTGATTGGAATAGTTTCAGAAGGAATGGTACCAGTTCCTCCTTGTACTTCTGGTAGAATTCGGCTGTGAATCCATCTGGTCCTGGACTCTTTTTGGTTGGTAAACTATTGATTATTGCCACAATTTCAGCTCCTGTTATTGGTCTATTCAGAGATTCAACTTCTTCCTGGTTTAGTCTTGGGAGACTGTATGTGTCGAGGAATGTATCCATTTCTTCTAGATTTTCTAGTTTATTTGCGTAGAGGTGTTTGTAGTATTCTCTGATGGTAGTTTGTATTTGTGGGATCGGTGGTGATATCCCCTTTATCATTTTTTATTGTGTCTATTTGATTCTTCTCTCTTTTTTTCTTTATTAGTCTTGCTAGCGGTCTATCAATTTTGTTGATCCTTTCAAAAAAACCAGCTCCTGGATTCATTGATTTTTTGAAGGGTTTTTTGTGTCTCTATTTCCTTCAGTTCTGCTCTGCCACATACCTACAACTATCTGATCTTTGACAAACCTGAGAAAAACAAGCAATGGGGAAAGGATTCCCTATTTAATAAATGGTGCTGGGAAAACTGGCTAGACATATGTAGAAAGCTGAAACTGGATCCCTTCCTTACACCTTATACAAAAATCAATTCAAAATGGATTAAAGATTTAAACATTAGACCTAAAACCATAAAAACCTTAGAAGAAAACCTAGGCATTACCATTCAGGACATAGGCATGGGCAAGGACTTCATGTCTAAAACACCAAAAGCAATGGCAACAAAAGCCAAAATTGACAAATGGGATCTAATTAAACTAAAGAGCTTCTGCACAGCAAAAGAAACTACCATCAGAGTGAACAGGCAACCTACAAAATGGGAGAAAATTTTCGCAACCTACTCATCTGACAAAGGGCTAATATCCAGAATCTACAATGAACTCAAACAAATTTACAAGAAAAAAACAAACAACCCCATCAAAAAGTGGGCGAAGGACATGAACAGACACTTGTCAAAAGAAGACATTTATGCAGCCAAAAAACACATGAAAAAATGCTCACCATCACTGGGCATCAGAGAAATGCAAATCAAAACCACAATGAGATACCATCTCACACCAGCTAGAATGGCAATCATTAAAAAGTCAGGAAACAACAGGTGCTGGAGAGGATGTGGAGAAATAGGAACACTTTTACACTGTTGGTGGGACTGTAAACTAGTTCAACCATTGTGGAAGTCAGTGTGGTGATTCCTCAGGGATCTTGAACTAGAAATACCATTTGACCCAGCCATCCCATTACTGGGTATATACCCAAATGACTATAAATCATGCTGCTATAAAGACTCATGCACACGTATATTTATTGCAGCACTATTCACAATAGCAAAGACTTGGAACCAACCCAAATGTCCAACAATGATAGACTGGATTAAGAAAATGTGGCACATATACACCATGGAATACTATGCAGCCATAAAAAATGATGAGTTCATGTCCTTTGTAGGGACATGGATGAAATTGGAAATCATCATTCTCAGTAAACTATTGCAAGAACAAAAAACCAAACACCGCATATTCTCACTCATAGGTGGGAACTGAACAATGAGATCACATGGGCACAGGAAGGGGAATATCACACTCTGGGGACTGTGGTGGGGTGGGGGGAGGGGGGAGGGATAGCATTGGGAGATATACCTAATGCTAGATGACGAGTTGGTGGGTGCAGCGCACCGGCATGGCACATGTATACATATGTAACTAACCTGCACAATGTGCACATGTACCCTAAAACTTAAAGTATAATTAAAAAAAAATGGAATAAGAAAATTGGGTAGTATTTCCAGTTTAATTTTTAAGAGCTGAAGACCTCAAATACTTTTGCATTATCAACAAGAAAAAAGGAAATAGGAAGAAAATAAAAACAAGCAGGGAGGGATTGAGGGAGGGAGCAAAGGAGGAAATTTGTTGCTGGAAAAAACGTGAAACATTTTGGCCTGGAGTGTAATTAATTTAAAATATGGTACAAATCTAAATACGTGGTTTCTGAGTGTGATTACATTCTCCAATGAAAATACAACATCCTATGACTCTTGAAAGGACATATGTTAAGAGGCACTGGGATAATTTTATGGGTAACAGAGCTACCTACACACTTTTGGGAAGCACAGACAGAATCAAAAGAGATAATGATGGGAGCTCTTATTCCTTCAGAATAAAGGTATTCAGAAAATCTTGACAGCACTGCATTTGTACAGTCCCAAAGACCAAAAGCTATAATGCCAAGGCTGGCATTGTCAAGTCCTGGTAACATTTATTTTTTATTCTTTGTGGGGGAAAAAGAATCAAGTGCAGATGTGAGATTCTGCCATATTTTCAAGCAATTTCTAGGGCAGTACTATTTAAACTTAATTGTGCATATCAATCACCCTGGAAACTTGTTAAAATGCAGATTCTGATGCACTAGGTCTGGGGCCTCAGATTTGCGTGCTAAACAAGATCCCAGAGTGTGGATAATGATCTGCTGCTGCATGAACAAACACACTGTGAGCAGCAAAATTCCAGTGCATGAGCACTGAGGGCCTTTCCACCTACAACCATGCAACAGCATCACAAGAACTATTGCAACAGGTTAAGTGTTTTATATTATGAAAGAGCCAGGTAAAACGAAAGGATGAAATTTTGTGACCACTAACCAATCTTCTACCCACTGACCACTTCTGAAAAACAGAAACTGCATTACCATAAACTTTGACTGTGGCTGAAGTTCTTTGCAGAGTTATTATAGGTGGCCATAGGATAGTAGAGACGTACAGAGTACAGAATGATGAAAAAGATTCTAATGCCCATTGTGTTTTGTGGTTTGGGCATGTGTGTTTTCAGTGGGACAAAAGGAAAAAAGGAAAGGAAGATTCACACATGTATTTAAAATTTATCTCATCTTTTCTAGGTTGCTGTTATGGAACATTCTAATTGTATAGTAGCAAGTGATATAAGAGTGTAAACATCCTCACAGCATCAAGTAGTATACAAAAAGGCAATCACAAATATAATTACATCTTTAAAAACTTTTTGTATAAATATTTGAAAATTGTGAATTATAACATAGACAGGTAGATGTGAAAAGTGCACATTGAATTTACCATCCCTATGAAAAGTAATTTCAGTTCTCAGTCTTATTTGTACTTGATGCACCACTATAATTTATTAACAGAATAGCATCATATTCAGTCTGGCTTCTTGAATTAGCTAAATCACCTCCCAGAATCAAAGTCTCAAAACAAAAAAGGCTTCCATATTTAAAAACAATTATTTTATATTCTTTTGAATCACTATGCTTTCTACACTGGAAATTCCCACCTCATGCTATATTTGTCAGCTATAGTTTGTCAATGTCATCTACCTTGCTTGATAGGTAAACCATCACTAGAGGAAGTACCCACACAAGTTCCATTATCTGTGATCCCTCAGGGCATCATATTTAGTCACGGCACCACGGCCTGATCAGCCATCATGTTAATCCCAGCTACATCAGGTGAGCCAGGGACATGGTACCAAGTAGAAGACAGAAGTAAAAAGGAGCAATGGAAGAAGTGGAAATAGGCTTGGATGAAGGGGAAAGGACTCTTCATGGCTACAGCCAGTCTTTCATCAGTTTTCTGCGAAGGGTCAAGGAAAATGGCAGTGACTATCCCAGAGATAGGCACACAAGGGGTAAGCCACAGATACCGGGCATTATCTCCTTTGCTTTCTTCCTAACCCATGTTTCCAATCCAAAACAAAGGTTTCAGCACAGGCCTCATCCCCAGAGTAAAATATCACAGATCAACTCTTATCTGCTTTCTGAGATCCCTGTGCCTCAGTATTTAAATTTTTATAGTGGCAATAATCTCCCCGCTTCCATTTCATGGGGGATGCAAAATAAAATGAGATAGTAACACAGGCGAAGAGGACTCTGGAAAGAGGAAGGACTATGTCATTCGCTATTACTTACTACTCACAATACTTATTATTACTGCTCTTCAAATTTATTTCCTGAATTGCTACACTGACCTAAGGTGGCCAGCAATTAATACAATATCAAGCTCGGGGGGGGAAGTCTAGGGAAAAATGGCAGGCAAGTATAATTTTAAAATTTAAATTCAATGTAATTCCTGTTTTTATGTCTGACCAGCTGGGCTTGGTCATCTCTACAATCCTAGCTATAAGGAAGGGTGGAGATGACAGAAAATTAAGTCTTACCTAAAACGCAAGGGATAAAGATAACTGTCCAGGTAGAGAGGGAAGGAAAAGGGTCTGGGGAATGGACTGGGGAGCGGGGAGTGGAGCCAGATGTTGCATTCAGTTCAGAGGGCTGCAGCATGAGGTGGGGAAGCCAAGCAAGGGGGTGATTCCTGAGGTAGAGGACTGTTCCTGAGACTCCCCCATCCTGGACTTCTGGGCCAGCAGAAGAATTTGGTAGTTTGAAGGCAATGGAGGAAGGTATAACCAATATATATGGACCATGGTAGAATTTAATGTAATTATGAATCTTGAACTTTTGAGAGCAGATTCTTTTAAAAAATATATAATGAATAAAATCTTTCAGTCACAGAAGTGGCTGATATTAAGCAATATCCTGCGAGCAGAGAATCAAGTTTCAGTGCCATGCAATTCACAACCACAATGATGGACACACAAGTCTGGCCCTGTTGGTTGTGTAGCATTACCACGGAGTGTTAATAAGACAGGACAGATATGCCTGGCCACTAGATAAAGGGGAATTCTGACCACAGTCAGAATGGGAAAGAGTGATTCCAGAATTCTTCTTGACAGAAAGCTTGATGCCTGTCTCAGTCTGGGTCATAACTAAAAATAGAAACCACAATAATACTTCAAACAAAGAAAATTGGTTCACAAGAAAAAAACTGAAAAACCAAACAGAGGAGATGAAGGCAACCTAGGGATTAGCATCAGTAGGAGGTTCTACCACCCCTAGAGGACTAGAGTAATAAAAGGAAGGGGTATGGTACTAAAGCCCAGAGGCTAGGACTGGTCTGTGGGATCTAGACCAAAAAAGGCAGGCATAACCACTCCAGAGATGCCACCCAAAGCAGGATACAGCTCTCAGGCTTCTCCTCTACCACTATGTTGCATCAGTGCCTCTCATTGCCAAACCTTCCCAGAAATCAGCTGGCAAGAGGGACTGTAATGCTGTTTGTGATACAAGAAAAGGGCAAGCGACGGATCTGAGAGCAAACTAGCATATGATGGCAACCAAGACTCTAGCCATTAGGTTTATCCAGTTAACCTCTTGCACTGACCTTGCACACCAAACCACCTTCTAAATACCATGTGAATGGAAACTACTCCCTAACCAGCACATTACATATTCTATTTCCCTTGGGAGCTACATTTCTGACTATAAATTAATAAAGTGGAACTCTTTTGTCTTAAATATACTGTCCCGTGAGTTTTGTTAGTGTGATTCAATCTCCTTCAATGCAATCAAGATCTTGGTCTGAGGAACTGAATACAGACCAAAGTCACCCAACTAAGGGAAGCCGGTTTCAGAGCTGACTCTAGAGCAGGGAGGAATGGGCAAGTGTTTTTTTAAGAATCAGAAGATATGTATTTTAGGCTTCATGGACCATATTATCTGTTGCAACTATTCAACTCTGCACTGTAATGCGAAAGCAGCTATAGGCGATACTTAAACAAATGGGTGTGGCTGTGTTCCAGTAAAACGTTATTCACAAAAACAGCCAGATTTGGTCCTCAGGCAGGTCCATACTTTGCTGACCCTTGGTCTACACCAAAGTTGGCCAATTAAGGAAAGCCTATCTGGAAGTAACTTTCAAAATGTAGCAATAGTAGTTAAAAATTTGAGGGTAGCACTGATATCCATTGTTATGTTTACTAATTAGAATTATAGCCTCTAATCCCAGTCTATTAATCAAAATTCAGAATATTGCTATATTTTCCCCTGAATTATTTATCATAAATTACTTAGAAAATCTCTCTAGTTTCTTTTCTTTTAACACAATTTTTATATTCACTGCAGCTTCTGAAATACTGTTTTTCTACATCATTTGAGTTGCAGCTAATTAAAACTGAAATAGGACTTAAATTTTTTCCATTTAGTTTCTCAAAATATTTCCATTTCTTGTACTTACTAAAATTGCTGTGTCATTCTTTATTAATTTTTCTTAAGTGAGGTTTGCTGGGAAAATCTCTAGCAGAAGATAATTTTCTCAGTGGGGTGAGGGATAAAAGACTACACATTGGGTACAGTGTACACTGCTCAGGTGACAGGTGCACCAAAGTCTCAGAAATCACCATTAAAGAACTTGATATAACCAAAAACCACCTGTTCTCCCAAAACTAGTGAAATAAAATAAAAATAAATGAAGACAATTTTCTCTCAAAACATATTTTTAAAGATCTGATAGATAAGTGATCATACTATCCAGTCAATAATTTCAATAAAAATGTATAGGGACATAATATACATTAAAACATTACATATCTTTTATAACACTGCAAACAGGAACAACTCTAAAGATTTCTGTGAAGTTTTCTAAAACTGCATAAAAATATTTTCTAAAAGATGACATGTACAGGAAAAATCATTTCCAGTATCTTCCAGACCTTGCATGCTTTGTTCTAATGCCCTTCTCCATTTGTCATTTGCTCCAAATTCATTTTGCCTCTCTACTACCCTTGAGTTAGGCATATTTCCCATTTCTAAATTAAATTGCTTTTTAAAAAATAATAAACAACTAGATCAGGATATTCAGTTTTCCTTTTCATCCTCTCTGAAAACAGTTGCCTGTAACCTCTTCCTTGATCTGGAGTGGAAGATCAGGCCACAGGTTCTGAAGCACATGCAAATATGATCTGATTTAACCAGCCACTGTGGGCCTGGCTCCCCAGTGTCTCAGAATAATGTAAGGCTCAAGTATAATGTCAAGCCTTCAAACTGAGCTTTTTACTGTTCTTCATCTAGTATTCCTCCTGCACATACTTACCTGTTAAATTTCAGCACCTTTGTGGGTAGATCCTGATTTTCCTCCATTCCTGACCTCCCTTATAAAAGATGGTCATTCCTGACCATCTTTGAAAATTCTATCAAACTGACATAACCAGCCCTTTTGAGACCTTTACTTGTCTCTGAATAAAAACACATTGCCTATACAATGCAAATATTATTCACAAAAATGTTTCAAATAGTAAATACTAAATAGTTTAGTTTTTTTCATTTAAATTGTATTCATTTTAAAATATTTAATATATTCCTATGCTAGTGAAGGGCAGTTTCTCGCATGGTCTAGACGATCCTGTTTGCAGGGCAGCTTTGATTCTATCCCCATTCCAGGCACTTGATATCAATGGAATTGCTATTCTTGCCTCCCAAATCCTAAAATGTAAGTTTCAAGGGTTAAGCTTGAGAAGTGGCTGGTCATGATCCTGAAAAAGTCACCTGGTTTAGGGTTGTGGCACTTTTCAGCTCTACTCACTACACCTCCTTCTATCATATTGGGGGAGAAGAAGTAAAAAAGGGGGATAGAAATCAATGTGTTATACCCACTCAAAATGAGAGCAGACCCAAGAGCAATGAAAACATGTTCACACAAGACCCTCTACACAAATGTTTACAGCAGCTTTACATATAATGGCCCCAAAGTGGAATCAACAAATAGTTTCAATGAGTGAATGAATACACAAACTATGGCACATCCATACAGAAAAATACTACTCCGGAGTGAACTGTTGATACAACATGGATGAATATCAAATATATTATGTTAAGTAGAAGAAGCCAGATGCAAAAGGCTACATATGTGACTGCAAACGGGCAGCACAAAAGCATTTTGGGGCTGATGGAACTGTTCTGTATCTTGCTTGTGATGGTGCTATGTAACTCTTATGAAAACTCATCGGCCTGTACAAAAAATAAATTTAATTATATGTGAGATAAAAAATAAATGTTAAAAAATTTGTTTGCAAATTAAAAGAGAGAAGGGAGAGATGAAGTGGGCTCCTCCTGGCTGTGGAAGCAAGAACAGAGCCCACATTCCACCATTTCACTAAATTCTACCATTGTTTATAACTTGAGGGAGATTCCAGCCTTCTTTTCCTTATGTTTCCTCTACCTGGTTAAGTGACCAACCAGCCTAGGGTTCTGACTACAAACAAATCAGGATTCTGCACCTCCAAAGGTTTTGCTATCCTGGCCCTGTGCCCATGCTGAAGGCAGATTATCAGGCCACTTCTGAGGCTCTGGAGGCCTATGCCAGGGATGGCCTTTGTTCGGGGTTTTGTCCTGCTTTTCTGCCCATTATGGTTGTTTCTCTAATGTAAATTATGAAGGCTTTGATGTTTTCTTGCAGTAGCATTCAAACAAAACAAAGCAAAAATGCAGCAGCTGTTGCCTGTATTAATCTCTGAGATTTTGACCTGGAAAGAAAAAGAATCATTTTTTTTTTCTTGAAACCTAAGAGTCCCAAGGGAAGCAGAGCAGTCTGCTCTAAATTTTTTTAAATAAAATGTCATCATGCTCTAAAAATGATGGCATAAATTAATTCTCTGGGAATTTATCCTTGTCCAAAATGAGACCCAGTGCAACCAAGAGATGCCTGTACTTAACCATTCCCTCAGTGAATGGGGTAAATTGTGAATGGTGACAGGGATGCCCTAGGCCAACAGGGACTTCAATGAATAAAAGCAACTGCAATCCTTTTTCTCTCTTCCCCTCTTCTTAAAATCTCAGAAGACTGAGCAATTTTGAAACGGTGTACTGGGGGAGGAGTGGGGCTCCATTTACATGCTTCTCTGTTTTGCAAGGGAAGGAAGATTTCACTGTATCCCATGTTAATCTATTACCAGGCTTGCTTTCAAAATCAGAGGAGTCTGTGTTAGTTTTTTTAAAAAAGAGTTGAAGATTAAAGATATGTTCATAATCACGCCTGTAATCCCAGCACTTTGGGAGGTCAAGGTGGGCAGATCACGAAGTCAGGAGATAGACCATCCTGGCCAACATGGTGAAACCCCGTCTCTACTAAAAATACAAACAAAAAAAAAAATTAGCCGGGCGCGGTGGCAGGCACCTGTAGTCCCAGCTACTCAGGAGGCTGAGGCAGGAGAACGGCGTGAACCCAGGCGGTGGAGCTTGCAGTGAGCCGAGATCGTGCCACTGCACTCCAGCCTGGGCGACAGAGCGAAACTCCGTCTCAAAAAAAAAAAAAAAAAAAATATATATATATATATATATATATACACACACACACACACATACATACATACATATATATATACACACATATATACACATACATATATATACACATACATATATACACATATATATACATATATATACACACACATATATATACACATATATATGTTTATAAGAAAGCCTTTTTCCACTTTAAATGCAAAATATCTCAGCAAGCTCACAGTGACAGCATTGGGTTGGATTGTGCTATTTACAGAAGAACTATATTGTTTCATCATCATAATCAGTTCTGCCAAGTTCTAATGAAGACAATGCATGAAGAGATATGCCCAATTCACTGGAAAAAAGTGATAAGGAGTATTTAGCTGCTGTGATGCATTCTTAGTGTGAGGACTGCTTGAAGAGGTCAGGTCTTTTGGCTAAGAATGTTGGCTTTCTGCTTCTCCAACCCCAGTTACCTGCATTTGACAAACCCTATCAGATTTTAAATGATCAAATTAAACATTGCTTCATTCTGAACAATAGTAGGCCATTAAAACTCCTAAGAAGGCTAAACACTGCTTTTTTTCCTTTTTTATTTTTGCTTTCACTCATTTTCTTTCTTTGAGAAGAATATATAGTGATCAATTGGTAGAGTAAGACTGCCTGGGCCCAAATTCCAGTTCCATCCCTTCATAGTTATGTGACCCTGGGCGAGTTACTTAGCCTCTCTGAGCTTCAATTTCCTCATGTAAAAAATAATATGTAAGGTGCTTACAATAGTGCCTTGCACAAGGTGAGTACTGTAAAACTGTGAGCAGCTGCTGTTGCTTTATTAAGCCAACACTGGCTGAGCACTACAGACAGCAATGGAAGAATGATTTGGAGGGAGGTCAGACAGACCTGACTTTAAATCCTACCACTTATTTACTTCATGAAGTTTCCTCATCTGAAAAATGGGGCTAGTAACACCTCCTAGCAGAACTGTTATAGACAGATTTCATGTCTGGCATTTATGTCCTAACACTGTGTGGTAGCAGGCCGAACTCCAGGCCCTGGAGCCAGAACGTCTGTGGGACTTGGGGCAAATTGCTAACCCTCCTGAGGTTCAGTTCTCTTATAAGTAAATGGCAGTAAAAGCAGTAAGGAGTTCACAGCATTGCTACGATGACCATGTGAAATAAAGCACAGAAAGCATAGTCAGGACTCCATAAACGTTGTTTAAAATTGTAAGACAGGCACTATTCTCCAAGAGCCAGTGTGCATTACACTGAAAAGTGGAAAAAAAAAATCCTAATTCAAAAAAGACATACTTAGTATTTGAACAAACAAAAAAGTAAAAAGTACTTGCTCTTGAAAGAAAACCTCTTCCTAGGGAAGCCAGAGTAGTCAGCTGTGACAGGAAGATTTACCTGCAGCTGCAAAATCAATCTCTCCATAATCATTCACAAAATCCCACTGCCTCTTCTTTTTGTAATCTCTGAAATTCATCTATTCTCCTTTTCCTACACTAATTTCTCATCCAGTCTATTACTATTTTGTTTGTATTTTTTACAATGACAAATACGAAACAAAACCTCTGGTTCATCATCCAATTTGCAATCACCTGTCTGCATTCTAGTCACTGTGTCTTCCTCACCCAATCTAATACTGGCTGCTATAATCAGTTTAAATTTTCTCTCGTCATTGTCAAGATACAGTGATGTGAGTGCTTAAAACATGTCTTCTAATTTCTTAATTAGTTTCATTTCATATTCCTTATTTTTCTCAAATATATCCCCTTTCAACAACGTCTCCTAGAAGAAGTCCATTCCTGTGAAAAATCAACTGCTTAGCTGAAGTTGCATGTTTTTTGTTCTTTTCTGTCTCTAAACAAGCCTATGAGGATATTAATTAGATTTGTGTGAGAAAGGGCAAGGGGAAAATGTGTCAGCTGTCACCATCTAAGCTTAGCTCTATGGAGCTTTAGAATCAGTCCTCAAGACAGAATGACAGTAATTGGAGATATTAGGATTCTGGAGCTGCACATGTCCCCCAGGGAAGGCACCAGTAGAGGCAAAGGTACAGTGAGGCTGAGGCAGGAAATCAGTAGGAATTCCAGAAGCAGGGGGCTACCACAAGGAAGGAACAGCCGGTGGGCCGAATGTGAGAAGTCTGATCGCCAAACGAGACCTGCAGGTACGGCTCTGGGTGGAGTGACCTGTTTACCGGATCACATGTCCAATGCGGTTGTCACCATTGCAGAGCAGCACGACTTCTAAAATGTTACTTTTGGATAAGTGGCCAGTATGGATGGACAGTCACTGTCAGATGCAAGCATCCATTACTGCCATAATATCAGTACTGCTCAAATTTCTGAAAAGAAGTCCAGGGCTAAGGACATGTCTGCATTGGGACAATTTTATTTTACAAAAAACCCTATCAGTCATTGAAATAAATGGCCTTTAGATGTTAGTTGAACTGTTACTTTAAGCTAGGTAAATTTTCTGTTTCCCATGCCTTCTCAGTGCTCCATCTTAACTTCATCTGCCAAGCAACTCACTCTAAGCAAAGAAAACACAGAAGAGAGCTTCTTATGCTACTGATAGAGAGCAGGAAATAAATGAGGCAAAAAGAAACTCATACTCTCCAAAATGGAAGAACCTAAAGACCAGTGCTTCCATCGGACAGGGGCAAGAAAACAGCACTGCAAACCAAATCTCAGCATGGGTGGGATTTCATGTGTTTCATGTTTGGCAGCTTTACATTTACAAAATTTCCCTATTAAAACAGTTGCATTTTTATCTTCCAAAAATTATTGGTGAAAAACCCTGAATACTGGTTAAAGGAATATAAAAATATAGGCAAAGACAAAATAGAGGTCTGTGAGGTCCACAATATTTTAGAACAGAGAAATAATAATTGAACTATTCTTTAATGTGTGTATGTAAGTACGCGTGTGTGTACCTACTTAGAGAATTAACTGATAGATTTTTAAGTTATTCCTTTAGAGATAGACACTTTTCATGTATGTTTAAAGAACAACTTACTCTGATTCCTTCAACAGTGCCTGCACACACCCTCATTCAATATCAACGGAATAGAAAAGGTTTGCTGTTTTGTTTATACCCTGTGGAGAATTCAGTTTAATTTTCAAAACCGTAAACTGTTCCACTTATGCCCTAGGGCTCTCAGAACTTTATGGTCACTCTGCATTCAATACTGTTTCACTGTCAAAGTATAATTACGTGTTTGTATCAAAGAAAGCAAACGCAGTCGGCTTCCCAAAAGCTTGCTTCAGTTTGGCCATTTACGTTAATTGCACAGTCACAACACATGGGCAAGAGGCACCACTGCAGTGCAATAATTTGAGCTCTGAGTTTCTCTGCTGTTCTGAACTCTTCAGAGAAAAGGGACTAAAATAATCCAAAGTAGTTATACATATTATTGGCCAAATTCCCTGAAGGCTTATTCTTCTTTGGAAAAAAGCCTAAAGGCAACATACATAATAACTGAGGGATTAAATAGTGATTCCTGCGTCACGGCTATAAACGTTACGGACCTTGTTTCCTGGAAACAACAACGTAATTTTGAAACCAATGCACAAGGTGACTGAGGGATTCAATTCAGTTCCTGTTCAATAGTTATATGCACCATTACTGGTTTTCCTTGCATTTCCTGACTGTTCTGGTCTTCATTTCCTGAGACAAATGATTTTATGACAGTCCTCAGCCCTCAATGTGCTCCTAATCCTGCCTTTCTACCTCAGAGCAGGAAGAAGAAACATAGCCTAATATAGCAGGGTCAAGAAATACAGGATGAAATTATTTTTTTTATTTTTTATTTTTTTTTTGAGACGGAGTCTCGCTCTGTCGCCCAGGCTGGAGTGCAGTGGCGGGATCTCGGCTCACTGCAAGCTCCGCCTCCCAGGTTCACGCCATTCTCCTGCCTCAGCCTCCCGAGTAGCTGGGACTACAGGCGCCCGCCACTACGCCCGGCTAATTTTTTGTATTTTTAGTAGAGACGGGGTTTCACCGTTTTAGCCGGGATGGTCTCGATCTCCTGACCTCGTGATCCGCCCGCCTCGGCCTCCCAAAGGAAATTATTTTTTACATAGTATGTTAGCTACACTTATAAGTATCATGCCCAATATATTTCTTCTTCCATCTTCAGATGAAGGGACTCTACATTTAAAACAGCAGGTACAATAGGTAATCTGAAAAATATATGTATAGTAAATATAATAATATACCACTTTCTTTTTGTTTTCAAACCTTTTTAGACCCCCTGAAGATGTTTAATTATATTATCCAAAAACAAATGTATCCTATGTTTTCTGACTTTTAAGACACTGCCATGAAAGGCATACTCCAAATGAACTGCCAGAATGGCTCATCACAGATGGGGAACCAAATAATAGTACTACATAATTTCCCCCTCCAACCATAGGGCGATTTCCCAGAAACTCAAAAAGCACACAGAGCCAATTCTTTTGCATTTGTATAACTAGGAAATAGGATTTTTAGATAACCACTTTTTTCCCCTAACAGGAAAAACATCATCAATAACCATACTCAAAAAATAATTTGAATGACTCTCACTGGAAATTCTTTAGGCTCAACACCACAATCTCAAATTAAGCCCTTTTTTCTCTTGCCCTCCTCCTCTTCCTTTTCTACTCAGAACTATCTACAGGTTTGATTTACATGTTGGTGGTGTTGGTTTTAGTAAGGAATGCTGGCTTTACCTTGTTTGGAAATTATAAAGCTGAAGTCACAGGAGGTGTTGAACCAAACTAAGACACAGCATCATAAAAAGACGTGAGTGTGAAGGGCAAAATGAGGACCCTGATCAGTAGGAAACTGATGTCACAGGAAGACAGTCCATTTTTCCCTTCTTTTTTTCCCCAAAGGCAAAAAAAAAACCTCTGAGAATGGCCACAACGTTGGTTGTAAAGCCCACTGGTCAGAGTGGCAGAATGTGTACACACGATTCATAGGAATATGCACAAAGCTACGTGGTTCAAATCCCTCACATGACTCAGATTCCTTTCTGGGCATCTATGGAAACTACAAAGGCAACTGAATAAAGCTTTACTAAAATATGCATAAATGGAGACTGAATAAAGATTAAAATTATGCTCTTTGGAAATGTAAAAGAAAATCAAGTTAACAGATTTTATACCCCTGCCTCCCAATCCTATGTCTGTACATATACACCTAATTTCTATTTCTTAATAAATAGTTTAATGTGATGTGGGTAATACTGTCCCTAATTTGAATCATGATATTTAAATTTAAGTAGAATGCATATTCAAATAGAATACACCCATTTCATTCCTAGGCACAAACCAGAAATAAATGACAAACAAATACTATTCAGTACTCTTGAATGTTCATCATTTTAATGACAATATCAGCTTAGCAGATAACCGTTTCCACGACCTTGAGTACTATTACATTTTCCCAAATAACTGAAAACATTTTCTTATAATTCACCCGGATTTGTAGCAATATTATATATTCCAAAATATCTGTTCAAGCTATATATTCTGAAAGATGACGAATATATAGGATATAACTTTTTCTCAGGAAACAAAACCAAATAAAGAGTTTTACCCTTTTTAAAAGAGGAAATCTGCAGAGAAAATAGATTAATTCAAAACCAAGGTAAATACTAGGAATACAATATTTCAAAAATAATGTCAATAACTATTTTAACTCTAACAGTATTAAATTATGTCAACCATGGAAACAAAATGGACCTTCAAAATAACGAAAAACACTTTTTTCCCCCAGCAAGTCTGCTCTCAAATGCCTGAGAACTGAATTGGTCCTAAAGGACGCGCAGGCTTCTGATCAGCAGAGAAGCATCTCACAGACAATTCTAGTACAGAGGTCACATGAACTAGAGTGTATACTTAGGAATAAGCCTGGAGAACAAAGAGGTGAAATGATGGTGAAATAAAGATTCACTTTGTCAAAATTTGGGTTGGACAGTGTGGTAGATTGTATTTGACAAATGTCATCACAGTATCTCCCATCTTATACATCCTTCATGTATAAGGATGTGACAAAGACATTCCTTATAATGTGACAAAGACATTCTTCCCATAAAGAGGAGAGGTCTACAGCCCTCTCTTTCCACCTGACTGAGCAGAACTTTGTGACTTCCTTTGCCAATATAATATGGCAAAGTGATGTTCTGTAACTTCTGAGGGTTAGACCATAAAAATAGCTTGCTGTCTCATTATGCTCATCCTTGGGGCTGTATTAGCCTATTTTCATACTGCTATGAAGAAATACCCGAGACTGGGTAATTTATAAAGAAAAAGAGGTTTAATGGACTCACAGTTTCACATGGCTGGAAAGGCCTCACAGTCATGATGGAAGGTGAAGGAGGAGCAAAGGCATGTCTTACATGGCGGCAGGCAAGACAGCATGTACAGGGGAACTGCCCTTTATAAAGCCATGAGATCTGGTGAGACTTACTCACTCTCATGAGAACAGCATGGGAAAAACTGGCCCCGATGATCAATTAACTCCCACCAGGTCCCTCCCACGACATGTGGGCATTATGGGAGCTACAATTCAAGATGAGATTTGGGTGGGGACACAACCAAACCATATCAGGGGCGTAGCCACCATGCTCTAAGGAATTCCAAACTAGCCAGGTGGACAGACAATACAGAGAGGCCACATAGAGGTGCTCCAATCAACATCCCAGATGAGGTCTCTGTGGAGAGTCAGCACCAACTGCCTGACATGTGAGTGAAGATGGTGCCAGACTGCCCCAGCCATCAAATCATCCCAAGCTCTTGAGTATTCTCTAAGATCCCAGATACTGGGGATCAAAGATAAGTCCTCCCCACTATGCTCTGTCCAAATTCCTGACCCACAGAATCTGTGAGCATAAAAAATTGGTTGTTTTATGGCACTTAGGTTCTGGGGCAGTTGTTTATACAACAAAAGTAACTGGAACAGACACCTATGGTGAGACAAGTATTGGAATTCATATATGACCAGACTAAAAGGTGTAATGAGAAATCATGTTAGATTCTTAAGCAAGGTGATTTTGTAATCAGAGTATAAGACACTAGAGGAAAGAAGTTAAGAAGAAAAATCATTTTTAAAAATTCTAGTATTGGCCTAGTCTAATGCCATTTCAGTGGGAGGAGATGAAAGAGAAGGAGGGAAGATATATTTAATAGGAAGAGTTTGAAGAGTCAATAAAGCTTAATGCTAATGGAGCTTAAACGATAAGTGAGAAGAGTTACACACACACACACACACACACACACACACACACACACACACCCTTCTAGGTGCCAGTGGCAAGCAGGACAAACAGAAAGGGCAACCAATTGCCAAGGGGTGGGAGAAGAAACCTACCTTGCCACCTTGCTTACCCCATGCTCTCTCTATACATAAAATTAGTAAATATGTTGTTCAAATTTTCTGCATCCTTCAAATGATTTACTTTGCTTGATCTATTTATCTCTGATGAAGGTGTGCTAACATCTCCTACTATAAGTATAGATTTCTAAAAGTTTCATAGTGAGTCTACTAGGTTTTCTTTTTTTGTTTAAGATCTACCATGTAGGTATAGCACAATCATGATTGGAGCATCTTCTTAGTGGAATACCCCTGTTAATAATAATATCTGACTTTATCCCTATTAATGCTTTTGCTTTAATTTGAATTTTGTTCAGTATTCTGTTATTGATAAGGCCAGCTTGCTTTTAATTAGTAGAGGGTATGTACAAAAGCAGTGTATTGACATCAACTTAATTAGTACTACAGATGAACTATATGCAAATAATCTTACTTCCTGGTTTAGTAAATAAAGGCTTATATTAAACTGCTAAATCAGATCTGTATACATCTATAATATTTATTTAATGTTAATGCCCCCTCTTTGATGCCCCACTAAAACACAGAATTCTTCAGGTATTGAAGACAGATACCTATACTAGATAGCCAGAGTTGAAATTATGCTCTTTATCCTGGTTTATAGAAATAAACTACCATATTTATTTTAAATAGAATTGACACTTCCTTGTTACAATAATACAAAATCAACAGCCCAGCTGAACAGGAGGCCAAGGAGTGGTACTTCAGGAAACCTTTCCTTTTCTTTCTCTCTTCTCTGTATGTGCATATTTTCCTCTTTTTTTGGCGTTAATAAAATTCAAAGGTTTTATTTGCTTTCTAGCTATTGCTTTTTATTTTTATTAAAAATTTTTTATTTTAGGCTTGGAGGTACATGTGAAAGTTTTTTACATAGATAAACATGTGTCATGGGGGTTTGTTGTACATATTATTACATCAACCAGGTATTAAGCTCAGTGCTCAATAGTTATCTTTTCTGCTCCTCTCCTTCCTCCCACCCTCCCCCTCAAGTAGACGCCAGTTGTCTGTTGTTGCCTTGCGTTCATAAGTTCTTATCATTTAGCTCGCACTTATAAGTTAGAACATGCAGTATTTAGTTTTCTGTTCCTGAATTAGTTCAGTAAGGATGACATCCTCCAGCTTCATCCATGTTTCTGCAAAAGACATGACCATGGTTTTTATGACTGCATAATATTCCATGGTGTATATATACTGCATTTTCCATGTGCATATTTTTCTACTACTCCTTTGTACCTCCTCCTTTCCCTCTCCATCTTTATCCAGCCTCTCCTTTATCCTACTCTATGGGGCTAATTACCTACTTTCACCTTACATCTCTAATGACTTCTTTCACTTCTCTTTCTATCTACCTTTTCTTTCTCTTTTTCCCCCATTTCTTTTAACTTTCAACATAATGAAATCACATCTTTTTTGAAATGCTGGTTGTACAGTAGCTAATAAGTAATGTTTTATAGGTCCTGCTCTCATTTTTAAGATCATTCAAGCGTTTATGTTTACTTTTAAAATCACAATGCGCTATTTTTCTTCCATATAGCCCTTGATTAATTTTTTTACTGTGGGTCAGTGATTTGCATTGGGAAAAAATTCCTCACCCAACATAAGTTGGACTGGAAGAATGTGTCTGTAATGAGGGTAGTTACATCTTTTGTAACACTGTTTCATGGACTTTTTTTTTTATTAACAGGAAAAAGTACGTGCTTACAGGATCAATTCTGAATTCCTCAGTCTGGTAATCAAGGCATCCTCTAGCGAGTCCCAGCAGTGGCGGGCAATGTCCCTTCATTTGAGGACATGTGCCTGCCCTTTACAGAGCAGTGTGCTTTAGTGGAAGGAAGATGAGCTCTGAAGTCCACCAGAGTAGGTTTTCATATCATCTTTGTCACTTACTAGATGAGTAAACTATAGACAAATTAATTAAACTTTCTGAGCCTCCATTTGGTCATATATAAACTGAGATGTCAAAAACTACTTTTCATTTTCAGTGAATTGTAAGGATCAAATATGCTACCTAATGTCCATAACGTGCCTACCACATAGCAGGCATTTATTGTACAGTAGCTGTTCCCACTCTCGGCCCCCCGGCATATACACTGTGTCCTGAAACTCATCTGAGCGATCCAGTCTCCTGATTTCTTCTTCTTACTCCATGAAAGGAAAAGATGACAGATAAAACGATTAGGTTATCAGAATGATCAGAATTTGGGGGAGGTTAAAGCCAACTTGAAGGAGAAACTGGGCTTGAAAGAACCTGAACCTGTTTGTGTAAGTTATATTAGATATTAGCATGACAACTTAATGTCCTTTCTTATCTTATAATACTGATAAAACCTTAGAAGAAATTTGCTTGGTAGGCATTGCATTTAAAAAGTAAAATAAAGGAAAGCAATTCAACGGGAAATTCAACTACGTCTTTTTTTAAATGTTGGTTACCTGCAAATTTGGCAACTCTGCAGTTGTCAAGAATTGCTGTAATATCACCTCAGAAATATAAAGTGTAGAAACACTTTGCTTTTACACACACACACACACACACACACACACACTTGAAAAGAGAGTAGAGGAAGAGAGGGGAGGAAGGTAGAACGGGGAGAAATGGGGGCAAGAGAGTATAAGAATATATAAATCCTTACTAGGCTTCTACACCGGTCAGCAGTAAAACACACTTACATGTCCAGAACCACAGTTTTCACCTTCCGGGCTAGATGTATATGTTTTCTTAGGGATGAAAACTCTTCCAACAACATACTCCATAATTCTCTGAGACACAAGGGAGAAAACCAGACCTCAGCTTCTAGTATTTTACATAATTGCTAACAAAGTCTCTAGGAAACACTCAGATGAATTTTCTTGCCGACCTAACCTCTTTGAAGATTGGTCTCTAGGAAGGCAATGTCCAGTGAGGTGTTCTATGGCCCAGAGGCCCTCAGAAATGCAAAGGAAGAAAAGCTAGTTGCTACTTCTTGTGTTGCCTAGGTTGGACTCCAGAAACCTCAAGACAGATAAATCTGACATAGCAGGCAGACAGCAGGAGTGGGTAATGAGCTCTTCCACCATGGGATTTGGTGGGCTCTGTCTGCCTCTAGGAATACGTCAAATCAAGAGATAATAGGTAGGATTCCTACTACTATTGCCTCTGAAAGAGTCAGAAACTATGGACCAGCGACTCTGGTTTAACCTTAGTTAAGGGCATGGGTACTTGTTGTTTAGAGGGGCAGAGGAGAGGGGTCTTGGATTCCCAGCCAACTGGGGGGAGGGGGAAGAATCCTGAGCAAGAAAGACGGTAGGAACAGCTCTAAAAGGAAAATAAAAGTGACCGAAAACTTACGACTTGTGTCAAGAAAACAAACATGATCAAGGAAAAGTGTCCTGGGGACTTACAAGTAGAAAAGACCTACTAATTTTCTAATAACTCACTGCATTTCTGACCTAATTTTGGCAGTGTGAAGCCTACTGTGTAGATATCTACCCAATTCATAATGAAGAAACTCCTTGTAATCGTGTGAAGGTACAGAAGACCACTGGGAGTGCCCCTATTAGAAGAAACAGTACAGGATACTCCCATAATCTAATTTGTCTTTCTCTAATCTTGGAATATTTACCAAATTATACCCAGAATATTTTTTGTCTTCTTGTCAAACTCTTACTTTCGTTCTACTTTACTCAAGATACCTGAAGGCAAATCTACAGCAACATGTCATAGAGTTCTGCTCTCAGGCCTATTGTCATGCTTTTAATTAGTAACACATCGATGCCACCACCATCATATTTATAGATGACAAAAAACTGGAGACAGGGCTGCTAGTGCTCACGCAATATCTTTCTTCAATAGAGCACATCTTTACCTAGGCACATGGACATCTTGAAAAAAATCAGCATCTTCCAGCCTCCTTTGTAGCTCAGTGCTGGTCTAGGTGCTGACAAAAGGCAAGTGTGACAATGTTAACATGTGACTTCTTACTAGTCCCAGGGGGCAGCTTGAGCAGCCCCTAGAATGTGCCTTGAAGATAGAGGAGGAAGAACATTAAGAAAAGCTTGGGTCATCGAACATCACAAAGCTGCTGGAATAACCCTGGAGAGTAAAATTCTATGCTTCATTTTCATGAGAGGGAAGCTTCTACTGGGTTTAAGTCAGTATTACTTGGATTTTCTGTTATTTGTAGTGCACCTAAGCTTAAGACTAATAACTAATATGGCGGATAACTAAATCAGGATATAAAAAGACATAAAATTTTAAGTAGCAGAAAAGATGGGTGGATGTAACCAAACAAAATTTAATGAGATAGATGGGAAAAAACCCACCTCTACATTTACTGATGCACAAAGCCTATCATATAAGCATAGGAGATGGAAGCTTATCTTAGCAGCATACTTAGAAAGCAATTTTAGAGGCTCATGACCACCAACTCAAAATAATAGTGATGTGGCAGCCCAGAGAGCCAATGTGTCTTCAAGTTACACACATAAAACATGATACCTAAGTGCTGGGTTCATGGCCTCAGATGGCTACAGGGTCTATAAATGTAGGGAGTAAGTCAAGAAGACACAACGTAACTGGTGAATGCCTGCCCTATCTTTAGACGGAGCAGCTGCTCAGCCCCTGGTGATTGTTGCTTTTCAGGAACGATGGCCAATGGTTTTTTGTTTTGTTTTTTTTTCCAGAGAAGCTGGAAATCTGGATTTCTATGTAACATCTCCACTTTTCCCAAACATTGGTTATTAATTTGAAAATTTTAAATAAAAGCTACAGATACTATAAGAAGCCATAGGAGGTCTGTTGGCTGCTTGTTTTCAGATAACCTTTCAGATGGCAAGGGCTGAAAGCTCCACTCTATTCTACTTGGTGAGTCCACACCTGGAATATCACATCTGGGTAGTAACTTGAAGGAAAAATCTTAAGAAGGAATAGAGGCAAATAGTAAAGGCGATTGAGGTCTAGTTTCTGGAGTCAGGGAGAAACACAGTTTGAATTCCAGCTCTGTTCCTTACTAGCAATGTAGCTTCGAGCAATTTTCTCAGCCTCTGGAAGGTCTAGCTTTCTTATCTGTAATGTGGGGGATAATTGTAGCATCTACCCAATTAGGACTGATGTGAGGATTAAATGAGTTAATGAGCTAAGCCCATGCTGGACACATTTTATGCTAAACAGGAAGTGAGACAACTCAAAAATAGGTTTTATAAGGAACTGTAGGAATTTGAGATTTTTCTTTACGTTAAAAAAAATCAAATGACAACATGATATTTGCCTTCAAATATTTAAATATCTGTGGAGGTTGTTCAGCCTTGTGTCTGAGGTCCAAGGGCAGGATGGGAAACAGTGGATAACAGTTAAAGGGGAGACATTTGGATCCAGAAAAAGAAATGATCAAACAGTTAAGTAGACTCCACTGTTTCAAAAAACAGTAAGGTAGTTTCCTTTTCACTGAAGGAAAGCAAACCTAAATTAGATAACCACTGGACCGGTACACAGGAGGGGGATCAAGTGTTGAGCTAGAGTAGGTGTAGGAATTAGACCAACTAGATGACCTAAGGTCCTTTCCAACCCTGAGACTTCAGTGATGATGTAACAAGGAGGCAAATACATTCAATTTCTCAGACATCCTATAAGACAGACCCACTGACTCATATGAAACAAGCTACCAACACACAAAAGAACTACAAGAATAGGCCAGTAATTCAGACATGCCAAAAAGGAATCACCACCACGGGTTTCACTGATGGTGCCAAACAGAGATACACAATATACACATATATGGTGCCAAACAGAGATACACAACAAACACATATACACAATATCCAAGGCCAACATATCTGACTGCAATCTCAGTAGGTATACTAAGCTGTTATTCATTATACTGACTTAAGTCAAGCTAGGGTGACCATAAAAGCTCTCAGATCTGGCCAGGTGCAGTGGCTCATGCCTGTAATCCCAGCACTTTGGGAGGCTGAGGAGGGAGGATCACCTGAGGTCAGGAGTTAGAGACCAGCCTGGCCAACATGGCAAAACCCTGTCTCTATTAAAAATACAAAAATTAGCTGGGCATGGTGGTGGTGCCTGTAATCCCAGCTACTTGGGAGGCTGAGGCAGGAGAATTACTTGAACCTGGGAGGCAGAGGTTGTGGTGAGCTGAGATTGCGCCACTGCACTCCAGCCTGGGCAACAGAGCAAGACTCCCTGTACAAAAAAAAAAAGGAAAAAACTCTCAGATCTAATGTTTTATTTTGTTGGCATCAAGCAAAAGGGAAATACAAGCAATATCTTAAAAAAATTTGTATTCATCACCTTTTTTAAAAATCCTTTGGTATTAGGTACCTGTAATGTTTATCCTTAGCATCATTTATTAAAAACAATACTATACATTTATAGAGTACTTGATTATTTATTATATTCAGAGAGACAAATTATTTTATTTTTCTTATAATACATCCTGAGGTGGTTAGAACAAAGATTATATTTCCACTTTATAGACCAGAAAATTGGGTCCCAGAGGATATAAAGTGAGTAAATGGTAATGCAGAGTCTTCTAATTCCAAATCCCATCTTCTTTCCATCATGTCACATTGTATTTTTAAACGGTCAAATAGCTTTATCCTTTTTGAGAAGAATAAAAGCATACCTATTGTAAATAGGTAAATACAAAAGCATTTGGCTTATCCATTCCTATACTAGATGGGAAAAGAAATTAATTCCTATATAAAACACCTGAAAATGCTGGAGAATATATTAAACATCTCTTGTAAAACATGTCTGAGTAGGAAAAAAGGCAAGAAGACAGTATGATTCCACACAGGTAAGCTAAAACTGAAGGGCCATTGCCCTGAGGGCATCTACTACTCCTAGTGGCCTTGAGCCAGACCCATGGGGGAAAGAAGACAAAGCCTAGGGGCTTTGTAGGATAGGAGGATAAAAAAGGGAACTGGTGGCTGGGCGCGGCGGCTCATGCCTGTAATCCCAGCACTTTGGGAGGCCAAGGCGGGTAGATTACAAGGTCAGGAGATCAAGACCATCCTGGCTAACACAGTGAAACCCCATCTCTACTAAATACACGAAGAATTGGCCGGGCATGGTGGCAGGCGCCTGTAGTCCCAGCTGCTTGGGAGGCTGAGGCAGGAGAATGGCGTGAACCTGGGAGGAGGTGCTTGCAGTGAGCTGAGATCACACCACTGCACTCCAGCTGGGGCAACAGAGCGAGACTCCATCTCAAAAAAAAAAAAAGGGGGGGGAAAGGGAACTGGTGTGAAGCTGAAGCCCCAGCAGGGCTGCTCTGAAATAGAAAAACAAAAAAACAAAAAACAAAAATCCTGTCCTATAGAAGAGTTAGCAGTTGGGGTTTTGGCTAAGTGTGACAGAAAAGAAAAATGATCTCCTTTGGGTATTCCCCACCACAGGCACAGATTTACATGGACGGGACTTAAGTTGACCCTCTGGGGTAACCCATAACACCTCACTCCCCAGATCATTTTAAAGTGGTCCTGGGTAGTACATCAAGGCTTTCAGCAGAAGCAAATCCATATTCTCCTAGAAGGAGAACTCTATAAACATCTGCCTTGAGAAATTCTCATGGACAAAGTTCTAAAGAACATAAACTCAACCAAATTCATTAAACACAGAAAAATACAAGCCTGCATGGGTGAGACTTGGAAAAAACAAAATACAGAATCAAATAGGAAATGCCTGACAATATTAAGAGAATATAAAATTAATAGGCATATTATTTTTAAGTGAATGAAAGAAGAGACTGAAAATATGAGGAAAGGTCAAGAGGCTATAAAAGTTGACTAAACAGAGTTGAACAAGAACAAAAAGCAAATTTGCAGAAATGAAATACATACTAATTGAAAGTCCATGGACAGGCTCAACAGATGATATAGATACAGCTAAAGAGATAATTAGTGAAATGGATCAGATATAGCACAAGAATGCAGAGAAAATGTTGTAAATGTAGATGTAAAAAGAGGTTCAGAGAAATGGAATATAAAATGAAAATATTCAACATTTACTCATCAGAAGAATACAGACAGATGTGCAAAGAGGCAATATCCTCAGGTAATAACTTAGGATTTCCTGAGTAATGGGATCTACACCCATAAATTCAAAGTGAAACTGAAAGGCATCTAACACAAAGGGAAGATATTGAAAGTAGCCAGAGAAAAAAATCGTACTTCTACCAAGTAGTGACTAGTAACTGTATATTGATTTCTCAACAGCAACAGTGGAAGCTGAAAGACAATGGAATATTGTCTTTAAAATGCTAAGAGTAACTATTAATATAGAATATGACCAAGAATTAGTAAATTTTCTGCAAAGGGCCAAATAGTAAATATTTAAGGTTTTGCAGGCCAATCTCTGTAACATATTCTTATTTTGTTGTTACCGTGGTAGTGGATTTGTTTTTTAATACCACTTTTAAAATAGTAAAAATAACACTTTACCATGCTTAGCTTGGGGCTGTACAAAAACAGGCCTCAGGCCAGATTTGGCCCACATGGCCGTAGTTTGCCAGCCCCTAAAAGAGACAACAAAATTATCTGTCAGGAAGTAAGGACATTTTAACAAAGACATTTGCCCACAGACTCTCAGCAGAGAAATTTCAAGAGTAAACTTCAAAAAGATGCAAAATAACACCAAATGGTCTGAGATACAAGAAGTCATCAAGCATTGGTAAACATATGTGACAGTCCAGATAAACATTATCTATATAATAAAGTATGTATCTAATGTATGCAATGAAAAGCAAATAAATAGAACCAAAATGCTAGAAAATGGAGCTGCTGCTTCTGCATATGATTTGGAAAGCAGGAAAGAGTGCTGTTCCCACTTAACAACGAGAAAAAAACTATAAAATTGTAAGTTTCGTTGACCCTATCAGAGAGCTGAGAGTTGAGGACATAGAGCAAATAAAAAGAATGAATTCCAAGGAGGAAGAGGCTCCTCTAAGAAGAAAAGACATGTTCAAACTAGCTCACCCAAAGGTGGGCCACCCACCCCAAGAGTGGGTAAGAAGAAATCAGCTACAATTTTAAGAAATTGTTGGAGGCCAAATGTGGGCTGATACCTCAGTCTGGAATAGCTGGGGGCCTCAAACACAGACGGCTTTGTACTCAGTAGTGAGCTCTCTTCCATGAGGGTCCACTGAGTTCTCCCCAGAAGACCGGGGCAGGCAATATGACAGGAAGAAGGCCCTATGTAGAGAAAGGAATCAGCTGCCCACTCCTCACCCAGGTGCTTCTCTCATAAGGAGCAAAAGCCTTAATTAAAAACAACAAAAAAAAAGAACTCAAATTTCAGTCAACTAGAGAATTGATAAAATGGATAAATTGTGGCATGTTCATGCAATGAATATCCTACATGCGTCAAAATGATTGAATCTCAAAAACATAATTCTAAGGGAAAAATCAGACACAAAATAATTCCATTATGTAAAATTAACCTGTTTGGTTGCATACAATTTGCATATCAAGTTTATAGAGAGAGCACTGATATATATACCCACACATTTTTGTGTAGTACATAAAGCAGGTAAAACAAACATATGTATTTATATATTTTTTCTTATGGTTGCATATATAAAAATTAAACACCAACCCAAAAGAATTATTTAAAAACTTCAAGATAGTGGCTGCCTCTGGGAAGGGGAGAAAAATATAATCACTGAGGGAATCCAGGGGTTGCTAATGTGCTGTTTCTTAATAATTTAGTTAGGATACTGAGTGCTGAGAACATTTTTTATTTGTAGTTGCTTATCATTAGTCTTTAAACTTCACATGTTACATAAACATGCACTCTTACACAAACATGATGTATTTTATATATTTTTTAAAAGTTCTGTGCATGTATACATATAACAGTTAACAGCAGTTACCTACTTCTATGATGGGAAATGAGTAGTTACCTGTGCAGGAGAGGATTAATGGCCACATTTACTTCTTATTTGATATGCTGCTGTTTTTGTTTTGGTACATTTGGTAACACAGGAGTGGTGTGCATTCATATTCTTTTTTAATACCAAGGAGAGTTTTTAGCTTTCTTTTTTTTTTTTTTTTTTTTTTTTTAGATGGAGTCTCACTCTGTCACCCAGGCTGGAGTACAGTGGTGCAGTCTTGGCTCACTACAACTTCCACCTCCCGGGTTCAAGCGATTCTCCTGCCTCAGGCTCCTGAGTAGCTAGGGCTACAGGTGCCCGCTGCCATGCCTGGCTAATTTTTTGTAATTTTAGTAGAGATGGGGTTTCACCATGTTGGCCAGGCTGGTCTCGAACTCCTGAGTTCAGGCAATCCGCCCGCCTCGGCCTCCCAAAGTGCTAGGATTACAGGCGTGAGTCACCGTGCCCAGCCAAGAGTTTTTAGCTTCTACAACAATTAATTATACCCATTTTAGGAAGATATTTTTCTACTACATTTTCAAAGTGCCTCCGAAGGATGAACATGTTTATACAGCTTTCATTTTGCTAAGATGTAAGTCATGCAATACAATTAAAGATATCATACCTAATGATACTTTAATATTTATTCACTTCAGAAAAGATGGAATTTAAGTTTACTGTGATCAAACAATCCCTCTTTTATTTTTACTCTGAACAAGGTAACACAGTGATTTACAAAACCACATATTCCGTTACACAGACAAGGGACCTCAAAGTCCTGCTTAAGCAAGTGGACAGAGTGCTCTGAATACTTGGCTAAAATTCCAAGAAACTTCAAGAATCACCAGTGTTGTATTTCTTTTATCCCTAAATGGGCTTCAAAATTCCTTTGTTTGTTCACAATGGCTGATAACCAGAGTGAGAAGACCTTTATATGGGACTTGATATTCTCTAATGCTCTTTCCAGGTCTGAAAATCTTTCAGGTTTCATTTAAAGACAGCCATGTCCTCAACGGAAAAATGATCATCCAATTAACACTGTCTTCATGTGGTTTTATAAGAGATTAGCATCTGCAATATCAAACTATTATTTACCAAAACAGACCATAATCTGCAGACCTGTGTTGTTTGGGATTTTTTTTTTACTTCTGCCCAAACAGAATGTGAGTTCCATAAAACAAAGGACCTTCTTGTGTGCACCTCCATACCACCAGAGCCTCGTTCAGTGTCAGAAACACCCTAGGTCCTGACAGCTGTTGATTGAATGCATTTCTCTGCTTTGCAGCTCAGACAATTAATTTATTTCAGACTTCCAGCCATGCATTTTGCAAACTTTGCTTATATTTTCTTCATACATATAGTTGGGCATAATCAGTGGTTAAAGTCTGTATCTAAATACAGAAAATAGCTTATAATAACTATAAAATAAAATACTAAGTAATAAGATAGCCTTGTGTCATAGTTTAATTGGTGACTTTTTTTTTCTTAATAATACATCAAATAATGGTGGGCCTTAAAATTTATGGTAATTTTGATTCCATGAGAGAGAATCCAGAGTCCCTAGCTCCATCTAATACTAGATATTGTGCTGTTTTTCTTAATCATTGCCAGTTTTATGTAAAAATGATAAAATGTTTTAACTTATGTCTTTGATTAATAATGAGGATAGCCTTTTTTTCCTTTCATTTTTTGAACCATTTATATTCCTTTTTGTAAACTGCTTGTTTTTATATTTTTAGATGTTTTTCTATTGGGATGTTTGACCTTGCTATTTTTTACGGTAGTTTTTTATTAATTAAAAATATTAAATCTTTGTTTGATATATGGCACGCAAACATTTTTCTCAGTTTATCCATCATTTTAACTTTGTTAGTAGTGGTTTTCCTTGAGATTTGAGACAAATTCAACTAGTAAAAGCTGCCAGTGAATTCAAATTTTACCCATCTCCTTCAGATGCCCCCCTCCCTTATGAAAATCCCTTGTAGATGGGGTGGGAGGAATCATACACATATAAATATGTCACACAGCTAGAAATAACTCCAATTAGCATCAGTATATATTCAAAATTATAAAACACTAAAAATCTACAGCCAATTTCCTGCCTTTGATCACATTTTCTCCCAAAGAATAATGTTCTAGGTCTTCCCAGACAGCACTTACTTTGGGTTCCTTCACAGGCTGCTTGCTGGTAATATAATAATGTGATAAGCAGAAGCAACCCAAAGTCTATCTCATAAGAAATATTTCCTAATGGCTACTCTTCTGTACCCTCCAGCTCTCGGCCTCTGCCCTTGCCAGTGCACAGGCCTCCAAGTGCTAGGGCAGGCCAGTCAGACATCCCTGGGACAGTCCTGGCACACAAGCACAGCCAAGACTCCGTAATGCAAAACGCCATGATGCCCACAGTGCAGTGTGACCACTGGTGTGGTGGGTGTTTGCCTCATACTGGGAGTCAAGAGTTGCAGGTCTTAACCCTGACTCTGTCACTGACTAGAGATATGATCTTGAAATAATTTTTCCTTTCTGAATCTCCAATTTTCCTTATCTTTTGATGGGGGCACTTGGAATCCCATGATCTCTAAGGTCTTTTCCAATGCCTATATTCTGGTTCTATTATACATATCTAATCTCAACTCTACACACTTGCTGTCCCAATAATAAAAACAACAATAAATTCAGGTGTGTCTTTCTCCAAAGCTGCTGTTCTTAAAACATTTTGCTACATTGTCTCTCTTACATTAGCAGTAACAGTCTGATTTCAATGTTTTCCTTCCTCATTGTACAAGGACTGGGTTGACTTGAAAGTCAAGGATAGAGACATCAGGAAGTTTTATTAGACTTCTGACACACCTTAGCCAATGCAGAAAATGGTTCTGAAAGCATGTCTAATTATTTTTCTAGTTGTTTTTAACAATCACGAGAATGGAGTTCCTTGAGCACTTCCTTAAAAAATCTATAATTACCAAACTCAAATAGGAGGTTCTTCCTGAAATGTGGCGATTTGGTGATTCTTCTCCCTGTCTCCATCTCATTATTTCTGCCACTCTTATATAGTTATACTGAAAATTAATCCTATAATTTATTTTTTATAATTTTAATATGATTTTGTAGGATGATAACACTTCTCATTATTGCTGATATAAAAGGATGAAAAAATACTACTTTCCAAAGAGCTGGCACTGTAATTACTCTAAAAGAAGGAAATGCCTTTGGTGGGGCAGAAAATGAGAGAACTCAAGAGCAACACATCTAGAGCTTCAGGAAAAAGGTAGAAAGTGCTCTGCAACCAAGCAGTAGAGAAATTATTTACCTCCCGGATCAGAAGATATTGATCAGTTATCAATATCAGATTGATCTGGATCAAAAGGCATTTTTCTGGCTCAGAAAGCAGAAAAAGAAAGAGAAGAGACAGGGAGGAGAGAGAAGCTGGGGGAAACAAAATTGGACTCTGTACAGGAGAAGGGCAAAAAGAAACTTCTGGTGACTAATGGTCAAAGTATTGCATGGCCACCATGGAAACTTCACCCCAACCATGTGTATCTTCACCAAAAGTGAGGAAAATTGGGCTCCTGGAAAGTTTCTCCTGCTGAGAAACTAAATAAGAAAGTAATTATTTTGACTTTTGAGGCAAAATATTTATTTCAGGGGAGTAGATGGATAAATGAGAGATTAGAGATGTCAGTCTGAACACAAGGTTAGACCAGGGAGTGATTTGACATGATGGTAAAGAGTGGGATGGCCCCTCAAAACATCCAAGTTATATATATAAAAAAAAAACCTTTAAGAACAAGGAACTCTAAAATACAGTATTGAGCCATACAGTATGTGATGTGAACCCTCAGATTTTCAATAAAATTCTATACATTAAATGATACTGTGATTGTGACTATGTATGTTTTAGTAGGGTATTTGGTTTGGAGTGTGTGTGTACCTGTCTCTGAAAGCTGATTAGGTTTTGATCAATGCAGTGTGAAAGAGACATCGCAAAAGATCTCCTGATAACTGATAAACATGAAAATATAAGCCCCTTAGAATGCTAAAAAAATTTTACAGAAACATTTCTACTTTTATAGGACTAGGTTAAAATCAACATAATCTAGACCTCAAGGGACTAGGAGTTCCCACTTGATACCCAGATTTTGCTTCTTTACCCAAATGCTATTTGCCTAGCTCTTTAGTGTGGTAATTATGTTCTAGTCCTTATATATTTAATCAACATCTCTAAGTTGCTTCTAAGTCTTTCCTAAGAAAAGCAGTAACTTCCAGGAAGAGTTAAATATATAATTCTGTCTCAGAAGAACAGGTAAGGAGTTCTCCTCTTCAACTGGAGATGAAATTCTGGAATGGATTCCACAAATAGAAAAAAATAATATTCTTCCTTCTACCACATCCAAGTGACAGTAAACCCAAACACTGCTGATCACAAGTACTGTACATCTACTACTAAATAAGTAATGCTATCAAGGACGTTCACACTTTCATTCTGTAGATTGATCTAATACATTGCAAAGTCAATGCAGGAACGGTTTTATTGCATCCTTTCCATTTTTAACATTTGCTCAGCCTCAACAATGTCTAACTTGGGATGGATCTGACTAAGGGTACTATACAAAGAGGCATGCTAGGGAAGGAGATGTACGTCATGTGTTGCATAACAACAGAGACTGGTCCCAAGAAAGGTGTCCTGAGCCAATTTCATCATTGTGGAAACATCATAGAGTGTACTTAACATAAACCTAGATGGAATAGCCTATCACACATCTAGACTATATGGTATTGCCTATTGCTCCTAGGCCACAAACCTGTACAGCATGTTACTGTTTTGAATACTGTGGGCAACTGTAACACAATGATAAGAATTTGTGTATCTAAACATAGAAAAGGTACAGTAAAAATATGCCATAAAAGATTTAAAATGGTACACCCGTTTAGGGCACTAATCATGAATGGCGCTTCTAAGATTGAAAGTTGCTTTGAGTGAGTGGTGGGTGAATATGAAGGCGTAGGACATTACTATACACTATTGCAGGCTTTATAAACACTATACACTATTGTAGGCTTTATAAACACTATATACTCAGGCTACACTAAATTTATTTTAAAATTATTCTGTCTTCAATAATAAATTAACCTTAGCTTACTGTAAATTTTTTACTTTATAAGCTTACTTTTTAACTTTTTTGACTCTTTTGTAATAATGCCTTAAAACACATGTTGTACAGCTGTACAAAAATATTTTCTTAATATCCTTATTCTATACTTTGTCTATTTTTAAATCTTTCATTTTATTTTTTAAACTTTCTTGTTAAAAACAAAGACACAAATACACACATTAGCCTAGGCCTACACAGGGTCAGGATAGTCAATATCACCGTCCTCTACCTCCATATATTGTCCCATTGGAAGGTCTTCAGGGGCAATAACATGCATGGAGCTGTCATTTCCTGTGATGACAATGCCTTCTTCTGGAATAGCTCCTGAAGCACCTGCCCAAATGGTTAATTTTAGAAATAAATACAAAGAGTATACTTTAAAATAATAATAAATAGTACAATAAATACATAAATCTGTAACATAGCTTTATTATTATGTACTGTACATAATTGTATGTGCTACACTTTTACAGGATTGGCAGCTCAGTAGGTTTGTTTACACCAGCATAACTACAAACACATGAGTAATGTGTTATGCTATGACTTTACAACAGCTACAACGTCACCAGGTTGTAGAAATTTTTTAGCTCCATTATAATCTTTTATTTATTTATTTATTTTGAGATAGAGTCTTGCTCTGTTGCCCGGGCTGGAGTGCAGTGGCACAATCTCGGCTCACTGCAACCTCTGCCTCAGAGGTTCAAGCGATTCTCCTGCCTCAGCCTCCCTAGTAGCTGGGACTACAGGCATGTGCCACCATGCCTGGCTTATTTTTGTATTTTTAGTAGAGATGGGATTTCACCATGTTGGCCAGGAGGGTCTCGAACTCCTGACCTCAAGTGATCTACCTGCCTTGACCTCCCAAAGTTCTGGGATTACAGGTGTCAGCCACTGCACCCAGCCAGCTCCGTTATAATCTTATGGGACCACCATTATATATGTGGTTTTTCATGGACCAAAATGTCGTTATGTGGCATATGACCGTATTTATAGTAAGCTTTCAAGTATATCCACAGAAGGCATATAAATAAAACCACATTTTAGTCTTTTCTTCAATACGAATGCTGTTAGCAAGAAGAAAAAATCTTGATTAGGATCTCACTGCATAGTTTACCCATCTAAAAAATTAGAGTAGCCAGTAGACATGGGACATAGGAAAGGAGGAAAGGCAATAAACTCACATATTAAATAATTTTTCCCTGATCCTTTCCTTTCCTAAAGGTTATTAACATGTCAGCCTTTCAGCACAAATACTCAAGAAGTGAGTCACCATCTACTTTCCCTGGCAACACAGGGAGCAGTTACAGGTTTGCTGTTCTCATATTAAAAGAGAGGAAGATAATGTCACATTCACCCTGTGGTTAGGAAATTTCTACATAAGAGGCAGTGTCCACTAACAAGAATAACCTTATCCTCAAACCACTCTACAGACAGTCCTGCTTCCCTTGCTCAATCAGGCATCAGCACCATGATTATCGCAACAGATGACCATGGCTCGGAGGCCTGCTGATAATTCACAAGGGCGGGCTTTTAATGTCCATATCTACACAGCTGTGGGCAAGATTTTAATTCATACCATGTTAGGAACTGTACATGGTTTCCTAAGCGGTTGTCTCCAGCAAAAGTAAATAACTGAATAAATAAAAAGTATTAAAAGCAACTGTAGATAATTAGAATGTGGTTCCAGTGTTACTACCGTGGGTCTTCACTAGGTATTACTAAAATGGAGCCTGGAGGGGCCAGGGTGGTAATGGATGCCACAGCTTTTTCTTCTTGTCTTCTGATTCTTTTCATATACTCATGCACTTCCATCTGTCAGGTGCTTTCAAAAACGGAGACACCAATCACAAAATCTTTGACTCACCATCCCCTGTGGTTTGGAAATGAAAGCATAGCCTCTCCCCGTAACTGTGTAGGCTCCATCAGTTGTACTCATATTGCTCTAGATATTGTGCATCCCATTTGCTAAGTCACATGAGAGATAAAGACTGCTAGAAACCGTTCTTCAATATGAACCCATAGCCCTTGGCCTCCAATAAAAACTATCAAAGCCTTCATCTGCACAATTGAGGAAAATTGTTATAGATCCTCATGGATTTATGTCAGAAAAGACTAGCCTCCGAGTTGTGAAGACTCTCCTCCTTAACCCAAGAGCCCTTCCTTTTAATGATGGCTTCTATGAGCTAAAAACAGAAATAATAAGTAACAATAAAAGTGAAAAATAGCTTCTATTAGCAAACATTGTGGCCGCAGCAGGTATCAGCCAGCTACCTAACTGTTGGATAACATGGGGGGAGTTATACAGAGTCATAATGCTTGCTACTGTGGGTATTTTTATAGAACGGAGAAAAGACCATCATGGATCACTGGGATATTATTATCTAAGACTGTAGTTTTTAAATCCATCATGACCTCGCACACACGCATGTCAGCATGTGTGAAACAAAAGTTTCACGGAACAATAGCTACCCATATCACATGCAATGAATTATAATGGTTTCCTCTACTTCATTTTTTAAAGTATTATATAACCCTCTGAATTTTTTTTGAACTACAGTTAGAAAAACAACTAATATAAAAGGTTAATGAGACAGGTGGAAATATATTTAAATTGATCGATTTCTAAGGAATCTCAGAAACACTAGTGTGGAAGTTTTAGAGGTCAAATTCTGTTCCTTCAGGCACTAGGATGATTCTATTTTCAAAAATTCAAAACACAAAAGGTCTAGGAATGCCCATTTAATTTTTATTAAAGGGCAAGACAGTAATATTGCAGGAGAAAAAGTAGTTCATTTTTCTTCAATTCTGAGTCAACCCATATTTATTAAGGTTTTGCAATAGGGATATACTTAATGGAGATCGTGTGTTCTAATCGGGGATTGTAAAGAGAAGCAAGAGGTGATAAGGCTTGGGGTTCTAGGGGAAAGGAGTGAAGGTCAAGTTTCCTTAATTTGTGCATATCGCCTCATTGGCTCACCCCAAAGCCCTGTGGAGAATGTTCAGAGGCTGCTGCTCTGAACACGAATGAAGAATGAAGATGACTCCAATGTATTAGAGCTCAATAGCTGAGATCCCAAAAGGTTTCTACCCATCCCTACATCGTGGGTGTCAAGCATAACCATAAAGAGCCATCTTCGCAATTGCTTACAACATCACTTGGCAAAATTCTCAGTGCAGAAACCTTTTTCTTTCATCCATTTTGAATCATCTCCAATAAAGCTAATGGTAGTCAGAGCTGAGCAGCAACTGATGGCAGAAGAAGAATGAAAGGCTCTCATTCTTTGAGGAGGAAAGGAGTCAATTAAAATACTGCAAGGTACCAGTGACTAGATTTTACCTTTGCATCCCTTTAAACATTAAGATTAGATTGGTACATTCAATGTTGTGCAAAACATTGCTTCCCCATCTCTGAAGCCGACAACAAATGATACACTGAATAACAACAGCAATTGATGATTCTATTCAATGTCCCAAATCCAAATTGGTTGCCATATTTAGAGGAGGCTGAATCGTCAACTTCCTTTTGCCAGAAAAATAATGACTGCTGAAATGTATTTGCAATGGCATAAACACTGACAATCATTCAAAACATGAAGATTCTAAAGTACACCAGTTTATACATTTGTGAGTTTGGAAAGGATGTATAAGTTGAAATCATTCTAGTAAGACCTGAATAGAGATTTTGGCACTTCCAACTCCCTCATGGTGATGAGGCTGTCTCTCTCTCTCTCTTGTGCACACACACATCCCTACCTCTTATATCCCAGTTGCAGCCTCCAGACATTGATTAACCCCATCGTGATTTAACATCCAAATATTAACATAGTGACTATGCGTTGCCCTCATTTTCATAATCTCAATCGTGTATACCTATTTAGGAGGTTAAATTTAGAGAGTCTTCTGAACTGTACATATTCTATACAACCAACCATTCACAAAATTCTTTCTAGAGATTTAAATGTCAGAATTAACAATGAAAGTACCAAATGTATGCCTGTATATAAGTGGGAATAACCCTCTGGTGATGATTTTTTGAATTAAAGGCTTTTTCCAAATTGGCCTACTTACCTCATATTATCATTTTCCCTTTCAAAAATCTACAGAAAACTTCCCAAATTAGGGGCCAATGTGATAACTGAATTGGATTTTTGGTATCATCCAGTCCAACTACTTTATTACAAGTCAAATCCAGCACCTCAGCCTCTTGACCTCTCAGCAGCACTGGCACTGTAATATACATCTTTACTGAAATTCTCTCATTCCTAGGTTTCCATAATTTAACTTGTTTTAGCTTTCCTCTAACCAAAATGTTCTTTTCTTGCCACCAATCTCCCAAATGCTCTCCCCTGCCCAGGTCTCTATCCTTAGCTTACACCTTCTCCTGTGTTGGTCCCCTCCATCCTCATATCAGAGCCATGCTAGTAATACCAAACCTGTGCCAAGCCTCAGCAATCTCAAATTTAAAATGCCCATCACTGAATCCACATTTTCCTTCCATACATCCTCTCTTTCTTGTATTCTTTTAGGTCATCTCCCATCATTTACTCATTCAAAAATGTCAATTATTTTTCAATCTACCCTCATATTTAAACATCAGTTTCTAGAAATTATTTCCAAAATCTCCAGACTATTGTTATTGGTAATTAGTACTCCATAAAACCAATGTTTCCTATACACACTCTTCAGTGCAGCTAGCACAGCCATTTCTTAAATATAGCTCTGACAATACTTGCTCAAAAACCTTTAATGCCTCCCTATTACCCAGAAGAAAATACCCAACCTCTTTAGCACCCTTCCCATCTCACCTATTTTTCAGTTTCACTTCACCACACAACCCATCTACTTGTCACTCTGGCCCACTCACCTTACTTTAACAATCAAATAAACTGTTTCCTTTTCTCAAAGTGTTCACATCTTCTACTTCTCTGATAACTGCTTATTTTAAAACATCACCACATCTGCAAAGCCTCCTTCAAATCTCCAGGCCACTTAATCACTCCCAGGTGTTCCTACAGTACTTTGTTCACACAAATAATATCACATATCCACTGTACCCTTGTCAGTTGTTTCTTTCCTCCCTAATTGATTATAACCTTATTGAAGAAAACAGTGGTGTCTTGCTGTCTTTTCTAGCTAGGATTTCACACACCTGGTACATAGTAGGTGTTCGATTAACAACCACTAAGTAAATATATACACACAGTGAAAAACACTTTTGAATTAAGAGTAAGAAGATGTGAGTTTGAGTCCTAGCTAGGCTAGCCAAGGTAGGAGTCAAACTCTGCAAACTTCAATTTCTTCATGTGTAAGATGACATAACAATATCTCTTCCGGCCAGGCATGGTGGCTCACGCCTGTAATACCAGCACTTTGGGAGGCCGAGGCAGGTGGATCACCTGAGGTTGGGAATTCGAGACCAACCTGGCTGATGTGGTAAAGCCCCATCTCTACTAAAAATACAAAAAATTAGCTGGGCATGGTGGTGGGCGCCTGTAGTCCCAGCTGCTTGGGAGGGTGAGGCAGGAGAATTGCTTGAACCCGGGAGGCGGAAATTGCAGTGAGCTGACATCGTGCCATTGCACTCCAGTGTGGGTGAAAAGAGCGAAATTCCATCTCAAAAAAAATAATATATATATATTATTCCATCTACAATATTCTAGTCTACAATGTTCTAGTCTTTCCATCTACAATGTTCTTTTCCACCTACAATGTTCTAGTCTAAGAATCAAATGAAATCAGGTAGAGGAAAGCACTATGTCAAATATAGACTGCTATATTTAGTATAATCTTAGAGTATAATCTTTAAATCTCTATTCTTTCACTTGAAAAATATCCAAGGTTAAGATTCTAAGGCCAATGTCCAAATTGAGGATAAATATAAACACAATGAAAAATAAACACTTTATCTTACATTCTAATGTTCCTAGAAATAAAGGATGACATCAATTTAAAGTGATCTCTACCACATCATATTAACTATTAGTTAGCATGCAGAATCACAGTTATAGAGAATCACATTATAAAGAACATAGACTTTGGATTAAAATAAGTGTGAATTCTAGTGCTACCTATTGCTTTGCTTTATTAGCAAATGCTTTTATAGCATTTTTTATATATGTGTGTAAATGCTTCATATACATAACCCATTTACATCTCACTAGAATCCTATTAAAAATATTGGTCCTATTATTACTATTATTTGCATTTTACATACACGGAAACAGAAGCAGAGAGGCTGGGTGACTTGTTCAAGGTAGCAAAGCTATTATGAGGCCAAGCTGTGATTTGTGTCTGGGCAGTCTGGGTCTAGTCTGGCTTTTAACCACTAAACCATATAGTCTATATCTAAATAATATGACAAGGTAGCACAATGCCTGACCCAAAATGAATTACTGATAGATGTTAGTTTCCTTTCCTTTTGTACATAATGGTGCTCGGGCAACAAAGATGATACATGCAAGTTGTCATGAGGTCTGCTACATCATCTGACAATGCTCCCATTCCACATGGACTCTGTAAAAAAGGGGATTTTATCTGTATACTACCCTCCTCTCCATATTAAAATCTTCCAAGAAAACTAGAAAAGAGCAAACCATTTTAACTAGCTATTAAGGCAGCCATTCAAATGGGATATATCCTATTTGAATGGCCTCATTTATAGCTAGAATATATATATAGTTTCATTGCATCATTAAAATGTCATTACATTGGGCTGAGACAAAGGTAGAGAATTTGCCAGTTCTATTCTTTCATATCTTTTGGTTGTCCTTTGACAAAATCCAGGACATTGATTACATTTTTTATTACAATTCCAATGGTTCACATTGTATTAACTTCTTCAGTTCTCCCTCCCCATTGGTAATCTCCAAAGCGTGACTCTCCTACAGTGGAGATGTCGCAGTTCCCTCTTTAGCATATCATTCAGGGAGAAATGGTGTGAAAGCACTCTCTCCAAATATAGCTCACATCTCTGCAGCTCCCTTGGCTGCTTCAGACTTAGAGGAGCACATTTCATTACAACTATTGGGGTAGACCGGCATTCTTCCTAGTTCTCATAACTGGGTTAATTCTTACATATTCCTACAATTCTTACATAATGCAGTTAGGACCAGCACTGTTTTCTTAAAATTTTTCTTCTAGTTTAATACTGTATTCAATTCAATAAATTCCATCTCTCCGTTGTCAGCTACATAGAGCTTCTTAGAATACGTACTGGTACATTATCAATATTTTACAGTTATATAGTTAATAATAATTTATTTAGCACTTCCCATGTGCCAAGTTCTATACTAAGTGCTTTACATACATTACCACATAAGAGTCCCACAAACTTACAACATTGTATTTCATTACTTCTAAGATGATTTTTAAAAAAAACATTTTAACATCTCTGAAATCAGAATGCTTCTGACAATCTATACCATGTCAAAGTTGTGATAACATATTTTTCTGTGTACATAAAATATTGTTACATCTTAAAACCAGTGGTGATTTAGGTTCAATGAAATTTGTGAGTGCCATATTTATCCCTATTTTAAAGTTAAAAAAACTGAGGTTGAGTCCGTTAAGGGATTTGCCCAAAATTAATTGCATTTACATAATAAGCTAAATAAACATCAATAAGAGACTTTATTGACTTATTTTCTTTCTAACAGTTCACTGTAGCATAAAGACAGGGCATCCATCCCATAATATGCATCCTTAACCGCTGCAGCTCAGGCTCTGAAATTTCACTGGGGTTCAAGTGCCATTTCTATCACTAAACTTAAATATATGATTTTGGGCATATTGCTTGAATGTATTAACCCCATCTATAAAGTCAGAATAATGACAGTAACCCCAGAAGGTTTCTGAGATGATTAAGTAAGATAATCCATGTTAACGCTCAGAACACAATGAGAGATACATTAGCGGTCACTTCAATTTCATAAAATACAATAAGTAAGAAATAACTAACTGATTTGATTTGTTTTGCTATTTACCCCCAGCCCAATTTTATTCCAAATAATACAATATCATTACTATAATCTCTTTGTTCCTATTGCACCAACATTTTGTATGGTAAAATTTCAATTCCAAATGTGGTGAGAGGTTCACCACCTATTCTAGCTAGTATTCTGAAGCCATTCCGATTCATAAAACATACTCTGAGTATCTCCTTTGTGTAAAGTCCTGTTCTTTGTATTAGTTGGTACAAAGGAGCCAAGGAGAAATAAGGAATTATCCTGCCTTCATATCATTTTAAGTATAATGGGCAATGATAAGTATATACAAGCAGAAGATTCTTGGTAAAAAAAATATGATAAATGCTTTTAGACAACTACAGACAAAAAAGCAATCAGAGAACAAATAAGGAAAAGGTTATATCCCATCCCTTAGATGGGATCATAAGGAAATTCTTTAGAAAAGAGGTAAAATTTAAGATGGGCCTTGAAGGGAAGACAGTATACGGCAGATCCTAAGGCAATCCTAAGAACAGAGAACTTCATAAGCAAAAACAGGCTGATTTCCTCTTCCACCTATGATGGAGCAGCATATATCAGAATAATCCTCCCAGTAACTACAATAAAATGTGAATATTTAAAAATCTAACAAACACCTATTTAAGATCATGATAGCAATTAAGAAAACAAGGACATGAGGGGCCAAGATTCGAGAAAGAAAGAAAATACAGTAAAGTGAATCCTGTATTTACCTCTGTTTCTTTGCCAATTTAGGTCTCCAAACATAGTGCCCAAACAGAAAGCAGTAGCCTCTGGCTTGCTGAAGTCTTACTGATCTGGGGAGAAACAAATTGGAGTTCAGGGCTATCAAAGTTGCCAGGATATGAGAGACTAAGGACCAGGACAACAGGGAACCAGAGAGTAGTAAGAACAATCTGCAGGCAATTTCTTCTTGAGGCATCTGATGGCTCTGAAGGAAACAAAATATTTCACCCCAAAATATTTAGGACTGTTATGTCAAAGACACTGAAAATGCAGGGGAACACTGCCTCAGCCTCGGTCTGCCTCCTAATGGCAGGACGTCAATCCTTCCTTACTGGAGACAGCACTTGCTTATGGGCCCAGAGAAGGCACCAGCAGACCCGAGAGGAATCTGGGAACAGATTCTACTATCTTCCCACATTTTCCCACCCTTTAAAGGATGAGAACTGCTCTTCTCTTTGTTTTGTAACTACACAGGATTCACGGCTCTTTCTTAAAATATTTTTAAAGCAAGGCCCCTAAGCCACTGCCTTGAGAGAGTTTTTTGTTTGTTTTTGTTTTAGGTAGGGTCTCACTGTGTCACCCAGACTGGAGTGAAGTGGAGTGATCGTGGTTCACTGCAGCCTAAAGCTCCTGGGCTCAAGTGATCTTCCCACGTAGCTTGGGACTACAGGTCCATGCCACCACACCTAATTTTTAATTTTTTTTTAATGAGGAAGGGGTCTTGCTATGTTGACCAGGATAGTCTCAAACTCCTGACCTCAAGCCATCCTGCCACCTTGGCCTCCCATAATGCTGGAATTACAGGCATGAACCATCTTGCTTGGCCCAACAGTTTTTCACTGAGGCTTCTTCCAAGTGATGGGTACAGCAGGTGTTAATAAATTTCCATTTGTTTATCTTTTGTTAATTTGGCTTCTGTTTCGGGAAAATGTCACAACTAGTAACCTAAAAAAGGTAAAGAAAATAAATTATATTTTCTCTCCTGCAACTCCTACTCATTATCAGGGCAAGATGCCTTGAACTCAATCAGAAGGCAGCTGTTAAGAGACTAAAAAGCTAATCAGTGATTTCGGCAATCTGAGTGTACTACAGGACAAAACCTGCTGTTGAGAACCCATCTAGGAGGGGGTTATCTGGTAAATCATCTGAAGAGCCATGTCCTAAGAGTAAGGACAGACCAGGAATTACACAGCCCTCACAGCTGAATGATGTACAGGGCAACAATGAATTATCAGGACAAAAATGTCAACAGTGCCAAGGTTGAGAACCATTGATCCTGAGGAATGGTCTGTATATCTTTCACATAGAACAGCTAAGTGAGTTTTCCTCCCAACTGTATTGTTCACCTGCTGGGATAACCTTGACTAAGGCAATAAACTTTTAGGGCTTCATGTTTTTCATTGGCAAAATAAACAATTAATTCATTATTTTTAACCAATAAAGTGGCTAAACTTGGTTAGCTCTAAAATCTTTCCCTTCAGTAAAAGTCTCATTTTATTTTGTGGTTAATTAAAAAGTAAGTATTATCTGGATAATTTCGATGATATAGGCAGGAAAAAGATTATAAATCCATTAACCATAATGTATAAGCTTGCATTGCGAGGGCCTTCTTGGCTTACTTGCAACTGGGGAGATCCACACTTGTGTTCAGAGGAAAAAAGGAATACTAAAGCTTTCTAATAAGAATCTTACAAGTGAAAGTACTAGGATTTATGTTAAAATCGCAACAAAAGGGAACACTAAAAATAGACAAACGAATTCCTGAGCATGAGGAACCACAAATGCAATTAAAGAAAATGTTATTTAAAATCAAGGCTGTAGCAGTTTAATGAGTAAGTAAAACTGTTCTGGGTTTATATGAATCGGGCATCATCCGAGGCCAATTAAAATTCTAAACAAAATATACACTTTACATACCTGTATATGGACATATTTTAAATTCTTGTAATAATAATAAGAGTGTCGTGCTTTTATTTTGACCTTAAAATAACATTTTTTTGTAAAATGGAATTTGGTATTGGTTTGCAAATGCTAATAGTCTGCAAATTTAGGATGATGACAGTAGGAGAAATGCAAAAGAACTGATTTATTTATAAAACTAAAAATAATATTTAGTGGCATAAAAATTTGCATAGACCCCTTTAATAGCATTGGCAGGCAAGTGACTGTCTAAATTCTCTGAGAACATCATCATTTTTGACTAAGAGGAATAAATTATACTATGAAAACTATAACTATTCTTTAAGCCAAAATATACAGATGAGGACTATAATATACAGAAGAGTCTTTATCCAATTTGCCAGTCTGTGTCTTTTAATTGGGGCATTTAGCCCATTTACATTTAAGGTTAATATTGTTATGTGTGAATTTGATCCTGTCATTATGATGATAGCTGGTTATTTTGCCCATTAATTGATGCAGTTTCTTCATAATATCGATGGTCTTACAATTTGGTATGTTTTTGCAGTGGCTGGTACCAGTTTTTCCTTTCCATATTTAGTGCTTCTTTCAGGACCTCTTGTAATGCAGGCCTAGTGGTGACAAAATCTCTCAGCATTTGCTTGTCTGTAAAGGATGTTATTTTCTCCTTTGTTTATGAAGCTTAGTTTGGCTGGTAAGAAATTCTGGGTTGAAAATTCTTTTCTTTAAGCATGTTGAATATTGGCCCCCACTCTCTTCTGGTTGTAGGGTTTCTGCAGAGAGAGCTGGTGTTTGTCTGATGGGCTTCACTTTGTGGGTAACCCAATCTTCTCTCTGGCTGCCCTTAACATTTTTTCCTTCATTTCAACCTTGGTAAATCTGATGATTATGCGTCTTGGGGTTGCTCTTCTTGAGGAGTATCTTTGTGGTGTTCTCTGTATTTCCCGAATTTGAATGTTGGCCTGTCTTGCTAGGTTGGGGAAGTTCTCCTGGATGGTATCCGGAAGTGTATTTTCCAACTTGGTTTCATTCTCCCCGTCACTTTCAGCTACACCAATCAAAGGTAGTTTTGGTCTTTTCATACAGTCCCATATTTCTTGGAGGCTTTGTTCGTTCGTTTTCATTCTTTTTTCTCTAATCTTGTTTTCACGCTTTATTTCATTAAGTTGATCTTCAATTTCTGATAACCTTTCTTCCGCTTGATCTATTTGGCTATTGATACTTGAGTATGTCTCACGAAGTTCTCGTGCTGTATTTTTCAGCTTCATCAAGTCATTTATGTTCTTCTCTAAACTGGTTATTCTAGTTAGCAATTCCTCTAATCTTTTTTCAAGGTTCTTAGCTTCCTTGCATTGGGTTAGAACATGTTCCTTTAGCTTGGAGGAGTTTGTTATTACCCCGCTTCTGAGCCTACTTCTGTCAATTTGTCAAGACCCATCGGTGTGCTGTATTCAGGAGACCCATCTCATGTGCGAAGACACACAGAGGCTCAAAATAAAGGGAGGGAGGAATATTTAGCAAATGGAAAGTTAAAAAAAAAAAAAAAAGCAGGGGTTGCAATCCTAGTCTTCAATAAAACAGACCTTAAACCAACAAAGATCAAAAAAGACAAAGAAGGGCATTACATAACGGTAAAGGGATCAATGCAACAAGAAGGGCTAACTATCCTAAATATATATGCACCCATTACAGGAACACCCAGATTCATAAAGCAAGTTCTTGGAGATATACAAAGAGACTTAGACTCCCACACAATAATAGTGGGAGACTTCAACATGCCACTGTCAATATTAGACAGATCAACGAGACAGAAAATTAACAAGAATATTCAGAACTTGAACTCAGCTCTGGACCAAGCAGACCTAACAGACATCTACAGAATTCTCCACCCCAAATCAACAGAATATACATTCTTCTCTGCACCACATTGCACTTATTCTAAAATTGACCACATAATTGGAAGTAAAACACTCCTCAGCAAATGCAAAAGAACAGAAACCATAACAAACTGTCTCTCAGACCACCGTGCAATCAAATTAGAACTCAGGATTAAGAAATTCACTCAAAACTGCATAACTACATCGAAACTGAACAACCTTCTCCTGAATGACTACTGGGTAAATAGGCAGAAACAAATAACTTCTTCGAAACCAAAAAGAACAAAAACACAAGTATCAGAATCTCCAGGGCACAGATAAAGCCATGTTTTGAGGGAAAATTATAGCACTAAATGCCCACAGGAGAAAGCAGGAAAGATCTAACATTGACACCCCAAAATCACAATTAAAAGAATTACAGAAGCAACAGAAACAAATTCAAAAGCTAGCAGAAGTCAAGAAATAACTAAAATCAGAGCAGAATTGAAGGAGATAGAGACATGAAAAACCCTTCAAAAAAAATTGATGAATCCAGGAGCTGGTTTTTTGAAAAGATTAACAAAGTAGATAGACCACTAGCCAGACTAATAAAAAAGAAAAGAGAGAAGTATCAAATGGACACAAAAATGACGAGGATATCACCACTGATCCCACAGAAATACAAACTATCATCAGAGAATACTATAACCACCTCTATGCAAATAAACTAGAAAATCTAGAATAAATGAATAAATTCCTGGCCACATACACCCTCCCAAGACTAAATCAGGAAGAAGTCAAATCCCTGAATAGACCAATAACAAGTTCTGAAATTGAGGCAGTAATTAATGGCCTACCAACCAAAAAAATCCCAGGACCAGACGGATTCACAGCCAAATTCACAGCCGAATTCTACCAAGAGCCGGTACCATTCCTTCTGAAACTATCGTAAGAAATAGAAAAAGAAGGACTCCTTCCTAATGCATTTTATGATCATCCTGATATCGAAACCTGGCAGAGACACAACAAAAAGAAAATTTCAGGCCAATATCCCTGATGAACATCCATGCAAAAATCCTCAATAAAATACTAGCAAACCAAATCCAGCAGGACATCAAAAAGCTTACACACCACGATCAAGTCAGCTTCATCCCTGGGATGCAAGGCTGGTTCAACATATGCAAATCAATAAGTGTAATTCATCACATAAACAGAACCAATGACAAAACCACATAATTATCTCACAAGATGCACAAAAGGCTTTCGATACAATTCAACACCTCTTCATGATAAAAACACTCAATAAACTAGATATTGATGGAACATATCTCAAAATAATAAGAGCTATTTATGACAAACCCACAGCCAAAATCATGCTGAATGGGCAAAAGCTGGAAGAATTCCCTTTGAAAACCAGCACAAGACAAGGATGCCTTTTCTCACCACTCCTATTAAACATAGTATTGGAAGTTCTGGCTAGGGCAATCAGGCAAGAAAAGAAATAAAGTGTATTCAAACAGGAAGAGAGGAAGTCAAATTGTCTCCGTTTGCAGACTACATGATTGTATGTTTAGAAAACCCCATCATCTCAGCCCAAAATCTCCTTAAGCTGATAAGCAACTTCAGCAAAGTCTCAGGATACAAAATCAATATGCAAAAATCACAAGCATTCCTATACACCAATAATACACAAACAGAGAGCCAAATCATGAATAAACTCCCATTCACAATTGCTACAAAGAGAATAAAATACCTAAGAATACAACTTACAAGGGATGTGAAGGACCTCTTCAAGGAGAACTACAAACCACCGCTCAAGGAAATAAGAGAGGACACAAACAAATGGAAAAACATTCCATGCTCATGGATAGGAAGAATATCGTGAAATTGGCCATACTGCCAAAAGTAATTTATTGATTCAAAGCTATCCCCATCAAGCTACCACTGACTTTCTTCATAGAATTAAAATAAAAAACTACTTTAAATTTCATATGGAACCAAAAAAGAGCCTGTATAGCCAAGACAATCCTAAGCAAAAAGAACAAAGCTGGAGGCACCATTTTACCTGACCTCAAACTATACTACAAGGCTACAGTAACCAAAACAGCATGGTACGGATACCAAAACAGATATATAGACCAATGGAACAGAACAGAGGCCTCAGAAATAATACCACACATCGACAACCATCTGATCTTTGACAAATCTGACAAAAACACACAATGGGGACAGGATTCCCTATTTAACAAATGGGTTTTGGAAAACTGGCTAGCCATAGGCAGAAAACTGAAACTGGACCCCTTCCTTAAGCTTTATACAAAAATTAACTCAAGATGGATTACAGACTTTAACGTAAGACCTAAAACCATAAAAACCCTAGAAGAAATCCTAGGCAATACTGTTCAGGACATAGGCATGGGCAAAGACTTCATGACTAAAACACCAAAAGCAATGGCAACAAAAGCCAAAATTGACAAATGGAATCTAACCATACTAAAGAGTTTCTGCACAGTAAAAGAAACTATCATCAGAGTGAACAGGCAACCTACAAAATGGGAGAAAATTTTTGCAATCTATCCATATGACAAAGGGCTAATATCCAGAATCTACAAGGAACTTAAACAAATGTACAAGAAAACAACAAACAACCCCATCAAAAAGTGGGCAAAGGATATGAACAGACACTTCTCAAAAGACATTTATGCGGCCAACAAACATATGAAAAAAAGCTCATCATCACTGGTCATTAGAGGAATGCAAATCAAAACCACGATGAGATACCATCTCATTCCAGTTAGAATGGCAATCATTAAAAAGTCAAGAAACAACAGATGCTGGAGAGGATGTGGAGAAACAGGAATGCTTTTACACTGTTGGTGGGAGTGTAAATTAGTTCAACCATTGTAGAAGACAGTGTAGCAATTCCTCAAGAATCTAGAACCAGAAATACCATTTGACTCAGCAATCCCATTACTGGGTATATACCCAAAGGATTATAAATCATTTCACTATAAAGACACATGCACACATATGTTTATTTCAGCACTATTCACAGTAGCAAAGACTTGGAACCAACCCACATGTCTATCAATGATAGACTGGATAAAGAAAATGTGGCACATACATACCATGAAATAGTATGCAGCCATTAAAAAATGATGAGTTCATGTCCTTTGCAGGAATATGGATGAAGCTGGAAACCATTATTCTCGGCAAACTAACACAGGAACAGAAAACCAAACATCGCATGTTCTTACTCATAAGTGGGAGCTGAAGGATGAGAACACATGAACACAGGAAGGGGAACATCACACACCGGAGCCTGTCAGGGGGTGGGGGGACTAGGGGAGGGGAGGGATAGCATTAGGAGAAATACCTAATTAGATGATGGGTTGCTGGGTGCAGCAAACCACCATGGCACGTGTATACCTATGTAACAAACCTGCATGTTCTGCACATGTATCCCAGAACTTAAAGTATAATAAAAAAATATATACGTACAAAAGAGATTACCATATCCATAGGTGGCAAGGCTTGACTTGTGGAATAATTAAATCCATAATAATTTATAACTTACACTAAGAAGTGTTTCTTGTGCAACACAAAGAATTGCATTGCTACAAATATATATCTAATAACAATGGCAAATTATCAATTTTTGTGGGAAACAATGTTTCCAGACAGTGTATTAGGCCCTATTTTTACTATAATTCTTCTATGTTTAGACATGTTTATATATGTGGTATAAATGTCCACAGTATTCAGTGTAGAAACATGTTGTACAGGTGTGTAGCCTAAAAGAAATAGGCTATAACCTACATCCTAGATGTGCAACAGACTGTACCATCTAGATTTGTACCATCTAGAACAAATGTATATGGTATGGTCTGTTGTACATCATTTATACCATCTAGAACACTCTACAATGTTCATACAACAATAAAATTGCCTGATGATACATTTCTCAGAATATGTCCACATCATTAAGCAATGCATGACTATGTAAGAAATAGCTCTGGATTAAAATCCCAGTTTTGCTTTTAACCATCTGTAACTTTGGGGTTACAGGGTCTGTGAAGCAAGTGAAGTATCGAAGACACCTAATGCAGTGCCTAGAGTCTGTGTGTTCAGAACAAATGGCAATTCTCGTCCTTCTATTACTTATTCCATCCAACAAAGATTTGCTGAGTTCCTCTAGTGAATAAGGTGATGAATTTAATAAATAAGTCTGGAACTGGAAAGGTGATTTGTAGAAAGAATGCCTTGGCTTATTCAAAAAATGAAAAACTTTTTCCTCATAGTGTGTTCTCCCAAGAGAAGAGAAAATAGACTATGTGAGATGCAGAGCTCAATGGCTATTTAGAATTGCCAATCTGTCCCTCACAGTGGCTGCTGACAGCCCCCTCCCCTCCCCCAGTATCATTTGGTCATCTCACTTAAGGCTCTTATCAGAGCCACACAAGCTCTGCTTCCTGGGGAGCTAGTGTCAGACCCGTTACATGGCCCCAAACTCATGAATACTGAGGCATGGTCTGACTTTGACAATTGATAGGCTGCTTAGACAACAGTCACTGGCAGTTGGAGAAGGTTAGGTCATACCCACCTGCATTTGAGGCTGCTGCCCTATGACCTTGGCAATTGAACATAGGTTTTGAATGTTCCTGGGGTCCTTCTCTCTCAGGTTTTTCTGAGGCTGGAGCACTTCAAATAACTGCAAACACTGTACCCTCCTGGAAGACCTACTACATGGTGTTGAGATGGTATCTATTCAAACTGCCTGCTATTAACGGAAGGGTAGTATGTCTGCTTTACCTTTCCTCAAAAATGATGAATGGAATTTGGGACTGAGGCTGTCATATATGGCAGTAGAAAAATGCTCAAAAACACTGGGCCCCAATCAGGCCCAATCAGCCTACCTGCATGACAAAACATTCCTTTTAAGCAATATGGTGGTTACCAAACTGGCCAGGCAAGGTAATGGCCTATTTCAGGGTCACCATTCCTTTGCAAAGTGATGCCCCATTTCAGTTGCTAAATCAAACCACCAATCATGGGCTAAAGTTTGAGATACGTGTTTTTCTGTTTGTTTGATTGAGTGAGTGATTGATTGATTTTTGAGACAGAGTCTCACTCTGTCGCCCAGGCTGGAGTACAGTGGCTCGATCTCGGCTCACTACAACCTCCGACTCCTGGGTTCAAGCGATTCTCCTGCCTCAGCCTCCCGGGTAGCTGGGACTACAGGTACCCACCACCATGCCTGGCTAATTTTTGTATTTTTAGTAGAAACAGGGTTTTGCCTTGTTGGCCAGGCTGGTCTCAAACTCCTGACCTCAGGTGATCCACTCGTCTAGGCCTCTCAAAGTGCAAGGATTACAGACATGAGGCACCGCACCCAGCCATATACACACGAGATTAAATTCATTTTGGAGCACACTTCAATTACTATAACAAAAGGCTAATGCTACTTTTAACTAATGACATTATGGTTTAAGGAGAAAACTTGAGATTTCTCTCATAGTTCTCTCATTGCTCAAAAGGTCACAACCTGACCTACTTTACTGGTCATTTGCCGTTTGCTATTTCCTTCATTTAGAGGAATTCTGACAACCTGTTTCTGGCCCACTGATTTTAAATTCTTCATTCTTCTGGAATGAAGCAGTCCATATACAAAGAGACAGATTCATACAACACATCTAGACAGGTAGGATTTACCATCAAACTATACAATTCCTTCTAGCCACAGTCAGGGCCCCTTGAGGCATCTGGTCTACCACATGCCCATATCCCAGTAAGATCATCCAGGCAGCACTATGCTCAACTACTTTTCTCAGATTACTTTCTGTATTTGATAACAGCTGACTCCAAAGGACATATCCATTCTGTTATCTATAGAAAGTCCCCCTGCTGACATCCAAAAGAAAGCTCCTCCTAAGCAAAGGATTTGCTTGTAAATACTCACAGGTAGCATCCAGGCCTCTTTAGAAACACTGGCGTGATAATAGAAGATCTCAGAAAAATAACAACTGGCTTCCTGCTCCAGACCTCCCACCATCCCTGAACAGAAGCCCAAGGATTTAGGGCACAGGGCACCACCCTTTTCCTACTTCTCTATTCTCAGCAGCTGGTAAGGGCCTAACAGGAGGTACCTTATAAGGGGTTAAAGTCAGGTTAGCGAGTAGATGAATCTCTTACCACAGTCCCAGCAAGAATAGCTCTGCTAAGCACAAGATATAGAATCAAGTTTTTAAGCATTCAAATTAAATATTACCTTCCATACCTTCAATATAAGGCAGAAAAAGTGTATATAATAAAAATTCATTACTTCATTCCTTAAGTGAGCAGTACATCTGAGAATTATGGATGGTACCTATTGTATCATTCATTCATATTTTCAATAGCTATGCAATGGATGCCTTTTCTACGCCAGGCTCTATAAATACAGCCGTTAAGAAGACAAGAACCAAGCCATCATGGAGTTTATATTCCCATGTGGGAGACAGACAATAATGGAACAAATTAACAAATGAAATTATATAGAAATTTCTAGTAGTGATAAGATAAGGGAGAATAAGAGAAGAGAGAATGAACAGCAGATGAAATATTTTCACAGTGGCCAGAGAAAACTGACAAAGGGGGTAAAGGGCGATGATGACAGGAAACGGTGACTGATGATGGGAAAAGGTGACTGATGTAAATAAGACTGATAGGAGAATCTGAAAAAATTGAGGGTGGTGACTGGGTACTCTTCCTGCTCACTTGAGCAATAAAACCCCATGATTCTAAAACGCTGCCAAATTGTACTTTGCTGGAAGATATTTCTCTTGGAGTACAAGTGGCATAGCAAACTGAACTTAAAAAATAATGAGTTGGTTAAATATGAGAGAAATAGATGAATGGCTACTAGACTTTCTTGTTTGGGAATCATTCTAAAAGCATAAAGGGATATTTAAATGATAATTATTTTTTAAAAATCTGGAAAAAGAGGTTCCAAAGGTCCTGGGCTGGGAGCATTTGAGGACCAGCAAGAAGACATGATGGGCTGGGAAGTAGTAAGTGAGGGAAGTGGGGTAGGAAAGGGACTGGATTGGAAGCAGAGGCCAAACCACGGAAGAGGGCCCTGAGGACAATGGCAAGAACTTTAACTTGGTTCCAAGTATGATGGGGAATCCCTGGAAGATTTGAGCAGAGGAGTGATTGCCTTTGATTTGTATTTTCAAAAGTTCATTCTGTTTGCTGTATGGGCAGCAGATGGCAGGGGGCAGGAAGGGAAGCTGAACACCAGCTAGAGGTGACAGTGGCAGTCCAGGCAAGAGCTCATGATAGCTTGGACTCAGTTGGTGACAACAATGGTGATAAGATGCGATCAGATTCAGAGTGTGTTTCTGTGGACAATAATTACAGTTTTCATGTATTACATGCTCAGAGTCACCCCTTTACTGCATTATGTAATGTAAGAGGTCACACACAACATCTATGATGGACAGCATAGGAGGCTCACTTTACAGATGAGGACTCCAAAGCCTAAACACTTGCTTCCTGAGCTCCCAGACCCTCTCTGCCCAGCAGGACTTGCAGTTCTTCCTAGAACAGTGGAAGCTCATCCTCACCAAGAGAATGACTTCAGACTGCTATCTCAACCATATGCTGCTTTCTCTCTCCCCAGACAAGTGACTGTATCAGGGCTCAGAACCAGGTCAACCATGCACCAGAATCTTCTTTTTCACCATTACCCTATTCTGCCTCCCAAACTGGGTAGTAATAACCACAATGAGCAGAAGAGGGTACTTCCTACTTGGTAAAAACAGCACGGTGTCTCTACCTCTTAAGCTTGGAGGACTGCTCGTATAATAATCAACATTTAGCATATAGATGAAATTTCACCCAATCAAATTACAAGGTCTAATCACTTCTGACTCATTATCGTATTATTCTTGACTGTTTTACAGAAGTTTGTGTGCTTTCCTGCACTTGCTGCATTTGCCATGTGTTTGCCTTCTTGCTGGTCACCAAAACCATTATTATCAGTGAATCACTAATTCATGATTTAAGCAACACTGTCCCTGCCCTCATAATTTCGATCCTTATAGTTCTCGGGAAATTTAAAAAAAATTAAAATTTTATTCACGTAGGATTTTGATGCCTTCAAAGGAAAAACATCATTTCCTTAAATAATTAATAAAGAACCACGTGGTATAAGAACTTGAGGGAGATTTCAGATTCATCCCGCATAGTGGCTGTCAGACCTGAGTGCACTCTAGAAACATATGGGGAGTCCCCTCCCTGCAACAGACCATTTACATCAGAATCTCTGTAGGTGGGATCTGGGCAGCCCTAACTTTTAAACTCCCCCAGGTGATCCCAATATGCAGTCAGGGTGGAGATCACTGATCTCAACCAAGTTCCCCTCCAGGCGCCTCCTGCTCACCATTTTCAAATGAAAGAAAATGAGCCCCAGAGGAGGGAAGTGACTTGCCAACCGAAAAGCCAATTTGAGAGAGAGCCACAACTGAAACCCGAGTTTCCTAACTGCTGGTTCAATTTGCATTCAGCATCCCCCAGACACAGAGGAGTGTAAGGGAGGAGGTGGAGTTTCACCATCAGTAATCATGATGATTCTATCTCTGACACTTCATTTCTCCTGATTCGCCACCTTCGGTGGTGTCTTGCCTCAGCTGCCAAAATAGTGTAGCTTGGAGCAAAGTAATGCTAAAAAGCTGTGACAGGACCCCACAGCAGCAGCACCGCCAATATCCAACAGATGTCTTTTCTCCTTCAAAGGAGCACCATGCTCCTGAGTGAGCAAACATCTGAAGACTTCATCATACGGGCTATTATAAAAGAAACGATAACTGCTCTACAGCTACACATGAATAGCCTTTGACTAATCCCATACTCTGGAACTTGACCTAAGGAAGTATTCATGGATATGCACTCATGTTTAGCTATATGTGAATGTTTACTGCAGCACTGTTTATGTAAGAGAAAAGTGGAAACATCACACAAATATCTTGGAAGAACCAAGGAAATTTCAAAATGTATGATTAAATTTTTAAAAGCTATAAAAACACACCGGCAATATATTACCCATTTGATAAAAGTAAATGTAATGAAAAAATATTAGAGTGTGGATGGTTCTTACTATCTCTTTTTAAATGTTCTATATTTTCAAATGTTTCTATATAGCATATGTATTTCATTTAAAATAAGAAAAACGTTTTATTAATACATATTTAAAGCTGCAGGACAGTAAACACATGCACAGAATTGTATTTGGTTACAAACCTTTTTGACACTCTATGTCCTTCTGCTCATTACTAGTATGCCTTTTTCCCCTTAGACCAAGAACAGAAACCAGGCACCCACTTCATGCCACATGCTACAAGATGAATAAACATTTGTAATGGGAGAATCAAATTAGAACTTCCCCCACTTTATGAGTCAAATGCTAAGAAAAAATATTTAATGGCATAGAATATTTTTATGAAATTAGAGATGAACATATGAACATAGTCCATCTTCCCAGGTTCCAGGTTATTTAGCAATAGGTACTGAGCACTTTCTGCGTGCCAGGGACTGCTCTAGGCTTGGGGAACTTAACTGTGGACCAAAAATATTGTCTAAATGCCCCACTCTTGTGGAGCTTACTGAGAAGAGCAAAGATCACCTGGTAACCATCAAGCAGTCCATCCAGAGACAAAACTCCTTATCTAAGGAATTCAGAAGTAATTAGAGTTCTCTATTATGTAAAGCCAGCATCTGGTTCCAGGTTTCCTTCCAAAAAATTTATAAGTAACTAGAATTTCTATACATCTCCGGAATGCATGCATATAGAACCTCATTGTGCAACCCTTGCTGACATCAAGGCACCAAATGTCTACAAATGTAATCATTTTATTTTTTTTATTATACTTTAAGTTCTAGGGTACATGTGCACAACGTACAGGTTTGTTACATATGTATACATGTGCCATGTTGGTGTGTTGCACCCATTAACTCATCATTTACATTAGGTATATCTCCTAATGCTATCCCTCCCCCACCGCCCAACCCCACAACAGGCCCTGGTGTGTGGTGTTCCCCACCCTATGTCCAAGTGTTCTCATTGTTCAATTCCCACCTATGAGTGAGAACATGTGGTGTTTGGTTTTCTGTCCTTGAGATAGTTTTCTCAGAATGATGGTTTCCAGCTTCATCCATGTCCCTACAAAGGACAAGAACTCATCCTTTTTTATGGCTGCATAGTATTCCATGGTGTGTATGTGCCACATTTTCTTAATCCAGTCTATCATTGATGGATATTTGGGTTGGTTCCAAGTCTTTGCTATTGTGAATAGTGCTGCAATATTTGTCAGGACCTACATGGCTAATATGGACCAAATTACCCTTCAGCTCCTGCTTTAAGGTCCATGAATACCCCGAAGGAAAAATCCACTGTGGTGTGCTCAGCCCTCTCTTGCTGAGGCGCCCCACTGCACTCTTCTGCTGCTTATGCAGAGTACTTTCTATCTAATAAAACTTTTCTTTCAAACCTATACTGTTGTCAGTAAATTATTCTTACTCCCCACAAGTCTACTACTTTCTGATGCCAGGGCTCTGACACCTCACCTGGCCCTTACATTGTGGTGGGAGAAGACAATAAACATGTTAATGGTGGGTAACATGCAGCAGGGGTGTGCTGGGGACCAGCAGGAGGAGGCTGCCACTAGTTCAGGGAAGAGTAGCTTGGGAGTGCCTTCCTGATAAGATCACATTAGTAAAGAGAACTGAAGAGGCAGCCAGCTCTGTGGATTTCTGGGAGGAAGAACATTCCATGCATCTTCCTGATAAATGAAGCGGAAAACATCTTTCCTCATCCACTATTCTTTGGGTCATTTGGAGTTACATTTCTGATGTGGGTTTCATCAGTGCATGGCTACAGAATGGTCCAGATGAATATTTGCTGTAGATAGTGGGGAACAGAAAAGAGAAAAAGGGGGAAACAAGCATTTGTATGCCTCCTGACAATCCCTCCAAAAAACCTCCAATCTTTGCATTTTCAATAGTGTGTAAGTGGAATCTGCCCATAAAAAGCCATTTATAACAGAGATTCCAGACAGAAATGGTTAAGAAACAAAACATTTCCTGATAATCCTTCTTACCTAATATATGTACTCATATCTGTCTGCCTAGAAAACACATGAACAAACCAAACATTTAATACAGAATTATTTCTAAAATATTTTTAAAATCTCTATTATGAAATATATGTTCACAAATTGAATATGAAAATGCCTAACATGCCAATGCATAAGCTTAAATTCTCTGACAAACGACACTTACTTTTAGTGAAAATCTTTTTCTAAATACCACTATATATTATGGAATGGGCGAAGTAAAAAAGTGAAGACTACTTATAGAAAGCAATTTATAACCACAAATGTGAAATGGTAAAATAAATTTAATTTTCCTCTTTTATTATAGAAAACTGAGACCTAGATCTAACCATGGTCATTAATATTTTGGCTTCAATATACAAAGCACATTTATCCTACCATACATTAAACAGCCTAGCAATGAATACCTCAAAGTTTAAAACAAGAGTAAAGGTCATATTATACCTGTAGACAAGGTTTCTATTTAATAGAACGATTGTAAATTGCAACTTAGTAGAAGAATTACACAGCACAACGCTGCCTTGTTTCTCTGGGTTTTATATTACCACCAAAACCCTCAAGAACTAAGATAATCTGCATAGGATTTGAATTTCAATTTAAATTTAGCATCTGACAAATTACATTATCAAATACACAACACTAACATCACTTCAATCTCTCAGCAACAAGTAAAATGCTCCTTACAGTATATAAAAGATGAAATATTTCTTCTAGGGATAAACTGAAGACTTTCAGGGCTATCAAAATATTAAATTCTTTATATGCTATGCTTAATGTCCAGAAATGCAACAATAATGGTTAAGCAACAATAACGGTTAACTTTTCAAAAGTTGAGACTGGTTTTCTAAACAAATTAACTTCATATCAGAGGCACAATCACTGTTTTCTGAAAACTGGAAGAATGAGCTATAAATAAGAAGCTCCAGGTTCTTTCTGGACCTTTCCAGATTTCATGGTTATAAAATTACTTCCTTTTTGAGAAGCCAGGAGATTTTTAAGACACAGCCACTAGGAGAGATGATGATTGAATTCTTATTAAAGATTAGAAGACAGAAGGTAAGTTTCCTTCCCAATCCTCTAGATATGTACTTCTATGACCTAAAATGTATAAACAAGTCATACAGTTTCTTGCCCGGGTCATCTTAAGCTACACTGCCAAGAATGTTATTTAACACTTTGATGAATTATGGCTTTTAATAACAGAGTCTAGAATTCCTGGCTATTGGAATTTCTGCTAGTAGACAGGTGAAGAGTTACAGTTTAGTGCAAAATAAATACATACACACACACACACACACATGCATACTAAGTGAGAAGGTGAGATTATTTTGGCATGGAAGATCAAGACCAAGCATAAATGATAGCCAGACTGCATGTATCTTGTGAGAAAAATGAAGTGGGAACTGAGGCTCTTAAAAAACATGTTTCTTAAATATCTAAGTGATAGAGAATCACATACTCTCAATGCTTGGGAAGGCCCTTAAAGCTGTCACCCACTGGAAGTCCATCCTTAAATCCTGGGATCAGCAATTCCACAATGTTCCCACTCAGTTTCAACCTGAATGCCAGAGAAAGCTTACCCTTTCAAGAAAACCTCTTCCATTTCTAAACACTTCTATTCTTATGAATTTGTTTTTCCTGTGCTGAACCAAGTCTGTTTCCGTAACATCTCCTCACTACCCCAAGTTTGGCTACATAAAGATGGAGTCCCATGCACTGTGACCTTGGGGTTGAGGTAGGAATTATAAATGAACACGGCAGGCCAAGAGCCAGATGGTAAAAAGTGATGGAGACTTGGACCAACTGGAGGGCACATGGGAACAGTCAGCCACTGCTCACCTCCAGGTACTCTTTCCACTGGGAAATGCAGGCCCCAGTTACTGGGTTTTCTGATCAAGAAGCCAGAAATTGGGAATTTTACTAGAAGTATTCTAAGTTTTAAATACATAAAGAATAAATTTTAGAGCTGAAATACCTCTTAGAGATCAACTAAACCAAACCTTGTACTTTATAAATAAGAAAACTGAGGGTGAGAAGAGAAAAAGTGACTGACTCAAAGTCAAATGGTGAATCAGAGGGAGGTCTGGAAGAGAAAAGGCCCAAACATAAGGTCCCATTCTCCCATTACGTAATAGAGATGCATTCATGCAAGTCAACGATGCATCTGTTAACATACTCTGAAACAGGAAATCAGCCTTAGATCGCTTCCTATATCTATGATTAAGTAATCACTGCTCACATCTAGCCTTCAGAATACCCTTTCAAGCTGAAAGGGTATACAGAGCTGTAGCTCTAAGCACAGACCAGCAGACAGACCACCTGGGTTGCAAGCCGAGATCTACCACTTACTGTCTGTGTGACCAAGTTAGACAGTTTGCCTCAGTTTCCTCGTCTATCAAACGGAGACAGTAAGGGTACCTATTTCACAGTGTTGTTGTAAGAATTAAATTTATATACATATAAAGTGCTTAGAACATGCCTGGCACAGAGTAAGCACTATTTGGTCAATGTTATTATTACCCAGCATGCTAAAAAAATAAAAGAGAGAGCTAATCTTATCACTTAAAGGAAAATGTACAGCAAAAGTACACATAAATATTCTAGAAAAATGAGTCCTGAAGAAAAAAGAAAACTTTATTAAATTAAAGCAGCTAGGTCCTTTACAGAGTTTAAGGCATAGGTAGACTTCAGCAATCAAAGTAACGGCCATAAAGGTAGCATGAATCCATACATTGAACTCTGAGCACCCACCTATGGAGGAAGAGCCTCAGTAGATCTACTACATTTTGCCTCCAACCTTGGAGAAGTCTAGAATACACAGATATACTCCATCCTAGGCTCCTCCTTTCCAAGGGCCTAGCATGTTCTCCAGAGTTACTGCAACCATTTCTTCCCTTCCTCCATCTCCAAGTTGCCCTTAGGGACCTAGCCTCACAAAAGTTCTTCCTAGACAGCTAGATGTTTCATTTCCTGTTGATTATGTACTAGCAATAGACAAACAGAAAGATATCAAACACACTCTTTAAAAAAGAAAAAAATAAAACATACCATTTCCTCAACATCACAACTCAGTCACAAACAGCCTGCATACACAGACTACCACGTTTATCATACATGCCCTTGCTACGATGAGATTTCAATTTAAGCCAAAAGAAAGTACAAACTCAATAGGAGAATCTTAAATGTTCATCAATCAAAGGGAACTGGAACACCCTGTTTCAATTAGCTGAGCCACAAACAAATTGGCACCACTGCTCTGGCCTCTTCAGTATGAAAGGGTAAATAAGGAGTTCTTTCCCAAGGCTGCCAGGAACTCAGTGAGCCTCAGAGGTATGATGATCCAGTGTGTAGCTCCTGCATGTCGTTGTGTGTCACTGGGTCCAATGCTTAGAAGGGCTAACATTTTTTGACTGCTTTGTGCCAGCTACAGATTTAAACACTGTACATGCATTAATCCATCTAATTCACATAACAAGCAATCGAGGTATGGTGTTATCCTCCACTTCACAAAGGAGGAAACCCAAGACCTGGGAGGTTAACTTGCACAAAGATACACAGTGAGAAAGTAGTGCCACCAGGACACAAATCCAAGTGGTTGGCTCTAGAGGCTACACTCCTATTTAATTAGTGCCCTAAACTGCCTCTAGAAATTTCTGATATCATCATTTTCCTTAGGGTACACCGAAAGAAGCTTCACAGGCAGGCATCAGACCAGCTTTGAGGAGGTAATTTGAGTCTCACTGCCTTTGCCTATAACTGAAAGTTCACTTCTGGGGCTTTTACTACTTGGAAGATGCATTTCTCTATAGCTTTTTGCTATGGCCTTCTTGGTGCTCTTGCACTAAAGATACAGCCTTATGTCCCTTAATAGGGGACATATAAATCTCTGGTCCATAGACTTAAAAAAAAAGTGAGAGAAGCAGATTCTCTCTATTAATCACTCTCTCTTCCCTAGCATAAAAGTGTATGAGTTGAAAGTCTGGAAAAGAATAAATAATGGTGGGTGTAAGGTGAAAGGGAATAAAATGAATAGCAGAAAAAAACAAGACTATGTTAAAAAGTAACAGTTAGTCATCAGGGAAATGAAAATTTAAAACAAAATGAAGATGCCACTTCACATCCACTTGAATGGGCAAAATAAAAAAGATAGTAACAAATGTTGATGAGGCTGTGGAGAAATTGGAACCCTCAAACACTGCTGGTGAGAATGCAAAATGATGCAGTTGTTTTGGAAAACAGTCTAGAAGGTCCTCAAAAGATTAAATCATAGAGTTGCCATATGACTCAGAAGTTCCACTCCTAGGTATATAATCAAGAGAAATGTCCATACAAAAACTTGTACATGAATGTTCATAGCACTATTTTTCATAACAATTAAAAGGTAGAAACAACGTAATTTTCCATCAGTTGATGAATAAATACACAAAATGTGATATATCCATACAACGAAATATTATTTGGCAATAAAAAGGGTTTAAGTACTGACGCATGCTACAACCTTGATGAACCTTAGAAAGATTATGCTAAATCAAAGAGGCCAATCACAGAAGTCCACATATTATATGATTCCATTTATATGAAAGGTACAAAAGAGGCATTTAAATACATGAAGACAGAATGTAGATTAGCCTAGGGCTGGGAGTTGGGGAATAATGGGGAGTGACTAGGAGTTGGGGAATATTGGGGAAGTACAAGAGTTTCTTATTAGAACTAGATAGTGATGATGGCTGCACAACTCAGTCAATACACTAAAAGCCATTGAAATGCATACTTTAAATGAGTGAACTGCAGAGTATGTTTATATTTCAGTAAAGCTGTTATACTGGGGAGGAAAGTGACTTGTTATAAAGCAAAACTACTGGTCTATCCCAGGAGAAGTGGTGTCTTTTTGAATGAGAAGTTATAGTTACATAAGTGGCAGAAAATCAAAATTATTTAAGCAGGAAAAGAAAAAAACAGAAAACGTATATGAAAAGGACAAAACAATTTCTATTTAATTGAATTTCAAGATACACAAATGCATAGATGTTAAACGACAGGTTGCATAACACTAAATACAGACCTTCTCACCTGAAATCTATCAGTTCCAAAAATAAAGCATCTAAGGAAAGGTGATAGATATATCATCAGCTTTTGCAGTTTTTAAAACTTTTTAAAAACTGAATTTAAAAGTTCACAAATATGCAGATTTTCTGGTATGGTATCCCAAGTTCACAAAATAAAAATATTTGATTAGCATCTAAAATGTGCAGTTTCTCAAACTGAATTCAGAAATCTGACCTCAAATTTAACTAGGAAAAGTAAAGCTTTCAAGATCTGGACTACATGGAAGACACTGACAGCCAGACAAGAGCTGGCAGTGTTTGAGATTTAGGCAGAAGAATTTCAGAGTATAGTCAAGGGTTTACCATGCTACCCTGTCATGTATCTGCTCATAATGACACTCTAGCAGAAATCAATGCTAGCCTCTGACTGAAGTGAACAGAGTCTCCTAATGTGGCAAAATGTCAGAAGATAATATGGAGTTTCCTGGCCATTGGCAGATACAGCATGAATACATTTTTGGAAACAGAACAATTAGATAATAGACAATTTCCAATTTTTTTTTTCCTTTAACGTTCAAACTACAGTATTACTAAACTTCCACTCCCACTATCTTAATCAAGCATCATTTGTGTGGGAAATCTGCTTAGTGTTTTCTTTAAAAATAAGCAAGCCATTAATTGATCCAATGTGTTGGCAGTTCTAGAGAACCTTTTTAGACAGGAACAAATGATGCCTCTTACTTTATGTTCAAAGAAGTTGAGTTCAAGATTTCATGCATATGCACAGAGAAACAAAGAATCTCACAAAGTCAGCTAACAATCTTCTTGGAGTTTAAAGAACAACAAAAACAAAAAAGCTTCCTTCACCCCTCCTCCACTGAGGTTTTAAATATTAAGTAACATGTTTATCTAAAGATGCTTTACATGACTTACAGTGCTTTCCATAGTCCTTAACATCCTTGAATATCAAAGTTTCAGTAGTGCTCTTAAGACTCAAGGTGAGAGCACAATCTTTTCCCTTAGAAAACTGTCGAGCTCAAGAAAATATATCGAATATTCTGAAAGTGCTGTATTGTAACTTTTCTAAGTAATTGCCTCTCCTCCTCTTCATTAATTAACACACTACATTTTTCTGGCCTGTGTTTTAGAAGTCTGGAACATTTCCCCTCCCCACCTGTTTGTGTTAAGGTTGACAAATTTCCCTGACTAAAACAGCTGGTGTTGATTACTGGAGGCAAACCAATTGAATATTTCACTAATAGGTGACATGAGCTCTCGGAATGGAAACTTGTCCCCAAAGAGAACACCCCTACAAATGTAGCCAGAGCTTGGTGTTCCATTTCAGCAGCGTAACTATTTATTCAAATTTGGTTTTTAAAGAAAATAATGCTTTTGATTAGGAGACTCCACTCAGAAAATGCATCTGTCATTTTCTCCCCTCCTTCCGGGCACTGGATGCCACAGTCTCGGCCCAGAAACCCCTTTGGGGAAGGAGGGCCCACTTCTCAGGCACACAAATACAAGCAGCAAGCTCTGACATAAGGAGGCTAGCTTGCTAAAACTAGTGGCTTATGGACTTATGTTAACAAGCCTGGGGATGGCTTTTTTGGGGGGAGGGTGTTCCTACCACCAGGGAAACATTGCTTATGTCAGGCATATGCGGTATTGAGTTTTGGGACAGTAATGCATTTCTAGTCCTGGTACCTGCGATCATTAACAAAAGCTTATTCTCTCTAGTCTGAAATCCCTTCATTCTAGCCAGAAAGAAAACCTTCAGCATATTTAACCTCCCAATCAGGCAAAGGATAATGCAATAATTAGAAAAGTAGTTATAACTTTAGGGCCATCACACTCTTCTTGGCTTGTTGAGGATTGTTATTATTTACCATCGTGGCCACCTGTCAGTTTCTCTGGATGACAGCCTGGCAGAGCATAGTACTTTTAATATGATTAATGAAGTGCGTAAACCCAAAAGGGGAAACTCTCCCAAGTGCAAGTTCGCGGTGGTGAGCTGCCAGCAGGTAACCCTACCCCTCTCCTGATATAGCGCCTGCATCAGGGTATACCTGATGCACAGACCCAAGGGCAGTGCTGTGGTATCAGATCTACTGGTTCCAAACAGGTGCTGGGCCGGTCACTAACCAAGAACAGTATCTGAGCCCTACCCTCCAAACCCCACCTTCCAGGTCCCCCTCGGAAAAGTTAGCCCGCCACGTTGAACCCCTGTCCAAGCGGCGCTATGCCAAGCTCTCCGGCAGCCTCTCCCCTACCCAATACAGTTAATCTTCTCCTCTTTGTAAACCCCCCAAGTGACGCGGAGCAAAACTTAATCGGTCCAGGGAACCCAGACACGTCTTCCGCGCCGCACGGACTTCCCAGAAGGAGCCTGGAGGCAGGCGCTGGATCCCTCTAGGCACCTCCGTCCCCGCCGGCTCCCCTCCCCCGCGCCCGCTGGGCCACTCACCCGCGTGGGGCATGGTGATGGTCTCGTTGGTGTTGGAGCCCACGTTGAAGATGACCACGGCTGAGGCGTTCTGCAGGAACGCGTTCCGGATCTTATCCCTGTACGTGCAGTTGCCCTTGGGGATGAGGGCTATCCAGTTCTTGCCGCGGGTCGGGGCGGCGAACTTGGTGTTGGGGTCGCAGGCCAGGCGGTCGTGGGCCGAGCTGGCCATGACCACCTCCCCGCGGGCGTCCTGCTTGGGCGAGTGCTCTCCGTAGCGCCCGCACTCCGTCTTCTCCGTGTGCAGCTCCGCGCCGCCGCCGCCCGCCGCCCCGGCCCCGGGGTCCGGCGCGGGCTCGGCGTAGGTGATGTTCACGAAGGCGGTGTACCATTCCTCCTTCTCGGCCACGGTAAAGTCCAGGCAGAGCAGATGCACGAAACAAAAGGAAAGCAGCCATGTTGAGAGAGCCAGACTGCAGCACGCTTGGATGAGAGACATTGCCATCTTTATCCGCCGGGGCCCCCTCCCCGCCCCCGCGCCCTCCCTCCGTCCCGTCCCTCCTCCCCAGCCCCGGCCAACCCCGGGCCGCTGCCTCTCCTCCTGCTGCTGCTCACTCCCGGGCCGGAGGGGCCGCGGCCGGGACGCGCAGCCGCCGCGGGGACCGGATTCCGGGCGAGCGGATGGCGCTGGCCCCTTCCCCTCTCAGCTGTAGCGCGGTGGTTGCATTTTGCTTCTTGGGCGCCCGGGGGGCGCGGGAACAGAGGGCCCGCGGGGCTTGCGGAGGAGTCCTGCTGCCGAGCGTCCTGCTCCTTCGCCCGGCTTCGCCTTCTCTCATAAGGGTGGCCGGGGGCCCACGAACTTGCAGGGTGGCGGCCCTGCGCCCTCCAGCCCCGGCGGGGACGGGCACGATTGCTCGTAGTCTGGGGTGCTGCGGTGCGGGGTGCTGCCCAGGGTGTCCCGGCCGCCGCCACTGAGCGCTGGGGCGCGCGAATCCAGCTGCAGCCGCTGCTGCCCTGCGCCGGTTCCCTCAGGCTGCGGGCGCTGCGCTCCTGATCTCGCCGGTGGCTGCGCCTGGGCACGCACTTGCCGCGGGCGGGGCGGGCTTGGGGACAGTGGGAGCGAGCAGGCAGAGCGGAGTAAGCGGTCCGTGTGTGTGTGTCTGTATGTTTGTGTGTGTGTGTGTGTGTGTGTATAATGTGTGCGTGCAAGGAGGAGCTTAGTGTGATGTCAAAGCCCCTGGGATTCTCTTGCCATGTTCCCTTGGTCTCTCTTTATGGGCAGCAGCGACCCCTGTCGGGTCTCAAATTCAACCTCAATCGGCGACTTAATCTAGGTGGAGGTAAAGAGGAAGCGACCCCTCGACCTTTGAGTACGGGAATAACTTCCTGAGCGTTACATTTAGCAAATGTATGTGCCTCTCGTAAACGACCCTCCCGTTTGCTGGAAGTACTGCCGTGAGCTCCCTGATTACCTGTCCTAAGGCCAAAGTGTAAGGTGGTTTGGTATTGAGGTCCTTCCAAAGCTACCTCTGGAATACCTAGGGCAGTGGCTATCAAATCTTTAGTTTTAAAACTCAGACCGATGGGTCCTGCCACAAAGTTTCTGGTTCAGTAGATCTGTGGTAGGGCCCCAAAAATATGCATTTCTAACAAGTTCCCAGGTGGTGCTGATGCTGCTGGTCTAACAACCATTCTGTTAAGATGGGTATAACAATGGGCTTCCTACTGCCCACCTGGAAGCAAACATCTAACATTCGTTTTCTTATAGAATAGGTGTTTTGTCACTCTGTAAGAAGAGAAACCGGGTGAGACATTTCTGGACTGTGTTTATTCTGATTGTCATGGCTGGGAACAGGGGACTCGCAGCACCAACAGGCAAGGGAGGTTTGTTTGGGTTATTGTTTATAGTGCGCTCTCCAACTGTGCATAGAGATTACAGTAGTCAGCAGACAGTACAGTCCCCCTAGTGTAGTGTTCTTAAAACTGTAGTACAGCAGAGTGCCTTACCAATTAGACGTTTTGGTGGTGGATATCCTTTCCCTTGGCTTGAGATGCCTGCCATATAGTCTCTAAAAATATTTGTTTGATGGTTCTCTATCATTTACATTGTGTTTCCCACCTGATGCTCTTTCAGAGAACCCAGGACCCATTCATGATTTAAATTTAAAAAATGAAAGGCTGCCTTTTCCCCAGGACTTTAGCATGTTTACAGCTCTTCGTTAATGAACGTCCACCAGTACAACTTCTCTTTTTCCGGCAGCAGTACAAACAGCTGATGGCTGTTAAGGGAGGGCAAAGAGCCTCAGCTGTACCCAAATTAGAAGCAGGCACAAGAAGAACTACTTAGAAGAATTTGTCTCTATGGCATTTGATGTGCTGAATTTGTATGTGTTCCTAGCTTATTCATTTTAGAAAATAGGCTTCTAGGCAATTGGGACAGTGCTTTTTATAGCGCTTACTGCCAAGGAGGCAAAAGTGGAGACACCTGGCTGCTGGTTCCTGAACCACCAGAGATCTGAGGGAGGAGTCCACTGCTAGAAACCCCCGGCTAGGTTCTGAGCAGTTGCCTTTAGCAACCCACAGTGTTTCCCCAGTCTTCTTTATCGCTTAGCATTTTTTTTCTCCAGCTGGAAGACTTGGAGAAGCTATGTTATTAAGAATGTGTGACTATCCCTTACCCCTTCTTTCCTTTGGAAAAGTTAGGTGCTAAAGAGATGACAGGGTCAAGGAAATAGCATGGCTGGAAGATTGCTTAATTACAGGGCCATTGGGCTAATAAGTAAAACACTGAGTAAAATAGGAGCGAGGTTTCTTACTGTTGGAGAAGGAATTTACAAATATGGAAAGAAAGAGAGCTGTAAATAACCTTGAGGCTTTAGGGTGGATTAACAATGAGTATGAAATAATTTTTCAAAAACTATATGTATATATATTTATGTGTGTGCACACATATATACCATAGCTCTCTCCATTCAGAGGCCAAAAGCAAAAGGCACATCCAGTGGCCAGAAGATCTTCGTTTCTAAATAGCATCCTCCACGAAAAGCAAGCTGGCTGATTATAGGGCTGACACTGGGAAAGTACAGAGTGAGCCCATAACCTCTTGAAAGGAAATGCTCCAAGCATGATGGGAGTATGTCAAAAAGACAGAAGAGCCAGCTGGAAAGGGCTCCCACTGGCCAAATCTGGGACAGTCTGAACATAAAATAAATGATCCTAGTAACTGATTACAACCTATCTAATAAGGCATGAATCCGTGCTAATGTTAATACAGAAAAATGATGGAGTAAATAAATAGGGAGGAACAGCTCTTCCTTATGGTAGAAATACCTACTGATAAGGATTAATGGATATAGAAAGTCACCATTTGACAAGAGTGTTGTTTGATTTAGGCAGGAGTCATCAATGGATACTAAGGCTGATGAGTAGGTGTTTGATGTGAAGCAGGATATTAGCCTAGTCTTGAAGTATCTTCTGAAAAATACTTATTAATTCAATAAATGGTGAATTTATTGAAGAGGAACCTGGAAGACACCAAGTTGAGCAGGTGATCATGGTGAACATCACCATTTGTAGAATGAGTCCTATCATGTACCTCCTTATGAAATGCACTGGAATTACAGTGTCATTTCTGTCATGTTCCTGAAAAGAACAATACACGGCATGGTCTAGACATAAGGAAACAATGGATAAACCCAGGATGAGAGGCAACCTTCAAAATGAAAAGTTTATATTCTTTAAAACTCTTAAACTTATGAGAGACAGAGAAAAACAGAAGAACTGATCCAAATTGAAGAGATTTAAGAGATGTGACAATTACGTACAATAAATATCCCAGATTGGCTCCTAGACCAGAAAGGAAAAATAAACACTTGGCAAAAATTCAGTGAAATTGGTAGATTGGATGGTATATTTTATCAATGGTGAATTCCTGACTTGGATATTTATATTGTAGTTTTGTAGAAGAATGTCTGTGGTTGGGGGGCTATGTACATTGAAGAATTTAGCAGTGATGAGACATTCTTTCTGCAACTTACTCTTAAATGGTTCAGAAAAAAAAATGATTATCTATGACATATTGGTTTCCACTAGCTACACTTTCAGAGAATTTGAGCCCAATTCATGATATTTTTAATAAGTCAAAAGTTCAGTTTTTGAGGGGACATTAATATGTTTCCAGCTTTGTGCTAATGATTTTCTGGCAACCCTGCTACTCTTTTTTCCAGTGGCACTTCTTGAACAACTGACAAGTGGTATTTGGGGAGAGCAATGAGCGCTTGCTATACCACCCCCCAAATATATAATACTGTTGTAGATAAAAACATCTCTGTATTTCATTTCTTCATCCAACAATAATTATCGAGCACCTGTTAACGCATTGGTGTTACAGGCACTGGGCATCCAACTGAAACAAAACAGATAAGATTCTTGCTCTCATGGAGTTTATATTCTGGAGTTGGAAAAAAACAGAAATTTCTAAAAAGCTTTAGATTATGTCAGATAATGACATCTGCTATGAAGAAAAAGGCAACAGAGTATGGAAGGGTAACCTATGTCACATAAGGTATTTTCTGTCAGGGTCAGCTGCTTTGTGAGGTGACTTTTGAACAGAATATTGAAAGAAATAAGGATTCTATGTGGCTATTTGGGGGACTGGTTTTACCAGGAAAAGTACAAGTACAATCTGAGTATAAGTACAATCTGAGGCAAGTACATGAGTACAAGTGTATGAGTACAAGTACAATCTGAGGCAAGATTGTATTTGATATGCAGAAAAACAGCAAAGAAACCATTAAGACCATTAAGGATGGAGATGAAAGTAGAAACTGAGTGAAGAAAATAAGATCAGAAAGATGGGGAGCAAATCATATGTGGCCTTGCAGTCAAAGGTGTGAACATTTTGCATTTTATTCTGAGTGAGAGGAGAAAACTTTGGAGATTTTTGAGTGAGGAAGTATATGTGGTCTGTTGTGTTTTAAAAGATTTAGTCTGACTGTATCCAAGCAAGTATGGGAGCAAGTAGAGCAATTAGGAACTCAACAGTAATTCAGGAAACAGAGGATAATGACCTGTGTCAGGAAGGTGGCAATGAGCATGGTGAGAAGTGATTCGATCCTCAATATGTTTTGAAGGTGGGATAAACAGTATTCTCTGATGCATTTGACATGTAGTATGGAAGAAGAAGAGGAGCCAAGAAAGACACTACAGTTTGGAGCCTAAGTAACTGGCAGAATGGAGGAATAGTCATTTTCTGAGATGAAGATGATTGCAAGAGAAGTTGATTGGGGAAAGAATCGAGAGTTTGGACAGGTTCTATTCAAGGTGCCTAGAGAGACATCCAAAATGGCAATTTCATGCAGTTTGCTTCAGCATTGAGTCTTGGGGGGAAGATTACTGAATGAAAGCACATGAATAATTTTTAAGTTATCGACACATACACAATCGCCAAATTACTTTTCCAAAGGTTTGCCTCACCATGCAACAAAGTAAAGTGAGCTCCCTAAAATAGTTTTTAAAATATACCCAGAAGACAGCTTAGTGGTGAGTCCTGGCCTTTGGGGGACTTTCTCCACCAGCCAGGCAGCCCAGATAAGATGGAATTAGTAGGTTTCCAGAGGGCTCTTTGGTGTACAGAGATCTTATTTCATAAGAGGTAGAGGCAGATTTGACTTAAATACATACAGCATACGTTTCTGAGAAACAACAGCAGCCACAGCAGAGAATGGCAGTGCCCATTTCTCTGAGTGTCAGCAAATTGAACTTTCTTTAAGAAACTCTCAACCTTGACGCTGCTTTTGCTTCTTGCCATTAATGTGCACAGCATGTTCAAAGGGAATTCTACCTTAGACTTCTAAAAAATGAATCATAACATTTAAAAATACAATTCCTCCTACACATACATATTTTAATGGTTTAATTAAAATTTTATGTGGAGAAGATTCAACATACAGGGTTTGATCTGTATTATATTTTTCATTTTACATTAATTGATTGGTGGATTGCATTTTTAATGCAATCAAACAGGCATTTTTTGATGCCTGTTTAATTCTTCAGCATATGTCCTTTATTCACAATAGGCTCCTAGATAACTGTCCCCATCCCTGAAAAGAGGGAACACTCTTCAAAATATATTCCACATAACTGCAAATAGGGAAAGAAATCCTCAAAATATAATAGAGAATTCACATTACTTTATGTGTAAAGGCTGGCATTATTATTTTTTTAATCAATTTTCCTTGAAGTAACATACTGTGACATTTAGTTTCATATATCCTGTCCTAAAGATATTTCCTCTTCCCAGTCTTCCATGTTTGTTTGGAAGGGGAGGTACAGTGCTGTAGTGGTGGAGTTGGACATTTGGCACCAGGACATTTGGCGCCAGGCAATCCAGGATTAGAATCTCAGGCCTGCCACATGGGCAATTTTAACTGTGCTGAGCCACAATCTTCTCTTCAAAGTGGAGTGATTACATCTCCCAGGATTATTGGAAGATTCCAAAGGACATATATGTTGGCCACATGGAAGAGAAGAGATTTCAAGGAGGGGTCAGGACAAGAAGAGTAGGAGGGAACAGAGTCTAAAAATTTTAATATCCAAAAATATTTAAGGAAAGTCAATTTAGGCTGGGTGTGGTGACTCAAGTCTGTAATATCAGTTTTGGGAGGTGGAAGCGGGAGGATTGCTTGAGGTCAGGAGTTCAAGACCAGCCTTAGGCGACATAGGGAGACCCTGTCTCTACAAAAAGAAGACAAAGAAAAATTTAGCTAGGCATGGTGGCACAAGTGCCTGTAGTCCCAACTGCTTGGGAGGCTGAAGCAGGAGGATCACTTGAGCACAGGAGTTCGAGGCTGTGGTGAGCCATGACCAATCACGCCACTGTACTCCAGCCTGGATGATACAGCGAGACCCTGTCTCGAAAAAATAAAGTAGGGTATTCATTTATGTTTATATGGTTGCCATCTCTGTGTTAGGCCCTGCGCTGACGCTCAGAGGAATGGCAGGGCTCCTCCCATCAAGTTTAGAATCTAGTTTTAGCGACAGATGTAATCATCTAGGTGAATTGTGAAGGTGGAGTGTGGTCATTTTTAAAACACACATATAAGAATTCAGTGAGAGCAGTAATTCCACATAGAAATGAAAACATTTAGGGATGATTGAACCAGGTCGATTCTGCATCACAGTTAGCCCAGATAGCCTTACAAAGGAGTAGGCTTGCAGAGCTGTTCAAGAAAGATGTCCTGCTTATGACTATATTCTCAGCGTCTGCTGCAGTGTCTGGCCCATAGAAGGCATCAGTAAATGTGTTGAATAATAAATAGTAATGAAGAGCTGCAGTTTTTGACCACTTAATGTACATGCAGGCACTATTTGTTCTAAGCACTTTATTAACTACATAGACTGTCTTAATTAATTCTCAGGATGATTTTATGAGGTCATTACACAAATGAAGAAACAAAAAGTTAAGAGTGGAGTAACTTGCCCGAGGCCATGCAGGTAGCAAGTATAAGAGTGGGGGTTGTAATCCTGGAAGTCTGACTCTAGGGTATGATTTTAAGGGCTATACTACCACATTGGTAGTCTTTTTGTCTCAGATATTCATCATCTTGTTCATTAACTTGACTCTGATTTGAACTTCACTTCTTTTTCCTCTGCTTAATTTCTTTGTTCATTTCAGCTCTCAAGCCTTCACTTCATTTTTTGCTTTCGTAAGTTTTCTTAGCATTGGTGGTGGGGCGCGTTGCTTCTCTGAGGCCAGGTACTTGCTGTACGGGCAAGGTATATGAACTTTAAGAGCCCAGCAACCCCTGCAGCTTCTGCTACAAGTACTGCAGATGGAAATGGAAGGTTTTGGAAACGTTTTTTTAGAGAGTATGCATGAAACTAATAATATTCACTTCTTTGCTCTTTGTTCTCTTACTAACTTCTTAAATTTCAGAACAATAGGATACCTTGCTAAAAATATCCTTTTTTCTTTTTTGCTCCTTTGAATTATCAAGTGACTTCTTTTTATTTCAGTCTTTGATACAATTTTGACATTTAATTTGGGCTTCTTTCCTTTTATCATAAACTCTTCCAAACAACTTTATGTCATAAAATGTTTTGGGAGGCTAGATATGGAAAGTCAGCTTGGAAAAACTCATTTGAGACTTGAGCCAAAACCCACAGAAAACTCTCACCACAATACATCTGTTTCCTTTTTCTTCTTATTTTTTCACATAGTTGTTCATTTTTTTTTGTTCTAAATCATTACTTTTCATTGAGTACATTTTAAAAACTATCTGCTTTTCTTTTTCTGCTCTTTGAAAGATCATCTTGTCCTTTTTCGCCAAAAAGCTGGAATGAGGGAGGTTGAACTAAAAGCCAAGACATTCAGAGCACTGTGCACTGACTGAGCCGGACAGCTGTTAGACACAAGCATCTGTAAATTGTACTGTGTTAAAATTACCACAAAAGAGGGGAGAGAATCCAGGCCCTCTTCCTGCCCTTTCTATTTGGTTGTTTAGAAGGATGTTTTCATAAATACTTTCCCTTTTATGATGAGGCCCATTCCCACAGGGCTGGTAAACAGCAATCTAGGACAATTGAGGGAGACAGCGGTAGCACTGCAAACACAGGTGTCAGAGTTTTAATCCCAGCTCTGTGCCTAATTTGCTATTTAGGTCAAGACTGCAGCATGACTAATCACTCATTTTGTCATGCTTTCCTATTGGTACTAATTCCTAAATATCCACTGAGCCATAATCACACAGAGCCAGTCACAAGACTACAGCATTAATGTATTTCCATTGACTAGTTCTCTCACCACATAGTAAGGACACTGGAAAGGAACAGGGGACAGAAAATAGCATTTACTATTTCCCATAAGCCAGGTCCTGTGCTGGTTTTCATGTTTGTTATCTACACTGAATTAGTAGAGCAGTACCTTCTGTAAAGTTTCTCTTCTGTAAAATGAAGGTGTTGAAATTGATGATGTTTAAAGACCTCTCAAACTTACATTCTGTGGACTTAGTGATTCTGTTAATGAGGTCATGTACAATTTTGTATTTCCATTTCTGTTACTGTTGCTGCTAGGCTTGACTCTATTGGAGTCTACAAACGAATCTGGATAAGGTACTTGGAAATTCTGGTTGAGGAAGCTAGCTATGCAATACCCTTGACACAAGAACAGGTTTCCTCTCTCTTTGAAAAAGTTTTCCTCCTTGAGCTTATTAAGAATAAGATTGTGAATGGTTCATGCCTGTAATTCCAGCACTTTGGGAGGCCAAGGCGGCAGATCACTCGAGGCCAGGATTTCAAGACCAGCCTGCCAAACATGGCACATCCCTGTCTCTACTAAAAAATACAAAAATTATCTGGGCGTGGTGGCACACCCCTGTAATCTCAGCTACTCAGTGACTGAGGCACCAGAATTGCTTGAACCCGGGAGGTGGAGGTTACAGGGAGGCAGAGGTTGTGGTGAGTCAATCGAGCCACTGCACTTCAGCCTGGCCTGGGCAAAAGAGCAAGACTCTGTCTCAAATAATAATAATATAATAAAAAAACTGTGAGAAAGATGACACCAGTGTGGCCCATCAGGTCATCCAGTTCCACCATGGAGAACATTGGGGTGACAAAAGTTAAGGACAATTCTCTCTCGCATTCATATAATTATTTTTATATTAGCCAAGATGGCACCACTGAGCTGATCAGTTTTATTTTAAATTTATGATGTAAACTTCACATTGGCAGCTGTAGGAATGCTACTGTGTTTTTTTAATGGGTTCCCTAGAATGTCTCCTTTGAACGTTTTATACCTTCCCTCCTGTCATGCCTTCCCCACACTCTTTAGTTTCTTACTCTTAGCTATGATATCACACCAGATTTTCTTTAGAAAAGGAAGCCTTTAGAATCAAACTCCCCATCTTCCCACCACCTGATCCTAAAACCTATCATCTACTTTTACCCCAATGTATCCTTTTCTGTTGTTTAAATGAAAAAGACACCCTCCAGCCTATCAAAGCCAACTCTCACTTTTTCTCAGAATCTTGTCCCCTCTGGCCTTCTCAGGAACTTAGTCCTTACCATGATCTCCTCCCTCTTCCACATCAGTAACCTCCCTGTTAACTGGAATAGTCCTGTCGGCACACAGACAGGCTCTAGTCTCACCTGAAAAGAATCTTTCCTGTTCTTCCAACAACTTCATTCCTCCTCCCTTTTTATAGCAAAACTTTTCAAAAACATTGGCTATCGTAGTTGTCACTCTCTTCCGTCCTTTACCCAGTATATTCTGGCTTCTGCCCAGGCCACTCACCGAAACTTCTGTGGTCACTGGTGACTGCTGCTTTGTCAGATTCAATGGGAACACTTCTTTCCTCACCTTACGTAACCTCTCAGCCATATCTGATGCGGTTGACCACGGCCTCCTGTCTGACACACTCTGCTCTCTTGATTTCTTCAGTGCTACTCCTTGTACTCCTAGGAAAATGTTGGGGTTCCTTCAGGCTCTGACCTAAGGATTGCTGTGGTCTCTTATCTTCATTTTATATTATGTAGGTGATCTACCCCCATTCTAGGTATCTCTCTTTTTTCTCTTTTTTTTTTTTTTAGATAGAGTCTGTCTCTGTCACCCAGGCTGGAGTGCAGTGGTGCAGTCTCGGCTCACTGCAACCTCCACCTCCCAGGTTCAAGCAATTCTCCTGCCTTGGCCTCCTGAGTAGCTGGGACTACAGGCGCACACAGCCATGCACAGATAATTTTTTGTATTTTAGTAGATACGGGGTTTCACCGTGTTGCCCAGGCTGGTCGCAAACTCCTGAGCTCAGGCTATCCTCCCTCCTTGGCCTCCCAAAGTGCTGAGATTGCAGGCGTGAGCCACCGCGCCTGGTCAGGTATCTCATCTTTAAACTGATGATTCTTGAATTTATTTTCTTTGAGCCCCAGACTCGCTTATCCAGCTGCCTAATTTACATATCTATATTGAAGATTTATGAGTATCACAAAATTATGTCAAATACTGAACTTTATTCTCATGCCAATCTTCATCAAACAGTAAATGGCAATGCTACCCACTCCAGCTAAGAGTTTTTTATTCCTTGCTTTCCCTCACTGCTCCCTGCCCCACGTCTAAACATCTAACCCATCACCAGCTCTGTTATGTTAATCCAATCTTCATAATAAATCTCAAACCTACTCTTCTCTCCATCTCCCCATTACCACCTTAGTTCAGTCCACCAGGCTCGCTTGTCACAGTGAATACAGTAGTCTTCTAACTGGACTAAGGGCTTCCCTGGTCCCGGAGTCTCCACACGGCAAGTCAGTGGACTTCTTAAAACGTAAATCCCCCACTTTAAGTGAGCCTGTGCCTTTTCCGGTCTGCCCCTGCCTTTTCTTCAGTCTGGTACTTTCTTTCATGACCTCAGCCACACTGGTTTGTTTTTGTTTTGTTTTTTTCAGATCCTCACATGCAACAAGCTTTGGTTCCACTCTCTTCAGGGCTTTTGCACATGGCATTCCTTGTGTCTGGAATGCTCTTTCCCTCACCCTTCAAAGGACTAATGCCTCTTCCTTTATTTTAAATGCCACCTTCAAAGAGGTACTTTTCCTGACCACCCTCCCTAGAATAAATCTCCTTTCAACTATTATATTTCACTCCTCTTATTTTTTCTCATAGAGCTTTTAATAACAGCATGCAATTGTTTTGCCTATATACCCTATTTACTTGCTTTTTATACTCTCTGCCACTGAAATGGTATTTATTGAAATTAGGGTTCAGAACTTTATATTCAATGCTTATCATGGTCTGGCTCATAATAAACCAAGTAGCAGAAGTTGCTGGGGGAAAAAAAACCCACAAAACTTTTAGTGAGGGAAACCCAAAAATCCCTATCATATTGGATGCAGGTAGTATTTACTGTATATCCAATATGGATTGGATGTGAATTCCAACCACTATTTGATTAAATAAGACTTTGTGATCTGTAATTTGATAAATTTGCTCAACAGTCATTATTCCAAAAATATAATCCTTATCCTCCTAGCACATATCAGACTAAGCTTTCCAATCTTCTTGCCAGAAGCTATGCCACACTGATAAAGACTGTGTTTTGTTGAATTAGTCTTTAATTTGGCAATTGTCAAACTCTATTTGCTCGCTTTGGAGTCTGGGCCTGAGTTACTGTTTGCTTTTGAGGATTCTAGTCCAGTTATGTGGAGAGATCGTGAATTCTATGCAGGAGAATTGCCTTGAAATCAGACTTTGTGGCTAATAAGCTCAATTTGCTCTTGATGTTTATTAATGTTTTTAGGAGCATGAATGCTCTTAGACTTCAGAAACTTTAGGAACAAAAACGACTCCTCCCCTCAGTGAGGAAAGGTAAAGATGAGCTAATTATAAATATTCTTAATCAGAGGAAATGTAGGAAAAAATCCTTACTTTGGAAAATATTTTCTATAGGGCTTCGTGGTTCTTTCCTAGATACTAGACACAAGTGTTATGAAAGCAGGGACTTTAGTTATATTTCCTAAGTCTTAAAAGGCCTGGAAGTAGATTCTCAATAAACGTAGAAGGAAGGAAGGAAGGAAAGGCATGCTGATTAAATGAACCAAGATGCTCCAGTAACAAAAATTATGACATCAGCTAATAATTTAAATTTGATAATAAAATATTTATATCTATAGGACAGATAGCTTAGGCAAAAGAGTAACACATGGTCTGGACTTCATGTCTGGAAATTTCCCTGACGTCTAGATTAAAATACAATCTTGGTCATATAAGACATTTACCTCATATTTGCATTTCACTTATTCCAGAAAAAATGAGGATTAAAAAAATATTAATGGGTAATAACAGTAACACTTCAATTCCCAAACTAGTCAGTGTTTATAATTGGCTAAATAATTTCCTGAACTTAAGTGTGTTACATAAGTTTTTTAATGGCAAATAAGATGGTGTAGAATTTAAATAGTTACAAAATGTCTTCAAAGTGTCAAAGAAAATGAACATTGACCTATGAAGAAATAAATACAAATTGAGTTAGAAATATTTTTACTTAACATAACATTAAGATGAATAAAAATAAGCAAACTGTGGAATATTATGAAGGCTAGCTTAATATGATGCTGGAATAAAGAAATAACCTATTATAAAGATAAATTTTTGTAGAAGGATCTCAACAGGCTCTATAACTGAATATACATAGATCATTTCCAGTTAACAGAGTGAGTATGTAGGTGTAGGGACTTGTATATGCACATGTGTGTATTCATGTGAATAGTATAGCTGACCATTTAGCATGGAATAAGTTCTGTAGGCTCACCAATGATTTACAGCCTGTTTCTCTTGCCTTACTTGGCATGGCTACATTAAACTGAAAAATCTTTGAAATGAGGTGCCATGAAAAGAAAAAGAAAATCTCATTTTTGGATGTATAAACCAAAAAGGAATTGTATCAATTGCCCAGCCCATCTCTTTACCCAGGACAGAAGTCTCTCATGGGTCAGGGCCTACTTGGATGACTATATCTTATGGAAGATCCAATGTTCAAGTTCTACTATGGTTCAGGTTCCCCACTTTTATATCTTGTGCAGATTTTGAGGAGTCAGGTTGTGTCTCAGGGTATCATTGTGTCAGGACAGATATAGCATCAAACACGGCTGCCTCAGTGTGTGTCTGGAGTCAAGCATGTTCAGTGTCCCACTGCCTTCCACCTACTGTTCATTGCTACATAGCAAGCTTCTCATTGGTCCCTTTGCCTGTTACATTACAAGGAAGAATTTAACTTGACTGGTTAAATATTTCCGGGACTTGGGAAGAGAAAATGTGATCTAACCAACAATGAGATCTGCTACATTCTGTTACTTTGGGATGGATACATGTTTAATAAATCAGAAATAGGATCGGTTCTATTGACTAAGCTAAAGTGGTTTTAAAATTCATGTCACATTGCAGATCCAAATAATAGAGCCTTTGACCCTGTTTTCCTAGGGAGGAAAAATGTCTGCAGGAGAAACATTCCTTTTACAGATTGAAACCTTCTTCAACGTTTTTTATCCTATCTTCCAGTAAGAATATTCACAAGAGAATTATTGTTTGCTGAATTTAAGAAACATTCACTACGTCATGCAAATAACTTTAATTGCATTCTTTGGGAAAAGACAATCAGCATATGAGTATGATCCCATAACATGAGCCAACTATTCTTAAAGCATAGGTTGGGCCATCTTCTTATTTATGAAAATGGACTGCCTCCTGGGAATATTTAAGAGTAATATGCAACAACTGCTGTAATTATCAGCAATATGTCTCAGAAAAACTTGGGGAAGCCATAATTGAAGAGTTTAAAAAAAAGAAAGTTAAGGTTTGTGATGAGGTTACTGTACTCTCATCCCTTTGCCAAGTTGCCATTGAATATTAGCCAAACTTTGGAACACTCTCAGATATGAAGCCCACCAAATGACCTTGCTGGACCCATCTTGTAGGTCCTACATCCCACTCAAGGCAACTTTGTTATCTCCACTAAGAGAAGTATACAATCTGCTGGAGGTTTAAGGAATCAATCAACAATACCTTCTTTCCACTCTCAAGATTAGAGCAAGTTGAGAGATAGGACTCAAACAGATGGCAGCAATATATTAGCTTTATTACTGATAAAAGCTCTTTAGAGAATGTGACTGTGTTTTGCTTTTGTTTTTGTTTATGAGACAGTGTCTTGCTCTGTCACCCAGGCTGAAGTGCAGTGATGCGATTATGGCCACTGCAACCTCCCGTGCTCAATCGCTCCTCCCACCTCAGCATCCCGAGTAGCTGGGCCTACAGGTGTATGTCACCACACTCGGCTAATCATTGTATTATTCACAGAGACAGGATCTCACTATGTTGCCCAGCCTGGTGACTGTGTTTGTTATGATAAGTAATACTGGTTTGTCAACAAACCAACTCTAAAATTTCAGGGACTGAACAAAAGTTAATTTATTGTTCATATGTAGTCCAGTAAGGATGTTCCTGCTTGGCAGGTGGCCTTCAGCATGGCCATTCAATGGACCTTCCATAATGTGGCTCCATCCCTAGAGCTTCAAAGTCTGATGCTGAAGTTTCTACATCAGTTAATAACTGGGAAAGAGAGAGCGTGAAAGATTACACAGGAGGTTTTCATGTGGCAGATTTGGAAGAAGTGTACATAAGTTAATATTCCATTGCCTAGAACCCAGTCACATGGCCTAACCTAACTGTAAAGCAGGTTGGGAAAGTTGCAAATTTAGTGTATCTCTATGTACACAAGGCAGAGGGAATGGATTTTGGTGAAAACATAGCAGTCTTGGCCAAAATAACTGGATCTTAGCCAAGTGGGCTTGCAAATATTTCCTCCCAAACTTAGGCAGACTAATCCCTCAACAGTAACAGCTCATTCCTACAAGGGTAGACTCTGCCTCACTAAGCTTAGAGCATAGCTGAGAGAGAGAGAAACTCAGAATGCACCCTCTCTGTGGGCAGGCAGATTTCAGAGGGGAGGGGAAAAGGCTGATTGAACATTACTAATTTTTTCTTCCAATCTCATCACTGAAGGAGGAAGAAAAAATCCAAAAGTGCTACTCTAGGAAAATCATCTACTCAGAAATATGAGGCGTAGAGAATAAGTTTTCTCCCAGGAGTTGAATAAAAACTTTTAAACCAATTCATGTCATCCTTTATTCTTTAAAACCATATATTGGTTGGTAACATCCTTAAAATATTTTCTTGTGTCTTTCCTTAATTTTAGGATATATTATAATAATTGGCTTATTAAAATTATTAACAAAAGATTATTTAAATTACTAATAAAATTAGTCTTAATACAACTTTGAGACTCTCTACTTGTGTTTCTTTTGAAATACTATCTCAATAACTTTGTCAAATACAGGATGTATTTTTTGAAAATCTTTGTAAAATAAAATAATATATAGGATGATGGCTTCCTCTTATAGATTGAGCATGAGCAAAGTTAGTTCAGATCATCAGTGGTCTGTTACCCTGGACCTAGAATATAAACTATGCTTCCCTTTAAAAAGAAAACTCTCATGTAAGCATTTTATTGAATATGGTAGACTTGTGAGCAATAATTTATAACATGTTTTTATTTCTGTCAGTAACTGCCCCTGGACAACAGCTTTAGCAGGTTCTTAAAGCTTTTCACTTTTTTTTTTAGATGGAGTTTTGTTCTTGTTGCCCAGGCTGGAGTGCAATGGTGCCATCTTGGCTCACTGTAACCTCTGCCTCCCAGGTTCAAGCAATTCTGCTGCAGCCTCCCAAGTAGCTGGGACTACAGGCATGCACTACCATACCCGGCTACTTCTTTTGTATTTTCTAGAGACAGGGTTTCACCATGTTGGACAGGCTGATCTCAAACTCCTGACCTCAGGTGATCCACCTGCCTTGGCCTCCCAAAGTGCTAGGATTACAGGCGTGCACCACCACGCCCAGCGCTTTTCACTCTTAAATGGTACCACGTCCCTGTTTCTTTTTTTTCCAGGTATTAAAACTGTCTAATCCATTCCATTTTCAAATTTTTGGTCTCCTTTCTTCTTCTATCTCAGTCCAACTCAGTTTAGGCTCAGAAGCTGCAGAAGGGGGTTGATTCCATCAGCTGGTGGCTTTATCATTCCTCCTCAGCTCCTGGCTTTTGGTAGTCCATCCATAGAGCCTGTCTTTATTGAAGTCACCTTGCCTTGGGGATTGAGTGGGGAACAAAACTGAACAGAAGGTTTAACTTGAAGCTCACAGTGTGGTACTGAGAGACAAACATTCATGTAGTCAAGTAAATATTCTTTAGGGTCTGAAACTATCCCTGAACATTTTTAAATTTTATCCTTTTGTGGGGATTTCAAGAATCATCAAAAAATACATATAAGCATATTAATTATCAGTTGGGTAACCTACAACCATGCAATAGTGTCCTGATACAGGTTTCAAGGCCCTCACTTTTTTTTTTATTTCAATAGGTTTTTGGGGAACAGGTGGTGTTTGGTTACATGAATAAGCTCTCTAGTGGTAATTTCTGAGATTTTGGTGCACCCAGCACCCCAGCAGTGTACCCTATACCCAATGTGTAGCTTCTTATCTCTTGCCCCCCTCCCACTCTTTCCCCAGAGTCCCCAAAGTCCAATATATCATTCTTATGCCTTTGCATCCTCATAGCTTAGCTCCCACTTATGAGTGAGAACATATGATGTTTGGTTTTCCATTCCTGAGTTACTTCACTTAGAATAATAGTCTTCAGTTCCATCCAGGTTGATGCAAATGCCATTATTTTGTTCCTTTATATGGCTGAGTACTATTCCATGGTATTTATATATACCACCCTATCTTTATCCACTCACTGATTGATGGGCATTTGGGCTCATTCCATATTTTTTGCAATTGCAGTTGTGCTGCTATAAACATACGTGTGCAAGTATCTTTTTCGTATGACTTCTTTTCCTCTAGGTAGATACTCAATAGTGGGATTTCTGGATCAAATGGTAGCTCTACTTTTAGTTCTTTAAGGAATCTCCACACTGTTTTCCATAGCAGTGGTACTAGTTTACAATCCCACCAACATTGTAAAAGTGTTCCTTTTCACCACATCCATGCCAACATCGATTTTTTAAAATTTATTTTATTATGGCCATTCTTGCAGGAGTGAGTCAGGGCCCTCGCTTTTGGACCAGCATTTCTGACTGCCTTGGTGCAGTTCAGTCCTTTGTAGTTGTCTTGGTCTAAGGACCAAAGAATGAAATAGGTGTAATGCATAAATGATAAATTATCACTGAAGAGGGGTCAAATAAAATCATAGCATCATTTGCCAATAAAGTTTTTGCAATGATTCTGAAAGAACAAAAATGGTGGGAAAATATACTATTTTGTGCATCTATCACAAAATAGTCCAAAAGGGCTGACATATTAGCAATTGGTACCATATTCATATTGCAAGCAGCATCTTAGTTTCAGCAAAACAAAATAATCAGATAATAGCCACTTCTTCCATTCAGTTGCCCAGGGAAAAAACCTTGGAGCTCTCTTTGACTCCTTGCCTTCTTTCATACTCATATCCAATGTCTCACCAAGTACATCAGATTCCGATGGCTTCTCGCCGTCACCATCTACATTGCTTCCACCCACGGGTGTGAGCCATCACCCTGTGGCACCTGGCTTATTGTAATAGCTTCCTACTTGGTCCTTTAGTCTACCCTGGCCTCCCTTACACAGCTGCCAAGCAATCATGATAAAACACAAGTCTTGTGGAGTCACTTCTTTCCTCAATTTTCCGGTAGCATTCCATCTCTCTTAGAGTAAAAGCCAGAGATTTTAGATTGGCCTATATGGCCCCTGATGAATGGAAAAGAGACACTGTCCCTCTAATATGCCTTACTTCCTTTTCTACTCTTTTTCCCCCAACTGATCTCCATTTAACATAGTATATTGTTTACTTTTCATGTTCTCTCTACCTCCTACTAGAATGTAAATCTTAAGAGGGCAGGAATTTTCATCCACATTCTTTATTTCTGCAACTCCAGCTCCTGGATTAGTTCCTAGAATATAGTACACATTCAATGAACAATTCTGAAATGAATGGATGAATCTGGTATATTAAAATAATTTTTTGTATCATTTGATTGGCAAATAAGTTTTCTTTTCTTCTTTGTTTTTTTGGGTCAGGATCTTGCTTTGTCACCCAGGGAGGCTGGAGTGTCATGGCACAATCATAGCTCACTGCAGCCTCAGACTCCCAGGCTCAAGTGATTTAGCGCTTCTCCTGCCTCATCTTCTCAAGCAGCTGGGACTAGAGGCGTACATTACCATACCTGGCTAAGTTTTTAATATTTTTTTGTAGAGGATGGGGTCTCATTTTGTTGCCCATGCTGGTCTAGAACTCCTGGCCTCAAGCAATCCTCTAGCCTCAGCCTCCCAAAGTGCTGGGATTACAGGCATGAGCCAACATGCCCAGCCAAGTTTTGTTTTTTATAGTTGTATAAGAGTTGTTAGAATAAACCTAGTTTATGGTTAAATATATTTAATAGTATTATGAAAGTAATTTACCCTGTAATCCCAGGGACTCAAGAGGTCAGGAGTTTGAGACCAGCCTGGGCAATGTAGTGAAACCCCATCTCTACAGACACACACACACACACACACACACACACACACACACACACACACACACACACAGACACACACACAAATTTAAGTCAATACTGAGAACTGTAGGAATGTTTTTCTTTAAAATGGTTATATACAATTATTACACTTTATTTGAAATATACTATTTTGGCTAGGTTTATAGTAATCTAAAAGGATCAGAAAAATCGAAGAACATTAGAATTAGGAGAAAATGTAAATATTATCTAATTTAACATTTTACCTTAGAATAGAACAATTCCTAGAATTATGGGAGATTTTTAAAAAAATATTATTTTGTGGCTTCTTGTTTGGCAGGGTTTTTGAATTCTATAAGCAAGGAAGTGTTCCTAATCTTTGTAACATTTAAATTTACAAATAATTTGAAATTCCCTGAAGAAAGCAAATGTGTTCCCATGATAAAATAAAATTATTCACAGAAAATTTCTTTAGTAAACCAGCTTCAAATTTCATTAAGATGGAAAAGCTGTTCTAATTGATTTACCAGATAGCTATGGTTGGAAAATATTTAATTTTTGGAAAAATTCATGATGTAGGTCTGCCATGTGTTCTTTTACAAAACTTTCATTGACAGCCAAAAAAAAAAATGTGGAGTTCAGTAACAGCGATAAAATTGTCATTTGATCAATTTTAACAATGGCTTTTATGTAATCTGTTAATCCCTCTCAAGCAATCTGGGAAATTGTGCTGTGAATCATTAGAAATATATGAACGATTGAGCTGTGAAATTTTATTACAGAATTATATTATGCCACAAGGATTCATCAACGGGTGAGATATTGCCACAAAGCAATTCACTTAAAAATTCAGCCATGTTGCTTTTGTCCCTGAAGGGTGGATTGAACACCCACACTGGAATTTTGTCCAGTCACATAAAAAGAAAATGTAAGCATTCCTTTTCAAAATTACTAACTTTTGAGATGAATTGAGCAAAATAACTAGTGTTAGGAGGGAATATTCCATCCTTTTGATAAAACGAATATGAACTATCTGAATATTATTTTGACCTATGACATGACTTTGTTACTTTAATGTAACACATTGCAAAACATAAAGTGCCATCCATGTATTTATTTTATTATTTTATTATTTATTTGCATGAAAAAAGGTAAAATTTATTCACAGAAAGCATTCTGTCAATTGTAGTGGATAATGACTCTCACTATGAATTACGTAATGAGATCTTCTCAACCCTTATATTTACTTTATCACCATTATAAGGGCTCACTCCTAATTTTATCCTGCCCCAGAAGATGTTTGGGGTGTACTAACCACTTCTGGGGGATAAAAGCTGGGGTGTGCAATCTATTTTTTTGTTAGATAAACTTCACTTTACACACATATGTAACATCATATAATGGGAAGAATACTAAATTAGCCTTTGAAAGCAATTATAGGCAGTGTTTTTATAAATTTTACTTTAATTTCTGGGATACATGTGCAGAATATGCAGGTTTTTTACATATGTAAATGTGTGTCATGGTGGTTTGCTGCACCTATCAACCCATTACCTAGGTATTAAGCCCCACATGCATTAGCTATTTGTCCTGATGCTGGCAGTGTTTTTGAGTTACCAGAAGGGTATTCCCAGGAATCATTCGCAACATCTTAATTATGCACTTTGCTTGCAATACACATAATTTTTTTCTTCTCCTGTCTCAGACTGAGAAAAATTTTTAATTCTTTCAAGTGCTGGGAGTATATTGTCATTAAAGATGTCAGAGCACTTTCTAGAGAAGTTGTTGGGGAGGGAGGGTTAATACAGTGTTGTGGACTGAGTTGTGTTCCCCAAAAATTCATTTATTGATTCGTTTATTGAAGTCCTAACTCCCAGTACCACAGATGGTGACTGTGTTTGGAGAAAGGGTTTTTAAAGAGGTAATGAAGTTAAAATGAGGTCATTAAGGTGGGTCTTAATCCAGTTTCGCTGATGTCCCTAAAGAAAGAGTAAGTCTGGACACAGATGGGTAAGAGGAAGACCATGTCAAGACACAGGGAAAGATGGCCATCTACAAGCCAAGGGGAGGGGCCTCAGAAGAAACCAACCCTGCTGACACCTTGATCTTGAACTTCAAGCTCTTAGAATTGTGAGAAAATAAATTTCTGTTGTCTAAAGACACCCAGTCTGTGGTAATTTGTTATGGCAGCCCTGTGTACTAACCCACACAGTAAAGAAATAATGGTAAAACATCTTCAGATGAGCATTCACCTATCCAAAGAGAAAGAGGATAGTGAGTGGGTAGATGATATAGTAGGTTTCAAATGGTCCAGAAGGATATAAAGTTTCCATTACATATTTTTCTATTTGTTTCCCAACTAGATTGTGGGACCACAGAGAGTAGAAATGATGTCTAACCTGTCTTTGAAACTTTTTCTCATAGGTGTTCATGTATGCCTACAGGATTGATCCATAGTGAATAGAGGAGGTATGCAGCAGTGAGCATACACCACAGTGTAATGTATGGCTAAGAGAGCAGGCTCTCGAGTTAGTTTGCTGAGATTGAATCCCAGATATGCCACTTATTAGTTGTCTGCTTTGGGACAAATTTCTCCATCTCTCTGTGCCTCAGTTTTTTCATGTGTAAAACAGATAATCATTATACTTATCTCATCAGTTTGCTGTGAGTACTAAATGAGTCCATATATGTATAAGCACTTAGAATAGTTCCAGGTACATAAATGGCACTCAGTAAGACTTTGCTATTAGACACATCATTTTAAGACTGCCCACAGAGTAAACAACAGGAGGAGCTCTGCTGTAATAGTTGACATAAAGCAGAAAGACTCTGTGTCCAGTTGATAGTACTATCAGTTCCTTGGCCAATTTCCAACTTACGTTCTTCCCACGTAAGTAGCCAGATCCTCCCCACTCTGGTGAAAGGAATTGGCTCTTATAAAACTAATGAGGAACATCACAGGCCTGCATAATGAAAGAGGTCATTCTGTCCTTCCTTAGCGTGCCTGTGTGGCACAATGCTATTAAGTTAGAGGGGCTGTTAGGCAAGCACTTCTCACAATTTGTTGGGTAATGACTCTATTTGGATCAGTGGGCTAAATGCTGGGGGGCTGGGGAAGAGTTGAGAAGAGTCAGAGAACACACACACTCGAGAACAAGTGGAGGCCAATTTCTCTGCCTTGGCTGAACACCTTGCAATTCTGGTGTGTTTCTAGAGAGATAGAATATGCCCCTGTGCAACACATCTGAAAACTTAAGCAGCTATACTTAAAATGCAGACCACATATTTGAGTGCAAAAAGAACATAAATTAACAGCTGAATTTAACTTAAAGAAATCGTATCATGAGAAGGTAAGCTCTCAGGAAGGTTTGAAGGATGAAAGAACACAAATTGGTAGAGATGAGGAAAAGAGAGAAACCATTATTCAACAACAACCTATGTTTCAGATGCAGTGTCTCATTTAGTTTTATCAGTAACCCTAAAGATGGGTAGAGGTAATTACCTTCATGCCTGACTCATAATGATAGGAGACAGGCATTTTAGAAATATGCCTATTCACTAAAATAAATGCTTGGTGATGTCATCCTTCGTCAGAGTCAGATATTTTACCATTAGCTCCTTCTTCATAAACAATCCTCTTTTGTCCGTCAACTTAAAATTGTGAGATCTATACATTTGGAGAGGAGAGCTTTATGTTTTATTTTATTTTATTTTGAGACAGAGTCATGCCCTGTCACCCAGACTGGAGTGCAGTGGCGCGATCTTGGCTCACTGCAACCTCTGCCTTCTGGGTTCAAACAATTCTCCTGCCTCAGCCTCCTGAGTAACTGGAACTACAGGCATGCACCACCACACCCGGCTGATTTTTTTTTTTTTTTTTTGTATTTTTAGTAGAGGCAGGTTTCACTATGTTGGCCAGGCTGGCCTTGAACTCCTGACCTCAGATGATCCACCCGCCTCGGCCTCCCAAAATGCTGGGATTACAGGCGTGAGCCACTACGACCGGCCGAGAGCTTTATTCCTTAAAAAGAGTTGCAGCCTGCAAGCCGGCCATCCTACAGGCCGAGAAGCATAGATTCTGGCAGAAACTGAAAGTGGGCACTTTGAAGGAGGAAGGGTGAGACAGGAATTTATGCTGAATGGGTTGGATAAGTATACATATTAAACAGGGTATAGCAGGACTAGGAATAATCACAAAATTGGGTATGCAAGTATGAGTAGTAAGCAAACATGAATGTTATATACATCCCATTTTCACTTTGGGGTGGAGACAACATTTAAATGCATCAAAATTTGGCTGTATATGTCAAAAGGTGAAATGGAGGACACAAAGACATGCAGTGCCCAGTCCTGTAAACAGCCAGAACGAGTCCATGGTGCGTGGTCTCTCACCAGCCAGGAATGCTGGTCAATTGTTGTGCCGAAACCACAAAAACGAAGGGGAGTCTGGTTGCAGTATCAGGCAGTTGTTTGAAATCAGTAGCAGAGCAAGTCTTTCAAAAGGACAGGTTTCTGTTTAACTCTTAGGAAAGAAAAGTCTGGTGGTTAGTGAGGGAGGAGGAAAAAGTAGGTGAGCCTGACCTTCCATCCCATCATGGCTGGAAGGAGGAGGAAAAAGGAGGCAACATGGACCTTCCATCCCATCATGGCTGGAAGGAGGAGGAAAAAGGAGGCAACATGGACCTTCCATCCCATCATGGCTGGAAGGAGGAGGAAAAAGGAGGCAACATGGACCTTCCATCCCATCATGGCTGGAAACCCTGTTTCTAAGCTTTCTCTGAGGTCCCCTTGGCCAAGAGAGTGTCCATTTAGTCAGTTGGGGAGCTGAACATTTTATTTTTATTTCTCATGTCTAAATTCTATTGTTGCATGCATATGAAGATTATAGTATATTTATTTATTTATTTCTGAGACAGGGTCTTACTCTGTCATCCAGGTTGAAGTGCAGTGGTGCAATCATAGCTCACTGCAGCCTTGATCTCCTGTGCTCAAGCCATCCTCCTGCCTCATCCTCCTGAGTAGGAGGGACTACAGGCATGTGCCACAACACCTGACTGATTTTTTGACATTATTTTAGAGACGAGGTCTTTCTATGTGTCCAGGCTGGTCTTGAATGACCGAGCTTAGGTGATCTTCCTATCTCAGCCTCCCAAGTAGCTGGGACTACAGGCATGAGTCACTGCTCCTGGCTGATATTATATTTAATTAAAAATATTTGTGCAGGCCAGGCACAGTGGCTCACACCTGTAATCCCAGCACTTTGGGAGGCTGAGGTGGGCAGATCGCCTGAGATCAGGAGTTTGAGACCAGCCTGACCAATATGGCAAAACCCTGTCTCTACTACTAAAAAAAAAAAAAAAAAAAAAAATTAACCAGGTGTGTTGGCACATACCTGTAATCTCAGCTACTCAGGAGGCTGAGGCATAAGAATTGCTTGAACCTGGGACGTAGAGCTTGCAGTGAGCCAAGATTGCACCACAGCACTCCAGTCTGGGCAGTAGAGTGAGATTATCTCAAAAAAAAATTGATCATATGCTATAGATGATTAAAATAATCAATTAAGGTCCAGGCATTTCCAAGCCTAGAGAGCAGCAACACCTTGTGGTGAATATGTAAGGATGCTTTCAGCTGCAAGTATCAGAATTCACAACTAAAAGTTGTCCACTAAGTAGACATTTCTGAGATTGGGTGAGTCCATAGTGTAACACTGTCATCAGAAACTCAGATGCTTTCTGCTCTTTGCTCTTCTACCTTCAGGTTTTCATCAGTGTTTCCTCTCATGGTCATAGATAGCTGCAGGATTCAGGTGTCACGTGCACAATATCTCCCCCCCCAAAAATGTAGGGGTGTGTCACATCCTAGAAACCCTTTTTAAATAGTGAGAAAAATATTTCCTAAAATGGCCATCCATACTGCTGCACCGAAGAAGATGTCAGATCCCTTTGGCCTGGGTTTGATAATATATAACCATGGCTAAATTCAATCCCTCAGAAGAAGAGTAGAATTATGATTGACTCAGCCACCAGTGATTCATAGTACAGAGCAGGTTGAACCTCAGAGCAAAACTAGGGCTCTGTCAGTAAGGGAGAATTGGGAAGCAAGTGGCAAGAAATGGTGTCTGTCTCAGTGAATTAGCCAGACTAGGGAAACTTTACATTTCTTTTTTTCCAGTCCATTTGAAGTTGACTTCATATTTTAGCTTTCAGAAGGCACTCTATTTCTCCTTTTCTTGGGCCTGATCTCCTCTGTTGCTCATTCTTAGACTGATTCCATATGTCTTGGTTTTATTATCATGTTTAAAAAACTCTAAGGAAGTTTACACGATAACATATTACCACCTCCTATTTGCAACGTGCATTATAGTATAAACAAGACTGCCACATATAGAAACAAGGCTTCTACAAACAGTTCACTGTTACTCAAAATAGTGTTGAGAAAAGACCAAGGCTCAGGCAAGTCAAGTGTCTCGTCCAGAGTCAAACAGCTTTGAGGTTATTGCATTTGCTCTATGGCTCATATCTCAGTCTTTTCACCCAATATTCTTTCCATTATCCCCTCCTAGTGCTCAGAACTCTATACATATTTGTTAGATAAATGGATTAACATTTAAAAACTGGGGAAGGCCAGGCATGGTGGCTCACACCTGTAATCACAGCACTTTGGGAGGCTGAGGCAGGCGGATCACGAGGTCAGGAGTTCAAGAGCAGCCTGACCAGCATGGTGAAACCCCATCTCTACTAAAAATACAAAAATTAGCTGGGTGTGGTGGCACATGCCTGTAATCCCAAATACTTGGGAGGCTGAGGTAGGAGAGTCACTTGAACCCAGGAGGCAGAGGTTACAGTGAGCAAAGATAGTGCCACTGCACTCCAGCCTGAGTGACAGAGCAAAATTCCATCCAAAAACAAAAACAAAAACAAAAACAAAACAAAGAACAACAGAAAAACCTGAGAAGTGTGCTTATCATTTCTGTAATCTTTTTTCAGGAGAGGTTGAGAAAATATAAAGTACTATGACCAGTTGGCCACTGGAGGTCACTATTATTTCACAAAAGGAGAACTTGTCACTCTTTCAAAAAAAAAAAAAGCCTAATCCTATTTTAAAAATCCAAGAGAAATGGTAGTAATAGTTGTTATATAACATTTACTGATTTCCCAAGGCTTTAGGAATTACAACTATAGAAAGCTCATCCTTAGTGTATTAACATTTACCAAACATTCTGCTGAACTGACATAGTCAAATTTTTCTGTGACATTTCTGCTCATTTATCATTACCATTTCATTTTTACAATGTACAGATAGTGGAAGTGTTAATAGATAAGGTTCTTTCCTCAAAGTTATCCCTACCCCGCCCCCACCACCCCAACCCACATTGTTATATTCCAAGGAAGAACTATCAGTATTTCCTGTGAGTATAATTTGTGAGACATTTAGAACTCAAAACCTCTTTTTACCTGAACCATCCTTCCAATTTATTCACAGATAATCTGAAATTTTGCCATTAGTTCTTCATTCCTTTTTGTTAAGTTTATGTTACCATCTTGAGGGTGCTTTGAAATGGCAGTTCCCAACTTGGTGTTCTTTAAAATATGTATGGTGTGAATCGTTTCATAAAAGAAAGTGTTTCTCAGCCAAGCCAATCTGGAAAATGCTGTAAACTACAGCCCCTATTTGGAGCTAGAAAACCACATTATCACTTTAAATGAAGAGAAGTTCAACAGCTGGTATTATTTTGGTTAACAAGCTGTTTCCAAATTTTTGACCAGAGGTCAGTAAACTTTCTCTGTAAAGAACTGGGTAAGAAAATGTTTTAGGCTCTGTGGGTCATCTAGGGTCTCTGTTGGAACTAATCTAATTCGCCATTGTAGCTTGAAAGTGGCTTTGGACAACATGTAATCAGTGAATGTGGCTGTGTTCCAACAAAACTTAGTTTGTAGACACTGAAATTTGACATTAATATAATTTTCACATCATGAAATATTATTCTCCTTTTGCTTTTCCCCAAACAATTTAAAATCTAAAAACTCTCAGCCATATGAGTTTTGTACATAGCTCACAATCTCTACCAAAACAAGCAGCAGACAAGATTTGGGCTGTGGGCTAGAGTTTGCTGACCCCTAATTGTTGTTGTTGTTGTTTTTTGTTTTTGTTGTTTTTTGTTTTTTGTTTTTTTAATAGGGCCTTGCTGTGTCACCCTGGCTGGAGTGCAGTGGCGCAATCATGGCTAACTGCAGCCTCCACCTTCTGGGCCCAAGTGATCCTCCCACCACAGCCTCCCAAGTAGCTGGGACTACAGCTGTATGTGACCACACCTGGCTAATTTTTGTATTTTTTGTAAACGCAGGGTTTCGTCATGTTTGCCCAGGCTGATCTCCAACTTACGGGTTCAAGTGATCCACCCACCTTGGCCTCCCAAAGTGTTGGGATTACAGGTGTGAGCCACTGCGCCCAGCCTGTCTTTCTTCTTTCTAATTTGTTCAAGTAATATTTCAGCCATTGTCAAATGCCAGTCCTTACTGGTGTGTTTTTTTTTCAAACTCCCTACTTTTGTCTGTTACAATTCGCAACAATTGTGATAATTTTGCAAGAATCCTTGATTCCCAAAGGTTCTACAGCTGTGATTCTAGAAGCTCTGCCCCAGGTCATCAGCAGTGGGGTCACCTGGCACCTGGTAAGAAATGCAAATTGTCAGGCCCCACCCCAGAACTACTGAGCTGGTTCAGCAATCTGTGTTTTCACAAGTCCTCCAGGGTATTCTGATGCATGCTAAAACTTGAAAAATCACTATTACATAGCTCCAATCAAAATTTTAACATACCATAAGATAAGGAAAGGAAAGAAAATGGAAGTTATCACAGATTATCTGGCTAAGGCAAATCAACTGTTACAAGAATAAGTATGGAAAGGAAGTCTGTAGGAAGGAAGTGACTGAAGGAATTAGAAATCTGCATTACTGGGGAAATGCTGGTTGGCAGGCTGATAAATCTTATCCCAAGCATCATTATTGTATATTTGTATAAATCTAAATGTATGTAACTTTGTATAAAGTGTCTTTGCAAAGTATCATTGTGAAACTTTACAGATAATCTAAAAGTATGTCAACTCATAGAAAAACATAAAATAACAAAATTAATTAATTTATCAATGATATGGTTTGGATCTCTATCCTTGCCCAAATCTTATGTCAAATAGTAATCCCCAGTGTTGGAGGTGGGGCCTGGTGGAAGATGATTGGATCATGGGCGTGACTTCTAATGGTTTAGCACCGTCCCCTCTTTGGTACTATAGAGTGAGTGAGTTCTCACAAGAGCTGGTTGTTTAAAAGTGTGTGGCACCTCCCCCTCCCACTTCTTCCTGCTCTAGCTAAGTAAGACATATCTGTTGCCATTTCACCTTCTGCCGTGATTGAAAGTTTCTTGAAGCCTCCCCAGGAGCTGAGCAGATGCCAGCATCATGCTTCCTCTACAATCTGTGGAACTGTAAGCCAATTAAGCCTCTTTTCTTTATAAATTACCCAGTCTCAGGTATTTCTTTATATCAATGAGAGAGTGGCCTAATACAGAAAATTAGTACTGAGGAGTAAGGCATTGCTATAAGGATACCTGAAAATATGGAAGCAACTTTGAAATTGAGTAATGAGCAGAGGTTGGAAGAGTTTGGAGGGCTCAGAAGATGATAGGAAGGTGAGGGAAAATTTGGGACACCCTAGAAACTGGTTAAATGGTTGTGACCGAAGCGCTGATAGTGATATAGACATTAAAGTCCTGGATAATGAGGTCTTAGATGAAGATGAGGAACTTATTGAGAACTCAAGTAAAGATCACTTTTGCTATGCTTTAGCAAAAACCCCTGTTTTGACTGTACCCCTGCCCTAGGGATCTGTGGAACTTTGAACTGGAGAGTGATGATTTAGGGTATATGGCAGAAAAAGTTTGTAAGCAGCAAAGTGTTCAAGATGTGGCTTGGCTTCTTCTAACAACCTATGCACATGTGTGTAAGCAAAGAAATGACCTAAAATTGGAACTTATATTTAAAGGGGAAGCAGATTGTGAAAGTTTAGGTAATCTGTAGCCTGGCTATGTGGTAGAAGAGAAAAGCCTATTATCTGGGGAGAAATTCAAGCAGGCTGCACAAATTTGTGTAACTAAAAGGACAGCAAGTGCTGATAGCCCAAGACAATGGGGAAAAGCCCTCCAGGGAATTTTACAAACTTTTGTCGCAACCCCTCCCACCACAGGCCCAGAGGCCTAGGAGGGAATAATGGTTTCATGGACCAGGCCCAGGGCCCCAGTGTCCTGCACAGCCTTAGGACACTGTTCCTTGCATGCTAGCTGCTCCATCTCTAGCTGTGGCTCAAAGGGGCCCAGGTACACCTCAGGCTGCTACTCCAAAGGGTGTAAGCCATTAGCCTTGGCAGCTTCCATGTGGTGTTAAGCCTGTGGGTACACAGAGTACAATTGCTGAGGCTTGGGAGCCTCTGCCTGTATTTCAGAGGATGTATGGAAAAGCATAGATGTCCAGGCAGAAGCCTGCTTCAGGGGCACAGTCCTTATGGAGAACCTCTACTAGGGTAATGTGGAGGGGAAATGTGGGATTGGAGCCCCAACACAGAGTCCGCAATGGGGCATTGCCTAGTGGAGCTTTATGAAGAGGGCCACTGTCCTCCAGGCCCCAGAATGGTAGAGCCCTTGACAGTTTGCACCACATGCCTGGAAAAACCTCTAGCACTCAACGCCAGCCCATGAGAACAGCCATGGAGGCTATACACTGTAAAGCCACAGGGGCAGAACTGCCTAAGGCCTTGGGAGCCCACTCCCTGCATCAGTGTGGCCTAGATGTGAGATATGGAGTCAAAGGAGATTATTTTGGATCTTTAAGATTTAATGACTGCCCTGCTGGGTTTTGGACTTGCATGAGGCCTGTAACCACTTGCATTTGGCTGATTTCTCCCTTTTGGAATGGGATTATTTACCCAATGCCTACGCCTCATTGCATCTTGGAAGTAACTATGTCGTTTTTGATTTTGCAGGTTCATAGGCAGAAGAGGCTAGCCTTATCTCAGATGAGACTTTGGACTTTTGAGTTCATGCTGGAATGAATTAAGCATTTGTGGGGGACCTCTGGCAAGATGGCTGAATAGGAACAGCTCCTGTCTGCAGCTCCCAGCAAGACCAATGCAGAATGTGGGTGATTTCTGCATTTCCAACTGAGGTACAAGGCTCATCCCATTGGGACTGGTTAGAGAGTGGGTGCAGCCTATGGAGGACAAGCAGAAGCAGGGTGGGGTGTTGCCTCACCCAGAACCACAAGGGGTCAAGGAACTCCATTTCCTAGCCAAGGAAAAGCATGAGGGACTGTGCCATGAGGAACAGTGCTATCCAGCCCAGATACTGTGTTTATCCCATGGTCTTTGCAACCCACAAACCAGGAGATTCTCTCAAGTGCCTATGCCACCAGGGCCCTGGGTTTCAAGCACAAAACTGGGTGGCCATTTGGGCAGACACTGAGCTAGCTGCAAGAGTGTTTTTCGTACCCTAGTGGCATCTGGAATGCCAGCAGACAGAATTGTTCACTCCCCTGGAAGGGGGCTGAAGCCAGGGAGCCAACGGGTCTAACTCAGCAGAGCCCACCACCACGGAGCCCAGCAAGCTAAGATCCACTGGCTTGAAATTCTCATTGCCAGCACAGCAGTCTGAAGTTGACCTGGGATGCTCGGGCTTGGTTGGGGCAGAGGTACCCACCATTACTAAGGCTTGAGTAGGCGGTTTTCCCCTCACAGTGTAAACAAAGCCACCGGGAAGTTTGAACTGGGCAGAGCCCACCACAGTTCACCAAAGCCACTGTAGCCAGAGTGCTTCTCTAGATTCTTCCTCTCTGGGCAGGGCATCTCTGAAAGAAAGGCAGCACCTCCAGTCAAGGGCTTATAGATAAATCTCCCATCTCCCTGGGACAGAGCACCTGAGGGAAGCAGTGGCTGTGGGCACAGCTTCAGCAGACTTAAACTTTCCCACCTGCCTGCACTGAAAAGAGCAGTGGATCTCTCAGCACAGCACTCAAGCTCTGCTAAGGGACAGACTGCCTCCTTAACTGGGTCTCTGGGCCCTGTGCCTCCTGACTGGGAGATACCTACCAGCAGGGGTTGACAGACACTTCATACAGGAAAGCTCCAGCTGGCATCTGGCAGGTGCCACCCTCGGATGAAGCTTCCAGAGGAAGGAGCAGGCAGCAATCTTTGCTGTTCTGCAGCCACTGCTGCTGATACCCAGGCAAGCATGGTCTAGAGTGGACCTCCAGCAAACTCCAGCAGACCTGTAGAATAGGGGTCTGACTGTTAGAAGGAAAACTAACAAAGAGAAAACAATAGCATCAACATCAACAAAAAGGACATCCACACAAAAACCCCATCCAAAGGTCACCAACATCAAAGACCAAAGGTAGGTAAATCCACAAAGATGAGGAAAAACCAGTGCAAAAATGCTGAAAATTCCAAAAACCAGAATGCTTCTCCTCCAAAGGATCACAACTCCTCGACAGCAAGGGAACAAAACTGGATGGAGAATGAGTTTGACGAATTGACAGCAGTAGGCTTCAGAAGGTGGGTAATAAGAAAGTCTTTCAAGCTAAAAGAACATCTTCTAATCCAATGCAAGGAAGCTAAGAACCTTGATAAAACGTTACAGGAACTGATAACTAGAATAACCAGTTTAGAGAAGAACATAAATGGCCTGTGGAGCTGAAAAACACAGCATGAGAACTTCGTGAAGCATACACAAGTATCAATAGCTGAATTGATCAAGCAGAAGAAAGGATATCAGAGATTAAAGATCAATTTAATGAAAAAAAAACATGAAGACAAGATTAGAGAAAAAAGAATGAAAAGGAACAAACAAAGCCTCCAAGAAATATGGGACTATGTGAAAAGACCAAACCTACGTTTGACTGGTATATGGAAAGTGACAGTCAGAATAGAACCAAATTAGAAAACACTCATCAGGATATTATCCAGGAGAACTTCCCCAAATTAGCAAGGCAGGCCAACATTCAAATTCAGTAAATACGGAGAAGACTACAAAGATACTCATCGAGCAAAGCAACCCCAAGACACATAATCAACCACTTCACCAAGGTTGAAATGAAGGAAAAAATGTTATAGGCATCCAGAGAGAAAGGCTGGGTTACCCACAAAAGGAAGCCCATCAGACTAGCAGCAGATCTCTGAGCCAGAAACCCTAAAAGCCAGAAGAGAGTGGGGGCCAATATTAAACATTCTTTAAGAAAAGAATTTTAAACCCAGAATTTCATGTCCAACCAAATTAAGCTTCATAAGTGAAGGAGAAATAAAATCCTTTACAGACAAGCAAATGATGAGACATTTTGTCACCACCAGGCTTGCCTTATGAGAGCTCCTGAAGGAAGCACTAAATATGAAAAACTGGCAGCAGCCACTGCAAAAATATACCAAAATGTAAAGACCATTGACACTATAAGAAACTGCATCAACTAATAGGTAAAATAACCAGCTAACATCATAATGACAGAATCAAATTCACACATAACAATATTAACCTTAATGTAAATGGGCTAAATGCCCCAATTAAAAGACACAGACGGGCAAATTGGATAAAGAGTCAAAACTCACCAGCGTGCTGTATTCAGGAGACCCGTCTCACATGCAAAGACAGACATAGCCTAAAACTAAAAAGATGGAGTAATAGTTACCAAGCAAACGGAAAGCAAAAAACAGCAGGGGTTGCAATCCTAGTCTCCAATAAAACAGACCTTAAACCAACAAAGATCAAAAAAGACAAAGAAAGGCATTACGTAATGGTAAAGGGATCAATGCAACAAGAAGAGCTAACTACCCTAAATATATATGCACCCAGTACAGGAGCACCCAGATTCATAAAGCAAATTCTTAGAGACCTACAAAGAGACTTGCACTCCCACGCAATAATAGTGGGAGACTTTAACACCCCACTGTCAATATTAGGCAGATTAATGAGATAGAAAATTCACAAGGATATTCAGGACTTGAACTCAGCTCTGGACCAAGCAGACCTAATAGACATCTACAGAATTCTCCAACCAAAATCAACAGAATATACATTTTTCTTAGCACCACATCACACTTATTCTAAAATTGACCACATAATTGGAACTAAAATGCTCCTCAGCAAATGTAAAAGAACAGAAGTCATAACAAACAGTCTCTCAGACCACAGGGCAATCAAATTAAAACTCAGGAATAAGAAATTCACTGAAAACCACACAACTACATGGAAACTGAACAACCTGCTTCTGAATGACTACTGGGTAAATAACAGAATTAAGGCAGAAATAAATAAGTTCTTGGAAGCCAATGAGAACAAAGGTACAATGTACCAGAATCTCGGGGGCACAACTAAAGCAATGTTTACAGGGAAATTTATAGCACTAAATGCCCACAGGAGAAAGCAGGAAAGATCTAAAATTGACACCCTAACATCACAATTAAAAGAACTAGAGAAGCAAGAGCAAAGAAATGCAAAAGCTAGCAGAAGACAAGAAATAACAAAGATCACAGAAGAACTGAAGGAGACAGAGACATGAAAAACCCTTCAAAAAAATCAATGAATCCAGGAGCTAGTTTTTTGAAAAGATTAACAAAATAGATAGACTACTAGCCAAACTAATAAAGAAGAAAATAGAGAAGAATTAAATAGACACAATAAAAAATGATAAAGGAGATATCACCACTGATCCCACAGAAATACAAACTACCATCAGAGAATACTATAAACACCTCTATGCAAATAAACTAGGAAATCTAGAAGAAATGGATAAATTCCTGGCCACATACACCCTCTCAAGACTAAACCAGGGAGAAGTTGAATCCCTGAATAGACCAATAACAAATTCTGAAATTGAAGCAGTAATTAATAGCCTACCAACCAAAAAAATCCCAGGACCAGATGGATTCACAGCCGAATTCTACCAGAGGTACAAAGAGGAGCTAGTATCATTCTTTTGGAAACTATTCCAAACAATGGGAAAAGAGGGACTCCTCCCTAACTCATTTTATGTTCATCCTGATACCAAAACCTGGCAGAGACACAACAGAAAAAGAAAATTTCAGGCTAATATCCCTGATGAACATTGATGCAAAAATCCTCAGTAAAATACTGGCAAACCAAATCCAGCAGCAAATCAAAAAGCTTATCCACTCATGATCAAGTCAGCTTCATCCTTGGGATGCAAGACTGGTTCAACATATGCAAATGAATAAACATAATCCATCATATAAACAGATCCAATGACAAAGACCACATGATTATCTCAATAGATACAGAAAAGACCTTCGATAAAATTCAACACCTTTTCATGCTAAAAACACTCAATAAACTAGGTATTGATGGAAAATATCTCAAAATAAGGAAAGCTATTTATGACAAACCCACAGCCAATATAATACTGAATGGGCAAAAGCTGGATGCATTCCCTTTGAAAACTGGCACAAGACAAGGATGCCCTCTCTCACCACTCCTATTAAACATAGTATTGGAAGTTCTGACCAGGGAAATCAGGCAAGAGAAAGAAACAAAGGGTATTCAAATAGGAAGAGAGGAAGTCAAATTGTCTCTGTTTGCAGATGACATGATTGTACATTTAGAAAACCCCAGCATCTCAGCCCCAAATCTCCTTAAGCTGATAAGGAACTTCAGCAAAGTCTCAGGATACAAAATCAATATGCAAAAATCAAAAGCATTCATATAGAGCAATAATAGACAAGCAGAGAGCCAAATAATGAGTGAACGTCCATTCACAGTTGCTACAAAGAGAATAAAATACCTAGGAAATACAACTTACAAGGGATGTGAAAGACCTCTTCAAGGAAAACTACAAACCACTGCTCAAGGAAATAAGAGAGGACACAAACAAGTGGAAAAACAGTCCATGCTCATGGATTGGAAGAATCAATATCATGAACATGGCCATACTGCCCAGAGTAATTTATAGACTCAATGGTATTCCTATCAAGCTACCATTGACTTTCTTCACAGAATTAGAAAAATCTACTTTAAATTTCATATGGAACCAAAAGGAGCCCATATAGCCAAGACAATTTTAAACAAAGAAGAAAGTGAGAAGCATCATACTACCTGACTTCAAACTGTACTACAAGGCTACAGTAACCACCATAGCATGGTACTGGTACCAAAACAGATATATAGACCAATGGAAGAGAACAACAGCCTCAGAAATAACACCACACACTTACAACCATTTGGTCTTTGACAAACCTGACAAAAAGAAACAATGGGGAAAAAATTCCCTATTTAGTAAATGGTGTTGGGAAAACTGGCTAGCCATATGCAGAAAACTAAAACTGAACTCCTTCTTTACACCTTATACAAAAATTAACTCAAGATGGATTAAAAACTTCAATGTAAGACTTAAAAACATAAAACCTCTAGAAGAAAACCTAGGAAATACCATTCAGGACATAGGCATGGGCAAAGACTTCATGATTAAAACGCCAAAAGCAATGGCAACAAAAGCCAAAATTGACAAATGGGATCTAATTAGACTAAAGAGCTTCTGCACAGTAAAAGAAATCATCATCAGAGTGAAAAGGCAACCTACAGAATGGGAGAAAATTATTGCAATCTACCCATCTGACAAAGGGCTAATATCCAGAATCTATGAGGAACTTAAAAAAATTTACAAGAAAACAAACAAACAACCCCATCAAAAAGCGGGCAAAGGACATGAACAGGCACTTCTCAAAAGAAGACATTTATGTGGCCAGCAAGCATATGAAAAAAAGCTCATCATCACTGGTCATTAGAGAAATGCAAATCAAAACCACAATGAGATACCATCTCACACGAGTTAGAATGACGATCATTAAAAAGTCAGAAAACAACATATGTTGGAGAGGATTTGGAGAAATAGGAACGCTTTTACACCATTGGTGGGATTGTAAATTAGTCAACCATTGTGGAAGACAATGTGGTGATTCCTCAAGTATCTAGAACCATAAATACCATTTGACCCAGCAATCCCATTACTGGGTATATACCCAAAGGATTATAAATCATGCTACTATAAAGACATATGCACAGGTTTGTTTATTGCAGCACTATTCACAATAGCAAAGACTCGGAACCAACCCAAATGCCCATCAGTAATAGACTGGATAAAGAAAATGTGGCACATATACACCATGGGATACTATGTAGGCATAAAACTAGATGAGTTCACATCCTTTGCAGGTACATGGATGAGGCTGGAAATCATCATTCTCAGTAAACTAACACAGGAACAGAAAACCAAACACCGCATGTTCTCACTCATAAATGGGAGTCGAACAAGGAGAACACATGGACACAGGGAGGGGAACATCACACACCAGCGCCTGTCAGGGGGTGGGGAGTTAGGGGAGGGATAGCATTAGGAGAAATACCTAATGTAGATGATGGGTTGATGGGTGCAGCCAACCACCAGGGCACATGTATACCTATGTAACAAACATGAACGTTCTGCACATGTATCCCAGAACTTAAAGTATAATAATAATTTTTAAAAAGCCTTTGGGGGACTATTGAGAAGGCATGATTGTATTTTGCAATGTGAGAAGGACATGAAATTTGGAGGGGCCAGGGACAGAATTATATAGTTTGAATCTGTGTCTCTACCCATATCTTACGTTGAATTGTAATTCCTCATGTTGGAAGTGGGGCCTGGTGGGAGGTGGTTAGATCATGGGGGTGATTTCCAATTGTTTAGCCCCATCCCCTCTTGGTACTGTATAGCGTGTGAGTTCTCATGAGATCTGGCTGTTTAAAAGTGTGTAGCACCGCCCCCTTTTTTCTTCTTCCTGCTCTGGGCATGTAGGACGTGTCTACTTCCCCTTTACCTTCTGCCATGATTGTAAGTTTCCTGAGGCCTCCCCAGGAGCTAAGCAGATGCCAGCATCATATTTCCTGAACAGCCTGAGGAACCATGAGCCAATTAAGCCTCTTTTATTTATAAATTGCCCAGTCTCAGGTATTTCTTTATAGCAGAGAACTGACAAATACAATCAATACATAACTATTTCTTAAGTAATTTTTAATAATTATAGTTTGGCAGAGAATCAGAGTAATTCTTTAGGAAGGAGAAACAAAATACTCACATGTTGAGAAACAGGAAAAGGTCCAAGAATCACAATAAAAAGTTAATTTTTAACTTTAAGGAAGTATGCCTGACATGGGCTTCATCTTCATTTGGCTGATCTCTTCAGGCTTGAGTTCACTTCAAGTTATTTTATTAAATTTAACTTTCTAATTGTTTATTATTCTACTCATTTTCACCTTTTAGGTCTAGCCCTTGTTTTGTTGTAATATTTGCCATTCTTTTTTTTTTACATTTATGAGGTTAATTATAGTTCTGCTACTTTTACAAGAACAATTTAGCCTATCAGAGTCATGAGTCATTTAACACATTTTTTTCTAATCTCTTTGATCTCAGAGGTCCTCACCTCCTAAAATTCCATGACTCTACAATTTCTAATTTGTGCTGTAGTCTAGAAATCCCAAGAAGAAAAATATAGGAAATGGATGAATTTATTCGGAAAAGCATTTTAGAAATAAAAATCCCAACATTAATATTTATCTTGCTCTAAACTAAACATGAGTCTAGATTTAGGGATGGCTCACTGCTCGTATAATTAAGATAATGTTACAGAACTATGGAATCATGAGTCTGCAAATGAAAAGAAATGGAGATACTGAATCAAATTTAGACTTAATGAGCCTTTTCAGACTTCATCTTGTTAACACATTCCATTATTATAAATATTTGTAATGGTTATAAGTCAGATGATATACAACATATTGACGAATGCTCTTTGGACCAAGTAGCTTGTAATTTCTCAGTTATTTTGAGGAACTTTATCATATAGATGACACGTACTCTATGTCTTGGGGCACCTGTAGATGATTTTTTATTGGAACATGAATCACCACATAATGTTTGAATGGCTGAAGGTTGCCTCTAGATTATCAGAGCTGTCAAAATCCATTTTTTACACAACAGATTAAAAGCAATAAAAAGTAACTCTTTTAATTTGCCATTGTTATTTCTATTATTGTGATATAGTTCGTATTCTGCTTAGAAAATGAAATCTATTAGAATTTTTTTCTGTCTCTGCAAAGGAGAGTCTATCATTAAAGCAGTCAAAATTATCTAGTTATTTTTTCTGAGATAGGGTCATAACTTTCATTTCGACCTCTGAAATTATACATCCATTATAGTGGAAGTCTACCGTTCAGAGATATTAAAACGGCCAATAAACAATCTCATTTTGGAAATGACCACAGAAATGACCACAGAAAGCAAATGGTAAATCACCTCATATGTCAACTAGCTTCAGTGTGTTCCAGAGAATAATTGAACATTCACTCTTGCAAGAATGTGATTGTTATAAGTGTGGTGTCAAAAGGACAGCAGTGTCTCCACTGTGACTACTTCCACCTGGTTGCATAAGTTTGTGTCCAAGTTGTTCCAAGGCTGATTTTTAGTCCATAACACATATTAATGCACAGTACATCCAAGGCCTGTGCTAGAAGCTGAGAACACAAAGAGGAATACGAGATAATCTTTCTCCAAGGAAATCACAGACTTCTGGACTAGAGAAGAATGCAAAATTGTAATTGCAATGCAGTCATGTTAAGGTTATAATGAATATATACACAGTCTGTTTAGAAAGCAAGGAGAGCTTCCAACATAGGGTTGTAAAGAATGACTTGTAAAAGAAGGAGGCTTAGAAAATAAAGTTTACCTTTCCTCGCCAGCCCACACTGCATGGTCTATGTTCCCAGTCAGTAGCAGAATCAGGACTGGACCCTAGATCTTCTCATGCTTCCCTGAGAACTTTCCACTAACAGCCACACCTCTTGGGAGAGATTATCCTTCTTTACGGTGGTCTATGTGAGTATCGGACCCAATAGGGGATTCTCTTTATTTGTAAGTTATATAAAACACATTTTCTCTGCGTGTGTGTGTGCACACACCCATGTGTGGATGCATCTATGAGAGACAGACAGAAAGAGAGAGAGAGAGAGAGAGAGAGAGAGAGAGAAAGTGGGGATTCTTACTACTTACTAGTGAGTGAGCACAGAATGGGGGAACTGAATCCATTACCTCAGTTAGTCTTAGTTTCCTCTGAGGGATGCTTAAAGACATTCTCTAGGCACAGGGATGAATGCTACTTTTGAGCTCCCACTTCACTTTCAATTGAATGTACTACAATGTATCCATAGCCCAAATTATACACAATTTGTATATAGATACATGTGCATGTACATATAGCACAACTGAACTGAATTGAGCTTGACTAGTTGACATAGGTTTTATTTTGTAGATGTTTAATTAAATGGTGTTAAGTTCCTCCCTTCCCATATTTTGGAGCCAATGATTTTCTTCAGATTTCAGATACATCCCAAAGCCCCCTTGAAGAACTTGTCACCAGTGAGCATCGTGCCTGTCATACCTAGGTGCTTCTTCTCATGTGAGCGTCTAGTCATGCTTAGAGTAAGTTAAAAATACTTATACTTTTATATGCTCTTTTATAATACCGCATATCATATACATTTGTACCTATACATAAGATCAATGTTTTCATTAGCTATTGCCACAATAATGCTCTCTAGAAAAGCACCACAAAATTTCAGCAGCACACAGCAATAGGGTTTTATTTTTCCCTCATGAGTTTGCTGGTTAGCTGGTGCTTCTCTGCTTTAGACTGTGGGGCAGCTCGGTGGCTCTGCTCAGTGTACTTCTCTGTCTTCTGGGACCGTGAGCTAGCTGGGGCATTTGCTTCTCAGGACGCTGGCAGAGGTGCAAGAGGGCAAACAGAACTTATGAGATCTCTTACCACCTAAGCTTGGAACTGCCAGAGTCCCTTTTCTCTACATGTCATTAGCCAAAGGAAGGCGCACAGCTAAACCCAAAGTCAAAAGGCAGGGCAGTGCGCTCTTCACAGCGAGACTCTGGCAAGAGCATGAATGTGGATGGGGTGAAAAATTGGGATCAATAATTTATCTACTAAGTTACCCCCCTTCCCTATACACACATTTGCCATGCTTAATAAATGATTTAAAATATTTTTGAGATATCGTGGACTTAGCAGTTGACCTGAAAACCTGTACCCTGTACGAGATATGACTCAGCTGTACCCATACCAGCTGGTGAGCCGTGTGCCCATGATACCAAGTCACCTAGCTGAACTTCCAGAGTTGGAGATTTTTTCTCTAGGCCTTAAATAACAACACTCACTTGAGCATTAATTACACTTGGTTCAAAAGCTTAATTTATGAAAACTAGGATATTGCCGGGCACTGTGGCTCATGCCTGTAATCCCAGCACTTTGGAAGGCCGAGGTGGGCAGATCACCTGAGGTCAGGAGTTCAAGACCAGCCTGGCCAACATAGTGAAACCCCATCTCTACTAAAAATACAAAAAATTAGCCGGGCATGGTGGTGGGCACCTGTGATCCCAGCTACTAGGGAGCCTGAGGCAGGAGAATCGCTTGAACCCGGGAGGCCGAGGGTGCAGTGAGCCAAGATCGCGGCATTGCACTTCAGCCTGGGCAACAAGAGTGAAACTCCGTCTTAAAAAAAGAAAAAAAAAAAGAAAACTAGGATATTAATCTTACTTTAAAGCAAAGTGCTACTGAAGACATGGTTTTCAAGAGAGACGCTACCTCCATTGCCTTGAGGGATTCCAGTGACTATTTCATTTGTATTAGACATCAGGTGTTTTGTCTGTAGTGAGTCAGCCATATTTATAAGGCTTTCTCTTATATTATTAGTTAATCCTTGATGCCTTGATCAATTATCACCTGTTACATTCAGAACAGTAGCTTATATACTCACTTTATAGTGGGTGTCTTTTATAAAGTTTTGATTATGCATTTATTTTCATTATACATACACTGTATGTTTGTTGCAAAAGTTAGAAAACAGACATAAGTAAAAGAGAGATGAGCATTGTGTACTTCACTAACATTATTTCAAACATTCCCCACAACAACGCTGAAAGGTAGAGATTTTTTGGTCCATTTGACAGAAGATGAAATTGAGGAACAGTGAGATCAAGGAGTTCACCTAAGTTGACATAATTGGTAAATGGCTGTCAGGATCTTCTGGCTCTATTGCCAGTGCCTAAGTTTCAATTTGCCCTCTTGCACCTCTGCCAGCATCACAAGAAGCAAATGTCCCAGCTAGCTCATGGCCCCAGGAGAAGACTGAGTACATTGAGCAGAGCCAGCCAACTGCCCTACAGTTGGTTAAATAGTGTTTTTACACTTTGGACAAGCCCTTTACTTGGAACTCCAAGGTGTCTTTATTTCTATCAATTTTAAATGAACACAAATAATAAATGTATTTTCAGTATAAAAATTTAAACAATTTAGAAATATTTCAAGTAAAAAGTGAAAGTTCTTCCTCAAAACTTCTATGTCTCATTCAACTTTTCTTCTCAGAAGCAACTGTTGTTATCAATTTGGTGTGTATTTTCCTAGACATTTTCTTATGATTTATAAATACAGTTTATGTGGATATGTTTCTACTTGTATGTGAGAATGTTTGTACATTTTACAGCAGAGGAATCATATTTTGGAGATGTTTCTGTGGTAAATTCTAGTTGACTTCAGTAGTCATTTCCCCATTCTTTATTGATAGAGGAATTGTTATTTGGGCATATGCTACCCAAAATAAAGTTACATTTCCTGCTTTCCCTAACAGCTAGCTGTGACCACTTGACTAAAGGCTGGGCAAAAAATGTGCATAAAAGTGTCTGAGACATCTCCCAGTTCCCTTCTTTAAGAAACAGCTAGTTTGTACTGTTTGAGTCTCTCTTTCTTTGTCCCTCCCTCTATCCTTCTGTCTGTAATGTAGATGACACCCTCATCAACCACAGTGCTGGGACCAGGCACACTGAGCAGTAAGACACAGAGGCCCAAGTGTTAATACCATGGAGTGCCATACTAGCTCTGGTTCACTTTCCTCTGCTTGACAAAGAAATGCATCTGAATTTTACTTAAGCCACTATTATTTTGAAGTTTTCTGTGACTTGCAACTGGTAATAATTCTAGAATTGCAGCAAATAGCAGAACCAGATCGTGTGCTGTTGACTTGGCAGAAGTAGTTAGGTGGTGAAGAGCAAAGGATCAGATATTATTGGCTAGAAAGTTCATGAGCCTTATTTGGTTCCTTGGTCCCTACTCTGCCTTGAAAGGCAGACCACAAACTGATAGAGGCTGCAGGGTTGAAGGAAAAGGAAGAGAAACTGGATGATGTTAATGAAAGTGCTTCTTGCTGTCTGTAGCAAAGTCTCACTCAAGAGAGGTGAACACAGGCCAGAAAATCTAGGGATAAAGTTGGAAGAGAATATAGCTCTATTAAAAACAGACTTTTCTGCCTGGCATCTGCAATCTCAGTTGTCTGAGTGGTTACCTGGAATCCTGTATCAGGAAAAAAAAAAAAAAAAAACCTCTGTACCAACTCCAAATGAAGGAGTTGTAAGCATTGATTCTGCAATGGCAGCCTTAGCAGGAGATAACTATGCTCCAAGTCTTTTTACATCACCTTCTGCTAAGATTTTTCTGTTAGATGATGGAAGCCAGACCAAAGGCAAAAGATCCAGATTAAACTGGTTGTTTCAGAAGACCTCAAGGTGGCCAGTACCAAACTGAGAAAAAGGGAAAGGCAGAGTGCTGATGGTGGGAACGAACAAACGGGAGTCTTCAGGCAATATAGCTTAGTCTGGAGCCAGATTGCCACATTAAGCCGATTCGCTGTGCAACCTTGGGAAATTGCTTAATCTCTCCATTCCTCACAGATTTGTTGAGCTCCTATTATATTACCAGGCACTGTTCTTGGACTGAGGACAACATTGCAAACATAACAAAACCGAAAAATAAAAACAAGGTCCTTGCTGTCCAGAGTTTTGAGTTCTAGTGAGAAGAGAGAATTATCAAGAAAACACATTTAAAAGACAATTTTAATGACAAGATAATTTCAGATAGTAGAAAGTGGAAAGAAACTGAAGCAGGGTGATAGAGAGAGGGCTACCAGTGGTCGTAACATCCAAAGAAAAGTTCCAATTCTACATTGTTTCTAAAATCCATCTGCTTTAATCACTGCTGGGGTCTAAGAGGGCCTAACATATTAACACTCTCCTCCCTACTTGAGTTCAGAAGCAACTGAAAGATAAGGCAAAGAGGTCATGATTGATTGCACTCAGAACATCGGATCTATTACTGAATGTTTTAGTTAGGGCTACTATAACTGCGTAGCTTATAAACAACAGAAATCTATTTCTCACAATTCTGGAGGCTGGAAGTTCAAGATCAAGTGGCCAGAATGGTCAGACTCTGGTGAAGTTCCTCTTGCTGGATGCAGATTGCTAACTTTTTGTTGTATACTCTTGTGACAGACAGCAGAGAGGAGAAGCAAGCTCTCTTGTAACTCTATCTTTATTTTTTTTGAGACAGGGTCTCACTCTGTCACCCAGGCTTAAGTGCAGAGGTGCGATCACAGCTCATTGCAACCTCAACCTCCCAGGCTCAAGCAATCCTCCCACCTCAGCTTCTCGAGTAGCTGAGACTACAAGCACAAGTGCTACCATGGTGGGCTAATTTTTTTTTTTTTTGTATTTTTTGTAGAGACAGAGGATTTTGCCATGTTGCCTAGGCTGGTGTTGAACTCCTGGACTCAAGTGATCCACCTGCCTCAGTCTCCCAAAGTGCTGGGATTACAGGCATGAGCCACCACACCCAGGCTCTTGTGATTCTTAAAACGGCACTAATCCCTTTCATGAGGGGTCCAACCTTATGGTATCATCTAATTCTAATTCCCTTCCAAAGGCCCAACCTCTTACTACTATCACCTTGAGGGATAATGTTTCAACATATAAATCATGGGGACACAGACATTCAGTGTTTAATACTGAGAAAAGCAAAATTTAAGCACATGGCTTGGTCCCTTGCAAAAGATGAACTTTGAAATACTAAATCTCAGAATTAGAGAACTTGCCCATCCAGTCCTTAGTGGTATTGCTTTGTTACTTTTTTTAAATAAAAAAACTAAAGTTTAGCCACTCATCTAACAATAAAGCACAAAGCAGGTAAAAATCTGATGAAAAACACCCTTCACCACACAACTATGAATGATATCTTTAGTATCTTCAGAAATCTAATTTATAAATACTTCCTTGTCTTTTAACTTCATAACAGGCAAAATAACTCATTTGATGCCTTGTGCTCTCAAAATTTTATGTCACCAGCTCAAAGCTGCTTAGTCTTTCAAGTTTTCTCCATTGAACATGCTCATTTCTGCTGGTTTTAATTTCAGTCAAAGATTAATAAAAATTTAAAATACAAAAAGTTAATTCTACAATATCAATTTACACTTACATATGAAACTAGGAATATCACAAAAGGGATAATATCATAGAACTTTGAAGTACACACTCCTATGAAAAGGAAGATTACAATGCTCACTTTAAAGTGGGTTTTTGGCTGGCCATGGTGGTTCACACCTGTAATCCCAGCATTTTGGGAGGCCAAGGCAGGAGAATTGCTTGAGGCCAAGAGTTTGAGACCAACCTGGGCAACATAACAAGACCCTGTCTCCTAGGAAAAAAAAAAAAAAAAAAAACAAAGAAAAAAGACGGGTGTCGTGGCAAGAACCTGTAGTCCTAGCTGCTCAGTAGGCTGAGGTGGGAGAATCCCTTGAGCCCAGGCGTTCCAGGCTACAGTGAGCAGTAATCACATTACTGTACTCCAGCCCTGGCAACAGTAAGACCTTATCTCTTAAAAAAAATGTATTTCAGATTCCTTCCAGTGAACCCAATATAGAGATGGGAAAGTCTAGTCCTGGGTCTTTGCTGCTCCATTCTGATACATCCTAAGCCCAAGTTCATGTTTCTACTGAGGATAGATGGGTTTGGCAGCGTGCCAGAATTACACATTAGGTACATTGGTGTAGAATGTAAATTTGATTATCTCTCTCTCTCTCAACATTTTAGATATTTGAAAATACAGGGCATTATTGATTCTTTCTCTCTCTCTCTCTCTCTCTCCCTCAATGTAGCCTGCAATGTACATTAATATCAAGCCTGAAACTATGGCATAGAGCATTTTATTATCCTGGAATGTCAAACTTTCCTAGGAAGAGAATTTTTCTTAAGGAGAATTTCCACAATCCAGGTGCATGTACTGACATTCTCTTTCCTGGGTATATTATTTTTCACACTCAGTTCTTGTTCTCTTTTCTCCGACATTATAGAAGAAAATTGATGGAACCGAATAAATTAAGAGCCCTGGTCCTTTATCATCTTAACTGTTCGGCTCATTTCATTGATACCTTGCGGAGGCCAGGAGGTGCTCACGGATAACTCCTTTAGAGAAAAGGGCTTTTTGTTTGTTTGTTTTTGTTTACTTTTATGTTCAATTTACCATAAAGAATCTTATACTGCTATAAGAATAAACTGAATAAACAATAAACCCAATAGCAAATATGGTAATTAAGGTTTTGGGGGAAATGATAGCTTTACGCTTTAGAAATTAAACTCCAATATTGTATCTCAAAATATCTATAAAACTGACAAATCTGGTCAGTTTGATTAGCAGGAAGTAAACTAAAAATCTCTAGATTTCATTAAACCCCTAGAATGTAGCATTGAAAAAAGCACTTAGGAAAGTTGTAGGGATTCTCTTTTTGGAGTTGTCTGAAAAAGGATTTCTTTCTTTTAGGAGGATAAGGACTGAACCTTAGACAGAATGTTTTCTCAATGTCTGTTGCACCCTCAGAGTATGTGTGTGTGTATGTGTGTGTGTGTGTGTGCGTGCGCATGCACACACATGCTATTTTCTCTAATTATAGAACAGAATTTCTCGAATTCTCTTGAATTAACAATGCTGGCATAATGGAGTCTTTTTACATGCCTTGTGATGCAAAGCTATATCAAGGTTAAAATAATAATTTGTAGATGAGTAGTGAAAGAGCAATCTTTGTGCTTCCGATTCAAAGAAGTTGAGTTTCCTGTATATTTTCTTTATTTTTTTCCATGTAAGAGGTACGTTGAGAAGAACAATTTTTGAAAGAATTTTAGTGCAAAAGAGTGGGTTCCACTTCTCAATTGCTAAAAATTATCAGCTAAGATTCCCACTTTTCCTTCACATACTGTCTTTAGCTTAAAGAAGACAAGTTCCTTAGGGTTAGTGGGGGAGCGGGAGGTGGGTAGGATGGAGACACAGCCAAGCTTGAAATGGTGCTGACAAGGGCCAGGGCAGGTGGGATCCATGTGGATGCTAGTTCATGTTCTCCAACTGCTTCTTAATGTCAAGTTCAATATTGTTCATGTTGAATGATGTATTTTTGCATCAGTGGAGGTATTCCTGCAAAGCTGAGTATGTGTTCTAGAACACATACTAGTGTTCTAGGAACACTAGAATATGTGTTCCTACCACCTAGAATGCTGGCTCTTCATTTGACTAACACCTAATCATTCTTCAGGTCTAAGCTCAATGTGACTTTCTCTAGGAAAGCATATGTGACTCCTAAATCTAAATTAGGATCCCATTACATTTTTCTCTCTTAGGACCCTGTTTCTTTCCTTCAGAGAAATATATGTATAGAAATATATGTAAATGTAGAAGAATATAATGCATTATTATATATTAAGATCTCGTATTTGTTAAAAGTTCCTCTCTGACGTTCAACCACATGCTCTAGCTGGGCAAGCACCATATCTCAAGAGTGTAGCACCTGGTCGTTGATTGGTAGACAGTCAATCAGTATTTCCTGAATTAATAAATCTGTAAATATGTCCTCACTGTCTCCTCCTGGAATTTGTGAGATTCTCTGACTTCATTTCTAATCAACTTTCTATTGGCTTTATTCCTTATCAATTTAGGTTGTGTTTCATACTTCGTTCATTGCCAAGGGAATTTAATATTTAAAATAGTTCAATAGTAATTTGTTTTGTAAAGAAAAGTTCATTTGATTGTATAAATATTCTGTATTCTTTTGAAGGCAAAACTTATTTTCTCACAAATACTCTCTGGTTTTGGGGCTTTGCACTGCTAGGACAGTGTCCTTTCACAACTGCTTAAACCCATTCATATTTCTATACAGGCACTTTCACCTTCTGTCACTCCCACAACACAATTTAATGAGATTTGGGGAGATTTGTTTCCTGATTTGTTTCCTTTTTGCTTCTGGATGGCCACAGACAGAAATCTGGTTAAGGGCAACCTCTAGATAAGCAATAGATATCAGCCCAGAGCCCTCTAGCTGCTACTCAATCCTTATGCTATACCATGTCGCAGGGGAAAGATTAGACAGATTAATTAGTACTCATTACTGTGGAGCCAGAAGATCTCCTCTTAGTATGACAAAACATAATAAAAGCCATCACATATTGGGCTCAACTGGTCAGAAAGATGGGGCTTCACACCGCAGATGCATACTTTAGCGTTCTCTATCCTGGGACACAAAACTAAGCTAAATAAACAAACCAAGAAACCTTTGCTTGGCTCTCCCGTTACCTCTGGTAACCATCCAATTAATCTTTTTTCCTTTTATTCACAGCATCTCAGATAATTCGGTTTCTATTTGGAATGCATTCTTCTCCAAATAACAGACTGTCTGACTGATTGTTGTTTAAACTGGAGATGATTTTTCTCACATAACAAGAAGTCTGGAGGTGGTTGTTTGCTGATGTTTATTCAGTGGCTCACAAAGTGAGGTCTTGGAATTGGTGTCTCTGATTCTCATGGTTCTTCCCACGTGGCTGTTGGAGCACAAGCAGTTCCCAGCAACCTATTCTCATACACCCATGTTCAAGTTCAGATAGCGGAAGAAGCAAGCAGAGAGCTTACACCGCATTCCCTTCCCCTTTAACCAGGCATAAGGAATATCCCTCAAAGGAGTCCCAGTTTCCTTTGCCTCCTCTTACACTTCATTGGCCAGAACTGGGTTTCATGCTACCCCAGCTAAAAAGAATAATAATAAGTAATAGGTTTTCCAACCCTTCTGTCTGTAGGTGACAGATAATGGATAAGGGAATTGGAGATGTTTTTTGAATAGGTACAAAATGGTCTGCAATCGATTCTGATCTGGAACTCTGCTTAGTCTTTTGTAATCTCATATATTATAGCATCAAAACTGCATTCTTGGTGGTGACATTCTCCTCAGACTTTAAGATATTCCTTTTCTCTGTTTGGTGCCATACTCCTCATCTGAATTTCCTAAAAATGAATGGCACACAATGAGCAAATCACACATATATATGGTACATTAAGCAGATAAGCAGAACATGTGCTATTTTCAAAAGACTTCATCTTTCTTTTTATTTTCAAATACTTTTCTCCCCATTGCCCCACTAGGGTGTTGTTTTCCTTTTTCCATGGACCTTTCTCAGGTACTGCAATTCCTAGAGTAATAAATGTAGATGTTTACACCAGGTTACAGTATTTTTGTTTATTTATATAGATAAAGCAAGATTCAGTAATTTCATAATTTGGGATATTCAAGGGAATCATTATGGTGAGTTTTTTTATATTTATTATTCTTTGAAAAGGTGATATAGATAGAAAGTCCCCAGCTTTTCTAAAATACACATTTTAATAAAAGTCTGCCCATGCTAGAGGTATTATCATATGCTAGTAAGTCTTCACTCAGTCACAGTCTTTCGGGGTTTATTCATCAACTCATAGCACATAATCTATTACTGACTTTCTACTTGTGGTACTTGTGGTGACTTGTGCAGTCACCCAGTGCCCCTGAAGGGCAAGTGGATTCACATTCACTTCACTAAGAATGAAAAGAAAAAAATGGACAGATGTTCTTGGTAATGGTTGGCATTTCAGTGTGTAATGTATAAAGTTACCTAATATGTTAGCCTTTCACATGAAAGAAAGAAAATAGAATCCATATAATATTCCTGTAACTGTGGCTGGTTGAATAAATTGATTGACCTGAACTACTTAAAGTTTTTTCATCTGTACATAATTAATAATAAATGCATTCTGAAAGCTGAGCAATTTTATTTGAAATTCATTTATTTGATAGCCTTCATTTGACCTCTTTGAAAATACCCTGCAGCTCTGCTTTTTGTTTGCTTCTTTGATTGGGCACGAGAAATCACTCATGCATAGACATTCCTACTGACTTACTCAATGACACTTTCTTTTTTGCATACAAATGCTCTCTCTAATTTTTTACTGTCATCAAATGTTCATGCTATATCATCTACAAATATGAAGACTGTGCTCAATTAAACAGAGTTTAGTGTTCAAATAAAATACACAGAAAAGTTTATCTGACACATATTTAATGATGTGCTAATTGTTGTGCTGCATGGTAATTGGGCATAAATGGTAAGCCACTCATGTCATACCAATGGAAAATATATTTATACAGACAGACCCAGCATTTTTATATTCAACAATGGGAAGTAATTGGAAGTGGGGGGAATGTGAATTGGGATGTACCTTGACTGGTTTATTTACCTGTTACCTTCTAGCTCTATCAGTTCCAACCTAAGGAGAGGTATCCGGAATCTCCAGGTCTTTCCTGTATTGATTTTCCCAGGATTTAGATGGACTAACATGAGCTTGTGTAATCCAGCATATAAACAGAGCCAAAGACAAAAACCACATGATTATCTCAATAGATGCAGAAAAAGCCTTTGACAAAATTCAACAACCCTTCATGCTAAAAACTCTCAATAAATTAGATATTGATGGGACGTATTTCAAAATAATAAGAGCTATCTATGACAAACCCACAGCCAATATCATACTGAATGGGCAAAAACTGGAAGCATTCCCTTTGAAAACTGGCACAAGACAGGGATGCCCTCTCTCACCGCTCCTATTCAACATAGTGTTGGAAGTTCTGGCCAGGGCAATCAGGCAGGAGAAGGAAATAAAGGGTATTCAATTAGGAAAAGAGGAAGTCAAATTGTCCCTGTTTGCAGATGACATGATTGTTTATCTAGAAAACCCCATCGTCTCAGCCCAAAATCTCCTTAAGCTGATAAGCAACTTCAGCAAAGTCTCAGGATACAAAATCAATGTACAAAAATCACAAGCATTCTTATACACCAATAACAGACAAACAGAGAGCCAAATCATGAGTGAACTCCCATTCACAATTGCTTCAAAGAGAATAAAATACCTAGGAATCCAACTTACAAGGGATGTGAAGGACCTCTTCAAGGAGAACTACAAACCACTGCTCAAGGAAATAAAAGAGGACACAAACAAATGGAAGAACATTCCATGCTCATGGGTAGGAAGAATCAATATCGTGAAAATGGCCATACTGCCCAAGGTAATTTACAGATTCAATGCCATCCCCATCAAGCTACCAATGACTTTCTTCACAGAATTGGAAAAAACTACTTTAAAGTTCATATGGAACCAAAAAAGAGCCCGCATCGCCAAGTCAATCCTAAGCCAAAAGAACAAAGCTGGAGGCATCACACTACCTGACTTCAAACTATACTACAAGGCTACAGTAACCAAAACAGCCTGGTACTGGTACCAAAACAGAGATATAGATCAATGGAGCTTGGGCTTCTCAAGCACTTAGACGTGGGTCTTAATGTGTTGATTATTTTAAAGAAAAGAGACTCATTAAAGGACTAGGGTGTCAGACAACTTTGAGAGAAAGAAAACTTTTCCACATATAATTTTCTTGGCATAAGACCCCAAGAAGCAGTGGCTCATTATGGTTATGTGTAGAGAAGTCAGAGTTTGTGTACTTATCTTCAAAGGGCTACATATTACCAGGCAGGGTGTGGAGGACACTTCATAAGCTTAGGTGATCATGATGGTAGACCTGTTATTGTTGACTCAGTAGGTATGGTAGGCAGAATTCTAAGATTGTCCCCAATTATCCCCATGATTCCTGCCCCACTGGTATATATGCCTTATGTAATCACTTTCCCTTGAATGAGAGAAAAACCTGTGAATATGATAGAATATTATTTATGTAATTAGGTTACAGTATGAGGCAAAAGTGAGAGAATTTTGCAGATATAATTAAGGTCCCTAATCAGTTGATTTTTAAAATGTCCTCAAGATTTTATTTTATTTTACTTTATTTTATTTTTATTTTCATTATACTTTAAGTTCCAGCATACATGTGCAGAATGTGCAGGTTTGTTATATATGTATACATGTGCCATGGTACTGTTTAAGCCCCACATGCATTAGGTATTTCTCCTAATGCTATCCCTCCCCTTGCCCCAAACCCCCCAACAGCGCCTCCCTGTGTCCATGTGTTCTCACTATTCAACTCCCACTTATGAGTGAGAACATGCACTGTTTGGTTTTCTGTTCCTGTGTTAGTTTGCTGAGAATGATGGTTCCCAGCTTCATCCATGTCCTTGCAAAGGACATGAACTCATTCATTTTTATACCGGCAGAGTATTCCATGGTGTATATGTGCCATATTTTCTTTATTTAGTCTATCATTGATGGGCATTTGGGTTGGTTCCAAGTCTTTGTTATTGTAAATAGTGCTGCAATAAACATACGTGTGCATGTGTCTTTATAGTAGAATGATTTATAATCCTTTGGGTATATACCCAGTAATGGGATTGCTGGGTAAAATGGTATTTCTGATTCTAGGTCCTTAAGGAATTGCTACACTGTCTTCCACAATGGTTGAACTAATTTACACTCCCACCAACAGTGTAAAAGCATTCCTATTTCTCCACATCCTCTCCAACATATGTTGTTTCCTGAATTTTTAATGATCACCATTCTAACTGGCATGAGGTGGTATCTCATTGTGGTTTTGATTTGCATTTCTCTAATGACCAGTAATGATGAGCCTTTTTCCATGTTTGTTGGCTACATAAATGTCTTCTTTTGAGAACTTTCTGTTCATATCCTTTGCCCACTTTTTGATGGGGTTGTTTTTTTCTTGTAAATGTGTTTAAGTTCTTCGTAGATTCTGGATATTAGCCCTTTGTCAGATGGATAGATTGCAAAAGTTTTCTCCCATTTTGTAGGTTGCCTGTTTACTCTGATGATAGTTTCTTTTGCTGTGCAGAAGTTCTTTGGTTTAATTAGACCTCATTTGTCAATTTTGGCTTTTTTTGCAATTGCTTTTGGTATTTTAGTCATGAAGTCTTTGCCCATGCCTATGTCCTGAATGGTATTGCCTAAGTTTTCCTCTAGGGTTTTTATGGCTTTAGGTCTTATGTTGAAATCTTTAATCTATCTTGAGTTAATTTTTTGTATAAGGTGTAAGGAAGGGGTCCAGATTCAATTGTCTGCATATAGCTAGTTAGTTCTTCCAACACCTTTTATTAAATAGGGAATCCTTTCCCCATTGCTTCTTTTTGTCATGTTTGTCTAAGATCAGATGGTTGTAGATGTGTGGCATTATTTCTGAGGCCTCTGTTTTGTTCCATTGGTCTATATATCTGTGTGTGTGTGTGTGTGTGTGTGTGAGTTTATCATTACCATGCTGTTTGGTTACTGTAGCCTTGTAGTATAGTTTGAAGTCAGGTAGCCTGATGCCTCCAGCTGTGTTCTTTTTGCTTCAGATTGTCTTGGCTATACAGGCTCATTTTTTTTTGTTTCCATATGTAATTTAAAGTAGGGTTTTCTAGTTCTGTGAAGAAAGTCAATGGTAGCTTAATGAGAATAGCATTGAATCTATAAATTACTTTTGGCAGTATGGCCATTTTCATGATATGGATTCTTCCTGTCCATGAGCATGGAATGTTTTTCCACTTGTTTGTGTCCTCTCTTATTTCCTTGAGCAGTGGTTTGCAGTTTTCCTTGAAGAGGTCCTTCATGTCCCTTGTAAGTTGTATTCCTAGGTATTTTATTCTCTTTGTAGCAATTGTGAATGGAAGTTCACTCATGATTTGGCTGTCTGCTTGTCTATTATTGGTTTATATGAATGCTTGTGATTTTTGCACATTGATTTTGTATCCTGAGACTTTGCTAAAGTTGCTTATCAGCTTAAGGAGACTTAGGGCTGAGACAATGGGTTTTTCTAAATATACAATCACGTCATCTGCAAACAGAGACAATTTAACTTCCTCTCTTCCTATTTGAATATGCTTTATTTTTTTCTCTTGCCTCATTGTCCTGGTCCAAACTTCCAATACTATGTTTAATAGGAGTGGTGAGAGAGGGCATCCTTGTCTTGTGCCAGTTTTCAAAGGGAATGCTTCCAGCTTTTGCTCATTCAGTATGATATTGGCTGTGGGTTTGTCATAAATAGCTCTTATTATTTTGAGATATGTTCCATAAATACCTAGTTTATTGAATGTGTTTAGCATGAAGGGGTGTTGAATTTTATCGAAAGCCTTTTCTGCATCTATTGAGATAATCATGTGGTTTTTGTGATTGGCTCTGTTTACGTGATGAATTATGTTTATTGATTTGCCATTTGTTGAACCAGCTTTGCATCCCATGGATGAAGCCAACTTGGTCATGATGGATAAGCTTTTTGATGTGCTGCTGGATTTGGTTTACCAGTATTTTATTGAGGATTTTTGCATCGATGTTCATCAGGGACATTGGACTGAAATTTCCTTTTTCTGTTGTGTCTTTGCCAGATTTTGATATCAGGATGATGCTGGCCTCATAAAATGAGTTAGGGAGGAATCCCTCTTTTTCTATTGTTTGGAATAGTTTCAGAAGGAATGGTACCAGCTCCTCTTTGTACCTGTGGTAGAATTCGGCTGGGAATCCATCTGGTCCTGGGCTTTTTTTGGTTGGTAGGCTATTTATTACTGCCTCAATTTCAGAACTTGCTACTGGTGTATTCAAGGACTCGACTTCTTCCTGGTTAATCTTGAGAAGGTGTATGTGGCCAGGAATTTATCCATTTCTTCTAGATTTTCTAGATTATTTGCATAGAGGTGTTCATAGTATTCTCTGATGGTAGTTTGTATTTGTGTGGGATCTGTGGTGATATCCACTTTATCCTTTTTTTATTCTTTTAGTCTTGTTTTTTTGAGAGGGGGTCTCTCCCTTTGCCCAGGCTGGAGTGCAGTGGCACGATCTCGGCTCACTGCAAGCTCCGCCTCCCGGGTTCGTGCCATTCTCCTGCCTCAGCCTCCCAAGTAGCTGGGACTACAGGTGCCCACCACCATGCCCGGCTATTTTTTTGTATTTTTTTTTTTTAGTAGAGACAGGGTTTCACCATGTTAGCCAGGATGGTCTCGATCTCCTGACCTAGTGATCCACCTGCCTCAGCCTCCCAAAGTGCTGGGATTACAGGCATGAGCCACTGCACCTGGCCACTTTATCATTTTTTATTGTGTCTATTTGATTCTTCTCTCTCTTCTTTTTAGTCTGGCTAGTGGTCCACCTATTTTGTTAATCTTTTCAAAAAAAACCAGCTCCTGGATTCATTGATTTTTTGAAGGGTTTTTCATGTCTCTATCTCCTTCAGTTCTGTTCTGATCTTAGTTATTTCCTGTCTTCTGCTAGTTTTTGCATTTCTTTGCTCTTGCTTCTCTAGTTCTTTTAGTTGTGATGTTAGGGTGTCGATTATAGATCTTTCCCACTTTCTGATGTGGGCCGTTAGTGCAATAGATTTCCCTGGAAACACTGCTTTAGCTGTATCCCAGAGCTTCTGGTACATTGTGTCTTTGTTCTCATTGGTTTCAAATAACTAATTTATTTCTGCCTTAAATTTGTTATTTACCCAAGTAGTCATTCAGGTGTAGGTTGTTCAGTTTCCATGTAGTTCTGTGGTTTTGAGTGAGTGTCTTACTCCTGAGTTCTAATTTGATTGCACTGTGGTCTGAGAGACTGTTAGGATTTCCATTCTTTTGCATTTACTGAGGAGGGTTTTACTTCCAATTATATGGTCAATTTTAGAATAAGTGTGGTGTGGTGCTGAGAAGAATGTATATTCTGTTGATTTGGGGTGGAGAGTTCTGTAGATGCCTATTAGGTCCTCTTGCTCCAGAGCTGAGTTCAACTCCTGAATATCCTTGTGAATTTTCAGTCTCATTGATTTGTCTAATATTGACAGTGGGGAGTTAAAGTCTCTCACTATTATTGTGTGGGAGTCTAAGTCTCTTTGTAGGTCTCTAAGAAATTGCTTTACGGATCTGGGTGCTCGTGTATTGGGTGCATATATATTTAGGATAGTTAACTCTTCTTGTTGCATTGATCCCTTTACCATTATGCAATGCCCTTCTTTGTCTTTTTTGATCTTTGTTGGTTTAAAGTCTGTTTTATTGGAGACTAGGATTGCAACCCCTGCTTTTTTGCTTTCCATTTGCTTGGTAAATGTTCCTCTATCTCTTTATTTTGAGCCTATGTGTGTCTTTGCATGTGAGATGGGTCTCCTGAATACAGCACACTGATGAGTCTTGACTCTTTCCAATTTGCCAGTCTGTGTCTTTTAATTGGGGCATTTAGCCCATTTATATTTAAATTTAATATTGTTATGTGTGAATGTGATCCTGTCTCATGATGTTAGCTGGTTTTTTTGCATATTAATTGATGCAGTTTCTTCATAGTGTTGTTGGTCATTATATTTTGGTATGTTTTTCCAGTGGCTGGTAACGGTTTTTCCTTTCCATATTTAGTGCTTCCTTCCAGAGCTCTTGTAAGGCAAGCCTGGTGGTGACAAAATCCCTCAGCATTTGCTTGTCTGGAAAGGATTGTGTTTCTCTTTTGCTTATGAAGTTTAGTTTGGCTGAATACGAAATTCTGGGTTGAAAATTCTTTTCTTTAAGAACGTTGAATATTGGTTCCCACTCTCTTCTGGCTTGCAGGGTTTCTCCAGAGAGATCTGCTGTGAGTCTGATGGGCTTCCCTTTGTGGGTAACCCGACCTTTCTCTCTGGCTGCCCTTAACATTTTTTCCTTCGTTTCAAGCTTGGTGAATCTGACAATTATGTGTCTTGGTGTTGTTCTTCTTGAGGAGTATCTTTGTGGTGTTCTCTGTATTTCCTGAATTTGAATGTTGGCCTGTCTTGCTAGTTTGGGGAAGTTCTCCTGGATAATATCCTGAAGTGTGTTTTCCTTCTTGGTTCCATTCTCCCCGTCACTTTCAGGTACACCAACCAATCGTAGGCTTGATCTTTTCACAAAGTCCCATATTTCTTGGAGGCTTGTTTCGTTCCTTTTCAGTCTTTTTTCTCTAATCTTGTCTTCATGCTTTTTTTCATTAAGTTGATCTTCGATCTCTGATATCCTTTCTTCTGCTGGATCAATTCAGCAATTGATACTTGTGTACACTTCACGAAGGTCTCATGCTGTGTTTTTCAGCTTCTTCAGGTCATTTATGCTCTTCTCTTAACTGGTTATTCTAGTTAGCAGTTCCTGTAACCTTTTGTCAAGGTTCTTATCTTCCTTGTCAAGGTTCTTATCTTCCTTGCTTCCTTGCTTTGGGCTAGAAAATGTCCTTTAGCTTGGAAGAGGTTTTTATTACCCACCTTCTTGAAGCCAACTTCTGTCAATCTGTCAAACTCATTGTCTGTCCAGTTTTTTGCCCTTGCTGGCGAGGAGTTATGATCCTTTGGAGGAAAAGAGGCATTCTGATTTTTGGAATTTTCAGCATTTTTTGTGCTGGTTCTTCCTCATCTTCGTGGATTTATCTACCTTTGATCTTCGATGCTTACGACCTTTGGATCGGGTTTTTGCATGGGCGTCCTTTTTGTTGATGTTGATGCTATTGCTTTCTGTTTGTTAGTTTTCATTCTGTCAGGCCCCTTTTCTGCAGGTCTGCTGGAGTTTGCTGCAGGTCTGCTGGAGTTTGCTGCAGGTCCACTCCACACCCTGTTTGCCTGGGTATTACCAGTGGAGGCTGCAGAACAGCATGTTGCTGTCTGCTTCTTCCTCTGGAAGCTTCATCCCAGAGGGGCACCCTCCAGAAGCCAGCTGGAGCTCTCCTGTATGAGGTGTCTGTCAAACCCTGCTGGGAGTTATCTCCCAGTCAGGTGGCACAGGGCACAGGGACCCACTTGAGGAGGCAGTCTGTCCCTTAGCAGAGCTTGAGCACTGTGCCAGGAGATCCACTGCTCTCTTCAGAGTCAGCGGGCAGGAATGTTCAAGTCTACTGAAGCTGCGCCCACAGCTGCCCCTTCCCCCAGGAGCTCTGTCCCAGGGAGATGAGAGTTTTATCTATAAGCCTCTGACTGGGGCTGCTGCATTTCTTTCAGAGATGCCCTGCTCAGTGAGGAGGAATCTAGAGAGGCAGTCTGGCCACAGTTGCTTTGCTGCACTGTGGTGGGTTCCAGCCAGTCCGAACTTCTCAGTGGCTGCGTTTACACTGTGAGGGGAAAACTACCTACTCCAGCCTCAGTAATGGCAGATGCCCCTCCCACCACCAAGCTGAAGCATGCCAGGTTGACTTCAGACTGCTGTGCTGGCAGCGAGAATTTCATGCCAGTGGATCTTAGTTTCCTGGGGTCCGTGGGAGTGGGACCCACTGAGCAAGACCACTTGGCTCCCTGGCTTCAGCCCCGTTTCAGGGGAGTGAATGGTTCTGTTTTGCTGGGGTTCCAGGTGCCACTGGGGTATGAAAAAATACTCCTGCAGGTAGCTTGGTGTCTGCCCAAACAGCTGCCTGGTTTTGTGCTTAAAATCTGGGGCCCTGGACCAGATAGCACAGTCCCTCATGGCACAGTCCCTTATGGCTTCCCTTGGCTAAGGGAGGTAGTTCACTGGCCCCTTGCACTTCCTGGGTGAGGTGACACCCCACCCTGCTCTGCTTGCCCTCCAGGGGCTGTACCCACTTCTAGCCAGTCTGAATTAGATGAACCAGGTACCTCAGTTGGAAATGCAGAAATCACCCACCTTCTGCATTGGTCTCGCTGGTTGTTGCAGACCAGAGCTGTTCCTATTAGGCCATTTTGCCAGATCCCCCAATCAGTCGATTTTAAGTTTATCTAAGTGGAGATTATCTGGGTGAGTCTGACCTAATCAGGTGAGCCCTAAGAGAGAGAGTCTTCTCCTGGCTTTGAAAAAGTAAGCTGCCATGTTTTGAGATAGTCATGTGTCTGTGACCTGAGGACATCCCTAGGAACTGAGATCAACCCTGGCCAACAGTCACCCAGAAAATTGGGAACTACAGTCCTATGACTACAAGGGAGTAAATTCACCAACAACTTGAATGAGCTTGGAAAAGGTCCTTGAGCTTCACATGACAGCATAGCATTAGAAACGCCTTGCTTGCAGGCCTGTGAGACTTTAAGCAGACTCAGTGAAGCTATGTCTAGGTTTCTGACCCACAAAAACTCCCAGAAAATAAAAGGATATTGTTTAAACCACAACTTAGAAAACTAAGATATTTGGACTGAAGTATTCATACATTTAACAAATAGTTATTGAACACTAACTATGTCTTCTGTCCTGTTAATCCAATCTGCACTTGGATATGGAGACAAAATTAGGTTTTATTATATTTTGTATAACTGATTGTATTTTCATAAGCCTTCCACCAGCTGGAGTAATTAATAGAGTGAAAAGTTTAAAATTGTCAATTAAAATCATTTCAGTCCCTTCCTATTTTAAACCTTCTCATTTCATGTAAGTATTCAGCCAATTTGAAGTCCAGCTCCATGAAGAACATTTCAACACTGTGTACCTTCCCCACTCCACTTCACAAGTTAGCATGGTAAGGACTTAAGCCTTCCATGTAATCATTGTAATGGAGAAGAGATGGGTCCTTAAATCCATGCAGTGGCCACTAGTCCCTCACTGGTGTCAGCTGTGAAGTGGTTGGCCTGGGTTACTTTCTGGATGGTGACCGCTAAGTTAGGACTGATCCTATCCCTGATGTTTCTGTGGGTGCCAGCTGATGATCTGTGCCTGGTGTAGGTCATGGTCCTGATTCTCTTGACTTGGGCTAGGCCTCAAGTAATCCCTGGCTGACACCGCCTCACTCAGCCCCTCTTCTGAGACTCCTCCACTTGTCTCTGGTTTGGGTGTCCCACCTCAATCCTTTGCCCAAGTATATCCAATGTCAGAACCTCTGGTTCTAGCTCAGCTTTCATCCACATCCCTCAATTCTGGAGAAACTTTAAATGATGCAATCATTTACACAGCTCTTTGGGATAACACTTAGTATCTATTTGTAAAAATGTACATTTTGTCATATTTCCACATTGCTCTTGTCAAAGAGGGTGTCGTATATTTGGAGAATGTTGTGACTTCAGCAATGAAGAGGAGATGGTGTGCTTGGATATATATACTGCTTCATAAATAATAAATACAGTGACAATAAATACAAAATGTTTAATTCATACACACATAAATATACTTTGTAGATGTATTGATATATTATCTATCTATCTATCTGCACACACAATGCTCTTTGTTGTTTATAACACACATATGTCTTAGCAAGGGATGCTCCCTGGCTTTGTGCCCATTGAAGGCTGATGGTCCAGCTCCTGGTCATCTTATAGGTGTGTGCTCCTGATGCCTAACACCAGCATATCCTGGTCCATTTCTTACTCAGCTTGGTTGTGGCCTCATCATTTTTCCTGCCACTTTGGGCCACTTTGGTGCTCACTGGCTTTGTAGACTCCCCTGCTTCCACCTGCTCCTAATTCCCATCCTCAGATTCCTATGAATCAGATGGAGCATGAATTGGGCTTTCTCCCTTTTCTGGTCAAGATTTACCCAACATTATTATGGCTTCCTCTCTTACAGCAGCAGTGATCTGAATCCTAAGTGCTTGTTTCTTGGTTTGCTAAAGAATTTAGAACATACTAACTTCCTTCAGCCTATTGCCTTACTGCAAAAAGCCCTCTTTTGAACATGAGAAAAGGAAAATTAATTTGATTCTCTCTCCATTCCTAAGGTAATAATCTTAATATCTTCTCCTCATTTCCAATAAGCAGGTGAATGCCTCAGGCCAGGTAGAGAGTCAGGTACTCAAAAATGCAAGATAGGAAAATGTGACTATTTTTAAGGCTGTTACTTAAAAGTACACAGAGTATTCGATAGTGAATAAAATGGAACAATCTCTGCTTCATGGAGTTTGTAGCCTACTGAGGTAGACAGATATTATACAAATAAATATATAATGCTAATTTGTGGTGTTTTGAAGGAAAACAGCTGGTAGGGGAGAGAATGAATGGGGTTGACAGTGGTGAGAAATAGTTTAGACAGGAACATCAGGAAAGGTCTATCTGAGACACAACAGAGACTCTCAGATGAGTGGATGTTGGCCAAAGCATAGGGGGAAGACATGTAGGAGAGTTCTAAGGTGGAAGAGGGTAAGAAAAGGCCTATGTGCCTTCATATCCCGCACAACGCAGAAGCAAAAGTCCTATCACCAACAACACCCTGCCAGGGTATAATCCCTCATTGGCTTGCCAACCTAATGCTCTTGTGCTCTTTTATATCTCTGACCTCATCCTCTACTTCTTTACTCTTCATTCTGTCTGAATTAGCCATACTTGCTCACTTGATGTTGCTCAAGCATGCCAGGCAAGCTTCCAACTCAGGGCCTTTGCACATGCCACTTTTTTCTGGCTAGAAGGCACTTTTGCCAGGTAGCTGCAAAGATCACTTCTCACATTCTTCAGGTTCTTCCAAAAAATTCAATCTCTTCATAAGACCTGTCTTGGCCACCTTCTCTAAAACTCCATTTCCTTCTGGTCTGTCATTTTATGTCACTCTTCCCTGCTTTTAGTTTTCTTCTTAGCACTTATCTTTATCTAATATAATACATGTTTCATTCATATATCTTATTTATTGCCTGTCTCCCATGTAATGTAATGTAAGCTGTAAGGACAAGGGATTTTGTCAATGTCATTCACTACTGTATCTTAGCAATTAGAATAGTGCCTAGCACATAATAAGCATTCAATAAATGTTTGCTGAATGAATAATGATGGACACATCTGTTTGGTTTGTGGTCCAGTTGATTTGCTTTCTTCCCTGCACTGTGGAGTTTCTTCTCCCTCAGTCCTTTTGTGCCCAATCTTGGGCTTAACCTAGTCCATGTCATTCCAGTCTCTCTGCGTGAGATTCTCCAGCAATCTGAAACATCTCTTGGGTTTTTACCTGTTGATTCAAATTGTATTCCTTTCTTCACATCTTTAACAGTTATTTGTGGAGCACTTATTATGTACCAGGCACTATTCTGGGCACTGGGGATATGGTAGCAAGAAAGACAATATCCCTCTCTTTATGGCACTTAGATTTTAAGCCAAGTTTTTTTTTTCCCAGAGATTCTATCTTGTGACAAAAACATCTTCTGCCTCCACCTGCCACAATGCAACAGGAACGACAGCAGCCAGCTTCACCAAATGTGGCACAATAGAGCAGGATGTGGGAGCAAGAAATGAGAGAGAAGCCTGTCTGATACAAATCTTCCAGAAGGACACAGAGATGCTTAGCAAGCGTCCTGCAGAAGAAATTATTTAGCTGGGAGGGGTCAGTGAATTCTCTATTTATGGATAAGCACAAGCTGGCTATCCAATTTCCCACTACTGTTTATCTTCCTAATTACATGATAAGGAGGATTATTTTATTCTAATTTTGTTCTTAAATAAATTAGAATGGCCACTGAGGAAGAATGACTACATCTGTGTGTGCTATAAAAAGCAATGAAGCATTGTCATTTTGATTCTCATATGCACATGGTTTTATAAAACTTGACTGCTCACATTTGAACATGCCATTTGAAACACACATATTGTATACGACAAACTATACATTTCCAATGGCAAATACCCACAGAAAGTTAACTGGAATCATCGATGGAAAAAATCTGACAGGTACCCATTGCTTGCACTAATGTCTTTCTGTAGGGATTTCTGATGTATTGAAACAATTACTATGAATACAACTGGAGATATAGTATTATACACATTCAAAGTGTTGAAAGATAGCTAAAGTATTCTGGGGAAAATTAATTTTTACTAACATTGTAGCTAAGGACAAAGGATTATAAACTTTATATTACAGTATCTAGTTACTTAGGCATTACATTTGAAAGAACTATACGGTATTTTCACACATAACTGAATCTTAATAGCTAATATCATTTTCATATTTTATGTTAGGCCATATAGAATTCTTGCCTTGTGAATGCCAGATGTTTTCCATAATAATGTCAACTTTTAGCATAAATGGAGAATCTCAGACTGTTTTTAGGTTGATTTGAAAAAAATACATGCTAGCATACTGCCTATTACAGTGTTACAACTGCAGGCTCTTTCAGGGTAGGGATGGGCTGTTATCCATGCTTGTTTTTCCTCACACAATGCTAGAGTACCAGGCCCATAACCTCATATATAGAAGGTACTCAATATGAGTAGAATTAATGAAAGAACTGGCATATAAATAGGCTGGCTTAGAGAAACAGAGGTGTGAGGAGTTAATCTTCACACTATTCACTTAAAAGGTAAATTGCATAAACATGGAGCCAGACTGCCCGAGTTCAAATCCTAACTCTGCTACTTACTTCATCTTGTGCTTCAGTTGCCTGCTCGGAAAAATGGGATAATAGTGGTATCTACCTCATAGGCTGGTCATGAGGATTAAATGAGTTAATTAAAACATGTAAAAGTTTACAGCACTGCCTGGCACATGGTAAGGATACAATAATAGTAGCTACTATTATGTAAGATAAGTACAGATCTTCAAAAAGGAAACATGAAATATAAGGCTATTAAGGCCTTTCTACACTTTCCCCTACACATCCCCTTTCCAGATACATGAATACACACACACACACACACACCTGTGCACAAGCATAAACCCCTCATAAAACTAAAAAGAGAAGTTCCTCACAGGCTACGAGGAAAAATACTCGATTACCCACTGGGGATCCTGATGTAGTGTCTGCCCCTTTAAATGAACTTGGCCTGCCCTCCTAAACCTGAGCTAGGATTATGTAAAAAGCCCCTGGAAGGCCTCCAGACTCCATTTCTGGAATTATTCTAGGTCACTTTCCATCTGCTAGTAATGCTAATCCTTGATCTTGGTGTGACTAGAAAAGCTTTTCAGATATTAATTTATGTGGTTTTCTCCCTGTATCTTTTCTTTTTCAATGCCCCTGACTACCTTCCTCTCCCTCTTCCTCCTTTCCCCACCTCCATTCAAGTTGAACCTTGATCTCAGCTCTCTGGCTTCAGTGACTGGTGGAGGTGGGTAGAAGGTTGGGGGATGTTGTTATGGTAGAAAGCATCAGTAATCTGCAAAATGACCTACTTTCTTTGCTAAAAATCTAAGCCCACAAGATAATTAATTATAGGGGTGGTAAAATTGGTAGAAAGGTTAAGTCAATTTATGGGAGTAGGATAGTTTAGAAAAACACAAGGGGAGAAAGATTTTATGCAATGTTTAAAAAGGTTCTATTTTTATGTGACAAGGTTTGCAATCTGAGGGTTTTATCAGTAAAAGAGACTTGATTATTGTTCATTGATAAAGTCGAAACATGCATCACGATTCTAGAGAGGATTGGCTGTGAAGTAGTCTGGGAAACTAGAGTTATAGGCGCCTCATTAAAGATTTCCATGTGCAAAGCTCAGGTTGGAAGTGATAAAGAACAGCAGAAAGGGGGCATGTGGACAAAGATTATGGGCTTCTCCAAGTAATCTATGTGGACAGTAAACCAAAATCCAAAGTGCTCCTTCACTGTACTTTGGCAATGCTTAAAGTTTTGGAAGTGTAGCAAAATGCCTATGGTGAAGAAACCCCAAGAAACAACAGGTAAAGCTTTCCTCTTGTCTGGTTGGATGGGGCTCAAAATAGAAATGAATTTGATGTACACAAAATAAAGAGGTATGATGGTTCTGGCAGGTGTTTTTACCATGCTGCAGTTCTTACTCTTTCTTCTGTTAAAAAAACCCTGATCCCCTTAAGGGGATTTCTGTCTCCTCCATTTGAGGAGACTTGATGAAACTGTTGGTCCAGTTTTCCTGTCTTTCTATAGCAAAGGGAGGAGGGCAAATGACCCACACTACATCAGTTAGGTTCCCCCTTTTAGGACTTTGATTCTTGAGAGGGATGATGCAAATACCAAGCAGCTGTTGGATTTGATTGCCCCAGTGTCAGCAGTAATTTGTTCCTGCCACCTAGATATTCAGAGCTGCCTTGGGTTCTGCCCTTTGCAAGTCCAGCTCTTTGGGTTTGCCTTTGATTTTGAGAATTGCTCCATTATGCTTCCACTACATTGTTTCTCAAGTCAGGAAGGCTTTTGGTATAAATACAAAGTTAGAAAGAGTTGGTATTTCTTGTTACAATGCATAAAACTATCAGTTCTAGTAACTATTTTACCATCCCACTGTGCATAGCTTTGGATTGAGGAACTAGTGGTGAATTGCAGTTGTAGTTGGCCTTGACTTCTTGCTAAGATATGCATTTTAGTATCCCCTTTAGCTTTAAAGATTGACCCTTTTAATAAGAGATGACTCACCCTTCCCCTGCCTCAGCACAAGTGACTGATTCCTTTAATTTCCCATCTCCCAGAATCTGCCTTAGAGACAAGTTCCAGAAAGGTGGCCAGCTGATCCAAAATCTCCTGATCAATTAAACGGTGGTCCATCTATCTCAGTAAGTGCCAAGGTGAAGTTTTGCTCATATCCAGTTAAGAAAACATGAACATAAATTAATCTTTTGATCAGTGTTTGATGTCAAGATCTGGATTAATTTTGTCCCAAAAAAAAGTGTTTTAACAATTTTTTTTTTACTCCTTTGCGCTATTTCCTTTTATCTGAGTTGTAGCTTTTGTTTGCTGTACAAATGCCAGGCTGAAATTTTTATTTTATTACAAATAATTAATCTCAAAATTTTAGTGAATTCAGAATTACAATTCAATTTCGAATGTCTTCATTTGGTATTTGTAAAAAATGTAACTTGAATATATGTTAGTGTTGTTTTGAGTTATGCAATAACAAATTTAGTTTTACATGTTAGGTACATAATTACTTAATTTTGAGTGTATCTATTTCCTCCATTTTTTGTAGTAGATTATCTTAGTATTTCAACATATAGTATGAGAGAAGATAAATGGCACTTAATGTATTTATTTTAAAATTCTTAATAGTTTTTATTTGTAACTTATTGTATTTTAAGATAAACCATTTTCAGAATAACAAAGAAAATTAAGCTAAAACACATTTTGTATTTTCTCTCCAAATTTACTTTCATCACCTTTTACAATTTGTATTTTCTAAAGTCAAGTAATCAAATACTTAGAAATGACCTTGGCTGGGTGCGGTGGCTCACGTCTGTAATCCCAGCACTTTGGGAGGCCAAGGTGGGCAGATCACGAGGTCAGGAGATCGAGACCATCCTGGCTAACATGGTGAAACCCCATCTCTACTAAAACTACAAAAAATTAGCCATGTATGGTGGTGGGTACCTGTAGTCCCAGCTACTTGGGAGGCTGAGGCAGGAGAATGGTGTGAACCCGGGAGGTGGAGCTTGCAGTGAGCCAAGATGGCACCACTGCACTCCAGCCTGGTTGACAGAGCAAGATTCTGTCTCAAAAAAAAAATAAATAAATAAAAAAGAAATGGCCTCAATAAGCAGAGTGCTCAACACATAGTAAGTGCTTAGTTAAATATTTATTTTATCAATTAACAAGGCAATTTGATTGCTTTTATTCACTACGAACTATCTTGCAAAGTATTAGACCACTCCTTTTTTTTTTTTTTTGGAGTTTTGCTCTTGTTGCCCAGGCTGGAGAGCAGTGGTGCAATCTTGGCTCACTGCAACCTCCGCCTCCTGGTTCAAGTGATTCTCCTGCCTCAGCCTCCTGAGTAGCTGGGATTACAGGTGTGCACCACTAATCCAAGATAATTTTTTGTATTTTTAGTAGAGACGCGGTTTCACCATGTTGGCCAGGCTGGTCTCGAACTCCTGACCTCAGGTGATCCACCTGCCTCGGCCTCCCAAAGTGCAGGGATTACAGCCATGAGCCACCATGCCCAGCCTAGACCACTCTTCTTTATTTGTCTCTTTTCATAGATCCTGAGAGATTAATTCATAGATTTTTCAGTTATGTCTGTTTCCAGAAATGCTTTCAGTTTGTCTAAAGTGTTTACATGAAGTCAGATTCATTCACTGTATAAAGTTTTGTTGCACATCTATTATGCATTGGACATTGGGCTGACCTAAAAGGTGAACATATGATTCCTGCCTTCAAGGAGCTTGAGAAAGTTGAATAATGAACAGATGATGACAAGAGCGAAAAATGATAAGTGCAATTAATGGTACGTCCAGAGGACCAGGACTAAACAGAAGTATACTTCAGGAAGGTTTTGGGGTTAGAAAAAGATTCACAGAAGATGAGCTCACTGATTTTTAAAAAGTTTAAAAATTCAGTAAAAGTTTTATTGCTCAGTTTGGGGCTAAGAGCATCTCAAGCATACTTGTCTCTGCCTTCAAAATAAATCTTATCAGATAAGGCTAAAGTAGAACAATTAAGTAGCTAAACAAAAGTAGGCTTTTACAACACCAAAAGCATAATTCATCAAATAAAAAAGATAAATTAGACTTATCAAAGTTAAAACCTTTTTCTCTGTTAAGAGAATGAAAAGACAATTTACAGACTGGAAGAAAATATTTGCAAATCATATTATCTGGCAAATATTCTCATATTCAGAAGACACAAAGAAATTTTGAAACTTAACAATAAGAAAACAAACAACCCAATAAAAAATGAGCAACAGATTTGAACAGACACTTTACCAAAGAAGTATGAATAGCAAACAAACACTTGAAAAGATGCTCAACATAATTAATCATTTAGAGAAATGCACATTAAAACCTGAGACACCACTACACACCTATTAGAATGTCTAAAAAAACACAAACCAACAATACTGAGTGCTAGTGTGGATATAGCGCAATTAGAACTATCACACATTGCTGGTGGGATTGCAAAATTTTACAGCCAATTTGGAAAGTAGTTTGTCAGTTTCTTATTAAGACACACTTACCATATGACCCATCAATCTACTTTTTATCCAAGAGAATAAAAACTTATTTTACATAAAAACCTTTATATGAATGTTTATACATTGATTCACAATGTCCAAAGGTGGAGACTATCCAAATGTCCTTCAACTGATGACTGGATAATCTAACTCTGAGACATCCATATAGTGAAACAGTACTCAGCAGTAGAAACACGCTACTGGTACACTCAATAATGTGGATGACTCTCAAATGCATTTTGCTAAGTAAAGAAGTCAGACCCCCAAATCTTCATAATGTATGATCTCATTTATGCAGCATTCTAGGAAAAGCAAAATTATAGGGAGAGAACAGAGGATTGGCAGAGGGCTGACTACAAAGATACAGCACAATGGGGATTTTCAGATTGACGGACTGTTCTGTATTACAATTATAATGAGAAATATGACTATGTTTTGTCAAAACCATAGGACTATATACAACAGAAATTACATTTTACTGCATATAAATTTTAAAAATGAAAACAGTAGAATTTCTACATTCTCGTGTCTTCCCCCAAATTATACATAAGGAAATAAACTCAATTTTTAGTAGAATGCCCTCAATATTTATAGTGGGTAAATAAAAGTATGGACTTTTTAGTTATACATATATATGTGCATATATACATATTGACAAGTGCTAAATCCAGGTTGACCAGTTGAAGTACAGAAGATTGAACAGAGAAAATCAATTTTAAATTAATTAAATTACTGATAAGGCTTAGTTTGGGCTACTGTAACAAGATACTGGAGACTGAATAGCTTATATAAGCAAGATAAATTTATTTCTCACAGTTCTGGAGGCAGGAAGTCTGAGATCAGGGTGCTGGCATGGGTGGACTCTGATGAGGGCCCTTTTTTGGGTTACAGACTGTCTTCTTCTTGCTGTATTCTCATATAGTGGAAAAGGTGAGAGAGTTCTCTAGGGCCTCTTTTATAAGGGCACTAATCCCATTGATGAGGATTCCATCCTCATGACCTAATTGCTTCCCAAAGACTCTACCTCCTAATACTATCACATCGGGATACAGACTGTCATCTTCTGTCTATAATTGCCTCCCAAAGACTCCACCTCCTAATACTATCACATTGGGATACAGACTGTCATCTTTTGGGATACAGACTTTCATCTTCCTGCTATATTCTCATATAGTGGAAAAGGTGAGAGAGCTCTCTAAGGTCTCTTTTATAAGGGCACTAATCTCATTGATGAGGATTCCATCCTCATGACCTAATTGCCTCCCAAAGACTCCACCTCCTAATACTATCACATTGGGAATTAGGGCTTCATTTTATGAATTTGGTGTGTGTGTTGGGAGAAAACACAAACATTCAGTCCATTGCAGGCTCTTCTGCAAAAAAATGTATGAAAATAAAGATTAAGGGTAACTCACATGGAGGTACAAAAGCATCATCAAGAAAAATCTACAAATGGTGAGAAAGTAAATCTTGCCTTTTGGTTTTAAAGAAGAACCTTCGTTTTCAGTTCTGGCTTACCATTGACCCTCAAATAAGTTGAAAAAAGTAGGCACTAAAAGTTCCAGTACCATATGTATTGGGAATTCCCAATAAATCAGATCTATTTTACTAGTTAGGACTCCTTTGGTTGCAAACAGCAGAAACCCAATCTCAACTAGATTAAACAGTAGGGTAATTCACTTGCCCACAGAAACCAGAGGATGACAGAAAAAGGAAGGTGTAGGAAACTGAGACAATACAATAGATCAGATTATTATTTCAGATCTTTACCAATCTTTACCAATAATTTCAGAGACATAACTAATATGAGACATAGGTGAAGCAGACGAATGTTCTGGGACCACCAATGTAGGTCCACACATCTTTTCTTATATCTGGATGCATTCTGGCCCAAATTGATATACAATTACTATAAACAATGCATGAGGCCACATTACTCACACAGAAGAATGTTGTTTGGTTATGAAGCATTTTCATTTTATACCCAAATACAAAATGAAGTTTTAAGTTATAAGTTATATGGTTTACATGAGGCTTTCCAGATAGCCATGCCTCATAAATCCATAGATTCCAGGTTTGTTTATTATAAGTGATTCTACACAGACCAGGTATATCTTTCTGAAGACACTGTATGAATGACAATTCTCCTTGTAATTTTTATTGGTGTGTCTTCCAGAAGGTCAGCCATTCAAGGGTTTACAAAGAAATTTTTCCAGGTCACCTTTCTCATTTTTCTCTCTGGATGTGCCACCTCCTCATTGTCTCCATGAAAAGGAGAGAATGGGTGTAGTCTTGCAATTTTCTTCTTGGAACCAAAGCCTCAAGGACCTCTTAAATCAGGGACTCCACTTCACCAAGAAGTTTCTTTCTTTTTCTTTCTTTCTCATCCTTTCTATATCTCAATCTCTGCTTGTCTTCATTTTGCCAATGTTCCTTCCTTATAGTTTGGAAAATGGCTACCAACAAACAGCTTGACTTTAGAAACCTTGTGCTATGGTCTGAATGTTGGCATTTCCCCCAAATCCATATGTTGGAACAGAATCCCCAATGTGATACTATTAGAAGCAGGACTTTCAGGTGATAATTAGGCCATGAAGGTTTCCACTCTCATGAATGGGATTAATGCCCTTATAAAAGGGCTAGTGGGAGCTTGCTTGCCCTTTCAGCCATGTGAGGGCACAGCAAGATGGTGCCATCTATGAGAAATTGGCTCTCACCAGACACTGAATCTGATAGTACCTTGAGCTTGGATTTCCCAGCCTTCAAAATAAGTTTCTGTTGTTTGCAAATTACCCAGTCTAAGGTATTTGTTATAACAGCACAAATGGAGGATGACACTCCAGTAAATAGAATTATTTTTTATTTGTTTGTTTCCGTCTCAGAATCCAAGGAAAAATCTTAAATGTTCCCTGTCTGGCTCATGTACCATCTCACTGTTGTTACAGAATTCAAGTCTGGGATCAAATGAAATCAGGGGAGCAAGTTTCTTTATTTAGGAAGAGAGCTAGGAGAACTTCCTGGACTGCTAAAAAAAAATAGCTGAGTTCACCAAAACATCTGAATCATTCTTGTTTTAAACATAACCAGAGTTCAGTCAGAATCCCAGTATTTTGTTAATTGGTATATTCTTATAGACACTTTTATCCATGTTTTACTAGGTGTGAGTTTAAAGTAAGACCTTTAAAAAAAATTACACCAAGTTAACATAGAATGATTATTTTTCAAATTTTTTTTTTGGAAGAGGAAGTCATACTCTAATGTAAAATAGTCTTCAAATATTTAAAAGCCTTTTGGACTTTTGTATATAAATGCTTTCAAAACCAGTTTGTGAGTTTTACATTAGAATTATTCTTATTAATTTATAAAATCATAATAAATTTTATTGTCTGTGGTCAAATGTTTTATCATTAGCATTTGTCTTAACAGGAAAAATGGAAAGTTATTCAATATATAGAGACAAAAAAATTTCAAAAGTCTTTAGGGGTCAGATCAGTACAAAATTAACAAACAATATTTTACTCTGTAACTGCATGCAATTCCATTAAATGGAATACTTGCTATAAAGAATAGAGTGGCAATAAATCCTTAAGAGTATGAGATTTGGCACACATTTCAAAATAAAATTTATGTTTTTTGTGAAAATGCTGAAAGATTTATTTTCAATTTTGTTTTATGATATATATTTTGTCTCCATGACCAATGAGTTGGGTGTCCTCTTGGAGATTTTATATATATATATATATATACACACATATATGAGATATATAATCTTGGAGACGATATATATATCTTGGAGATATATAATCTTGGAGACGATATATATATCTTGGAGATATATAATCTTGGAGACGATATATATATCTTGGAGATATATAATCTTGGAGACGATATATATATCTTGGAGATATATAATCTTGGAGACGATATATATATCTTGGAGATATATAATCTTGGAGACGATATATATATCTTGGAGATATATAATCTTGGAGATGATATATATATATCTTGGAGATATATAATCTTGGAGATGATATATATATCTTGGAGATATATAATATTGGAGATTTTATATATATATATATGTGCCATATTTATGCAGGCAAAAATACTCGATTATAACAAAAAATGTGGACTTTGATCATTCTGTGTGACTGGGAAGTAATGTGCTCTGGTCACCATTTCCTCCTCCTTCAGCCTTTAGATAGACAAGGATTACTTCAACTTAGTTTACTAGATACCCCAAAGGCACCAGGTCTGGGGAAGTTATTCTCAACCTTCCTGTAATTTTCAGGGTCTTTTTTTGTGTCTTTGCTAATTAGCTTAGGACAACCTTCAAGGAAGTTGTTTTGTTTCATCTTCATTTTTGCCAACAGTGCTGTTTGGGTTCTGAGGCGGATAGAGAAAAGTCCCCCTGAGAAGGAAAGGCATGGGTTTGGGCACAAAAACAACAGCAGCAACAGCATCTAGTCAGCTCATGTCTTCTTGGCTTTTGGTAAGGAGAGTAACAGAAATATGCCCTCCCAAGCACAGTGAAGAAAAAAAAAAGTTCTTCTCTAGACCTTCCCAGAGGGGTAATGTTTCTGTTAAGAATTTTGGAAAGATGAGTAGGACCCAGCAGAAGGTCAGGTGAGAGCAGAGAGAAAAGAAATCCAAGCCAGGGTAACACTGTGTAAAATGCAGCCATTCAGGAACTGAAAGCAGCTCATTGTGGATAAAGACTGGGGTGTTGGGCTAGGAAATTTCCTGGTTTTAAAGGAATTTGTATTTCACAATGTAAATTATAGAGTCCATTTGAAATAGATAATTGATATGAATAGGCTGCAGTTTTGAAGAATCAGTCTTGGAGTTAGAGTATAGATATGGGCAGATGTGATCAGAAGCAGGGATGAGAACCAGCAATATTCCACGTGAGAAAAGCAGGAGAGTTGAGCTTATGCAGGAGCAGTGAGAACAGAACAAAAGTTGTCATAATCTATTGGAAGTGAGAATTGAGAGAGAAGAAGGAGTTCTTCATATTGTACCAAGAAAAATCTTTGCAAAAGTTAGTTATGATAATCCACTCACCTTGCTTAAAATGCCTTCATTGCCTTCATGTTCTTCTTAGACAAAAAGATAAAATTCCTTATCTACCTTTGCATCTCTAGTACTTATTATATAGTAGACACTAAAGAAGTACAAATATTTTGCATCCCATCTCCTCCCTTTCCTATGAGTATGTGCCATTTAAGTTGAGCTATTTTGCCCCTTGAGGGTGGAGAGGGATTTTAAAGAAGACAAACTGAGGTTATTGTCAGGGGCAGAGCTGGAAGCAGCATTTGGGACTCACAGTGCCAATCTTGATGTACATTATCCAAATAAGATAGCTAAGATAAAATTCTCAATAAGCTATACATTTTGATACAAATATAAAAATTATTTTTATGCTTTTTTGCACATTTTACACTTGCTGAGTTGGTTCTCAGTCTTTGGTTGAATGTTAATAAGTATTTTGAGGGTCAGATATGCAAATCTTATCTCAGCATAACTGCAATCTAAGACTGTTTATTATTTTAAAGGACCTTTTTCATATAAGCAAAACTCAGGAGTATTTTTGAGTGTAAAATTTTGTCAAGATCATCTATTTCTATAAATGCATGCCTTGAGGTCTTTTTCTGAGCATAGTTAACCCATTTGGGATAAACATGCTTAAAATAAAATGGTCTTACATCAAATAAATATTGACACGCTTTTTAAGGTCATTTGACACAAGGCTAGAATATTAACAGAATATTGATGCATGTGTTTTCACCAATAACTAGAATTAAAATTCACTGCATTCATTTTATTATATAAATCTCAAGTATTAAGAAATCATATTAACTCATTTTGAGTTTTCATAGTCATTGTTATACCCTAAGCATCTAGTACAGGTACATAAGCTATTCACATACAATGTTTATAAGATGTTTTTCATATCCCATTTTTAAAAATAAACTTGAGGACCTAAGATGATAAAACAGAAGATTCTTTCAGGCTATTATAAATCTCTGCATGTTTCATTCTTTCTTTTCTATACTATGCTTCACAGGTAATAAAGGAAACAAAGAGAATGAGAATTGGGTTTGGAAAGGCAAAATTAGAGAGGAAAAATGGTTTTTATTATTGAGATAGATGATGGATTTACAGAGGCAGGACAAAAGATCCAGTCATTCTTCTAATGAATATTTTTGTTCCACATCAAAGCACAAATATGTTCCAGGGTTTGTTCATGAGTGGGTATTCATTATGATGAGAGATATTTCTTCTTGGGTGCCAAATAGCAGGGAATACACTTTATCCCAATTTAAAGCTAAACCCATATTTTGTTTATTTAAAGAGAGCTGGCAATACCTTCATATCCCACAGAATAATCTCTTAGTTTCTAGCTTCTAAGGGGCAATCCCAAATTTTCTCTCTATCTCAGAGGAGGATTTGGCTAAAATTAATTTTAATAAACTATTTCCTAGTTTTGGTCAGTGCATGTGTGTTTGTGTATGTGTGCGCACACCTGTGTTAGAAGGGAGGTTGTTCAATTAAAAAGAGTTAACACTTATGATTGCTTGATAAGGGGCAAAGTGGATCTAGCATCTTCAGTTTCTGAAATGAAATAATTAAGATGATCCCTCTATAAGATGATCCACTCTTTTTCCAAATTCACTCATGATCACTCTTGCAGTGCCTGCTTCCTAAAGCCACCTTGGGGTCTGCTTTGCTGTCGTTGCTCTCTTTGCACTGGCAGTTCCTTCCATCTTTTCTCTCCTTCTTTTATTTAAAAGAGTGTTCCTGGCCGGGCGTGGTGGCTCACACCTATAATCCTAGCACTTTGGGAGGCCGAGGCAGGTGGATTACCTGAGGTCAGGAGTTTGGACCAGTCTGGCCAACATGGTGAAACCTCATCTCTACTAAAAATACAAAAATTAGCCAGGCATGGTGGCAGGTGCCTGAAAACTCAGCTACTTGGGAGGCTGAGACAGGAGAATTGCTGGAACCTGGGAGGCAGAGATTACAGTGAGCCAAGATCGCAGCATTGCACTCCAGCCCGGGTGACAACAATGAGACTCAATCTCAAAAAAAAAAAAAAAAAAAGAGTGTTCCCAAACCAAAACACCAAGTTCAAAAAGATTGCCGCCATAGTCAAGGACAGGTCATAAAGCTTTCAAATGAGGATGTCAATTTAAGAAAATATAACAAATAAATTAGATACCAATAGATTCAAAATTTTATAGATAATAGGTAGTCAGAATGCCCCCCCAGTTGTGTGATTGCCCTAATCCTGGAAACCTGTGACTGTGTTACATGACCTGGCAAAGGGACTTTGCAGGTTGTATTAGTTAGGGTTCTCTAGAGGGACAGAACCAATAGGATATATGTATATATGAAAGTGAGTTTATTTGGGAGAACTGGCTCACATGATTACAAGGCAAAGTCCCCCAATAGGCTGTCTGCCAGCAGGGAAGAGAGAAGCCAGTAAGTGGTTCTGTTGGAGGCCGAAAGCCTCAAAACCAAGGAAGCCAGTAGTGCAGCCTTTAGTCTGTGATTGAAGGCCTGAGAACCCCCGAGAAGCTGCTGGTGCAAGTCCCAAAGGTGGAAGAACCTGGAGTCTGATGTCCAAGGGCAGGAAGAATGGAAGCAAGTGTCCAGCATGGTAAGAAGAAGGCAGCCAGCCAGTCTCACCTTCTTCTGTCTGCTTTGTTCTAGCCATGCTGGCAGCCTGTTGGATGGTACTCACCCACATTGAGGGTGGGTCTTCCTCTCCCCACCCATGACTCAAATGTCAATCTCTTCTGACAACACCCTCACAGACACACCCAGAAACAATACTTTACCAGTTATCTAGGCATCCTTCAATCCAATCAAGTTGACACCTAATATTAACCATCACACAGATTAATTAGAGATAAATTAAAATAGAGAGGTTATACTGGATTATTTATCTGGGCCCAATCTAATTGCATGAGCCCTTAAAAGCAGAGTACTCTCTCTGGCTGGAATTAGAGAGATGCAGCAGAAGGAAAAAAATCAGAGGGATGAGAAATGTGGGAAACACTTGACCCCATGAGTCTGTTCCTGGAGGGGGTCAAATGGAAAGCAGGAGAAGAAATGTGGAAAGCAGGAGAAGAAATGTGGACAGCCTCTGAGAGCAAAGATGAGCCCCTGGATGACAGTCAGCACAGAAACGAGAGCCTCAGCCCTCAACCACAAGGTACTGAATTGAACAATCCACCTATATGAACTTCGGAGAGGATTCTTCTCCACGACATCCAATCAGGAACGCAGCCCTCCTGACATCATAATTTGGGTTTTGTGGAATCCAAAGAAGAGAAAGCCTACCCAGACTTCCAACCTACGGAAGCTGTGAGATAAAACATTTTGGGTTGTTTTAAGCCATTAAGTTTGTTTTGGCAGCATAGAAAAGTAACATATAGAGATATGGATTCTAATCAGAAGTTCTATTTTTACCACTAAAGGTTAAAACATACTTGGGGTAGCCTTTTCTCAACGTTTTACTTTCTTTTTATCAGGAGGGTTTAGTCAGGACAAAAGAAACCATTGCAGGTATTTCAAGCAGGAAAGATTTAACACAACATACTAGGCACTTTATAAACAGAAAACAAAAAAAAGCGTTGAGGAAACAAAAGTCAGGAAAACTGCCTCACAAAATATGGAAGTTGAAAGAATCACAGGGAATCACCACTGATGATCTCAGTTATCTGTGGCATCACAATAAGTGATCATCAGCAGAATGTCCGGAAGCCACTGGTAAAATTTCATGTCTGCAGTATTCCTGCCTTGCCCTGCGGGAAGAAGAATAATGGCTTCTTCCTCGGTTCTGCTTTCCAAATCTCATGTGACTGCCTCTCACTGGTGGAAGCTAACTCAGATCCCAGGCTTCCAGCCCCTGTACTACAGAGAAGAGCACAGAAGGAGAAATATGGCCCCGAGGGGCTAGCATATTCCTCTATCTCATTGTTCCCATTGCATTGATACCCATAGGCAGAAAATTAAGCAAGGAAAAAAAAAGGCAAGAAAAGAAAAGGAACACCAGCCACCAAAGCACTTAGCGATTTCAGATTCAGACATTTACAAAGTGAAATTGCAAAAGAGTTTCAATTCTTCTTTGCAAGCTCCATTCTACCTGGATGAGTGCCATCACCCTGTCAGGATATTTTTTCTGTGTTTATACAGAATCATGGAATGCTAGCAGCTATACCTTAATTCTTTCCTTTTCAATTTTGCTCTTTTTACAAAGGAATGGAAAGTCTATTGAGGTTACTGAATACTCCAAGTCAAGATAGCTAGTTAGTAACTAAACAGGGTTAAGGTCTTTTGAAGTCTTTCTCATTTCCCAACTCACTGTCAAGGTCTACAGAGTCTGAGATTTGATACTACTTGCAGACTAACAAGTTTGCCTGCCACTGTTTTGTGGATACTGGCAGAAGACACAGGACTCTTGGGTCAGAGACAAAAGACTTCAGCACTCATGGGATTGAAGTTAGCCTGCTACTGTTTTGTGGATACTGGCAGAAGACACAAGACTCTTGGGTCAGAGACAAAGGATTTCAGTATTCATGGGACAACAGTGGCCAGAGCAGATACTATACATCCTGTAGGTTTGCATCACAGTCAAGGAAGAGTAAGTTTGAATAATTAACTGGTTTTTTTCAGCAAATGGAAGCAAGCTTGTTCTTTGTCTGGTGAGACACCTTACCTCAATCCTCAAGGTTGCTCACTGCAAATATAAATCTCAGCAATGGCCCAACTAAAGGGCCTTGCATTCTTGGCATAACAGCAAGAATATGCAGCTGAAGGACAAAGGCAAATTGCGTTTCCCGACACCCACCAAGAAAGGGAGGACTGGAGTTATAATTAAAAGTTATAATTAAAAGTATTTCATATTTACTACATGCAAAATAGTATGTTTAATATACTATTGTACATGCTATATGTACATGCTATTCTATTTCTGAAATTTGTCTACAAGTCTGCATGTTGTTATAGTTCACTTTTCACTACTATATAGCATTGCATTAGGTGAATATGTAACAGTTTATTAATCCAGTCTTCTGCCGAACAGTTGAGCTGATTTGCAGTCTTTTTCCATTATGCTACTATAAATATTTTTGCATATATTTCCTGCTACCTATGTTTAGAAGTTTCCCTAGAGTATGTGATTAGGTGTGAAATTACTTGATTATTGAGGCTAAAAATAACTATGTATTTATTCACAATTTGTGTTTTCTTGTCTGTGAATTCCCCATTCATATCCTTTGCCCATTTTTTGATTGGGTTGCTTGTCTTTTTAAATTTATTAAGAGTTCATAATTTCATCATGGATTCATAGTTAAAACCAAATCTCTTAGTAATAGAAAGTAACACTTTTAATTCCCCATCCACCCAAAATGGGGGGGTATCTATAAAAAAAAACTCTGATTTCTTGAGGCCAGGAGTTTGAGAATAGCCTGGGCAATATAGCAAGACCCCATCCCTAAAAGACAAAAAAGAACCCTATAATTTCTAATATTATTTTAATGGCAATATAATAAAAGCATTTTCTTTAAAGGGACTAAACAAGGATGCTCTGTGTCATGGTTTCTATTAACTATTGTATTGGAAGTCTTACCCACATCAATAAGGCAAGAAATTCAAATAAGATATAAAGAGATAGAAAGTAGAACGAAAATGGTCATTAGTCACAGATAATTGTCTAATTATAAAAGCCAAAATTATTTGTGGAAAAATTATTAGAAATGGTAAGATGAATCACATTTGTAGGTTTTTTGTTTTGTTTTTCTATGAGACCACTTCTATGTGTATTTGATGATCTTTTATTGTGATCTCTCATGCTTGGCTGGTTTTAATCTGTGGACACTCTGGAGGCCTAAGTTGACAATTCTTTCCACCAGTGAGTATTTATATTTGCTTCTCACTGGAGTCAGGGAACACCACAGATCCGGGACCACTTTAGTTACCTTCGGGGTTTCAGGTTAGAACCTGAACCACTGATTAAGCTCCTTGAAGTGGTTGCTGGCAAGAGGCTTAGTTTTCTTTTTGCAATGCTGACGTTGATTTTGCCCTCAGACAACACACTCCTTACATGTTAGCTTACATTTAATGTGCTGGTTGCAGTTTCAGCTTTTTTTTTTTTTTCCAGGGAGAGGGTAGTGGTGATAAGAGATTTTTCTTACTTCCTATTAGCTAAGCAACATGTTAAAAAGTATGTTTTATACAGAATCTAATTGCTTTGTATTGGAAGGGATTTTTTAAAAACATTGTTTTTCATTTGGCCCCATTGTTTTTTTTAAAGTCACCCTTACAGTTTGAAATTTCTTGTCTTGTGGACTACCAAAAATCAAGGTGTGGCCAGCACTTCTGGTTTCCTACTTAATATCAATTTTTCCATTTCTTCCTAATAACAGAACTCCAATTTTATTCTGGCTTGAAGTGTCCAGCTAAAAAAAACCTCCATTTGCCAGTCTTTCTGGCAGCTAGGCATGCTCATGTAACTCAATTCTGGTCAATTATCTGAGGCCATAGTCCTTTGCCTGAAGTTTCAGGAAAACTTCTTGACAGAGGTTGACTTTGTTTTTGTGTGTCCTTTTGTCCTTTCTTCCCTTCCTCAATTTTCTTGCCTAAAAGGTTAGTTAACTGTGATTATGATTGAGAGCATGGTAAAAGAATCCCAAAGACTTCAGTACTAAAGTTCTTGCATCACTGTCCTTGTCTTGGACTTCTTGTATATGAAAGAAAAACCACCTTGTTGAATCCATCATTAATTAGGTTTTCAGTTACATATATTTGGATGCATTTTCTGACTGATATATTTGGTATCTGATTTTGATGTAATGTTTACTTAGTGTCTAAATAACTTTAAGTAGGTTTTCAAAAAAAATCACAGTAGCAAATCACATTTATTTTATATGTTTGATAATTTAAAGTGTTTGGCTTTATTGTGGTTAATTACAGAAGCAGATGGTATTAGATACACCTACGCTTGCTATTTCAAGAAAACCTCATTGAAGCTATAATTTGATCTCATTCTAAGGAAAATGAAAGTATAATTTAAGTCAATAATTATTATCTGATAGTAGATATTTTTCATGATGAACACATCTTACATTCCCAGTTAGAAAATGATCTGATTCAATTTATAATAATGCCCTATTATTTCTTCCAAGTACAACCATTAATGTACTTTAATTCGTATTATGTTGAGTCTGCTTTAAAAGCACTAAGGGTTATTTATACATTGTTTTTCCACTTGTTGCTAAGAAGGAAAGTAATAGAATTGACTATCCCTTAACTATTTCATTTATTTTAACTTACTTTGTTTTTTTTTTGGAGATCTGGTAACTATTGTCATCCAGATGGCCATACTGGATAAAACTCACATTCCATATTCAAAATTAACAGTAAATGACTTTTCAGGTTTGGAAGATAGGGCAGTTTGACTTTGCTATATAATCTTTACTGTCAATATTTTAATCAACTGAAAAAACCTCATTCCATCTCAAGTTCTATCCTCAGGCAGAGTTGTAATAATCATTCCTAAAGTGAAGGAAAGAATTTAATAGAAGAATAGAATTTAACTAAAAGAAATAAATAGAAGAGGAAACTAGAAAAAAGTGGATGCTTTCTCCACTTTGAGTTGAGGCTTCACGGGATAACCTTGAACTACTCAATCTGATTTAAATGTCTCACTTCAGTGCTTCCAGAGTTCCAGGTGCTACCAAGACAATATCTCACTGAATAATCTGGAGGACCCACTGGAGACCACTGGATGACTATAGGCTCAAGGAGCAGGCAGGCAGGATTAAAAGGTAAATAGTAGGCTAAACCATGAGCAGGGGGCTGTGGATCTCCAACAGCCGGGTAGCAACAAAAGGAACTTAGCACTTAATGTTTCCCATGTGCCAGGCACTGTGCTAGGTGTTTTATATGTATCATCATACTTAATCCTCTCAGTAAACCTAGGAAGAAGGGACTTAGTAACTGCATACCGAAGACATCAAACTTTATGGATATTCTTGAGCCTCTTCAGCTTCCTCTTATCTGTTGTTCTTATTCCACTGCAGAATACAGCAGTGAAGACCTTCAAATCAAACAAACTAAACATATGCTTGAAGGTGGGCTTGTGGGTAGGAATTCGCTTGTGGTGTTTTTTATCTTTGATTTTTCCCACCCTACTTAGATACAAAGACAACACAGAAAACCATTCCTACTAGCTTCTTCTGTGTGGCAAGATTTTTTTCTAACTTTGTTTCTACACTGAGGCTGTTGTTCACTGTTGGTCCCAGCTTTATGCAAGAGTCTCCAACACAGCCTCCTACTCTTCTTGGCCACAGGGCCTCTGTCTCCAGCTGTTCTAGTCTGTTCTAACACTGCTATATAGAACTACCTGAGACTAGGTAATTTATAAAGAAAAGAGGTTTAATTGACTCACAGTTCCATAGGCTGTACAGGAGGTCTCAGGAAACAGGCAATTATGGCTAAGGGATGGAAGGAAAGCAAGCACAATCTTCACATGGCCGAGCGGGAGAGAGAGAGAGTGAAGGAGGAAGTGCTACACACTTTTTTTTTTTTTGAGACAGAGTCTCACTCTGTCGCTCAGGCTGGAGTGTGGTGGGATGATCTTGGCTCACTGCAACCGCCACCTCCCGGGTTCAAGGGATTCTCCTGTGTCAGCCTCCCAAGTAGCTGGGATTACAGGCATGCACCACCATGCCCAGCTAATTTTTTGTATTTTTAGTACAGAAGGGATTTCACCATGATGGCCAAGCTGGTTATGAATTTCTGACCTCAAGTGATCCGCCCACCTTGGCCTCCCAAAGTGCTAGGATTACAGGTGTGAGCCACCGTGCCTGGCCAGCTACACACTTTTAAACAATCAGATCTCATGAAAACTCACTCACTATCATGAGACCAGCAAGGGGAAAATCCGACCCCATAATCCAATCACCTCCCTTCTGGAACATTGGGAATTACAATTCAACATGAGATTTGGGTGAGGACACAGAGCCAAGCTATATTGAGAGGTGAAAACATGCTGGCAGCCCTTGCTCTCTCTCAACGCCTCCTTGGCCTCGTTGAGGAGCCCTTCAGCCGGCCGCTGCCCTATGGGAGCCCCTCTCTGGGCTGGCTGAGGCCAGAGCCTGCTCCCTCTGCTTGCAGGGAGGTGTGGAGGGAGAGGCGTGGGCGGGAACTGGGGCTGCGCCTGGCGATCACGGGCCAGTGCAAGTTCTGGGTGGGCGCTGGCTCGGCAGGCCCACCGGCCCACCTGGCAGGCAGTGCACTCGGAGCTGCAGGCTGGCGCCACCGCCCCGGGCAGTGAGGGGCTTAGCACCCTGGCCAGCAGCTGCGGAGGAGGCGCTGGGTCCCCCAACACTGCCGGACGGCCTGTGAAGAGCTCAAATTCTCACCAGGCATCAGCCACCTCCCCCGGGGCAGTGCTCGGGACCTGCAGCCTGCCATGCCTGAGCCCCCTGCGGTGGGCTCCCACGCAGCCCTAGCCTCCCCGACAGGCGCCACCCCATGCTCCGCCGTCTCCAGTCCCATCCACCGCCCAAGGGCTGAAGAGTGCAGGCACCCAGCTCAAGACTGATGGGCAGCTCCACCCGCGGCCCCAGCGTGGGATCCACTAGGGAAGCCAGCTGGGCTCCTGAGTCTGGTGGGGACTTGGAGAACTTTTATGTCTAGCTGGAGGATTGTAGAGGCACCAATCAGCACTCTGTGTCTAGCTCAAGGTTTGTAAATGCACCAATCAGTGCTCTGTGTCTAGCTAATCTAGTGGGGACATGGAGAACTTTTGTGTCTAGCTAAAGGATTGTAAATGCACCAATCAGCACTCTGTATCTAGCTAATCTAGTAGGGATTTGGAGAACCTTTATGTCTAGCTAAAGGATTGTAAATACACCAATCAGCACTCTGTGTCTAGCTCAAGGTTTGTAAACACACCAATCAGCACCCTGTGTCTCGCTCAAGGTTTGTAAACGCATCAATCAGTGCTCTGTGTCTAGTTAATCTGGTGAGGACTTGGAGAGCTTTTATGTCTAGCTAGAGGATTGCAAATGCACCAATCAGCACCCTGTCAAAACGGACCAATCAGCTTTCTGTAAAACGGACCAATCAGCTCTCTGTAAAATGGGCCCATCAGCAGGATGTGGGTGGGGTTAGATAAGGGAATAAAAGCAGGCTGCCTGAGCCAGCAGTGGCAACCTGCTGGGGTCCCTTGCACGCTGTGGGAAGTTTGTTCTTTCGCTCTTTGCAATAAATCTTGCTGCTGCACACTTTTTGGGTCCGCGCCGCTTTTATGAGCTGTAGCTGTAACACTCACTATGAAGGTGCAAGACCACGAACCCACCGGGAGGAATGAACAACTCCAGACGCGCTGCCTTAAGAGCTGTAAAACTCACAGCAAAGGTCTGCAGCTTCACTCCTGAAGCCAGCGAGACCACAAACCCACCAGAAGGAAGAAACTCCGAACATGTCCGAACATCAGAAGGAACAAACTCTGGACACACCGTCTTTAAGAACTGTAACACTCACTGCGAGTGTCCGCAGCTTCATAGTTGAAGTCAGCAGCGAGTCCAAGAACCCACCAATTCCGGACACAATATTATCAGTGTACAAATTTCTCAGTAGAATCCAAGTTCTAGTTCACTGGGGATTTTCAGATGGTCCCAGCCAAATGCCAGCTCCAGAGCTTGCTTACTGTGTGGATTCCTACTTACTGAGTCCTTCTGGTCTCCTTGAACTTTTACCATTTTCCTGCCACTTTGGTCATGCACTGGAAAATGTCTTTGATCTCTTTGCTTTTGTTTTGTTTTATCCAGTGTTATGTGTGCTCTATTGTTACAGAATTTCTCCAGACATCTTACCAGAAATAGAGATCTGGACTTTGTTGAGGAAATGTACTTGACAGATAATTTGGAGGTCATGTTACAAACACTTAGGGATTAGACTGATAGGTTAGAAAGATGAAAGTGTCTGGATTGACTCCAAGATTTCTGGCTTCAACAGATGAATTAGTGCCCTTTGTTCATTGAGTTAAGACAGCAAGAAAGAGGCATCAGTTTTGGGGGAATGATGATGTATTCAGTTTTGAAAACCCATTTTGTCAACAGATGAAACTAATTTTCAGCTTTCTATTTGTAAACTGAAGAAATAACTATTTTACAATAGAGTTTTTATTGATATTAAATGTAGTAATGAATGTGAAAACCTTAGTAATCTATAAAGGGCTATGCAGGTATTGGAAACTTAGAAATCCTTCTCCTTTCCCCAAAGCTAATTGGTAAAAAGAGGTACTCAGAGTCTTCCTTATGATATATAGGTCCAGTGGATAATAGGGTGTGATAACTAGGATAAAAAGGAGAAATAAGTTGCTAGACAGTTATGAGCAATATAAGGTTTTCCCAAAATATACAAACCATTTGTTAAAAGATCATTTATCAGTCTAAACGTGATGCTTTAAAGGTACTGAGATGAAATCTATTATGCAGTTATTTTACGAACCACAATTATTATTTGTGGAGTGCTCAAAAGATGGACAACATAGGTGTCTGGATTTAGGAAGTGCTTTTATGAGCTAGAAGTTTTTTAAAATTTTATTGTGGCAAGAATGCTTAACAGAAGGGCTGCCCTCTAAACAGATTTTTAAGCGCACAGCACAGTATTGTCATTTCTAGGAACAATGCTGTAGGTCTGTAGAACTTATTTATCTTGCGTAACTGAATTTTTTTGCCGATTAGCCCCTCTCCATTTCCCCTTTACTCGCAGACGCTGGCAACCACCATTCCACTCTCTGCTCCTATGAGTTTGACTATTTTAGATACCCACATATAAGTGGAAGCTTGTAGTATTTGTCCTGTGTCTGGCTTATTTCCCTCAGCATAATGTTCTTAAGTGTTCTTCAGGTTGTTGTGTATGTCAGGAATTATTTATTTAATAAAAAGAAGAAATTCCTCCTTTTTAGAGGCTGAAGAATATTGCATTATATATACATATACATATGTGTATACACACACACAAACACACACACACAGCAGATAGCATTAGAAAAGGAATTATTTGCAGAAATAAACAAACTTTAATTCCTGAAAGAAAGCCAAACTGAGATACACTTAAATGGGCAAGTTAAAGAGTCCTATATTCCAGAGCTCTCCAAAATGTCCTGGAACATTTGTGTGCTGCCAGTAGGGCACAAGTGTGGCTGGACCTGAGTCAGGGCCCAGAAATGAAAAAAATCCTCTTGCTTCTAAGAATAATATGTGAGAAGTGCCTGTCAAGTAAAGAATACTTTTCAGAAAGATAAATGAACAAAGATTTTACCTTTCCACAAAAAGAAAAAAAATGAAAAGGGGAAGAAAATTACAGAGTCACCTTTCATAATAAACAGACCTGTCCTGTTTTTCCCTGTGTGACCTGTATTATTTTCTATTTATGTCACAGCAAGTAAGTGTTTGGGAAGAACTGCTATAGATGGCTTATTTTAAGACTTTCATCCATACTTTCCTGCCTCTATTTTAAGATTTCTTTTAAAACCTTGTAGCAAAATGAAACATGCATAAATTACATAAATTATAATACAGATTGATGAAAGGTCACAGATTGAACACAGTCATCATAAGTAGGATGTTTTCATTACCTTTACTCTAGAAACTCTGCTTGTGAGCCTTTGAAGTCACTACCTTCACCCAAAGGTAACCTCTATCCTGACTTCTAATCAGATTAATTTTGACTATATTTAAACTTTATTTAATTAAATCATGGTGTTCTTTTTTTCTTTGTGAGATTTGTTTGCTTAACATTATGTTAGTGACATTCATCCATATTGTTATGTGAGACTGTAGTTTGTACACTCTTGTTAGTGTATAATATTAATATTTTATTATATGAATATGTCACCATTCATTCATTCTCCTGTTAAGGGATAATTGGGTTGTTTATAGTTTTGGAGATGTTGCAAATAGTGCTACCATAAATACTATTTTACGTATATATTTTTTATTTTATTTTATTTGAGATGGAGTTTTGCTCATGTTGCCCAGGCTGGAGTGCAATGGCAGGATCTCGGCTCACTGCAACCTCAGCCTCCCAGGTTCAAGCAATTCTCCTGTCTCAGCCTCTCAAGTAGCTGGGATTACAGGCACCTGCCACCACACCTGACTAATTTTTGTATTTTCAGTAGAGACGGGTTTCACCATATTGGCCAGGCTAGTCTCGAACTCCTGACCTCAGGTGATCCACCTGCCTCCACCTCCCAAAGTGCTGGGATTACAGGCGTGAGCCACCATGCCTGGCCTATTTTACATATATTGTAGTAAATACAGGTATGCATTTTGGAGATATATATATATATCCTTTAACACATGAAGCTAAATAATGTTCAAAGTGGTAGTCCATTTACAACCCCCAAAACTGGATGAGAGTTCCAGTAACTCCACGTCTTTACCAATAAATACTTGGTCGCTGGTATTGCCAGTCTTTTAATCTTAGCCATTCTGGTGGCTGTTGAGGATTATTAATATATATGTTTTAAAATTAGTATTGTTCTGAAAACTAAAAGTATGGCTAACACTCCACATCATACATCTTTTCTTCCCTCTCCAGAGGTAACCATAATCTGAAGTTAGTAACATTTCCAGGCATCTTTTGGTACTTTTACAAGGTATGTGTGTGTGTGTGTGTGTGTGTGTGTGTGTGTGTGTGTGTGTGTGTGTATTCGTAAATGATAATGTATACAACTGATTTTTGCTTTACAGTTTTACATATGCGGCATTCCAATTTGATTTTTCACCAAATATCTCCCCCAAATTTAGGAATTAGTCCATATTGATGCTTATAAAGTCTATGAATTTTAATTGCTATATAGATAGCATGCAATTTGTTCCTTTTCCTAATAAAAGATAGGTTGCTTAAAAATTTTTGCTGTTGAACTGTGCTATGGTATCATTGTATATTTGTACGCAAATTTCTTATGGTAGAAACCTAGAAGGACAATGGTTGAATCTTTAGTTTTGCACATATTTACGTTTACTTAACATTGCCATGTGGTTCTCCAAAACAGGTTTAACATTTATACTCCCAGTAGAATTGCTTAAAATTTGTTTATCCGCCTTTCACCAATACTTTGATCTGCCAGGCTTTTACATTTTGGACAATCTTATGGGTGTCATTTATTCTGTATATAAATCTTTTGTCAGTTACATGGGTGTCAAAATTCATTCCCCTCATTTTCATTTGCCTTTTTACTTTATGTCTTTAATCATCCTGAAGTTTTTAAATTTTATTGAATTCATTGTTCATTAAATTTTTTGTTTTTTTGTGTGTGTCTTAATAAATCATTCTACTTTAATATCATAAAGGCATTCTCCTATGTTTTCTTAAAATAGTTTTATTTTTGCTTTGTATATTTAGGTCCTTCCACCTAGGACTTATTAAATATGTGCTGTTAATAGGGATCTAATTTTATCTTCCTCCATATGGATCGCCAATAGTCTTTGCCTCATTTATTGAATAATACCTGTCTTCTTACTGATGCTAATGCAACCCATACCATTTGCCAAATATCCAAATGTATGTGAGTCTGTATCTAGGCTTTCTATTCAGTTGCATTTGTCTATTTGCTGACACCTGAAACTATGCAATATTGTTTTAATTACTAGAGCTTTATAATAAATAAAAGTATCCTTCTGCTTGTATAACTAAAATGGTCTGGGCTTTTCAATCTTTAATTGTTCCTATGAATTTGAGAGAGCAATTAACCAAATTCCATTAAAAAAATCTATATGAGGATTTGATTTGAATTGCATTGAATTTATAGAATATTTCAGTTCCTTATAATTTTCATATCCCAAATTGCTTATTATAATTTTGTCGTTTTATATAATGTTTTAGATTTACCCTATATATTAAATAAATTGATTATTATTACTTTTTGTATTCCCTCCTGCCTTTTAAATTCCATTTTCATCTTGTGAAGACTGCCCTTTGAAATTCTTTCACTGAGTATCTGTGAATAGTAAAGGTTCTTTGTCTTTGTCAGAATATTTATTTTGCCATCACTCTTGGTAGTGAATACTGGCAGGCACTACCCAGATCCCTCTTCCTCAATGAAAGACTTATTTCCTGAGCTGCTGAGAGTGCAGCAAGCCAACACAATCCAGCTCTTGGCCATCTTCAGGAGTCCTTTAACCCAAGGTTGCACTCTTCTCCTTTGGCAGCGTTCATCCAGTGACTAAATGTCATAGGTGTATAAAGGTCCAGCCCAGTTCCCCTAACTCAAGACAACTCTGAAGGGATATCCCAGATTCAAAACGAGGCCTTCACTGAGACGTCACTGCAGGTCAACTCTTCCCTCTGCTCAATCCTGCTTCCATTTCTCCTGCAGATGTTGTTCCCCAAAGCATTCCCTAACATACTCATTATACTCTTCTCTGACTCAGAGTATGCTTCCTGGGGAAGCCAACCTAAAACAGTTGGTGTCAGGAGTGGTTCAAGTTAGGCTAAGATGGGATTTATGATTCGAATCACAGGCCATGTGACTATCAATGAGGACCCCCTCGGTGGTAGGTGTAGGACACACAGACCTCGGCACAAGGTAACAGTGCAATAGTTACAACTTTCATCAGTAATGAAACTGGGGTGGTATTCTAACGTAACTGGGGTGGTATTCTAATTTATATACGAGTAGGTAAAATGTATCAGGCATTTGAGAACTATGAGGGAAATAGTAACCTTAATGACAGTGGCATTGACTGTTATTGCTAAGTAAAATTGATTCTTTGAAAATAGCAAAAGGCTGAGATGGTTAATTGGCTATCAAAATCTAAGAGTAAATTCCAGAAGGCCTCTTTGGTCCAAATAAAGAGGCTTTTATCTCCTGCAGGGGGAGGGCAGGAAAAGCACAGGAATAGGCCTGGTACTGAATCCTAAGTGCGGCAGAGCTCCGAAAGAGATTAGGAAACCCAGCTTGGTCGGCTATGCAAAGGTGGAGGTGCTTGATCGGAAGGAGATTCTGATGCAGGGGGAGGATCATCAGGTTTCAGTTAAAAGCAGGCAGATTACACATTAGAGGTAGAGAATGTGGGATGATTTGTTCACAAAGGAATGGAATCCAGAGGGCATAACAGAAATAAGAGACAGGGGAGGCTGGTACGGAAGTTCATCAGGCAACTGAAGGCACAGTTTGCGCAGCAACCAAGAAAAGGTGGGATGTGAGGCACGCAAGATGTAGAGGTGGGGAAAGGTTTCCAACAGAATTCAACATGAATTTGCTGTTTGAGTCAATTGATCCAGTACCAAGTCTGTGAGTTCATTTTCCTCTTCCTTTTAGATTTCTCCTTTTTCTAAAAAAGTAAAACTGAGGGGGCCTTCCCCTGCTTTCCCTCCTTCTGCTTCCCTATTTTCCCTCGCATTCCCTTCCTTTTCTGCAGATCCTCTGCTTAGGAATGGGGCATTGGCCCCCGCAGGAGTGGGCGGGGAAGGGGCGGAGCGAACAGAGGTGGGCGGCTCCCGTCCTATGACGTCAGCCGTAAGGCGCTGCTGTCGTAAAAGGACGTCCGGTCCGTCTCCTAGTGTCCGGAATCGGCTGTCAGCCTCCCTGGCTGTTAGTACCTTCTTTCCCGGAGTCCTGGTCCACGAGTTGGATTTACTGCTGTCGCGGGTGGGCCTCACGCCATTCCCTGTCCCTCGGCCCCCTGAGTGAGTCCGGTCTCCCGGCGAAAGTGAGCGAGGTTTGCCCGGAGCGCGCACGAGGTAGGGTGTCCCGCGGGCGGGTGACGGTTGCGGGTCCCCGTTGCGGGTCCCCGAGCCGCCTGGCACCTCCGCCGCTTCTCCCCTGGACGCCCCTCCGCCCCACTGGGTCCTCCAGCTCCAGGCTGGACTCCTAAAGCCGCAGTGCCCCGTGCCTGTTTCCTCATTTGGTGACACACGCAGTGCATGCAAGAAGTTGGAGTGTTACCGGAAAAGGGCTTGAACCCGTATAAGGCTGAGAAGAAGATTCACTCTTTTGAGCGTGCAGAACAAACTGGAGGGAAAAAAAAATGAGATTTAACTTTATCAGAGGATTCAGAGGATATCTCTGAGGACGCAGAAAGTTAATCCGCATGATCACCTCGTGATTATTTTCTGAGGTTCTTTGGCCAGGGCAGCACGCCCTCTAGATTTTGTCATTTTACATATTGGAATGGTGCCTTAGTGGTCTGGGCGTTACGTTACCGAAATAACCACCTATTAAATCTGGCTATTTTTCAGTTGCTACCGTACTGCTTACCACCTGTTTTGTTTTTTTTTTAATTGAGCATTCAGTTCAGAAAACTTCAGTTTAGAAAAATCTTGTATTTCAACTAAATGATGAAAATTAAACATACTCTTAAACGTAAATTTGAACCCCGTTAAAATTACATGCTCACTGCGTGTAGAGGGAAGAGCATTTGTTAAAGTCAGAGCAACTAATACCTTAAATATCTTCAGAATGTTTTGACTTTGTAGTTAATAAATAGTGTTATTTGTTGACTGTTAGATGTTTTGTTTACATATTACATAGGAAAAATTAAACTTGTTATACTTAAGGTGTTGGCAGCGTCAGGTCATCTGAATATATAGCTCAAAAAAGTGATATAAACTGGCTAAATAATGCTCTTATTAATGATTTTTTTGTTTTTGCTAATGATACATGATTCATTTGTTTTAATGAGGTGCAGAATACTTTATCATTGGAGAAACTTTTTTCTTAGTGGGAAAAGAAGACTAGTTTGTCTTTTAGGGTAAATTTTTTTGACGTTTACATTTTTAGAATCGTTAGTGCCAATAAATGCGTTAAGGATCACCCGCTTCATTTGGAATAATATGTGCTTAACGTTTCATAAGGCTTAGAATGTGCTTAACTATCGAAAGGATAGAGTTTAACATTTAACAAGAAAAAGGACACTTTGTTATACTATTTCTTAGTTTATTAAAATAGTAAATGCAGTCAGTCAATTATATCTTTTCTGTTCTCTTGTGTCAAAATAGGGGAAAATGCCTAAAAAAAAGACTGGTGCGAGGAAGAAGGCTGAGAACCGCCGAGAACGTGAAAAACAACTAAGAGCATCAAGAAGCACTATAGATTTAGCTAAACATCCATGTAATGCCTCAATGGTATCAGCTTTTTTTGATATCAGTTGGTAGTTGGAAAAACTATATACTATTTTATCTGACGTATACCTGAATAAAATTTTAGTGAAGACAGTGTTTTTGCATATAGTTTGTTGCTGAATTTAGTATCTCTGGCACGTCTGTTGATTTCACTGAGTGGCAGTGATTGTTGTTGGATTTTATATTATTATAAAACCTAGCATATTACTTTACATACTGTTGGTGATAAAGGTAGATATTGGACAAGAATAGATAATAGAAACTTTCATCTTCCAGTTTCTTTAATGCCTTAGTCTTATTGGGTTTTCATCATATTTTCTTAGCAATTCTTTCATTTCTCTTTTCTGAACTTCCTACTTAACATCTGTTGGCTTCCCATTCTATTACCTTATCTACCTGTGCTAAGTGGGTTAGTCCTGATAATTTCTGGGCTGCTTTGAATGGTGGCTGCTTTTGAAATATGCTTTTTGAAATATGCGAAAAAGCAAACAATTAGGTCATCATTACCTCTTTCATTGACTGTAGAGTTATTCCGGTTCTCTCTATTTCCACTCCTTTCTTTGTTTTTCTTTTCCCACTGTTCCTATTTTTTCCTTCTCCTTTTGTCAAACATACATGAATTGTTTAATGTAGCTTAGTTTAGCAAACGTTTATTGTGCATCTACTCTGTGCCAGGTATTATTTCAGACACTGTGGGTAGTGATACATAGATGAATTACATGGTCTCTATTTCCAGAAGTTTATAGCTCAGTTATGTTGTATATTAGGATTTGTTTGTTTATAAATGACAGAAATCTAACTTAAATTAATCTTAGGGAAAAATAGTTTATTGAATGGATAATGGAATAACTCATATTGCTGGGAAGGGGAAGGATATACCTGGGACTCGGGGACAATTGGAACCTGGAACAACTTGTAGTTCTATCTTTTGCTTTTGTTTCTTATTCCTTATTAGTTCCATTTTTTCATATTGTCTTACTCCATTTGTTGGGTTTCATAGTTACAGGTAGCTTGCATGTCTCACATCACATATTGTGCCTCAGAGAAGGAAAGAACTCTGAAAGGCTGGACTTCACCCAGTGCCTGTCCCAGGGCTAACATTTATTGGGGTTGGTTGGGTGAGGACAGATTACATAGCGCAGATGTGACAGTGAGGCTGTCTTCTGTGTTTAAGAGTCCTTTCCAGAGAAGAGAGGTTCTGAATGACTGGCATGCCTAAATATATATAATGACAGCTAGATTTTGGAAGTGCTTCAATAAAGGTACAATGTATTTATTAGGACTAAGAGGTGATAAAGTTGGCTGTGTGTGGAAGGGGTACACTTCACAGAAGAGGTGGGATTTTCACCAGAACTTTCAACAGGTAGGAGGCACTTTTCAGGGAAAAGTGTTCGAATAAGTAAAGACATGGAGAAGAGAGAATATAAGACATATTTGGAGAATGGCTGACCATTAGTGACTTGAGTCTAAAAAGAATAGGCCAAGAAGGTTTGGAAAGTGATTAGGGGCCAGATTGTGGAGAGCTTTTAAAACCATGTTTAGGAATCTGGATTTTCTGTGAACTTTATTATTTTGTATTCTCTTTGGAACGGTGCCTTAGATAAATGCATTATTTTAAGGGTCACCCACTTCATTTGGAATAATATGTGCTTAACGTTTCATAAGGCTTAGAATGTACTTAACTATCAAAAGGATAGTTCTTGTGTTCATTCTGTGGTATTTTATTCCTTACAAACAATTGAAAAAGAAACTACCAATGTATTTAGCCTCCTTTGTGATAATGCCACTTCTTCAGGGAATCATATACCCGGAGTATCACTCTCGCATACCTTTGTTATTTTAAGCATGGGTAGGTGCTTGTATACATGGGTGGAGTTGGGGCTTTGGTGTAGTGTCACTTAAATTTTAACCTGAAAAGCAGGTTATTCTTTGTAATACAAGTAAATTTGCAGTTTTCAGTCAGCAGAAAAATTAATGTGATATTTTTATATGTTACAGGAATGTGACAAGTGTCAGAGGTAAATTTTATTTCTTTTTCTATCTACCTTTAATAAAATTGTCCCTCTGACTTTTTATCTGACATTGACCATAATTTAAAATTTTATTTTACATGACAAGGCGGCAGAAGAATAGAGCATTTTGCTACTTTTGTAATTCTGTACAGAAGTTACCAATTTGTGCACAGTGTGGTAAGTTTGTAATAATTAAGGACATATGCTTTTTATCAACTGGTAGTTCAACAATTTGAACTTGGGTGGGTTTGTTGCTATTGGTTACAGTGCTTACAATTGTTGATAATATTATGCCTTACCATTAACAAAATAACAAAACATGTTATTTTGCCTACCAAAAAACTATCAAGCCTTGGTTTTGTCTCTTTGATGTAATGCTGGAAAATAATTAAGGTACAATTTAGATACAGGTTACCAATAAGTGTTTTTAAACAGTGAAAGATCAGATTTCAGACATAACATTTGGTGATCCTGAACTTTTAGTTATACTACCTTAGTCTTGTCAGTATCTGTTTGTTTACTTATCTACATTTTGATTCCTGCTGATATTACCTGCAGTGTGTTAGACCATTGGGAATAATTTTATTCCACATTTACCTGGTACTTATTTTGTGATCAGTAGTTTTTGTGTTTGATGCTTACCATATGATTCATGAGTTTCCTCACATGTATTCCCAGGTGATTTAAATAGAGTTCTTAAGTCATGTGCCCGGTTCTTAAGTATAGGTGGAGACTTGTACCCCAAAATGATTATACAAAATAAAACTAAATGTTAGCAAGATGGGTGTTTCCCAAATAGTCTTCCACAGACTTCCTGAAATATTAATGGATATTTCTTGAAAAATATATATCGATATACATTTGAGAAATACTGCATGCATCCTCCTTTCATTCTCATCTGGGAGATTTCTATTATATATTTATATGTTAGAAGTTCTGAAGACTTGCAACAAAGAAACCCAATTAACTTTATTACTCTAGATTTACATCCCCCCCCAACTTTTGATGAACAAGTATTGCTTTTATTTATGAGATAATAATAATAATTTCAGGTAGAACAATTTGGGGTATGCTCATTTAAGTGTGTTTATATGTAATAATATTCCAGAAAGTTAGTAGTGTTTAGGGCTATATCCCTGAATATTTCTAATGTAGTTCTAGCTTTCAAAGAAGATCTTTTCAATTCCACAATTAATGAAAAAGAGAAAACTGGCCTATATGGAACACTCATATGGTAGTTTTCATAGCCTTGTTTTGCAAAAAGTAATGAATGTAGAGTGAGGAAACAGAGTTTGTGGAAGATTAATAGGTAAGTTCTTGCTAGGACTTACCCCTATTTTCAGTGTCTCTGGGCTTAAATTTTGTAGTGTTGTTAGATGGATACATTTCTCATTTACTGATTCTTAGTGTTGGACATGGAACAGTTGGGTAGCTGCTGCCTCTCATTTCCAGTTTCTCTTCCCATTTCCTACTAACTTTGTTCCTTAGGAAATCAAGATAACGGAAAATTGTTTCTTTTGTGTTCCATTTTGTGGAGTCTCAGATGGATGATTAATGTCATCATTAACTCTCACATAATATCTGATAAGCAAATTTCCTGATAGTGTTTTGAGTTGGTAATTTAATTTGCTTCTAGATCAGAGGTTTAGTGGCTGTGTGGTGATTTGTAGCTGTATCACCGTATTGTTTATTGTGCTTATTTGGGCACTATTTCAAAATTTTGTTGGGAAAATGTTTAACTGGGGGCTTCGTTGTAAATTTTTATGTTTGGATAAAATTACATTAACTCGATAAGTTACATAATCATTATTTGGTTTGGTTTGAGGTATTATTCTGTGGAAAGAAATAACTTCAAACCACAGTTTTTATTGTGAATTATAAAATGTAAAATTTGTTATAAAAAGCATTCCTTTAAAAATTGTTTTGAATAATCTGAAGATTGATAAGTTTTTAAACTGTTAAAATGATCATTAGATTACAAAGCATAACCTGCAATTTCTGATTTAGTACAAATTAGCATATATATTGTATAGTTCATTTTACAGATTTATTAGTAAATGTATAATCTGAAAAGTCTGATTCGAGTAATGAAGTCTCAGTTATATCCATTTTCTCTTTCTAGTTATGTAAGCAGTAAATACTGATTCAATTTCATTAGTTTTTAAATTATTTCCTCAGGAACTTGGGCTGGATAAAAGGAGGAATTCGTGAGTACTGGTATGTATTCCTTTGCAAGACTAACAGTGCAAATGTTTTTCTTCATTAGGGAAAACAAAGTGCATGATGAAGTCTTCAGACTGTGTCATAAAGCATGCTGGTGTATACAGTACTGGCCTTGCAATGGTGGTAAGCTTCTTATTATCTCTTAGACTAGTACGTTTTCAAGGATAAGAAAATGTCATTCTGATCAGTGGTTATTTTTTTCTAAATATCATTGCTTTGTCCCTTGTTTCAATCAATCTGTAGTTATCTGGATTATGAGTGGCATGCTTTTTGTATGATTTTCCCTTAGTACCCACTTGTTTCTAGCTGCTTCTTTCTTTCTTATTAGGGAACATACAAGGCATGGAAACTTTTCATGCTGATCTAAACAGAATTTCATTTCTCAGTGGTACCTTTTTTTTTTTAAATTTTATTATTATTATTATACTTTAAGTTTTAGGGTACATGTGCACAACATGCAGGTTTGTTACATATGTATACATGTGCCATGTTGGTGTGGTGCACCCATTAACTCGTCATTTAGCATTAGGTATATCTCCTAATGCTATCCCTCCCCCATCCCCCCACCCCACAACAGTCCCCGGTTTGTGGTGTGTGATGTTCCCCTTCCTGTGTCCATGTGTTCTCATTGTTCAGTTCCCACCTATGAGTGAGAACATGCGGTGTTTGGTTTTTTGTCCTTGCGATAGTTTGCTAAGAATGATGGATTCCAGCTTCATCCGTGTCTCTACAAAGGACATGAACTCATCATTTTTTATGGCTGTATAGTATTCCATGGTGTATATGTGCCACATTTTCTTAATCCAGTCTATCATTGTTGGACATTTGGGTTGGTTCCAAGTCTTTGCTATTGTGAATAGTGCCACAATAAACATACGTGTGCATTTGTCTTTATAGCAGCATGATTTATAATCCTTTGGGTATATACTCAGTGGTACCTTTCTAATATCTCTTAACCAGACTTCACAAAACAGTATTTAGTGTACCGAAAGCCCTGCTTAACCAACGTTTAAGCCTTTGGTTAAATAAGCAACTTAGTTCCAAACGAACCTAGGATAATAGTGTTCTTTAAAACTTTACATTTCAAAAAAGTGTATATATTTAACATACCTCTTCATTACATATAGGATTTTTTAAAGTAAATTCAGCTTTTTGAATAATAAAACCAACTGGATTATGTGATGTATTTTGCTCTTTTTCCTGAAACATGTTTTCCTTCTAAATATGAGTTAACCAGTTTTACTGTATTGCAGTATGATTTTATGTTCAAATAAAATTTTGTTCAAATTTTAATCTATGAGGAAAATGATACTATATTTATGTCAAATGGAATATTTTATTTATGGTAAATTTCCAAGAACATGTAAACTTCTATTATGAGGGAGACCTATGATATATTTCATATGTGCATATATTATAGAAGCAAGGAGCGAGAATTATCATCTTGTGAATTGCTCTTTATTTTAAGTATAGGATTGTCAAGTTATCTTTATTCAAAAACACTTTCAGTCTTCCTTGGTAGCTTAAGTTCAGCCAAATTCATTTTTTAAAATCACTGTTTTTTGAATGTGAATAATTTCTTCTTACATAAAGAAAACATTTAAGTAGAGTCATATATCTTTAGTTGTAAATTCTAGAAAAGTGATTTTCTGGATATCTTCTATTTGCCTCCCCAGATTCCCCCTGAGAATAGCAGGAGAATAAGATCTGGGTGTTTATTCCTTCATCTCACTCCGTACCAGGTTATCCTGGTTTGGTTTTATCCTTTCTCTAAGGACCACAGTTCTCCCTATATGGCCAGGTAGTCCTCTCCTGTTTGTCCTAAGAACTTCCCTGTCCTCTGCAAATTATCTCTTTAAAACTCTTCTAGATTACCTAGTTTGAGAGTACCATCTCTTTTTTGCAAGAACCCTGGCTGATCCAAGAGATATAGTTGATGATTTGCTAGCTATACTGATAACCCATTTTTGCAAGTCAAAAAACATTCTTCCTATTTGTTGTTTACTACATTTGTTTCAGAGCCTTGAATAATAGAATACTGAATTGAGATTCTGAAATCCTGGCTTTAAATCTCACCTCACCTGTAATCCAACTCGGGACTTGGATTTAGTCTTGGGCCCCATGCTTTTCCTTTATAAAGGAAAGATTGTCTGATCCTACTCTCTTAAGATTCTTTCTAGCTTTTAATATTTGGTAGGTGTCAATGTTTTATTGAAACATATTGTTATTGTCTTTTCTTGATATAGAATTGGAGAATCTTACCCTGTATTTTAGTTCCATATATTTTACTTCAAATTTTTTCCACAAAGAAATGTAATTATTATTAAAACATAAGTTGTCATAAGAGAAAAAAAGAAGCTGGCAGAAGTTTCGTATTTCTCAGTAATTCTAGAAAAGCTATGCAAATATATAGATAAGAAGGTATTTTAAAAATCAGAAATGGTAGTATTTAAAAATTCAGTGTAGTTACAGGAATTATTATAGACAAGAAAGCTTAAGCTGTTGGTTCCTTCAAACTTTATTTGAATTAAATTCATTTTGAGGAAAATACTTCCATCTCTTTGGCTTAATTAAATAATATTAGGATAAGTGTACAGTTTACCTTTTTTTCTTTTGATATGTAACTGAGTTTTGTATATTGTGGATAGCTGTTAAGAAGTTGTTTTTCAGAGAACCCTTTTTATTTTTGGCTTAGAGTGAGTAGTAAAATGTTTAAATGAAGCGGCCTACTATCATTGAGGGTTGATAAATTGCTAAATGTATACAGTTTTGATGGTTGCCGTGGTTAAAGAATGGTTGCAGGTGGTCAGGTGATAATGATTATGTATTCTTGTTCCTTGGTTACAGGGTGCAATATGTGACTTCTGTGAAGCTTGGGTTTGCCATGGTAGGAAATGTCTCAGTACACATGCTTGTGCCTGCCCTCTTACCGATGCTGAGTGTGTTGAATGTGAACGAGGCGTGTGGGACCATGGTGAGTCATTAGACACAAGTAATGAGCTTTGTTATAGGTGAATGTTGACTTTGAAACATTTTGAATGCTGTTTTTGAGATTTTTTTCAGGATACTGTCAATCCTAACTACTGGTACTGTTTTGATTATCAGTGTAGTTAGAGAAGGGATCTATACTGTCTGTTATTGTCAATGCTAGTATTGTTTACCCAAACATGGAGGGAAGTTGTGGTGGAGCAGGTAGTCTCTTTGAGCATTGTGAGTGTTATATGGGTAGCTAGTGGAGAGTAAGAGCCCCCTTTTCTCAGTTTCAGTTCAGTTTCAAGGACTTCAACAGTTTTCATTTTAGCTTTTATCAGAATAAAAATGGCTGAACAATTTTGGTGTATCTCCAAAGTAACTTACCATCTCTTCTAAGCAGTATTATAGATATGAGTTTTTTTAAATTAAAGTTTATCTTAATTACATTTGTGTTTTTTTAATCCAATAGGAGGCAGAATATTCAGTTGTTCTTTTTGCCATAACTTTCTCTGTGAAGATGATCAATTTGAGCATCAAGCCAGCTGCCAGGTTTTAGAGGCAGAAACATTTAAATGTAAGTTTTTAAGTATTAGATGTTCTTTATACCCAAGATTCTGAATAGTATAATTATTAATCTTAATGAAAAAGGAATCAAGTTTTTTTATACTGCTTCTCATGAACTGTAATTTAACTCAGTCTTTATTTTCTGTTTCTAGAAAACAGAACAGTCAGAATATAGTTGTAAATTTTTCAGCAGGGATGCCAGTGGCATATTGGTTGGGCCAGTTTTTCATTTTGTAGGCTTGATTTGATCAGGCATTGCAGGACTTACACCTTTCGTGGTTCAGAGTACCACATGTCATTTTTACCTTCAAATTATTATAAAAAACCAAACCTCACCCTTCCTTCCCATTTCCAAATGCCCTCCCGTAAGAGATACCACCCTGTTTGTTTCTGCTAGTTGGTTCTAGTGATTCTTAGACAGGACTGTATATCAAAAATACCTGTGGAGGTTTTAAAAATAATGTAGATGTCCAGGCCTCATCCCTGGAGATTCTATCTTTTAAGTCCGTGGTGGGTGCCAGGCACCTGTATTTAACCTATACACAAAATTCTCACGTATTTTCCAGTTGAGAGCCAGCATTGCTGACTGGGTAATAGTATCATCTTTACACATAGTTTTTTTCTTGGAAGGTTCATTGAAATGAGACACCATATAAAACAATAGCATGTGGTACTTGGCATTTAAAAAGCCCTTTTTAAATAGTAGTTACTATTATAGGAAAAAGACCGAAATTCCCCAGGTATTCTCTTCCTTTAATTTGGTTCTTGTTCTGGTATGAAATCCTAATTATTATACTTATTTATAAATTTAAAGTAGATAAGTCATCTCTGTGATATACATACAACATACATACTACACACACATAGACACACAATGTGTATGCATGTGTATATAATTCTTGCAATATTTATATATAAAATTCTCAGATTAAAAGAGCATCTCGAAGTATATAGCATTTTTGAGCCTTTCGTCGCCTTTTGCAGAATGTATAATAATAAATTTAATTATTTTATTTGCAGCATGGGAGCTTTGTGTGTTTTATAGCATTTGAACCCAAAAGACAGGCAGCTGTCTATAAGGCTATATTCCATTGCAAGCTTTTAGTGATTTGATAAAAGACAAAAGAAAATTCTAAGAACCAAATAACGGGATTTTAAAATTAATCTATTTCCCACAGGTGTTTCATGCAATCGGCTTGGTCAGCACTCATGTCTCCGTTGTAAGGTATACCAATGCGTTTTTTTCTTTTTAGATTTTGTTTTTAATCTCTATACCCCTCCACCAGTCCTTGGCTTATATGCAGCTATAATTAATTTATAAGGGACCTTAAAATTATGTAGTCTAATTCTTTTATTTTTGAGACTGTGGAATTGAAGTTGAGAAAGCTTACATGACTTTCCAATGGTCATCCAGTCACCTTTTAGTAGAGCTGTGGCTAGTGCACATTTCTCTGGAATCCTGGCTCTGTGTTTTTAGTGGAGAACATTCTGACCAAGATGATGAGAGTCTATTTTAATTAATGTCAAAATATACCTGCTTAGAAGAGTTTGGGTAAAGATTTCCAAATTTTTCTGTGTCCTTAGGCCTAGTCTCTAGCATTCGTTCGTCAAAGATTACTAAACAGATGCAGCCAATGCCCTTCCTCTCAGAAGCGTTTCTCTAGTTCTTATATTCCTAACCCTATGTCTTATTTATCTTCCAACTCTGTTCTAGTTTTACCAAATGGTGTTCAGGCATTATCTGTGTTTTCTTTGTCTGGAATACTTTTCCATCTTGGCTTACCCTATTGCCCTCCCATTCTTCATATGGCTATTAAGACTTCGTGTCTCTAAGATGCCTTTCCCAAATCCCATGTCTGCTTTAGTGCCCTTCCCTCTGCACTTCCCGTTCAGTGCTTAGTGTCTTGTAATTGCCTTTTCACTGTCTCCATCCCTAGTTAGACCATACACTGTGTGAGAGTAAATAGGCTGTTCACCATTATTTCATTTCATCAGGGACCTTATGAGTACTGAAATATTTGTGAACAGCTAAATGTACTTACATGTCATACTCAATATAGTCTGCCTTTTGTTAGATCATTGTTCAGAAGGGTCCTGACAAAAACCATTTCTGTTAAGAAAATGAAATGAGAAGTGTGACTGCTCCCAACAAAATTGTTAATCTCACTGCCTTAATAAAGCTATATCTTTAAAACACTGAATACTGTCTTTTTGTATATTTTTACATTTTTATTTATTTACTTTATTTTGCTTCTCCTATACAGGCTTGTTTCTGTGATGATCATACAAGGAGCAAAGTGTTTAAGCAAGAAAAAGGAAAACAGCCTCCTTGTCCTAAATGTGGGCATGAAACTCAGGAGACTAAGGACCTTAGCATGTCAAGTAAGGCCCTTAAGATACTAAGGAAGTGATTTTTGCTTTCATACTTAGACAAAGTTTATCTTTTTTTTTTTTGGTCTATTTTTCTTATTGCCTCTTCTTATTTGAAAAGATGAATGTGTTCTTTTAAGCAAGTGGAATTTTACAGCTTAGGAAAATATGTGGGTAAAGTTTTTCAGTTTTACTTAAATAGACCAATATTCATTTTGATATTTGGTATTTGCCTTAGTTAATGACAGCAAATACTGAAATTTAAGATAAAGAGTGATTTTTTTTTATTTTTGTTGAGTCTTCCTTGTTAAATAGTTGAGTAGCTATAATTCCTTAATATTAAAGTGGTGGTAATTTTAAGTACCTAGAAGTCAAATTCACTCTGAAGCTATCTTAGGTGTGTGATATTTGAGCACCTATGTTTATTTATGTAATATAGCACTACTATAGGAAATTATTTTATGGTTTTTATGTAACTTTTTTTGTGAAGGAATAAGCATGCTTATAGTAATGCAGCTCGCAATTTTGTTAAAGAGAAGTTTGACTCTTAACCAAACATATCAGAATGGAACCATAATTCTAAGTGACTGACTGCTTTGTTTAATCACAGATGTAGTTGCATGGTGAGGTGAGACTGATGATTTTGCTGATCTTCTGCACTGAACTTTGTGTCACTATTAAGGCAGAAGAAATGACAGGCTTTGTTTTTAAGGGCATCTGCATTGTAAAATAGCTGTCTTAAGAAAAATGTACTGATACGAAATCAGCTGTATTCTGTGATTTATGTGATTTGAAAATAAACTGTCAGTGGCCAAACGGAAGGTATTTTTGTTTTAAACATGCCTTAATACCTTTGGAGTGGTCTGTTGGTCTAATTTGTTTTCTAGATTTAATGAAATTACACTGTAATTTTTATTTTTTATGGTGTTGTATATAGACTCAGGTGAAAAAATTAGGAAAATGTGACCTATTTTTTCATTTGGGATTGAAGCAGCCAATGAAATCCATGAAATTTTATAGAGGAAGATGAGAATGTAGAGAACTGGAACTAACAAAATGCCTTGTACTTGTCTGTCTTCTATAGCACGCTCCCTGAAATTTGGCAGGCAGACTGGAGGTGAAGAGGGAGATGGAGCTTCTGGGTATGATGCTTATTGGAAGAACCTTTCATCTGATAAGTATGGTGATACCAGCTACCACGATGAGGAGGAGGATGAGTATGAAGCAGAGGATGATGAAGAGGAAGAAGATGAAGGCAGAAAGGATTCAGATACTGAGTCATCAGATTTGTTTACTAATTTGAATTTAGGAAGGACCTATGCTAGTGGCTATGCTCACTATGAGGAACAAGAGAACTAGGGGAGCTGCTCTGGTGGCCGTGTGTGAGAGGAGCAGGAGTGAGTGTGTGTGCTTGATGAATTGTGTGTGGTTGTTCAAAAGTACCTTAGCCACTTAGCCTTGTGCAGAAGACTAGTTACACTTAATGGGCCAAGCAATAGGGTGTAGCGTTTTTATAGAACTGATAATCAGGCTTATGGCATAAGAAAAATGAGTTTCAAATTTAAGATGTTTATTGATCGAAGCAATTGAAGTATCATGGATTGGATTGTTACTGATTTCAGTAAAGTATGTTTTGCCAATTAGATACATATATACAAGATAAAGGAATAGGATGGTAATATATTTGTTTGAAATTAAATTACTGTTTTTATTAAAAAATACTGCTTCATTGGGCTGATTTTGTAAAATGTAATGAGTAAAATGAATTACTGTATTTTTCCTTTTATGTCCACAGAATGAGAGTCATATGTTGTTATATTCTAAATTTTCATTAAATATTCATGTCACCTTGAGTTGTCATGATAAGTATGTTTTAGTATTTGACTTATTCTTCTCTTTCTTCACAATGTATGTCCTCAGTGGTACCTATTATTGATGCCTTAAATGTATTGATAAGGTGACTAGTTAGCCATTTTTCAGAGATACAGTATCAGAAATAGTATTATTACAGAAGCTTTACCCAGGACATTTTATTTCTCTTTGAATAAATCTATTATTTCACTTAAATACTTTTGACATTATATTTAATTTTTTGTTCTGTATTTTCAGTTTGTTTTGGAAAGCATTCTAATTTTTTTACAAACTGCTTCAGTTTTCACACATATGGAAATAGGTAATAGAGACTGTGTGGTATACACTTAAAGATAAGCAGCCCAGACCCCATCATTGATAGGTGGAGGACAGTCCTGTCACAAGTCCCAGTTGTTACAACTTAACACTGGCATTTAATAGGGATTGGGTAGTTGTACAAGGAGAGACAATATCTGATTGCCTCACATTTTAGATGTATGGAGAAAATTGTAGCTATGAGGATAACAGGGTTGAATGGCCATTGTTAAGCCATTTTTGTTCTATAGAAGCATACTTAACAGCCAAGGACAATAACAGGCAATGGAAAGCCAGGTGTCAAAGTTAGAGGGCCTCTGGTGGCATGTGAAAAAGCTTTTCACCTTTTGCAGTAGGACGGCTTGAAAAAACTGAGGAGCAAGCCCGAGACTTAATAGTTTCAAAGGATAAAATTTAAAGACAGTTGCCAGCCAAGGCAAGTCTATTATGCCAGCATCGGCAAACTGCTTGGGAAAACCTGTGACCCTGACAAATTAGATGGAGACATCTGAATCGATGGTGCTGGAGATTTTTACTCCCCAGACTCCTGCATTTCTGAGTTTGCAGTCATAGCCCACCCCTCCATGTTAAGGGCAAGCACTCCCCACTTCATTCTCAGGCTGGATGACAATGCAGAGGCTTCTTTCCTCGGGAAACATGCTCTCTTCAAGACTTGCCCTATCTCTAGGCCATTATAGTTAGTATCTCCAGGCCTAAAATTAGGGTTAAGTGACGATAAAGTTAAGCAAAACTCAGTTGAGGTGCTGGAACTGAAGTGGGAGGAAACAAGACTATGCCCCAAAAGAACTGCAAGAATTACGAAGAGTTGGAGGAATATGCTTGAGATTGGAATCAGTGCTTAAGAGGGTCAAAACATAAAATTAGGGAGGAGTTTGATGGCAGCCCTGACACTGGATCTTTGGATTGCTAAGAGTTAAATTAGAGGGTTTTAATAACCTGGCTAGGATCCTGTGAGATGGTGCGAACTCATTACCAGGATGGCTTCTTGAAATATGGAAAAAGTAATGGTCCTTTCTGAGCAAAGTCGAAACACTGGGATTACTGTGACATGGTGGAAGAATGGATTTAAATGGTTAAGGGAATTGGGTATGCTGGAATGGATTGGAAGATGAGATGATTATGTTCCATGGGAAGGCTCAGTGGACACACCATTTAACAGTGCCATAGAAATGTGCACTGATGATGGGGTATAAGCATCTCTAAAAACGTGTGGTAGCTCATGGTAGGCCATACAGACAGTAGGAAAAGAAAACAGAGTTCAGCTTGCTGATGGCAATGTATGACAAGATTCTGAAAAATAGTGGCTAAAGTGGCAGTGCCCAACTGCCAAAAGTCAGGGGGTTACAGTTAATGAGAAAGTGAGAGTGGTAGTCAAGGGGTCCTAACCTGCAAAGAGTTATGGAGAAGGCTAATGTAACACAGCACTTTAGGGACAAAACAAATGGGTAGCCAACAAGAATACTACTCAGTTTTTCCCATTAGATAAAATTAAGGATGGATTACATGGAAGCTAATGGTAGTCACCCCAATAAAAATAAAGCATCCGTTGCTCAGTTTCTGGACCTGAGTCACTTTTCAGACCTGGAGCCCAGACTGAAGAGGTGGCTGGGTCCCAGGAGGAAAGACAGGACACCATGGCATTTGTACAAGGTAATGATTCCTTTTGGTGTTAACTCAAAGGGACCCACAGCCATTTGCTCTGGTAATTCTAAGCTTAGGAAAGGGGAAATATAAGGGATTTCAAGGATTGTTGAACATAGAATCTGAATTGACATTGATATCCAGATACTCAGTGTCCCTGTTGTTTCTTTGTAGGGGGTGAGGGAGGAGTTGGGTTATACCAGGAGTCCTGGGCAAGTTTAAGCTTACAGTGGTTTCACAGCATGTGTGGAGGGCCAAGTGAAGCCTCTGACACTGCCTACCCTTGTATCTTCTCACTTCAGGCAGATAGTAATACACAATAGTATCACTTGGCAGGACGCAGTACCACCTTAGGGATCTAAAAGATGCAGAGATGATCGTCTCATCACATCTGTTAATTCACCATTTTGGCCCCTGCAGAAACTTTATGGATCCTAGAAGATGGCTACAGACAAGCTCAATGAAGTAATATCCTTGATTGCAACTTCTATGCTAGATGTGATATCTTTGTTAGAGCAGATACACGTGACCCAAGTGTATGGAATATCATCTTGGTTCATGCAAATGTATTCTCTTTCAATAAGAGAAGGGAATCAGAAACAATTTGCATTTACACAGAATGGGCAACAATATATAATTACAGTTTTGTAAACTATGCCACTTTATCCTAAAGAACATAGATCTGTTACAATGACTATGTTGAGGCTGGATGAACAAGTGGCTAGAACATTGAGAACTTGGTAGGAGACGTGTTCCAGAGGGAGGAGATAAATTTTACGAACTTTCAGTGGATAAACCTTATAAATTTTTTGCCATACTCATAAATTTTTCAGGGTTCCAATGGTGAGGGACAGTTTGGTGCATCAGCTCTAAAGTATAAAGCAAATGACTACATGCATTCTCTTACTCTGAGGAAGGAAGCACAATGCCTGGTGAGCCATCCTGAGTTCCGGAGGCAGCATATGTCACACCTGAGGATAGTGTCCTGGCCAGTGTAACAGTTGATGCAAAAGGCTGCCTGTTTTAAGTGGAGCCCCCAGCAGGAAAGAGTTCTGCAGCTGGTCTAGGTTGCAGTGGAAGTAGCCCTGCTTTCTGGGCCATAGAGCAGATGCTATTATATTGGAGATATTAGTGATGAGATAAGTTGTGTTGTAGCAAGCCGCAGTAGGAGAGTCACAATGCTCATCTCTGGGTTATGGAGGAAGCTTACGCCATCTGCATTTAGAGATTCATATACTCCCAGAGGCAGACAGAATGGTTTCCAACTTACCAAGGCCTATCTAGTTACCACCACTGCCAAATGTCACCTGTCAGCAGCAGGGGCAACTGCTGCACCCTTGATGGGGTATCATCACTTTGGGAGACAAATCAGAGCGGCCACCCCAGAAAGGCTAGTGGTTCATTATCAGTGGAATAGATCCACATTCTTGAAATGGGCTTACCTTTCCTTCCTGCAGGGCCTCATCCAGCATTGGTACCTGGGGGCTTATGGAATGTTTGATTCACTGGCATGAAATCCCACATAATACGTGTCAGGCCATGGAATCATCTTAAAAGTAAAGAAGGTTGCAGTAATAGGCCTGTGACCATGGGATTCACTGTATCCTATAGTGCACCACCCAGAAACTTCCTCCCTGATGATGTGGTGCAGTGGTGTGCTGAAAACACACTGAAGCAGCAGTTCAGAGGCAATACTCTATAAATTTCATACCATCCTTCAAGTTACAGATATGCATTGACTCACAGGTATTTCTATTCCAATGTGTTTCCAATAGATAAAATGCATGTGTGGTAGGTTGAATAGTGTCACCCCAAAAGTCATGTTCTTCTGGAATGTCAGAATGTGACCTTATTTGGAAGTATGGTCTCTGCAGATGTAATTAGCTAAGATGTAGTCACGCTGGGTTAGGGTAGGCTCATATCCAAAGATGATGAGAGGACACACAAGACACACAAGGAAAAAAGCCATAAGAAGATGGAGTCAGAGATTGGCATGATTCATCTACAAGCCAAGGAATGCTAAGCATTGCCCGCAACCACCAGAAGTGAGAAGAGAAGCATAGAACAGATTATCCCTCAGACCCTCTAATAGTGATAAACCCTGCCAACACCTTGATATTGAACGTCTGGCCTCCTGAATGGTGAGAGAATACATTTTCTGTTGTTTTAAGTCATCCAGTTTGTGATAATTTGTTATAGCAACCCTAGGAAGCTAATATGCCATGGGAATTAGGGGTGGAAGCAGGAGTTGCCGTCACTTCCAGTGATTCACTGGGGAACATTATGCTTCCCATCTCTACACTCCTGGGTTCTGAATGACTAGAATTCTATGTCCTCAGAGGGGATACCTTTCTTCAGGGGACCCAATAAGTGCCACCATTGGATTATAAACTATGTTTGCCACCTTGGTATTTGTGACTTTTTATGTCTAGGGACTAAAAGCCAAGAAGAGAAATCACTGTCTTGGCAGAGATATATACCTTTCTTCATCAGAAGGAGGTAGGGCTGCTCTTACATGATGGGGATAGGGAGGATTATAAGTGGAATCTAGGCAACTCACTTGAGTTTTTTAGGTGCTCCTTTGCCCACTTGTGGTGGTAAATGAACATATATGGACATAGCCAACAGCCCCAGGCTATGGAGGGCATAATGACTAGATGCTTCCGGATGAGGGTTTGGGTCACGCCACCAGATAATTACCAAGACTAGCAGAGGTAGTAGTTGTCAGGTAAGTTTAGGACCTGCCCCAGCTTCAGAGAGCTGCCTTGGCTGAAATCAAATCCTTCCCAGAGCAGAGCATGCATCTGGTGACCAAGTGACTGGTCTGGCTAATTTAGCTCAACACGGCCCATCATGACAAATAGCTATGAAGTTACTATCCCTATACAGAATCTAATAGCTGACACTTAAGAATATGGGGGTATATACGCTTCTTCCTGTGCATTTTGGTCATGGTTTGGCAAACTCCTTGTTGGAATATTGTAATGATGTATGTAAGGTTGACCTTTATAAGTCACCTACAAGCTTCTGCTCATGCAAAATATATTAGTCCATTTTTGAAAGTGAATAGACCATATAGCATGCTCACCTGTGCTTTAGAGAATGACTGGTTACTTATTTGCCTAATGGGAATAATTCAAAGAATGAAGCTTAATATATTAAGCCTTAATAGTATTTTGTGGAACCAGACATAGCACAATGCTAAATCAGGCATATGGAAGCATTTTAAATAAGAAATACAATGTAGATGGAGGCAAGAGCTTTTTTTTTTTTTCTTTTTTGAGATGGAGTCCCAGTCTGTTGCCCAAGCTGGAGTGTAGTGGCCTGAACTTGGCTCACTGAAACCTCCGCCTCCGGGGGTCAAGTGATTCTCCTGCCTTAGCCTCCCAAGCAGCTGGGATTACAGGCATGCACCACCACGCCTGGCTAACTTTTATATTTTTAGTAGAGACGGGGTTTCACCATTTTGGCCAGGCTGGTCCAGGACTCCTGACCTGAGGTGATTTGCCCACTTTGACCTCCCAAAGTGCTGTGATTACAGGCATGAGCCACCATGCCTGGCCTGGGAATTTTTGATAAAGAGCTTTGGTGGGAAAGCAAAATAATATGCTAACTGCAATTTGCTAATTTGTATAACTCAGTTTAGCCACTAAACAGCAGCACTTTTACATTAAATTCAGGTAAAAATTCAGTTAGCACTTGCTACATACCTGTCATCAAAATACTAGAATACTAGGATAGATGAAAGATTTAAAGGTAAATACAGTATTATGTAAGCCATTAAAGCTTAAATTTTATTTGAGAAAATAAGATGCAATACAAGGTTAATAGTAGCTAACATTTGCTATGTGTTCTCTGTACTGCCCAAGCTGCTTTACCTGCATAGGCACTTTGAATTCTCACAACAGAGGTACGGTACAGTATTTAGCTCCCTAAGCAAGCCAGGCCAGTCTCCTCACCCCACTCTGTCTAGAGCTGTTCTAGAAGCAAACTGCCTGTGCTCCTCCTGTGGTCATGGAACCAGAGCACTGTTGCTGCTGTTGCTGTCACTACAAACTAAAGGATCCGCTGCACCAGTGGAGACCACTGCCTCTTGTCACTTGTGGGTACAACCTGACCGCATCTCTGGTCACATGTCCTGGGGCTTTTTTATTGCCACTGAGGTATGACATACAGTTGGATTTGCTTTGGGTCCACTTTTGTGTAATGGAGAAGTGCAGGCATAGTAAAGCCTCATGGGAGTGACCTCTAACTAATGGGAAACAGAAATTAGTGGATAAACTTATTCCCTCTTCTCCCCTTTCACAGTAACTTCTAATGTTCTCTCTGAAGGCATCCTGTGAAATCACGAAATTGGCTTGTCCCAGACTCTGGCCATACAGGAACCTACCCTGTGAGGTTTCTCTCCCCTCTTCACCACTTTGTTTCTCTTTCACTTACTCCTGCTTCTGTGGGACTGCACATTTAGTATTTTCTGAAGAAACGGGGCTAATGCAGGTGGAAGTTACTAATACCAGACTGAATGTGTGCTCAAGAAAAGTACAAAGAAAATGTAGAATGCAGAAAGGTAGAAATAAAAACTGGGGTCACTGTGGAAGGATTTGAGGATATTCTAGGCTGGACACCGAGGGCTCCCGCCTGTAATCCCAGCACTTTGGGAAGTCAAGGCAGGTGGATCACCTGAGCTCAGGAATTCGAGACCAGCCTGGCCAACATGGCAAAACCCCATTTCTACTAAAAATACAAAAATTAGCCAGGCATGGTGGTGGGCTCTTGTAATCCCAGCTACTCTGGAGGCTGAGGCAGGAGAATTGCTTGAATCCAGGAGTCAGAGGTTTCAGTGAGCCAAGATCGCGCCACTGCACTCCAACCTGGGTGACAGAGAGAGACAAGAAAAAAAAAATGATATTCTACATGGGGAGGAACTTGCTATGTATGAACCACACTAAACAAAGGAAACATTTTTTCAAATAAACAAACCTAGAATGTGTTCTTTAAATCAATAAATAATCTTGAAGGTGATTTATATTTTTTGATGAAATTTATGTTATTCAATATTTTCTTTAGAAGCTATTTGACTTTTGTAGGCATACCGAAATTTTGGTTCAAAATGGATTTTACTTTGTTAGCTCAGCATCACTGGCTCCAAACGATTCCTAGCTTTCCTACTTAAATGTAGGAATGTTTGAAAAATCAGGATTTATTACATTTTGAAGATACATGTGTGTAATTCTAAAAGAATACTTTTCAAAAGTACTCGCAGAACCTTTAGAATAAATTAATCATTTTCCCAACTGATTTCAAAGGAGCAGTATATATTTTCAATATAAAATTACTGATATGTTTGCATGTATTTTACTGATTCATTTTTAATTTTGGGATCAAATACAGCTTCAAGTTCTGAGTTTATCATTTCTTAAATATTGAGATCTTTTCCTAAGTTTCCTCATCTATAAGGAGAGGGTAATATCTCAGAAGGCTATTTTGATGATTAAATTAGATAAGTGCGTCTGAATTCTTTAGCACTATTTTAGGCATAATACATCATAGCTCATAGTTAAATGTCTGATAGGGCAGAAACTTAGAACTTAACCAATAAGTCAGCAAAAATCATGCTATGCTATGGGTGTCCGTGTGTGAGGGTAATGATCTTAGCCTAAGATGGTACTGTTATTTTAATACATGTGGAAATTTGGCCAGTGTGTTTGTGGTGGTGGTTTTACAAGAGAGGAATGGTTTGAATTTATCTCTCTGTATATATGCTTTGGCTGCCAGACAGCTCAATTATTATAGCTTCCTGTAGTCTATGCTGTCTACTGAAATTATTATCCCTGGCCTTCACTCTTTTTTTAATAGCTATATTGAGGTATAATTGATGTATTCAATGTACAATTTGACAAGTTTTGATATATGTATATATCCATGAAATCATCACCACAATAAACATCACTCCAAAAATTTTCTTTTGCAATCCCTCTCTCCAGTCTCTTCTCTCAACTCCCATCTACTCTGGACCCAGGCAACAATTAATCTGTTTCTTGTCACTACAAATTAGTTTGTATTTCTAGAATTTTATATTAACAGAATCATGCAGTATGTACTCATTATTGTTTTGGATTTTTTTTTTTTTAACTGAGCTTAATTATTTTGAGATTTACCCATGTAGTTCGTTCCCTTTTTTGCTGAGTGGCATTCCATTGTATAGATATACCACAAGTTGTTTATCCATTTGCTTGTTTCTTGACATTTGGGTTGTTTCCAGTTTTTGGCTATTACAAATAAAACTACTGTTTATATTCACATACAAGTTTTGGTATTAATATATGCTTTCATTTCTTTAGGTTGAATATATAGGTGTGGAAAGGCTAGAACATATTTTAAAAAACTGCCAAACTGTTTTATAAGATGACTGTATCTTGTTACATTTCCAGCCAACTTCTCTTTATTCTTGCCAGCACATGGTATACGATCTTTTTAATTTTAGCTCTAATGGGTGTGCTATTAGGCAATAAACATTTAGGATTGTTATATTATGATTGAGCCTTTAATCATTATGAAATAACTTCCTCACCCTGATCCTCAATAATATTCTTTGTTCTGAAATTTATTTTATCGGATATTTTTATAGCCACTCCAGCTATCTTTTGATTAGTTTAAATGTGGTTTATATTTTTCTAGCCTTTTACTTTTAATCGTTCGTGCCTATATACTCAAAGTAAGTTTCTTATAGGCAGCGTGTAGTTAGGCCTTGCATTTTTATCCAATCTGACAATCTGTCTTCTAATTGGAGTGTTTGGGTCATTTACATTTAATATGATTATCTATAGTTTGGCTTATAGTTATCATCCTGCTATTGTTTTCTGTTTGTCCCATATTGTCTGTGTTTCCTATATTCTCCTCTTTTTTAAAAAAATTTGTTTGGATTAACTAAATTTTTTTATGATTTCATGTTATATCCTTGGTTGGCCTATAAGCTATAGTTCGTTGTTTTATTGTTTTAGTGGTTGCTTTAGAGTTTATAGTACACACATCTTTAACCTATCACAACCTTTCTTCAAGTGATATTTTAATATCTATGTACTGTCCAAGAGCCTTATACATTCTTAATTCTTGTATATTTATAATTTTTTTCTCCCATTTCTCGCCTCTGGATATTCGTGCTATTGTCATGTGCTTTACGTTTTACATAAATTATAAACTCCACACTACATTAATAAGCCTAGCTGCAAGTCCAGCCAGACTCCGTTCTTTCTCTTCAGGGAGTCCGCTGGGCTCCACCTGGGTTTTGCCACCCTACACTGTGGCCTGCAAAATCTCTTAAGGTAGTAAGTAGTTTGGGTAATTATAAGACTCACTCTATTTGTTTTTCATCTTTTAGAAGTTATTGTCTCTTGAATTACTTGATACCCAGTATCTTAAAAATTGTTATTTCTTATATTTTGTGTGTTTTTAAATTTCTTTCAAGTGGGAGAGTAAATCTTATCCATGCTACTTTATTCTGGCTGAGGTGACAGCTGTGATCCAGATATATTTTAATGCATAGAAACTAGTCCATTAGACATGACTTTCCTTTGGAATATTATTTTTCATACACATTTATAAAGATTCTTTTAGTATTTTTAATCCACCAAAGAAAAAAATGCATGGCAATAAACTACTTGCAGTACAGTGTGTATCTATTCCTAACAAAGTAAACTTAGTAATATTAGTAAACTTGCCTTAAAAAATCTTGTCAGTGGTTTTCCATCAGTAAACTAAAAATAATTCTTAATACCACCCTTACATTTAGTAGATATTTATAAGTTTAAAAAATTATTGTTATTGAAGGTTTAATGTAAGTATAGATTTTGCTTGTCAGGAGAAACCAGGGCAATCAGTGATCCTTCTTTTTTCTTAATTTTTAAAAGTTACAGTTCTATATTCAGAGAAGTTCAAGGCTAACTTGTAAGACTCTTATAGTTTTGATGAGAAAACATTTTATTCCTACTAATATCTGTACCCCAATAAAAGTTAAGCCTCTATTGCTTCATGCTGACTGAGAAGGTATAAACGGAAAGAATAGATCTCTGCAGGTCCTTAGCAGATTTGCAAAGTTTGAAAATGCTGAGTATCATCTGGTTTAGTTATCCACCTAATTCAGGGGTCTTCTGTATATTGCTGACTCAGCTTATTCAAACTGTTCATATGCTGTGCTTCTTGTTTTTCTATAACTGCATATAGTTGTATCTTAACAGGAAATGAAGATTATTGTACTGAATAAACTCTATAAACTAGATCATATGTACCTAGGGTTTAAATTGATAGGCTTATGAGATCCTGGCTCATGGACAGAGATTTTTGGTAGTATTAAATATCTATCTTGATTTAATCATTTCACAAGTATACATATATTAAAATGTCATGTTGAACACTAAGTATATTCAGTTTTTATTTGTTACTTATAACAGAATAAAGCTGGGGGAAATTTTTATCTTAGTGTAGTAGGTAGAATAATGGCTTCCCAAGGGTGTTCATGTCCCAATTCCAGGAAACTGCAAATGTGTTATGTTATATCACAAAGGGGAATTAAAGTAGCAGATGGAATTAAATTTGCTAAGTACCTGATATGGTTTGATTGTGTCCCCACCCAAATCTCAACTTGAATTGTATCTCCCAGAATTTCCACGTGTTGTGGGATGGACCTAGGGGGAGGTAATTGAATCACGGGGAACAGTCTTTCCTTGCTATTCTCACAATAGTGAATAAGTCTCATGAGATCTGATGGGTTTATCAGGGGTTTCCGCTTTTGCTTCTTCCTTATTTTCTCTTGCTGCAGCCATGTAAAAAGTGCCTTTCACCTCCCGCCATGATTCTGAGGCCTCCCTAGCCATGAGAAACTGTAAGTCCAATTAAATCTCTTTTTCTACCCAGTCTTAGGTGTCTTTATCAACAGTGTCAAAACGGACTAATGTAGGACCTGACCTTAAATCACAAAGGTTTTTAAAGGTGGAAGACAGACAGAAGAGAAGACTGAAGTGACGAGATGTGAGGAATTGGGTCTTTACCTTTCCAATATGACTAGGACTTCTTTGAACATGAAGTAAGGGGATGATGAGCCAAAGAATACAGCAGCCTCTAGAAGGTGGAAAAGGCAAGGAAACAAATTCTCCCCTAGAGGCTTCAGAAAGGCATAGAAGCCTTCCAACACCTTGATTTTAGCCCAGTGAAGCCTGTGTCAGACTACTAACCTACAAAACTGTAGATAGTAAATGTGCATTGTTTTAAGAACTAAATTTGTGATAATTTGTTATAACAGCAATAGGAAATGAATACACTTAGTTATCTCCCAAAACTTAAATGAAAGTGTAAACACTTTGGCATGTTTCATATGACTATAGGATCGAATGCTTTTACATAAAACAGTTATTATTTCAATACAAAATTGAAATGCTGCCAGAGTTTATGGTGAAGTATGTATTAGCTAAGCCATAAGTGAGGTGCAGAAATTTATCGCATTGTAACTTCTCAAAGAGAAAAAGTAGAAAGTGAACTAACAGAGTCTCACAATATTAGTACTTAGCACATTGTCTGATACTGTTGATATTAATGAAGAAATTTAAACTGACTCATGAAATGTGAAACTCTACAGTCTGGGATATTGTCACTAGGCTGTAATTAAAAGATGCCAAATAATTGTTACTGGCAGTCATCATAAATGTTATATTTGGTCTCTTGGTTTCTTTATTCAACATTGCCTACAAGCTTTTTATATCAGTGAGGACCAAGTCATTAATGGAACCACAGAGCAAACTTATTCTAAATATTGAAACAGTAAAATTTCTTTAGAGTGCAACTTTCCTGGGCTAGATGAAGACTAAGGATTTCACATTTGAGTTAATGTAAGAAACCATAAAGAGAGAGAAGAAATGCTCTGTAACTGTGTTTCAAATTTGAAAGCTTGCACAGTCTTGAGTAAGCAACTGTGAATTCCTGGGATTCCACAGGATGTACTGGTTAAGAGGGCATAGCTTTTTTTGAGAAAAACCTATGAGTTCAACAGAGGTATAAAAGTCAGAGTAAAAATAGCAACAGACTCTTTAAATAGCTCATGCAACTCTGAAGCAAAAATAATTTTTACATCGTTAATGCAAGGAAATGACTACGGTAGAGTAGAGTCACAATTATAAATATGAAGGGCAGACACACACACACATTGTTATTTTACATTTTGAGATTTACATGTATTCTGTGTAACATTTCTGTAAGAATATATATATGTAATATATATGCTATATATATATTCCTTATTATACAAATTTAGTATAAAGAGTCCTCTTTTTATATGATGCAAATTTTTCTTAGCCTCCAAGAGAAGAAAACACAATGAAAGCAAGGTTTGAATCATCTATATGGTTTTGACCTTTAAGCATCTGGTGGCAAGTGCTTTGTCAGCCCATTACTATGTAACATACCTGATGAGCTCATCAAATTATCTTACTTTGCTGATAGTATTTCTCTGTTTCAAAAAAGAAATGTACTTAATGCTATCAGACAATCATCATAATAAAAAAAGACTAGTATTATTAAAGTTTTGTTTGCCTGGAAACTCTTGTTGTTGAATAAAAGCAAAGTTTAAAAAATATTTTTTTCCTCCAAATTTCGGTCTGGAATGCCACCCAGGCCTCTCAATCTAGCTTTGAACTTGAGTCTAAAGAAAATATTTGATCTTCTTTGTCTTTCAACTTGACAAAATGTTCTTCTTTTTTGAAATCCCCCTTTATAAAACACATTGACAAGCACACTTTGTTTTAAGTGTGCTTGTCAATGTGTTTTATAAAGATAAAGCTCTTAGAAGTATGACACGAGTCTTTTTTTGTTTAACCTTTGAACATCCTCTTAAGTATCTACCCCACCAAGTTGACATCCAAAAAATATTTCTCATTAAAATCTTACTTGTCCTATACTGGTTTGGAAGTAATAGAAGAAAGTGTTGGATTTACTTTTTTCACTTAGAGGCTTAAATACTTAAAGGTAACATTTCATTTCATTGAACAAATATGCATTGAGGCCCTTATGCATGGCGATGGTTAATACTCATTAAAAGATTAACTGACACAGCCAGCGTGACTAAGTTATGTGTTTGATACTTAAGAAACTTAAAAGTCATCCATGGATTACAAAATATATTTATAATGAAACAAAAACCCATACTTGTTGCCAAATGATGTTATTTGGTCAAATGACCAAAGGATACCAGATTCCAGCTCTATAAGTACTCCTTATTGCATGAAATAAATATACAGAAAAAGGGCAAACTTATACTTTATCAATAGGTGATGATTTTGCTTTAATCTAATGCAGGACCCTAGTGACCTAGGCTGAAACCTGAGAAAAACTCTTTCCTAAGTGCTTCCAACCTGAAATGCCCACTCAGCCTTTCTTTTCCATGAAAGTAGGATGTATAGATGGGGGTAAGAGGAGACATAATAGAGAACACAAATTATCTCTAGTCACAATGGAGAATAATGAAGAAATATAGCTTATTAAAATGTGTGATGTGAGTCTACATAAAATGACAAGGATAATTGAATCTTTGTAAGTGACCTTTGCTGACTCTGGGATTAACTTTAAATAGCAGGCCTCTGACATTCCCTTAATTTTTGTTAAAATAGAAGTGAGACTATTCTGGCCTGCGATGGTGACTCATATTTGTAATCCCAGTGCTTTGGGAGGCCAAGGCACGCAGATGGCGAGAGTTCAGGAGTTCAAGATCAGCTTGGGCAACATGGTGGTGAGAACTTGTAGTCCCAGCTACTTGGAAGGCTGAGGTGGGAGGACAGCTTGAGCCTGAGAGGTGGAAGTTGCAGTGAGCCAAGATTGCGCCACTACACTCCAGCCTGGGTGACAGAGCCAGACCCTGTTTCACACTCACACAAAAAGAAGTGAGAATATTCTGATTTTAAATCAAACAACTTAATCTATGAGCTTCTGCTTTACGCTAACTGAAAAGTCATCATTAGGAAAGATGTATTAGCTACTAAGATAGCCATTAATAAGTAATAATATAATTGTGTGTGGTCAAATAAATGCATTTGTATATCACTTTAGACTACATCTTGTATAATACAGCATAAATAATAAAAGCCAGATCTTTTTTTTCCTGGAATTTGTCATTCACTCAGTTTACATTTTAAAAAGGCACTTAATTTGGCTGGCCTTCAGAGAATTCCTGATTCCTCAGTATGTTGATGTCTTCTAATATCAGAATGTTGGAGTGCAGTGACCTTCATTTATATTTCAACTATGAGCTAAGTCTAAAAATAGACCTCATAGCACCCATTGAGCCCACTACTTTATGAGCAAACTATATGATAAAGTATTTTTTAAGGAAAAGTAAAGAGATCTTGGTCTTAACAGATATGGGAGAACAAAGAAAACCAACATGGCTGTGGCAGAGAGTGAGAAGTGTCTGCCACCCACAAGAAGAGGAAGAGAAGGATTCCTGCAGGGCTCCTTGCACCACTAGGAGGGCTGCAAGATGAAGCTTGAATCCTATGCAGAAATGGTTAGTAGAGCTGCAGACACACATGCAGCTTTTGGGAGCAGTAGCACATACTTGAAAGAGGGCTTAGAGTCTGCACAGTCACCTTTCCATCTATTCTTCTGGCTTCTACCTGACCAGGCCACTCACTCAAACACTACTTTCATCAAGATTACCAGTGGTCTCCATGCTGCCACATCCAAGGATCAGCCCCCAAGTATCATACCCTCTCCTCAGTATTTTACACAGGTTGCTACTATCTTTTCCCTCAAACATATTTCCTTTGGTTTCCACCAAATCACACTCTTCCAGCTTTCCTTTTACCTCACTGGCCATTCCTTCTTAGAGAACTTTGCTGGCTTCACTTCCTTTCTCTACTTTAAATGCTGAATCTAAATGGTGCAACCAAATGTGTGATTGTGCACTTTCTACCTACATGAACTTGCTACTAGTGCCCTGGGTTCTTGTAACCGAATCGTTTTAGTAGAACTGGCACCAATTCTTATTTAAAGGTCTGGTAGAATTTGGGATGTGAATCCATCTGGGCCTTGGCTTCTTTTTGTTGTTAGCAATTTTAAAATTACAGATTCAATCTCACTGCTTGCTATTAGTCTGTTCAGAATTTCTACTTCTTCCTGATTCAATCTAGGAGGGTTGTATGTTCCCAGGAATTTATTCATTTCCTCAAAATTTTTAGTTTGTGTGCATAGAGGTGCTCATAGTAGTCTTAAATGATCTTTTGCATTACTGTGGTGTTGTTGTAATGTCTCCATTTTCATTTCTCAAACTCCTGGCTGCAAGCAATCCTCCTGCCTTGGCCGTCCAAAGGGCTGGGATTAGAGGTGCGAGCAACCATGCCCAGCCCTCCATTTTTATTTCTAATTGAGTTTATTTGAATCCTCTTTCTTCTTTCCTTGGTTAATCTAGTTAATGGTCTATAAATTTTGTTTATCTTTCCAAATAACCACCTTTTTGTTTCATTAATATTTTATATAGTTTTTCATTTTAATTTCATTTAGTTCTACTCTAATCTTTGTTATTTCTTTTCATCTGCTAGCTTTGGGTTTAGTTTGTTCTTGTTTCGTTAGCTTCTTGAGGTATGGCTTTACACTGTCAATTTGTGATCTTTCAGACTTTAATGTAGGCATTTAGTGCTATAAACTTTCCTCTTAGCATTGCTTCTGCTGTATCCCAGAAGTTCTGATAACTTGTGTGTAACTATTATCACTCATTTTGAATAAATTTAAATTTCCATCCTGATTTCACTGTTAACCCAAAAATCATTCAGGAGCAGACTGTTTAATTTCCACGTATTTGTATACTTTTGGAGCTTTCTTTAGGAGTTGATTTCAGGTTTTATCACTGTGGTCTGAGAATATACCTGATATGATTTCTATTTTTAAAAATTTATTGATACTTTTTTTGTGGCCTCTCACATATGCTGTCTTGGAGAGTGTTCTATGTGCTGAGAAGAATGTATATTCTGCAGGTCTTAGGTAGAATGTTCTGAAAATATCTATTAGGTCCATTTGTTCTAGAGTGCAGTTTAAGGAAAGTGTTTCTTTGTTAACTTTCTGCCTTAATGATCTGTCTAGTGTTGTCAGTGGAGTGCTGAAGTGCTCAAGTCTTTTGCTATTATTGTGTTGCCGTCTATCTCTTTTCTTAGGTCTAGTAGTAATTGTTTTATGAATCTGGGAGCTACAGAGTTAGGTGCACATATTTTTAGAATTGTAATATCTTCTTGTTACGTTGATCCTGTTATCATATATTTTGACCTTTTTTTTTTGTCTTGTTTTTAACTTTTAAAGACAGTTTTATCTGATATAAGGATAGCTATTCCTGCTTGCTTTTGTTTTCCATTCGTGTGGAGTATCTTTGTCCACCCCTTTGCCTTGAGTCTGTAAGAATCCTTACATGGGCCGGGTGCAGTGGTTCACACCTGTAATCCCAGCACTTTGGGAGGCCGAGGCGGACGGATCTCGAGGTCAGGAGATCGAGATCAACCTGGCTAACACGGTGCAACCCCGTCTCTACTAAAAATACAAAAAATTAGCCAGGCATGGTGGCGGGCACCTGTAGTCCCAGCTACTCGGGAGGCTGAGGCAGGAGAATGGCATGAACCCAGGAGGCGGGGCTTGCAGTGAGTAGAGATAGCGCCATTGCACTCCAGCCTGGGTGACAGAGCAAGACTCGGTCTCAGAAAAAAAAAAAAAAAAGAATCCTTACATGTTAGGTCTCCTGAAGACAGCAGATGTTTGATTTGTGATTTTTTTTTTTTTATCCATTCTGCCAATCTGTATTTTTAAAGTGGAACATTTAGACCATTTACCTTCAGTGTTAATATTGAGATGTGAGATATTGTTCCAGTCATCATGTTGATTGTTACCTAGATACTTTGTTTTCTTCATTGTTCTTGTTTGTTTGTTTTTGTTTTTGAGACAGAGTCTTACTCTGTTGCCCAGGCTAGAGTGCAATGGCACAATCTTGGCTCAGTGCAACCTTCACCTCCCAGGTTCAAGTGATTCTCCTGCCTCAGCCTCCGGAGTAGTTGGGATTACAGGAGCCCACCACCACGCCCAGCTAATTTTTGTATTTTTAGTAGAGATGAGGTTTCACCATGTTGGTCAGGCTAGTCTCAAACTTCTGACCTCAGGTGATCCACCTGCCTCAGCCTCCCAAAGTGCTGGGATTACAGGCGTGAGCCACTGTGCCCGGCCATGTTATTGTTTTTATAAACTGTGAATTTTATGCTTTCAAGAGGTTCTATTTCAGTGCATATTGATCTTTTGTTTCAAGACTTAGAACTTCTTTTAGCATTTTTTGTAGGACTGCTCTAGCAGTGCTAAATTCACTCAGCATTTGCTGTCTGGAGAAGACTTTATTTCTTCTTCATTTATGAAACTTAGTTTTGCTGGATACAAAATTCTTGGCTAAAAGTGATTCTGTTTAAGGAGACTAAATATAAGACCCCAATCCCTTCTGGCTTGTAAGGTTTCTGCTGTGAAGTCTTCTGTTAGTCTGATAGGTTTTCCTTTATAGGTTACCTGATGCTTTTATCTCACTGCTCTGAGAAGTCTTTCCTTTCTATTGACTTTAGATAGCCTCGTGACTGTATTCCTTGATGATGTCCTTTTTGCAGTGAATCTCCCAGGAGTTCTTTGGGCTTCTTGTATTTGTTAACCTAAATCTCTAGTAACACCTGGGAAGTTTTCCTCAATTATTTCCTCAAAGAAGTTTTCCAGACTTTTTGTTTCTCTTTTCCCTCAGGAACACCAGTGATTCTTAGGTTTGGACATTTTACATAATCCCATATTTCTTGGAGACATTGTTCATTTCTTTTGATTCTTTTTTCTTTATTTTTGTCTGATTGGGTTAGCTCAAAAGCCTTATCTTTGAGCTTTGAAATTATTTCTTTACTTATTCCAGTCTATTGTTAAAATTTTACACTGTATTGGCCGGGTGGCGAGTTGACTCATGCCTGTAATCCCAACACTTTGGGAGGCCAAGGCAGGCCAATCACTTCAGATCAGGAGTTCAAGACTAGCCTGGCCAACATAGGAAACCCTGTCTCTACTAAAATACAAAAATTAGCTGTGCGTGGTGGCAGGCGCCTATAATCCCAGCTACTCGGGAAGCTGAGGCAGGAGAATTGCTTGAATCTGGGAGGTGAAGGTTGCAGTAAGTCAAGATTGCATCACTATACTCTAGCCTGGGCAACAGAGTGAGACTGTCAAAAAAAAAAACCCAAAAAACAAAAAACAAAAAAAAACAAGCAAACAAACAAAACTTTACACTGCAGTTTGTAATGCCCTAAATGTATTTTACATTTCCAGAAGTTATGATTGATTTTTCTTTAAAATATCTGTTTAGAAAATTTTTGATTCATATCCTGAATTGTTTTTACATTTCTTTATGTTGGTTTTCACCTTTCTCTTATATCTCCTTAAGTAGCATAATAATCAACTCTTTGAATTCTTTATCTGGTATTTCAAAGATTTCATCTTGCTTTGGATCCATTGCTGGAGATGTACTGTGATCTTTTGGGGGATGTTGTAGAACCCTGTTTTGTCATATTGCCAGAATTATTTTTCTGGTTCTTTCTCATTTTTTCCTAACTATTCTTGAATTTATTTTTGATTCAACTGTGTTTTTTTTTTTATTTATTTTTTCTTTCCCCTTGAAGGATGTGGCTTCAATGTTTACAGTTCATTGTTACCTAATTTGGGTTTGGTGCTTTCAGGGGTGAAGGCTCTATATGAGTTCCTTGGTTATAAGTCTCTGTATAATAGCTTTCTTAGAAGCTGGCTATAGTAGCAATGTACTCAGTGTGTGAACAAGTTCACTGACTCCTATGAGGTTGGTATGGCAGAGGTCTCTTAAAACTTATCTCATTCTTCTGTGGTATGCACTTATTTATTTATGCCCTAGTATTTTATTTTCTGGGTTGAATAGTTCAGGCTTCAGATGAATAGGGAAGGAGTCCATGGGTTAAAACTGGCTGTGGCTAAAGCAGGTGGGTCGATGCAATACCTAATGGGGCACTGAGGTCCCAGCCTTGACAGAGGTGATTGGGGACCTCTTGGTGAAATGTGCTGAGGTCTTATCAGGGGGTAGGGTGGGAGCCACCTCAGCTCCGCTGCCAGGCTAGTAGGAAAGTGAACTATCTCCCAGTCACACTCCTGACCCTGTGTTTCAGCTATTCAGATCAGACAGGTATTTATTTTTATTTTGATGTTCCATATAAAGAGGGATCATGACTCTACCCTTCATGCAAGACAGACCTGGAGGGCACTCCTGCCGTGAGGATGCAGTCACTTTGAAGTGTTCCAGAAAGGCTGTCTACAGGTATACTCATGCTGAGCTCACATGGGAGAAGCCCCAGCTGTGTCTGCAGTGGTAGATGAAGGGAAAAAGAAGTCCCCTTCTCCAGGATCCTTCACAAGCACAAGGGCTGCTTGCCTGTTGGGGTAGAGCCACAGACTTTCCTCTCTGAGCCCAGCACTGCATCTGTGCCTCTGTTGAAATAAACTTTCCACAAGCAGAAAGTTCTGAGACTCAAGCCTTGCTGTCTGGATTCTTTTGTCCCACAGGTTGCTTCCTTGATGTGGTGCCATCCCCCTTCCCCTAGGAACAGGAGCCTCTGAGAGCCAGACTACTGTGTGTGCTGCTGCTGCTCTGGGTCCAGCTGCCCAGTGGGCTGCCACATTCCAGGCTGGTTCTGGAGAATGTCTGCAAGGGGTCCAGTGATATGCCTTGTCCTCAAGTCTCCCAGCAGTGGGCACCAGCACTAGCTCTGATGGGGGTGGCAGAAGAGTGACACAGACTGTGAGATTTCCTTGGTTATGAATAGTCTTAGTGTGTTGGCTTTCTCCAATACTGGTTGCAGTAATGATGAACTGGTCACATGGACAGACTCAGGACCTCCTAGCTAGCCAGGATGCTGCAGGCATTCTGATAGCTGAGGTCACACATAAGTTTTCTCCTTCATTGGTGTTATGTTATTCTACCTGGCAATGCTATAATGGACTGTGTCAGCTCACTTCCAGCCAGCAGGTGGTGCTTGCAAAAAGCATCAGCTGCAGTGGCAGTGGTGGGATTTGTGCTTGCCTTATGGTATCCAGGGGAGGTACTCTGGTGTCTCTGGCAATGAGTGGGGCCATAGGGTCCCTAAAAGTTTCTGTCCTTTTTGTTCAGATACCAGGAGGGGTGGAGGTGCAAAGTCAGTGGGGGCTGGGTCTTGAATGTCTGTGCTCTGGCTGTCCACTTGTGGGGCATGCAGGAGGCCCAGTTGGGGTCAAAAGGTGGTTATCTGGCCATTGGAGTAATGTTCCAGGGAGGAGCACAGCTGCTTCTGCTGCACAGAAGAGTCTGCCTGGGAAGTGGGGAGTAGCAGGCAGCAGTAAGCCCAAGCCAATTCCCATGCACTTGGCAAGTCAGGTCTCACACCTACAGCGTTCCACTAGCAACAGCTAGCTTGGTTCCAGTCAGCCTGTGCTCAGAACTCAAAACTTCCCAGGGAGACAGTGACGATGACTTTCAGGCCATGTCCCTCCCAGTCCACCTGCAAACAGCTCCTATGCTTGTGGCTGCAGCACACTTCCCAGTTGCCCCTTGGTTCTGGCCAAGGGAGTTTGTCTTCGATTGAGATTATATTGCAAATCTCAGTTGGGAACTTCTTTTAACCTGTGACTGCTGCCTGAGTCAGCTGACAGACATCTGTGTGGTCATCTGTGAGGCAGAATCAGAAATAGCTTCCCTCCGTCCTTACTGGAGACTGGGATTGCACACAAAGCACTTTCTAGTGCTGGTCTTCTTGTACACTCCCCACTGGAGCTAAATCAGCTTCAGCACTGGGTAGGGTTAAGGCCTTCCTCTGTGGCCAGGGTTACTGGGTTTCCCAGTGGGGGTGTGTATCCTGGAGGTAGTTTATACCCCTCTCACACTGGTCCTGGCTCATGAATTTTTACCTGGGTTTGTGAACTGACAGAAGCTAATTTATTATTTTTGGTAAATGTTTATTGCCACTTATAGTTAATAAGTAGGTGCAAGCTTGCATGTCCTCATAACCAGGAAGCAAAGCAAACATGTGTCAGGCTAGATGTTGCCTGCCACACCAATGAACAACCATATCACAGAGATGTAACCCATTCCCTAAGCCTATTGAAGTTACAGCTCTCTGTTCTTTTAGATGCTCAACAGCCTCTCATATGAAAGATTTATCTAAGGCAAATTCAGCATTATTCTAGTGTCAGAATTTGGTCAATTATCTACTGGAAACAGTCAACTAAGAATTCTCAGAACCAGCAGTTGAACGTAGGATCATTTAAGGATACAGCCTAGGGTGCTATACTTAAAAATACAGGCCACAGAACTCTAAATGTTCATTTGTCCAAATATGAGGAAATGTCTCTCTGAAATTCTAACAATCTAAATAATATTTTAAACAACTCTAAACTTATCCTGGGTATCACTAATTTTTGCCAATGAGAAACCTATTTCTTACACTCATTATGTGCATTATGAAAGCCCCAACTGTTGCCAAAAGCTAAACATAGTTGAAGCGTATTTATTAGCCACCCCATAAGTGTGACCTTTCCAATTAAATGCTAGCTAATTATACCAGAAATGTAAATTCCTGATTTAGGTAACTGGCTTCTCCTATGTATAGACTGAAATGAGCTAACAATTTATATCACATTAGATATATTCAACAATTTTAAATAAATTACAGATATAAATATACCAGCAAAAGATGCTACTCATTAAGGAAGACAATTACCATCCTAATTAACTGAATTTATATACAACTAGGGAATCCCAGCCATGAAGTTCACTGAATTCTTGTCAGTCACTATAATAGGTTACATTGAACTTTATTTATAGTTGCTCTGTCAATAACTGTAAATCTAAGACACATAGCCTTTTTCTTTGGATTCATATTATACATACTATACAATTCTTTTTTGTAGTCATGGAAGTTAGCACATCCTACTCAGCTTTGTCACTTGACTAAATTTTTCATTTCTTTGCCTTTTCAGAATCCTGAGGAATAGAAATAGGAATTCTCTTTAACTTTAAAGATCTTTGAATTTGATGAAATATTTTTATTCCTACCTATAATTTCAGGATCCTTGAATTCTTATGGATATTTTTATCAGCTGAATCCTACATATTTCTTATGTTCTTGAGTAACTTATAATAACAACCTATAAGGTCAGTCTACTGATATAATTGCTATTATGCCACAATGCAGGAGACACTCAAGTATATGAACTCCTTCTTTTCTAAGGGATCATTCTCAAGAAGAAAACATACAATGTTATTTTTAGGTATATATGACATATGCCAGTGGCTCTCAAATATATATCTTTAACCCCAATTACTTTCCTGAATTCTAGAGTTTTATTTCCAGTCTTCTACTAGACATTTCTACTTACATATCTAATAAGTATCTCAAGCAATCACGGACAAAATTGAACTATTGAATTTTGCACCCACTTCTTTAATCTCTTCCTCCTTACATCTTTCTCATGACAGTACCAAAGCATGAATATTCATTCATGTACTCAGGCCAATAATCTAGGAGTTATTCTTGATTCCTCTCTTTGGCTTGCCCATTCCTCCTGTTCCATCTACCCCATCATTAAGTTCTGTTGCCTCTGCCTATAAAAGTACCCTGAGTCACTCCATCCAACTCACCATCATCTCTCAGCAGGACAATTTCAATATATCTTCAACTGATCTTGCTGCTTCCGCTCCTGCTCTTCTGTCATCCATTCTTCATGAAGTGATTTTGTTAAAATTGAAATCAGATGTTCTTCCCTCCCCAAAACTCTCTAAAATTTTCTTACCACTCAGAATAAAATCCAAACTTATTACCTATTTTTTTTTTACAAGATATGATCTTTGTGAATTATTTGACCTCATCACCTAGCCCCTTCCTTACTCACTAGACACTGGTCAGAGAGCTTTTTTATTTCAAACTCACTGAGCTTATTTCTGTCACAGGGATTTTGCTCTAGCCCTTCCCTCTGAATAGAACACCGTTTCCTCTAATTGTAGGAAGGCTGACTCTTTTTGAATAATTAAAATTTCAGTGTAAGGTACCCCTTGCTGCCCTGTATCATTTCACATTATTTTAATTCTGTCCATTGCATTTCTCAATACTTATATATTTTTTGTGATCACTATATGGCTTTTCCAATAATATGTACAGATCATGCCTATTTTGTTCACTACTGTATTTCCAGGGCTTATGGGATATGATATATTTAATGTATTTTTTTAAAAGAACAAACATTCAGAATATAATCTAGCTCTCCAAATATCTATTGATAATTTCATCCACATGTCCCATAGGCACCTCATTATTTAATTCCATAATTACTCTTTTTTCTGTATCCCCTATGACAAAGACTATCATCACCCATCCATGTGATTTTTTTTAATGCTCTCATAGGTGACTTACAGGTCCAGAAAAGATTATTCAGAGACTACATTTTCTTTGATGTGTGAATTTGATTTGATCCTATGAATTTGATAATATTTATTAATATGCCAAGTTAAGTCACCTTTAAATTTGTTTTAACCAGTTACTTAATTTCATTTATATATCTATTGTACTTAAGATTTGTTTTAGAATCACTTTATGTGACTCACTAACAAATAACACCATCAGAATTACTTAATAAATTCTTAAAAATCTAGTAAATTAAACTTATGCATATGCTGAGTCTTACATTCTCTGAAATGTTGCAGTATTGTTCATATACCTAATAAAATTTTACTTTAAAATAACAAGTTTAAATCAACTATAATTTTTACACTTTATACTAGAAATAGAAAATAATCAAAGGGAAAAAATTCTCATAAACCTAAAATAACTAATATGAACAGTTTTGTTCTCTTTACACAAAAATATTAATATTGAGGCAGGAGCTGGAGCAATACGGCTGAATAGAAGTCTCCAGCAGTCGTATCTTCCCACAAGAACACCACATTGAACAACTATCCACACAAAAATGTACCTTCAGAAGAACCAAAAATCAGGTGAGCAATCACAGTACCTGGTTTTAATATCATATTAAGGAAAGAGGCACTGAAGAGGGTAGGAAAGACAGTCTGGAATCATCTACATCACCCTGCCCCATCCACTGGCTGTGGCTGTGTGACAGAGAGAGAATCTCTGCACTTAGGGGAGGGAGAACACAGTGATTGTGGGACTTTGCATTAGAACTCAATGCTGCCCCATTACAGCAGAAAGTAACATGGGGCAGAACTCAGCCAGCACCAACAGAGGGAGCATTTAGACCAGCCCTAGCCAAAGGAGAATGACCCATTCCAGTGGTCAGAACCTGAGTTCTGGCAAGCCCTGCCACCACAGACTAAAGTGCTAGGGGGTCTTAAATAAACTTGAAAGGCAGTCTAGGACACAAGGACCACAATTCCTGGACAAGTCCTGGTACTGTGCTGGGCTCAGAGTCAGTGGACTTGGGGTACACATGACCTAGTGAGACACCAGCCAGGGTGGACAAGGGAGTGTTTGTGTCAACCTTCATCTGACCCCAGGCAGCACAGCTCACAGCTGCAGGAGAGACTTCTTTCTTCTGCTTCAGGAAAGGAGAGAGGAGAGTAAAGAGGGCTTTGTCTTGAAACTTGGATATCAACTCTGCCACAGTAGAAAAGGGCACCAGGCAGAGTGTTGAGGCCCTATTCCAGGCCCTAGCTCCCAGACAACATTTCTAGACATACCCTGGGCCAGAAGGGAAGTTGCTACCTTGAAGGGAGGGAACCAATCATGGCAGGATTCATCACTTGCTAACTAAAGAGAACTTGGGCCCTGAATAATCAGCAGCAGTCTTCAGGCAGTACTCACCATAAACTTTGGGTGAGACTCAGAGATGTGCTAGCTTCAGGTGTGACCCAGCATATTCCCAGCTGTGGTGGCTCTGTGGGGAGAGACTCCTTCTGCTTGAGGAAATAATATGGAAGAGTAAAGAGAATTTGGTTTTGCAGCTGGGTATCTGCTTGGTAACAGTGGGATAGAGCATGAAGTAGGCTCCTGGATCCCTGATTACAGGCCTTAGCTCCTGGAGGGCATTTCTGCACTTGCCCTGGGTCAAAAGGGAGTCCACTGCCCTGAAGAGAGAGTCCCAGGCCTGGCAGCATTCACCACAAGCTGACTGAGGAATGGGCCTGGAATAAACATTAGTGGTAGCCAGGCAGTACTCACTACAGGCCTGGAACAGTGGAGGCCACAAGGAAAGACTCCTCTGCTTGTGGAAAGACAATAGAAAAGTGGGAAGGACTTGGTCTTTTGGCTTGGGTGTCAGTTCAGCCACAGTAGGATAGAGCACCAGGAAGATGTCTAAGTTTTCTGAACCCTGGCCCTGACTCTTGGATAGCATCTCTTGATCCACCTGGGGCCCAGGGAAACTAACTGTCCTGAAGGAAAGGACATAAGCCTACCCAGCTTTACCACATGCTGATTGTAGAGCTCTAGGACCATGAGTGAACATAAGTGATAACCAGGCAGTGGTTACTGCAAACCTTGGGTGAGACCCAGAGCTGTGCTGGGTTCAGATCTGACCCAACGCTGTCCCAGTGGTGGTGGTCACAGGGGTGCTTGTGTCACCTCTCCTCCAGCTTCAGGCAGCTCAACACACAGAGAGAGACTCTACTTAGGAGAGAACAAAAGTCTCTGCCTGGTAATCCAGAGAATTCCTCTGGATTTTATCCAAGACCACCATGTTGATACCTCTATGAGTCTGTAAGAGCCACAGCTGGGCTTGGGGTGCTCCCTAATATAGATACAGCTGCAGTAACCCAAACCTTAGATTGCAACACCCAAATGCCTTCAAATAACTGGAAAGCCTTCAAAAGAAGGATAAATACAAACAAGCCCAGACTGTGAAGCCTACAATTCATAGCTAACTCTTAAATGTCCAGACACTGATGGACATCCACAAGCATGAAGACCATCCAGGAAAACATGACCTCCCCAGAAAACCTTAATAAGGCACCAGTGACCAATTATGGAGAGACAGAGAATTCAAAATAGCTGTGTTGAGGAAACTCAATGAAATTCAGGATGACACAGAGAAGGAATTCAGTCCTATCAGATTAATTTAACAAACAGATTAAAATAATTAAAAGGAATCAGGAAGAAATTCCAGAGTTGAACAATGCAGTTGACATACTAATAATGCATCAGAGTCTTTTAAGAGCAGAATTGATCAAGCAGAAGAAACAATTAGTGAGCTTGAAGACAGGCTATTTGAGATACACAGTCAGAGAAGACAAAAGGAAAAAATAAAAAAGAATGAAATATGTTTACAAATTAAGAAAATTACCTCAAAAGGGCAAATCTAAGAGTTATTGGCCTTTAAGGGGAGGTAAAAAAGAGAGACAGATGTATAAAGTTTATTCAAAAGGATAGTAACAGAGAACTTCCCAAACTTAGAGAAAGATGTCAATATTTAAGTACAAGAAGGTTATAGAACACCAAGTAGACTTAACTCAAATAAGACTACAGCAAGGCATTTAATAATCGAACTCCTAAAGGTCAAGAATAAAGAAAGGATCATAAAAGCAGGAAGAGAAAGGAAACAAATAACATAGAAAGGAGCTCCAATATGATTGGCAGCAGACTTCTCGGTAGAAGCCTTATAGACCAGGAGAGAGTGGCATTACATATTCAATGTGCTGAAGGATAAAAACTTTTACTCTAACATAGTTTATCCAGTGGAAATATCCCTCAAATATGAAGGAAGAATAAAGATTTTCCCAGACAAACAAAAGCGAAAGGATTTCATTACCTGACTTGTCCTACAATAAATGCTAAAGGGAATTCTTCAATCTGAAAGAAAAGGACATTAATGAGCAATAAGAAATCATCTAATGGTACCAAACTCACTTGTAAGAGTAAATACACAGCAAAACAGAACATAATAACACTGTAATTGTGGTTTGTAAACTACTCACATCTAGAGTAGAAAGACTAAAAAATGAAGCTATCGAAACTAATGACAATAACTTTTCAAGACATAGACAGTATAGTAAGATGTAAATAGAAACAAGAAATAAGTTAACAAGTGGGAAGATGGAGTTAAAGTATAGAGTTTTTACTAGTTTTCTCTTTGGATGTTTGCTAGTTTGTTTGCTTGTTTATGCTATCAGTGTTAAGTCATCATCAGTTTAAAATAATGGGTTATATGATATCATTTGCAAGCCTCATGGTAACCTCAAATTAAAAAAAAAAGCATACAACAGATACATGAAAACCAAACAAACAAAAAAAGAAATTAAAACATACCACCAGAGAAAATCACCTTCACTAAAAGAAAGACAGGAAGGAAGGAAGAAGAGAAGACAAAACAACCAGAAAACAAATAACAAAATCACAGGAGTAAGTCCTTACTTATCAATAATAACAGTGAATGTAAATGAACTAAAGTCTCCAATCAAAAGACATAGAGTGACTCAATGGGTTAAAAAATAAGACCCAATAATCTGTTGCCTACAAAAACCACACTTCACCTATAAAGACACACATAGACTAAAAGGGATGGAAAAAGATATTCCATGCAAATAGAAAACAAAATCAGCAAGAATAATTATGCTTATAGCAGACAAAATAGTCTTCAAAAAAATAGTCAAATAAGATAATTTTATAATTAAAGGGTCAATTTAGCAAAAAGTTATAACAATTGTAAATATATATGCACCCAACACTGGAGCACCCAGATACATACAGTAAATATTATTGGAGCTGAAGATAGAGACAGACCACAATACAATAACAGCTGGAGACTTCAACATCCCATTGTCAGCATTTAATAGACAGAAAATCAACCCCCAAACAAAAAATCAGACTTAACCTGCACTACAGGCAAAGTGGACCTAATAGATATTTATGTAACATTTCATCCAAGAGCTACAGAATATGCATTCTTCTCCTGAACCCATGGATTACCCTCAAGGATAAACCATATATTAGGCCAAAAAACAAGTATTTAAAAATTCAAAAAAAATAGAAATTATTTCAAGTGTCTTCTGTCATCACAATGGAATAGAACTGGAAATAATAACAAAAGGAATTTTGGAAACTATGCAAATATACATAAATTACATAATATTCTATTGAATGGCCAGTGGGTCAATAAATAAATTAATAGGAAATTTTAAAAACGTGTTAAAACAAATGAAAATGGAAACACAACATACCAAAACCTATGGGGTACAGCAAAAGCAGGACTAAGAGGAAAGTTTACAGCAATAAGCATTTACGTCAAAAAAAAAGCTTCAAATAAATAACTTAATAATACAACTTGAAGAATTAGAAAAGCAGGAGCAAACCAAACTCAAAATTAGTGGAAGAAAATAAGCAATAAAAAATTAGAGCAGAAAAAATAAAATTGAAATAAAACTACAAAAGATTAATGAAATTAAAAGTTGGAATTTTGAAAAGATAAACAAAATGGACACACCTTCAGACAAAGAAAAGAAAGATCCAAATAAATAAAATCAGAGATGAAAAAGGAAACATTACAACTGATAACACAGGGATTCAAAGGATCATTCAAGGTTACTATAAGCAACTATATGCCATTAAATTGAAAAACCTAGAAGATATGGATAAATTCTTAGACACATGCAACCCACCAAGATTGAGCCATGAAGAAATCCAAAACCTGAACAGACCAATAACAAGTAATGAAATTGAAGCCATAATAAAAAGTCTTCCAGGAAAATAAAGCCCAGGATCTAAGGGCTTCATGCTGAATTATGCCAAATATTTAAAGAGCTAATACCAATCCTACTCAAACTATTCCAGGAAATAGAAAACAAGGGAATATTTCCAAACTCATTCTACAAGGCCTGTATTACTTTGACATTGAAACTACAGACACATTTAAAAAAGAAAATTGCAGGCCAATATCCCTGATGAACACTGATGCAAAATGCTCAACAAAATACTAGCAAACCAAATTCAACCACACATTAAAAAGGTCATCATCATGACCAAGTGCGATTTATCCTAGGGATGCAAGTATGGTTCAACATATGCACATCAATGCCATACATCATATCAACAGAATGAAGGACAAAAACCATATAATTATTTCAATCGATACTGAAAAAGCATTTGATAAAATTCAATATCCCTTCATGGTAAAAAAAAAAAAAAAAAAAACAAACAAAACTCAAGAAACTGGGTATAGAAGAAACACACCTCAGTACAATAAAAGCCATATATGACAGACCCACAGCTAGGAAAAGCTGAAAGTCTTTTCTCTGAGATCTGGAAAAGGACAAAGATGCCCACTTTCACCACTATTATTCAACATAGTACTGGAAGTCCAATCTAGAGTAGTGAGATAAGATAAATAAATAAAGGGCATCCATATTGAAAAGGAAGAAGTCAAATTATCCTTGTTTGCAGATTATACAGTCTTATATTTGGAAAAACCTAAAGTCTCAATGAAAAAAACTATTAGAAATGATAAGCAAATTTAGTAAAATTCCAGGATATGAAATCAACATACAAAAATTAGTAGGATTCCTATATGCCAACAGTGAACAATCTGAAAAGGAAATCAATGAAATAATCCAATTTATAATAGCTACAAAAAAAACCTAGGAATAAACTTAATCAAAGAAGTGAAAGATCTCTGAGATGAAGACTATGAAACATTGATGCAAGAAATTAAAGAAGGCACACAAAAAATGGAAAGATATTTCATGTTCATTGATTGGAAAAATCAATATTATTAAAATATCCACATTACTCAATGTAATTTACAGATTCAATGCAATTTCTATCAAAATACCAATGACATTCTTCACAGAAATAGAAAAAATATCCTAAAATTTATATGGAACCACAAAAGACCCAAAATAGCCAAAACTATCCTGAGCAAAAATAACAGAACTGAAGGAATCACACTACCTGACTTCAAATTATACTACAGACCTATAGTAACCAAAACAGCATGATAGTGGCATAAAATCAGACACATAGATCAGTGGAACAGAATAGAGAACCCAAAAGCAAATCCATAAATCTACAGTGAACTCATTTTTTCAAAGCTGCTAAGAACATGCAATGAGGAAAGATGATGGGAAAACTGGGTATCCCTAAGAAGAATGAGACTAGACCCCTATCTCTTGCCATACAGAAAATCAAAATGGATCGAAGACCTAAATGCAAGACCTAAAGCTATAAAACTAGTAAAAGAAAACAGAACATTGAATGGGGCAAAGATTTCTTGAGTAAACCAAAGCAAAAATGGACAAATGGGATTACATCAAGTTAAAAAGCTTCTGCACAACAAAGGAAACAATCAACAAAGTGATGACATAACCCACAGAATGGGGGAAAATATTTGCAAACTACCCATTTGACAAGGGATTAATAACCAGAATGTAAGGAGCTCAAACAACTCAATAGGAAAGTAAATCTAATAATCAAGATTAAAAAATGGGCAAAAGATTGTAATAGACATTTTTCAAAAGAAAACATACAAATGGCAAACAGGTATATGAAAAGGTGCTCAACACCATTGGTCAACAGAGAAATGCAAATCAAAACTACAATGAAACATCATCTCACCCAGTTAAAATGGCTTATAGCCAAAAGACAGGCAATAACAAATGCTGGTGAGGATGTGGAGAAAAGGCAACATGTATACTCTGTTTTTGGGAATGTAAACTAGTAAAACTACTATGGAGAACAGTTTGGAGTTTCCTTAAAAACCTAAAAATTGAAGTATCATATGTTCCAGCAATCCCCACTGCTAGACATATACCCCAAAGGAAGGAAATCAGTATATTAACAAGAATCTGCACTCCTACATTTACTGAAGCACTGTTCACAATAGCCAAGATTTGGAAGCAACTTAAATGTCTATCAACATTAATGGATAAAGAAAATTGATATATATACACAATGGAGTACTAGTCAAGCATAAAAAAGAATAAGATCCTGTATTTTGCAACAGCATGGATGAAACTTAAGGACATTTTGTTAAGTGACATAAGCCAGGCACAGAAAGACAAACTTCACATGTTCTTACTTATTTGTGGGAGCTAAAAATTAAAACAATTGAACTTGTGGAGATAGAGAGTAGAATGATGGTTACTAGAGGCTGTGAGGGGTAGTGGGGGGATGGAGTACGGATGGCTAATGGGTAGTTGGGAGGAGAAAGGGGTTTGCTAACGGGTACAAAAGTATAGTTAGATACAATGAATTAGATCTACTATTTGATAGCACAACAGTGTGCCTACCGTCAACAGTAATTTATTGTACATTTAAAAATAACTGTAAGAGTATAATTGGATTATTTGCAACACAAAGGATAAATACTCAACGTGATGGATACTGCATTTATCCTGATGTGATTATTACGCATTGTATGCTTGTATTAAAACATATTATGGGCTGGGTGCGGTGGCTCACGCCTGTAATCCCAGCACTTTGGGAGGCTGAGGTGGGCAGATCACCTGAGGTCAGGAGTTTGAGACCAGTCTGGCTAACATGGCAAAACTCTGTCTCTATTAAAAATACAAAAATTAGCCAGGCGCGGTGGTGGGCACCTGTAATCCCAGCTACTGGGGAGAATGAGGCAGGAGAATCGCTTAAACCCGGGAGGCAGAGGTTGCCGTGAGAGGAGGTTGCGCCACTGCACTCCAGCCTGGGCGACAGAGGGAGACTCTGTCTTAAAGAAATAAAAAAGCATATCATGTATCCTATATATACACACACACATATTTATACATATATATGAATTTATATATAAACATGTATATATGAATATATATGTATACACACATATGAATATATATGTATACACACATATGAATATATATGTATACACACATATATATTTATGCATACACACATATATGAATATATATGTATATACACATACTATGTATCCACAAAAATTTTTAAAAATTAGTATTATAGATTTTATTGACTTCATAATTTTGATACTTCATTTAACTCTTCCTGGAGTTGAGAATATAATTATGTCATCTCATACAGTTTTGAGCTTATCACCCCAAGTGATTTGTATGATGAACTTCTCAGCTGACAGAGGTTGAATATCAAAAAGCAGTTTGCCTGGATGTGATGTCTTATATTGTAAATATGGAAGGTGAATTTTTTGTTGTTATGCTACTACCTGCCAGTTCAAACTTTTGAGTTTTGATGTTAATGCTCTCCACATGGGGTCATCTTGCAGTGCCTTTTCCTGAATTACCTAGTTCTCATATCTGATGAATTGGCTAACCCCTCACAGTATTTTCAGCCAATTTTCTTTTCTGCATGAAGTGGAGTTTTTTCTCTCTTTGCTTCCTGATATATTTAATTGTGATCTGATTGGTCCTGCATATACTTTAAATATTTTTTCTCACTCTGTTTTTACAGTTTCAAGATCATGTTAATGACACCATTTCAAGGCAGATACCTGAAAATAAATCTGCCTTTTTAATCAACCTTCCCCGTATTAAAAGTGTCACCTTTCTTGATTTGTTAAAGAAAAAATTATTCACGACACTTGTTAAAGATGCTAAGGTAGGCTTTATTCCGGTGGCTACTAAAGTGTGGTTGTGTAGTAGGAGAGATTAGGCTCAACTTCTAATACAACAAGGAGAAGTGGGAAATTATAGCAAATTATAGCCCAGGAGCAGTGTGGGAGTCAGTGGATGGGAAGTTACTTAGAGAAACATTAGGGGCTGAACTTCACAAGGAAGGACACGTAGCCTAAAGTTGGGCCTAGTCAAAAAGAAGGCTGAGAAGAACCTGAACAAAGTTTGGCCAAGGAGATAATCGTTATCAGTTATTTTTTTCACTCTGCTTTATAATTTTAAGATCATGTTAATGACATCACTCCAAGGCAGAAACCTGAAAATAAATCTGCCTTTTAAATCAACTTTTCCTATATCAAAAGTCACCTCTCTTGAATCTATCATTGATCTCAAATTCATTCTATCGTTTGCATCGTCACCGCCATTGCCTTAGTTCAGGTTAGGATTTTTTTCTCACTTGAACTTTTGCTCTTCTCCGCAACCTTCCAATTCCACTCTGCATTCCACACATCTGCCAAAGAGGTATTTCTTAAAATGCAAATCTGCTCATATCCCTCTGCTTAAAATCTTTTTATAGCTGTAGAAAACTGTCAGGATGACATTCGAACTTCCTAGCAAGGCCTTCTCATCTACCCGTTCATAATCCATTCTTTCTTCCAGCCATCCTGCATACATCCAACAAATAGCTCCTGCTACCTACTGGACATTTCATCATATTGCTTTTTTTTCTATCTATAAAACCTTATTCACCCTTAAGTTTTTCTACTCCCTCAGTTTTCCCACCACCCTATCTTCAAATGGCCTTCAGGTAAATTGAACTAGGTACAGTTCCTCAACTACGCTATGATTTCTCACATATTTTTGAGTTTGCTCCAGAGGTTTCCTCTGTCTGGAATTTCTTTCCCTCCTCAGCCACTGGACTACCTTGTGCTCAGTTTTAAAAGTGAAACTCAAGCATCACTTTCTCTAAGATGTCTTCCATGACCTGTTTCCTTATTTGAATAAATTACAACTTTTCTGTGTTTCCTTAGACTCGTGTGTGTGTGTGTGCGTGCATTAATTATGGTGGTGTAACTCATGATTTTGTTGTCTGTCTGTTTAAATTGTTGAGTTTTAATCTTTACATCTCTAGTGCATAGAACACACAGGGAATTCTAACAATGTCTAAAATGGGTGAATGAATGAATAAACAAGCAAATAAAAGGTGTTCATCTTTCAGAATGAATGTATTTGGCCACCAATCCATTCTTACAGAGTTTCTTATACTGTAGCTTGACAGTCCAAGAAGTTTATCTTCAGCTGAGGGATAAGTTTGAGTCTCAGTCTCTTATTTGAATACATAGCATGTAGTCTGCAAAGTCCTGAGAGAGAATGTGTATTTCTTGAGAGTATCTAACTCAAGGACCCAGGGTTAGAGACTATCTCCTTCTTTATCACTTATATCTGTTATTTTTTTCTCTCTTTGAAAAGAAAAAAACCCAACTTCATTATTTTAAAATAAAACATATATTGACACATAAGCAGAATATGTATGGAAAAAAGATAAAAAATCTAAAATAACATTGAGAATACCACACAGGTAAAATATACAGAATAGTGGATTATTATCAACCAAACGACCACGTCAAAAAGCAGCATTTTCCTAGCACCCCAGAGGTCCTCCCCTATGTATCACATTCTAATTGCAACTTGCTCCCATCCTTCCAAATAACCATTGTCATGACTTTTAGAGCAATCACTAGTGTTTTTTTTTCTTTTTTTGAGACGGAGTCTTGCTCTATCGCCTAGGCTGGAGTGCAGTGGCGCGATCTCGGCTCACTGCAAAATCCACCTCCCAGGTTCAGGCCGTTCTCCTGCCTCAGCCTCCTGAGTAGCTGGGACTACAGGCGCCCGCCACCGCGCCCGGCTAATACTAGTGTTTTTAAGATTAATTTTATTATCTCAATATGCATGCCTCCATAATATATTTTAGCTTGACCCTTTTTAAAAAAACTTTGATATGTCTTTTAATTGTCTTTTAGTCTCTAGGACCCCTCACCATTAATTTTATTTGCTGATCCCTTATCTATGAAGAACTCATACAATGTGACATGTAGAGTTTCACAGAGTCTAAATTTTTCTGATCTTATACTTACATTTCATACTCATTGTTTTCCTATGTCCTTGATACATCCTGAAATTGGTAGCTGGATCCAAAGTCTTGATCAGACTAATATTTAATACCTGTTGCAAAACTGTGGGTGATTTTATGTTCTCTCAGCAGGAAACACATAAGATCCAGTTGTTTCTCTTTCGGTGATGTTAGCAGCCATACACATGGCCTAGGTCTATTAATTCATTGGAAGTTGCAATTCTTTTTTAAATTTACTGAAATAGTTTCATAAAGTGATACTTCTGCCTTCTAGTATAGGCTATCTAATGTTAAAGTTCATACAAGAAATATATGATAAATTCTTGATTCTTTCCTATTATTTTCTAATTTTCTTTTTTTTTCTTTTTTTAATTTTATTATTATTATACTTTAAGTTTTAGGGTACATGTGCACAATGTGCAGGTTAGTTACATATGTATACATGTGCCATGCAGGTGTGCTGCACCCATTAACTCGTCATTTAGCATTAGGTATATCTCCTAATGCTATCCCTCCCCCCTCCCCCCACCCCACAACAGTCCCCAGAGTGTGATGTTCCCCTTCCTGCGTCCATGTGCTCTCATTGCTCAGTTCCCACCTATGAGTGAGAACACGCAGTGTTTGGTTTTTTTGTACTTGTGATAGTTTACTGAGAATGATGATTTCCAATTTTATCCATGTCCCTACAAAGGACATGAACTCATCATTTCTTATGGCCGCATAGTATTCCATGGTGTATATGTGCCACGTTTTCTTAATCCAGTCTATCATTGTTGGACATTTGGGTTGGTTCCAAGTCTTTGCTATTGTGAATAGTGCTGCAATAAACATACGTGTGCATGTGTCTTTATAGCAGCATGATTTATAGTCCTTTGGGTATATACCCAGTAATGGGATGGCTGGGTCAAATTGTATTTCTAGTTCTAGTCCCTGAGGAATCGCCACACTGACTTCCACAATGGTTGGACTAGTTTATCATCCTACCAACAGCGTAAAAGTGTTCCTATTTCTCCACATCCTCTCAAGCACCTGTTGTTTCCTGACTTTTTAATGATCATCATTCTAACTGGTGTGAGATGGTATCTCACTGTGGTTTTGATTTGCATTTCTCTGATGGCCAGTGATGGTGAGCATTTTTTCATGTGTTTTTTGGCTGCATAAATGTCTGCTTTTGAGAAGTGTCTGTTCATGTCCTTCGCCCACTTTTTGATGGGGTTGTTTGTTTTTTTCTTGTAAATTTGTTTGAGTTCATTGTAGATTCTGGATATTAGCCCTTTGTCAGATGAGTAGGTTGCGAAAATTTTCTCCCATTTTGTAGGTTGCCTGTTCACTCTGATGGTAGTTTCTTTTGCTGTGCAGAAGCTCTTTAGTTTAATTAGATCCCATTTGTCAATTTTGGCTTTTGTTGCCATTGCTTTTGGTGTTTTAGACATGAAGTCCTTGCCCATGCCTATGTCCTGAATGGTAATGCCTGGGTTTTCTTCTAGGGTTTTTATGGTTTTAGGTTTAATGTTTAAGTCTTTAATCCATCTTGAATTAATTTTTGTATAAGGTGTAAGGAAGGGATCCAGTTTCAGCTTTCTACATATGGCTAGCCAGTTTTCCCAGCACCATTTATTAAATAGGGAATCCTTTCCCCATTGCTTGTTTTTCTCAGGTTTGTCAAAGATCAGATAGTTGTAGATATGTGGTGTTATTTCTGAGGGTTCTGTTCTGTTCCATTGATCTATATCTCTGTTTTGGTACCAGTACCATGCTGTTTTGGTACGAGTACCATGCTGTTTTGGTTACTGTAGCCTTGTAGTATAGTTTGAAGTCAGGTAGCGTGATGCCTCCAGCTTTATTCCTTTGGCTTAGGATTGACTTGGTGATGCAGGCTCTTTTTTGGTTCTATATGAACTTTAAAGTAGTTTTTTCCAATTCTGTGAAGAAAGTCATTGGTAGCTTCATGGGGATGGCATTGAATCTATAAATTACCTTGGGTAGTATGGCCATTTTCACAATATTGATTCTTCCTACCCATGGGCATGGAATGTTCTTCCATTTCTTTGTATCCTCTTTTATTTCATTGAGCAGTGGTTTGAAGTTCTCCTTGAAGAGGTCCTTCACGTCCCTTGTAAGTTGGATTCCTAGGTATTTTATTCTCTTTGAAGCAATTGTGAATGGGAGTTCACTCATGATTTGGCTCTCTGTTTGTCTGTTATTGGTGTATAAGAATGCCTTGTGATTTTTGTACATTGATTTTGTATCCTGAGACTTTGCACTAAATGCCCACAAGCGAAAGCAGGAAAGATCCAAAATTGACAACCTAACATCACAATTAAAAGAACTAGAAAAGCAAGAGCAAAAACATTCAAAAGCTAGCAGAAGGCAAGAAATAACTAAAATCAGAGCAGAACTGAAGGAAATAGAGACACAAAAAACCCTTCAAAAAATTAATGAATCCAGGAGCTGGTTTTTTGAAAGGATCAACAAAATTGATAGACTGCTAGCAAGACTAAGAAGAAAAGAGAGAAGAATCAAATAGACGCAAAAAAAAATGATAAAGGGGATGTCACCACCGATCCCACAGAAATACAAACTACTATCAGAGAATACTACAAACACCTCTACGCAAATAAACTAGAAAATCTAGAAGAAATGGATAAATTCCTCGACACATATACCCTCCTAAGACTAAACCAGGAAGAAGTTGAATCTCTGAATAGACCAATAACAGGATCTGAAATTGTGGCAATAATCAATAGCTTACCAACCAAAAAGAGTTCAGGACCAGATGGATTCACAGCCGAATTCTACCAGAGGTACAAGGAGGAACTGGTACCATTCCTTCTGAAACTATTCCAATCAATAGAAAAAGAGGGAATCCTCCCTAACTCATTTTATGAGGCCAGCATAATCCTCATACCAAAGCTGGGCAGAGACACAACAAAAAAGAGAATTTTAGACCAATATCCTTGATGAACATTGATGCAAAAATCCTCAACAAAATACTGGCAAACCGAATCCAGCAGCACATCAAAAAGCTTATCCACCATGATCAAGTGGGCTTCATCCCTGGGATGCAAGGCTGGTTCAATATATGCAAATAAATAAATGTAATCCAGCATATAAACAGAACCAAAGACAAAAACCACATGATTATCTGAATAGATGCAGAAAAGGCCTTTGACAAAATTCCACAACCCTTCATGCTAAAAACTCTCAATAAATTAGGTATTGATGGGATGTATCTCAAAAGAACAAGAGCTATCTATGACAAACCCACAGCCAATATCATACTGAATGGGCAAAAACTGGAAGCATTCCCTTTGAAAACTGGCACAAGACAGGGATGCCCTCTCTCACCACTCCTATTCAACATAGTGTTGGAAATTCTGGCCAGGGCAATTAGGCAGGAGAAGGAAATAAAGGGTATTCAATTAGGAAAAGAGGAAGTCAAATTGTCCCTGTTTGCAGATGACATGATTGTATATCTAGAAAACCCCATTGTCTCAGCCCAAAATCTCCTTAAGCTGATTATTTTCTAATTTTCAAAATCAGTAGTTAATTCCCTGTTATCCTTTAATCAGTTAGTTTACTTCTTTTTAAAAACACCACTGTGAACTTTTGGATTTAAACATGTTATAGGTTTAAATTCATTGCATTTCTTATTCTTTTTGAAATTCAAGTAGTCCCATCTTTGGTCAGTGCAGACTTCTTTAATTTGGCTCCTGAATCCTTTGGATACAACCCTAATTTTCTTTGATAGCTTCCTTGCTATGTGGAATCATAAGACGTTCCAGGCTTTTCTAATATATTTCCTGCCTTGGACCTAGAATACCCAGTTCTCCAAGAAACCTTCTAGTGAGAAGGAATATTTTGAAACCACAATCTGGGAGCTAGTGATGCTTGCTGCTACTGACATGATCACTGTTTCTAGCTAAAAAGGAGTCTAGTTTTTAAAAAACCAAGTCCTAAGGATGCTCAGTTTATTAGCACAAGTGGGTAGGGTTAGAATTGGGATAGACTGTTTTTCTGTACCCCAAATTACTTCAGTTAACTGAGAGTTGGTAATAAATGTACATACTTCATTTTGTCTACTTTTAAAATATGAATGCATTTAGCAACACTGTGCCCCAAGACATCAATCTTCATGGTGATTACCAACCTGCACAAGTCACTGGCTATCAAGATCAGAGTGAATTTAATGAATAACATAGCCCAGGGTTATCTCAGAGGCTGTCTTAAAACTTGCAGAGCTGTGGTCCTGAGCAATTTTTTTCCTAGAAGCCTTAGGGCAGTGCTTCTTCAACAAGAACTCTAATATAAATTTGAATCAAACAAACATCTACAGTGCAAAAGAGAGCAAGTGTGTGGTTTATCACCATGAGAATACAAACACAAATGGCAGAACTAGCAATTCTTCCCACAGTTTTTTCATTATTTATATGGTGTTTACAAAATACATTTAAGTTTTAAAGAAATAATTTCTCTTTAACTTCTAAGTTTTTACATAATTATTATGCCCTTGGGGCAAATATAATTAAATACCCAGATGAGAATCTTTTCCTTAATACTGGATTGCACATTGACTTGAGTCCTATTGATTCTCATTTAGATGCTTGTTGAATGAGTACTAATAGCTATGATTTATAAGTCCCTACTAGCTGTTGGATACCATATGCATTTTTTTCCATATCCCACAGTAACCCTGAAATGTATATAGTGTTTTCTCTATTTTACAGATTAGAAAACAGAGGATAAGATATTTGAAGAAACACACAGATAGTAATTTTGTATCTGAGATTCCAACCCAGAGCTCCTTGTTTTCAGAGTCCCTGTTTTCATCTGCTTTACTATTCAGCTGGACTGGCTTTGACTACACAACCAGAAAAGAAATTGCCTCTCTTTTCATGAATAGAACATGAATGGCTTTTGTAGCCAATCTGTTATTGATGCCTCTTCTGCCTCTTTGGGACTATTGATGGGAATAAAACATAGTTGTAACATTTCAATGAAATACTGAAAGAATGGATTTTTAGTATTTTGAGTATCTAATAGCTTAAAGGCAGCTAATGAACATTTTCAAGTAGGCAATTGTGAGCCTACTAAATACTGGGAATCATGGAAGACACAAAATGAAAAAGGGGTGATACCTGTTTTGCTCTGTACCTGAGTGACGGCATCAGTTGTACTCCAAACCTCAGCATCAGGAAGTCTACTCAGGTAACAAACCTGCGTATGTACCCTCTGAATCTAAAATAAAAGTTAAAAAAAGAATTTTATACTCTAACAAAGAGATAGATATGTACAAAAATCATATAGAAGTGTTTCCTTGTTGTCAGAAACTTCAGGCAAACATTGTCGGCTGAAGGTCTGTGAAGGCTGCCTGTCCTGGATTTAAAGGGTGTGCACACTGACGTTTGTGGGAGGGGAAGTGGTTTGTAGCCTGTGAAGGATTTTGACATGGGAGATTTAGATAATTTGAGGCTGGGATAGAGGTGTGAATGAAGGAGAAAGTTTTCTCCTATTGGGAAAAGTGAACAATTCAGAGTTCATTCAGGTGAACTCAGATGCCCTGGTTTTAGAATTGTGCCAGGGAGAAAAATTGTCATAATTGTAGGTGCAGGAAACTGTGTTTCTCCCCTTCCTTGTCTTCAGTCCTTAAAATTTGTACACTTTTCTCCATCTCACTCGCAACAGATAAACTTGCTCTTATTTTATAGAGAAAAATAAGTCTCATATTTTAACACGAAACATATGAACCTACCCATATATGTACCTGTCTGTTCCTCTTTCTTCAATAGAAATGAAAATTTGTGTCATCTATGTAAGATTAATTCCTGCTCCCCATCCCTTCAAGCCTTACAGGAATCCCATTACTCTCTTTTCCTTTCAACCCCTCTCTCTCAGCAGGCTCTTCCCATTGGCTTTAACCAGACCAATTCTTTCCTGTTTAGATATACAAGAAAACCCTGAAAGCTTCACTAGATTCTTGATCCCCACCCAATTCCACTCTATTTCCCTTCTACTCTCCACAACCAAATTACCAGAAATAGTTGTCCAGAATCCTGTCTTAATTTCCTCATCCTCTGGCTTCCTAATTCATCTCTCCACTGAAATAACTCTCCCTAAGCTCACCAGTGACTATGTTGCTAAGCCCTGTTGCTGTTTTCCAGTTTCCGTCTGTACCAGTCAAGGTAGTTAATGCAAACTTCCACAACATACAGAAGTCTAAACATCAGTGGCATAAGACAATAAAATTTCCTGTCTCAAATGTACAGTCTGATGTTGGTCAGATGACTCCTTCCATGTGGCTATGCCATATGGAATATATGTGTTCTAGTTATCTACTGCTGCATAAACTGCCCATAACTTCAGTGGCTTAAAACAATGTCAACATTTATTTTCTTCATATATCTGTAGTTTGAAAAAAGATTTATAGATAAAGTTTTTCTCTTCTCCACTTAGCTGCTGCTGCAGAAGCTCCAAGGCTGAGGGCTAGAATCACCCAAAGACCCATTCCTTCCTGCCTCTGGAGGTTGGTGTTGGCTGTGGGCTGAGACCTCAGTTGGATCGGTTGCTAGAACAGCTACCTGTGGGCTTCCTAGGCAGTTCCTTGGCTTCCTTACAGAATGATTTCTTGCACAGCTTTTCTCTTGGGACCTTCCTTTATAATCTGCTGCTGGAAGTCATACAGTGTCACTCCCTTTGTATTCTTTTTAGAGGTGAGTCACTTTGGCCAGTGCATCATCTGACTTGACTCCTTAGCAGCAGTGATGCAGTTAACTCTTTTCCACATAAAAACATTCTCTTTCCTTCTTTTCTAATGACACCCCACATTCTCCTAGCTTTACATGCATTTTTTTGCTTTTAGGACATAACCGCAAATCCATGCTATTGTCAAGCCCTACATACTTCTCCATTCTCATCTTACATTCTTCTCTCCCTTGTTTTTCCCCCTTCAGTCACAGCAGCTGTGTTTTGTTTGCCTCTTATCTAGGCCACAGTCCCTCACACATTGGGGCTGTTGCCCAGGCTGTTTCCTCTTCTCAGGATTCTCTTTCCTTTCCTCCTTATTTAGCTCTGTCTTCTTCAGGTAAGTTTTTTTTAATCATCCAAATTAGTTCAAATCTACCTATGATTCTAGCCAATAGTAACATATATTCTCCTCCTTCAAAGCATTTATATCAATTCTCAATCTTGATTATTTTTATTTATTGTCTCTCTTCATCTTTTCAATATAAGCTCAATGAAAGTGATCTATTTGTTTTGCTTATCAAATGATCCCTAGTGTCTGCCTAGAACGGTGCCTGGCAAATAATAAATATTTTTTAAATAAATGAATGTACCTTGCAGCCTAGCAATCTTGGGTAACAAGAACTATAGTCCACATTTTATCAATAGTTCTCAAGTGTGGGCAACGTCACTCTTCTAAAAGGATGTTTGGATATGTGTGTGTGTGTGTGTGTGTGTGTGTGTGTGTGTGTGCAGGAGCCTGATGTGTACTATGTAGGGTCGGGGATGCTTATCATCCCACAGTAAAGAGAACAGCCTCATACAACAAAGAACGCTGTATCATATACCAAGAGCGCCTCATACCTTACTTTAAGAAATCACAAATCAGTGGTTTAACTGACCTTCTTAGCTAACCTTCTGTATTGGAAACAACAAATATTAAGGCCTGGCAAAGATAAAGGGAAGTGCTGTAGCACTGTGTCCCTCCACCCCATCTTCTTCATTTTGCAAGGTACCTGTTTTTGGGAGGCTCCACTTAAGAGTATGAATATGGTAGAGAGTTGTGACCACTTGGTCATGCAGACTGTGGAGACCTGTGTACCTCCAGCAAGCAAATCTCCAGGCCTCCAAAATCATATATACTGTAGTTGCCATTATGCACTGGCAAAGGGTCAAGTTCACTGTCTCCAAAGGCCAGTTGTTTACTGCTGAAGTATAAAAAAGAGTGAGCAAAATACATGCATCTGATTGGTTCTTTTTAATTCCGTAATTATGATGGAGGTGGCAGAGCAAACAGAAGGAAAGCATTTTGACATAATAAAAATGCTATGGCATTATCACCTGTAATAGAACAAAGTTCAGTACTGGTTGGGCTTTTCTCCTGAGCTGAGGAGTTGACTCTGATGATCTGAGATTACAGTGGAGAGAATGACCATGTTATCTATTGCTGCATAACAAATAATCCAAAACCTAGTGGCTTAAAACTATAAATATTCATCTCAGTGTTTGTGGGTCAAGAATCCTGGAGTGGCTCACCTGGGTAGTTTCTAGATCAGTATTTCTCATGATTTTGAGATTTCAGTTGGGGCTGCAGCATCTGAAGTCTTGACTGGGGCTGCAGGATCTACATCAAAGGTGTCTCATTTATATGGCTGGCAAAATGGTGCTGACTGTTGGTAGGAGGCCTCAGTTCCCTTCCATGTGGGCCTCCCACAGGGCTCCTCAAGTGTCCTCTGGGTTTCCCCTAGAGCTAGCATAAGACCAAGAGAGCAGTGGCAATTCTTGTATCCTACTAGTTACACAGATACTCTGATTCAATGAAGGAAAACCCACACAGAAAGGCAGGGATACACACAAAGGCATGCAGGGGTAAGGATCACTGGGGGTCACCCTGGAGCAGGATGCCACAGTGACCTAGGCAAGTCTCCAAGGCTGAGTTGGAGAGGTCTGATTATTGGTATAAGAACTCTAGTTGCCTGAGGTTCTGGACTAGAGTCCAAATTGGTCGGATGGCCTTTGATACAAGGGGGAGCACAGGAGTGTGAAGCAGAATTACGACCCCCTGCCCAACATGTCCATGTACTAATTCCCAGAACTTGTGAATATATTGCCTTGCATGGCAAAAGTGACATTGCAGATGTTAAGTCAAGAATCTTGAGAGGGGGATTATCCTGGATTATCTGGGTAGGCCTAATATAATCACAAAGGTCTTTATATCAGAGAGGCAGAAGAGATCATCAGAGATGTGGCAACGGAAGCCTAGGTCTGACTGATGCAGGGCCATCAGCCAGGAATACAGACAGCCTTTAGAAACTGGAAACATCAAGAATCCGATTCCCCCCTAGAGTCTTCAGAAGGAACATGGCTCTGCTGACACCTTCGTTTCAGCCCCATGAGACCCGTTTCAGTCTTTTCACCTCCAGAACTATAACACATTCGTGTTGCTTTAAGGCTCTAAGTTTGTATTAATTTTGTCAGAGCAGCAATAGAAAACCAATGCAGGGGGTGAGGAGGAGGATACCTTTTTTTTGTGGTGGGGAGCGGGGAGTGGGATGTTCTCTTCAGCTGGTTCCTCTTCTGGAAGTTGGAAACCCATCATCTGTAAACTCCATGTGGGACGAAGAGGAAACATTTTCCACCATTGATGGGATGTTTGCTGAGCCTCCAGGATTGTGGTCCTGCTCTTCTGCAGCCAGAGGCTGATAAAAAGTGAGGTATTGCTGCTCACAAGAGGGCATTAGCTGCGGGGATCTGCCCCGCAGACCCTGACCCAAACGACAGATGAATAAAACGTACACTGACACACAGATATTCTGTTTTGCCAGTCCTGCTGAGCGTCCGACTGCCTGCCCACCAAGAGAGGTTTGTTACTACTGACTGCCGACCAGCCCTGAGTAGTTTGCACTCCAGGCATTTATTTAGTATACAATTAACAACAGAAGTTCTGAGTTAACACACTTGTGGATAATTAACATGGTTAAGAGAATAGTTCTATGAATGATTAGAGCTCAGGTACCACAGTTTAAAGTAAATAATGGTTTAAGGGGCAATATCCCTGGTCAACCCCCGTGAGAGGGCCATCTGGCTTAAAGGTTAGTTAATGGAGGTAGGGTAAACAGACTTAACTGGGAAGCCTCTATTGTCCCTAGTATTTACCCTACGACCTAATGCTCTAAGGTAAGAACCAGCTGCCTTCAGCCTGTTCAATTATTACAAGCTATGGAACCTTTCGGCCTTCCAAAAAGGTTTGTGACCATTCCCTATAACTTTTCCTAATATTTCCCTTTAATATTTCTGCCACCATCCTGAGTGAATCCCAACAAAAAGTACTGGGGAGAGAGCATAGGGTAGCACAGTTAGGCTGACAGAGGGAGAAGGGTGCCTTCCTTAGTTTTCTTTTTCAAGGGGAAGAAAGCATAGAGCCTGCTTGAGCGTGAAGGGCCTGAGTTGGGAGGCCACAGAGGATACATAAGACTGCAAGCGGCCTACACTAACATGAGACAAAGAGCTATAGGGCTTAGAAATTGCAACCAAGTCTCATAAAGGACCTCCAGCAGCCAGGGAAGCAGGGTCCATAAGATGGATTGAAGTTCTGAAATGGAGAAAATGACCTCTTTTTACTAAAATGAAATTGTCGTAATTATTTAAAATCACTGAAAAATTATGGAAGCACACTGAGATGCCCATAAACTAGCCCACTGAGGGTATGTTGCTGCAGAGCTGAGTTGGTGGACTCCTGGCACATTACACTACTTTCATGTATATATCTCAGTAAGTTGAGATGCACCAACCAAGCTAGTAATAGAACCATTTTTTTCAATGCTGAATGTTATGTCAGTGAAGGTAATGCTAACCATTCAATTAATGATACACTCTGGTGTCAGAGCCTAAACTGTCCACCTTAATAAACATTCTTAAATCTCATTTTGCTGTATCTCTCTTGACCAGAACTGAGAGCTTAGGTAAATTACAGGGTTGTGTATGTAGCCTCCTGAACTGTGGGACTGCGAAGCGTGGAGTACCATAATGAGCCTCTAATGACTGTTATCATAGTGGTTAAATGTGGAAGGAAGTGGAAGAAAATGAGCATCCATATGTTGCCCATGGAAAAGAAATTGTGTGCTGTGTTGTGACAAAAGATGTACAAAAAACAGATGACAAGTTTAGTGAGGTTTGATTTGAATCTTCCTTTGGGATCCATTTGTTTTAAACTATTCAGATGTTTATATAGATGGAATTGAGAGAGCTTTCTGAAATTTACCAACGAGCCAACTAATCTGTTTTCCAGTATTCTTTTAAAACTGCTAAAAATGTGGGATTCAAAAATTTTTGTATAATCTTGCCTGTGAAGCAGAGCTTTTAAAATGTAATTTTGCCTTTTGACAATGAATTCTAAACAATAGACTAATCAGAACTTTTATGTTTTATGTAACTTTTTAAAAAATGTCAGTAATTTTCTGATAATATTATTTGGACTTTGATAAGACGTCTACATTTTAGTCTATGCATATTTACTCAACCTCAAAAATATATAGTAAGAAGAGATAAAGCAGCCTTAAACCATGTCCATTAATGTCTTAACTTGTATAAAGTCCCCATAAAAAGGCTGAAGTCCTGGCAACATTAAGAGGTGTGTGTCAGAGGGGACATGGCCTACGTTTTGTAGTCAGAGAGATCTTGGTTCAGGCTTAAATATTTGATTCTGTCACACCCTAGCTGTGTGACCTTGAGCAAGTTACAATATGTCTTTGAATATGCAGTAACTCATCTACAAAGTGAGTGGAGCACTCACATTTGTGTGGTACTAAATGTTACAGATGAAACACCTACTTCATCTTTTCTCATTATGCACCTTAAAAGTTTATATAAATAGGTAGAGAAAGAAGGAAGAAAATATCAAAACTTAAATGCCTGAAACTTTTACAAAGTTATATATTATATATGCAAAGGTGTCCTTTTTTAAAATAATCTAGTTTCTTGCAAATGAAGACATTAGCAATTAATTACCATTATTTCTATATTTGAATAGTATAGCACATTTTATTATAAGTACATTATTATTCTATGTAAGTCTCTAAAAAAAAGTGTTTGCATCTAGAGTTTGATACATAAGGTGCATAAAACATTTAAGGGAGAGCACATGATCAAGTATAAATATAAAAGAGTAGGTTTATAAGTTCCAATTATAAATACAATTAATTCAACAATTTTTTTTGCAAATTTACTGTGTATCAGGCATTGTTCTAAGTATGGTAGATGAAGTGGTGAATAAAATCTACCCAATATCTTTTTTCATGAATCTTGCATTTTACAAACAGGAACTTGTAAATTTATCAGGAAAACTGCAGCTAGAATTTGCAAAATTATGAAATCTAATAAAATGGGATCAATAAAATGGGATTCTCTTCTGAAGGAAGGGCTCAGTCCACTGCTTGGAGAAAGACAGTGTTAATAATAAGGTAAGGCAGAGTTATGGTAGAACTAATCAACTCCTACATTACTGAATGTCTATTAGCACAGCCTTAGGCTATGCTCATAGTTCCTTTTAGAAGATGATACCCATTAAACACCCAGCAGTTTTAGGCACGGGTAGGAAAAATAAAATACAAGCATCCTCAGAAGAGAATCTTACAGTCTGGTATAAGAGATAAGATTGCTGAAGACAATAATATATGGTATATTCCACAAGAGAGGGACAAAACAAGCACACAAACAATAAACAACAGCATTAACAACAAACCAGATAGGCCTTTAAAAGGTGAGAGAGACCCAGTTCGATTTAACTAGAAAAGACTTGCTGGAGGAGAGAGACGAATGAGACAGGTCTTGAAGGATGGGTAGGGTTTATTCAGGTGGAGATGATGGTGAGAGCATTCTAGCAGGAAACTGAGCCCACTAAATAGGAATCCAGGATCCAGTTGGGAAACTGAAATAGCTGCACTCAGTTCTTTGTTGGAGAGCGTGTACATGAAATGTTCTTACCAGCTTGAGGGTCCACTTTAATTACCAAAATATCTGGGGCCTCACCTTTTAAAAGGAATATGAGTTAAATAAAAACTATTCCAAGGATGGTAGGGAGCCTGAAATAGCATTTGCGGAAAGATTGAAAACTTGCACATTTGTCCTGAAGAAAAGAAGCCTTGAGGACACAATGGCAACAGAATTTATGCAAAGGATTGTCTTGTTGCACCAGGGTGAACTACAGTCAGAAGGTGGATTTTACAGTCTTTGAAGATTTCCAAACAAATCTGGAAACTCTTAGCTAGGAAAATTGTGTAGGGGAATTCCTCACTGGATTGGTAGATGGATTAGAGGAAGCCCTTGGGCTCTCCCAGTCTCAATATTTTATAATAGTATTTGAAATTGGGATTTTATTACTAAAATTATGTTTGGGGTTATTTGCAGAAAGATGAACATAGTAGTGTTACTTTTTTTTTTTCTTTTGAGACAGAGTTTCACTCTGCTTCCCAGGCTGGAGTGCAGTGGCATGATCTGGGCTCAGGGCAGCCTCCACCTCCTGGCTTCAAGCAATTCTCCTGCCTCAGCCGCTCGAGTAGCTGGGATTACAGGTGCCCACCACCACGCCCGGCTAATTTTTTGTGTTTTAAATAGAGACAGGCTTTCACCATGTTGACCAGGCTGGTCTCGAACTCCTGACCTCAGGTGATCTGCCCACCTCGGCCTTCCAAAGTGCTGGGATTACAGATGTGAGCCACTGCGACCTGCCAGTAGTGTTACTTTTAAGAGTGAAAAAAGGCCGGGTGCGGTAGCTCACTCCTGTAATCCCAGCACTTTGGAAGGCCGAGGTGGGCGGATCACGAGGTCAGGAGATCGAGGCCATCCTGGCTAACACGGTGAAACCCCATCTCTACGAAACCAAAATTAGCCGGGCGTGGTGGCCGGCGCCTGTAGTCCCAGCTACTGGGGAGGCAGAGGCGGGAGAATGGCGTGAACCCGGGAGGCGGAGCTTGCAGTGAGCTGAGTTCGCACCCGCTGCACTCCAGTCTGGGCGACAGAGCGAGACTCCGTCTCAAAAAAAAAAAAAAAAAAAAAAAAAAGTGAAAAATAATCCTCTTTTCGTGGATCTCTCCTGCTTTGCTTCCCAGCACCCATTCACCATCTGCTTACCTTCCCCTTCTGAATTTATGTGGCCTGGGGACCACACCTTCCATAACTCTAGAGATACTGCACATGACCCACGCTTAGGTGATCAGAACACCTAATTCCCACAGTGATTGCCTCAGAAGCGGGCATATGACTTAATCATAGCCGAAAATATGCAATAAGAATTTTAGTAGGATTTCTGGGAAGGGCCATCTCTCTTCCATGCTTTATGTAAAGTGGAGAGACTAGGGTCTGGAACTGCTGCCATCATCTACCATGAGAAGCCTAAGACAGAAGCTACACAGGAGAGGGAAGAGACAAGTGATAGAAAACAGTTACAGTGGCATTGCTTGAACTTTCAAGTTCACTATGTTTGAAGACAGCAGGAGGTATTTCTGGGCTTTTCAGTTTCTGTAAATTAAGAGATTTTCTTTTTGTTGATCTGTTTATGAAGGGTTGTCTGTCACTTCCAACTCCAGGCTCCTAACTCAAGAGAGCTAAGGGTGCAACAATCTAAGAATGAGATAATAAAGTTTGGTGGAACTACTCATAGGCTAGAAGGTAGTCATTAAAAGTCATTATTATGAAAGCTATGTAGTAAGAGACAGGATACAAAATACAATTGAGCCTCATTATTTGCATATTCCATATTTGCAAATTCTCCCATTTGCTAAAATTTGTTTGTGCACCCCCAAATTAATACCACGGCACTTTTTCAGTCACTTGCAGCCATATGCAATGCAGCAAGCATTTCAGTCACCTGATGTGCATATTTCCTGACTGCAGTTAAACAAGGTTGTACTCTGCATTTTGGTTTTGGCTCCGATACTATCAATGAGTGTGCTTTGGCTGTCTATTTTATGACTTTTTTTCAGCTTCTTGTTGATGATTTTACTATTTGAAATAGTCTCCAGATGTGTCTCTAACATGCTGTCTTGTGTTCCTAAGCACAAAAAGGCTGTGATATGCCTTATGGAGAAAATAAATGTGTTAGATAAGCTTTGTTCAGGCATGAGTTAGTTATAGTGGTGTTGGCTGTCAGTTCAATGCTAACGAAACAATCAACAATATATAAAAATAAAGCGTTTTTGAATAGAAAAATACAAAAAGCAAGGTTATATATTGATTAATTGATGAAGATGTGAACAGAGGCTCACAGGAGCCTAATACTACATTTCTCCTAGGAACAGTGGCTCATTTTTCGCTAAATCAGTGTTTGTGGTAACTTTATAGAAAATAGTTATCATGAATAATGAGAATAGACTGTATGTAAGCACTGCATACAAAAGGAAAATATTGGAAAAATGACCACTCAACATAACAGTGGTGCTACTATACTGACAGGACTATAAGTTTTTTCATCTTTACATTAATTTTCAAACGTTTAAGAACAGAATAATATCTCTATGGTTAAAAAAGTACATTTTAGAAATACAATACATCTAGAAAACCAACAAAACCTGCATGAAAACTACATTGGGCTTTCTAGTCAGAGTCAGTTTAAAGCAAATGTGAAAGTTCATTTATTATTTTTAAGGTCTCACTTCATTCAAAAAATACAATAAACAATAAAATATTTATTTTGGCATAACTTAGTTTGGTTGCCCACTTAAATCACCAGATTTGACAGTTAATGATTGTTTCCCTAAAATCAAATTTATATCTAAGAAATGTGTCCAAGCCCTAAATGCATAGATTATAATAATCAGAACATTGGAAAGAATACTGGGGTTTATTTTTATCTAACTTCCTATTCAATATAAATGTTCTTTCATACCATTCCCAAAAGATAAGTATCTGATTTTTTTTTTTGGAATTTGTTCTATAAAGGGAAGTTTACTACCAAATAATACCTTTTTGGTCAGTTGTAATTGTTACCAATATTTTTTATATTTATCAATATTCCTGTAACAGTCTGTGTTTTTTAACTACAGAGGATAAATCAAATCCCCTTTGTAGAATATAGCTCTTCAAATATTGCAAGGGAGCTATCATGTCGTTCCTATGGCTTTTCTTTTCTAGGGTAAATATCCCCAGGATCTTTATCCATTCTTCTTAAGAGCACATTTCTTAATCCTCTGTTTTCCCATTCTACCTGGTCTCCATGAGCTCCAGCTTAGCAATGCCCTTCTTAATGTGATGAAATCAGGACTGAGGAAAATGTGGGATTTTCAGGCCCAGTAATATCTCTGCTTCCACTGCACTTGACATTTTTCAAAAGAAGAAATCCAGAAGGGCTCTGAGAAATCGAGGCTTCTGGTATGAATATACTAGCCCTCAATGTGACAGCTGCAAGAGAATAAACACTCACTTGGATAAACAGAACTAGTATATTAAAATAATCAATTTGTAGGTATAGCTTGTATTTCTGTTTTAAATTTCCTCATTTTCTCTCTTTATTGTCTAATTATTTTTTAATTTTTATCAATCATAAATTCAAACAAATTATTACCTTCTTGTCCCATTCGAGCTTTTTGTTTTTCGTTCTTGCTCTGCCCACTTTTATGGCAATTGTAGATTTCTTTAACATTGTTGCCTTAGAAAGCAACAGAAGCTACAATTCAAACTTTTCTAATTCTTATAGGTATATTTGTCACACTACACAGTGAAATGTTTTGGTTTTTGATTTAACCTTATGTTTTCACACTATATTGAGCAACTAATGCTTTCATCTGCTAAACCTACTTATGAGATGATATAATGTTTATATCCCCTAAGACTACTCACTGAATAATACAAGCAACAAATTGTAGTATATTGGATGATATAGAGAATATGTGAAAGGGTTTTTGTTGTTAATTATGCTTTAAAAAATTTTTGTGCATCCAGCTAGCTCTAGTGGTGAAATTATATACTTTAGATTTTTATTACAAATGATCTTGTTGTCAGGCATTCTTATGAGTGTCTGACATTGAGTTAAGAACTTTAGCAAAAATCATAAGAACTTTGGATATAGAAATAGAAACATATACTTATTTAAAATTTTTATTTCCACACACTTTTCAATGCAGTCTTTCATTTTTAATTGATACATAATATTTGTATGTATTTACTGGGTACATGTGATATTTTGTTACATGCATAGAATGTGTAATGATCAAGTCAGTTTATTTAGGGTATCCATCACCTGGAGTATGTATCATATCTATGTATTAGAAACATTTCAAGCCCTCCTTTCCAGCTATTTTGAAATATAACATACATTGTTTTTAGCTATAGCCATTCTATTCTGCTACTAAACAATAGAATTTATTCGTTCTGCCTAACTATGTTTGTACCCATTAACCAGCCTCTTTCAGCTCCCACCCCCAACCAACCCACACACCCTTCTTGGTCTCTGATATCTACATTGTACTCTCCTACCTTCATGAGATCAACTTTGAAAGCTCCCACTATGAATGAGTATATGCGATATTTGTCTTTTGGTGTGTGGTTTATTTCACTTAAAATAAAGACCTCTAGCTCCATCCACGTTGCTGCAAATGACATAATTTCATTCTTTTTAATGAGTAGTATTCCACTGTGTACATATACCACATTTTCTTTATCCATTTGTTTTTAATAAATGTTTGTTAGGTTGATCTTGTGTCTTTGCCATTGTGAATAGTGCTGCAATAAACATGAGGGTGCAGGTATGTTTTTGATATATCGATTTCTTTTCCTTTGGATAAATACCCAGTAGTGTGATTGCTGCATCACATGGTAGTTGTACTTTTAGTTTTTTGAGGAACCCCCGTATTGTTTTCTATGATGGCTGCACTAATTTACATTCCCACCAAAAATATTTAAGAGTTTTCTTTTCTCTGTATTCTCACCATCATTGTTTCTTAAAAAAATAATAGCCATTTTAAGCGGAGTGAGATGATATTTTTGTGGTTTTGATTGGTATTTCCTTGGTAATTACCAATGTCAACCCTTTTTATCATAGACTCATAGGCCATTGTATGTCTTTCTTTGAGAAATATGTATTTATGTCCTTTGCCCACTTTTTAATGGGATTATTTGTGGGGTTTTTTTTAACTGTTGAGTTGTTTGAGTTCCTTGTATTTATCGTCGTCAGATAGTTTGCAAATATTTTCTTTGTTCACCAAGTTATCTCTTCACTCTGTTGATTGTTTCCTTTGCAGCGCGGGAGCTTTTTAATGTAATCCCATCTGTCTAATTTTGTTTTTGTTTCCTATATTTTTGAGGTCTTAACTATAAAATCATTGCCTAGACCAATGTCCTGAAATATTTCCCTGATGCGTTCTTGTAGCAGTTCTACACTTTTGCATCTTAGGTTTAAGTGTTTAATGCATTGAGTTGATTTTTATATAAGGTTATAGATATGGTCCAGTTTCATTCTTCTGTATGTGGATACCCAATTTCCCAGCACCACTTATTGAAGAGGGTGTTTTTTTCCTTAATGTATGTTTTTGGCAACTTTGTAGAAAATCAGCTGGCTATAAATATTTGGATTTGTTTCTAGGTTCTCCATTCTGTTCCATTGGTCTATGTGTTTGTTTTTATACCAATATTGTAGAGGTTTTTCAGCTCCTTGGCTAAATTTGTTCCTAGGTAATTTTTTTTGGTAGCCATTGTAAACGGTATTGCATTATTGATTTATTTCTCAGCTAGTTCATTATTGGGTTATAGAAATGCTACTGATTTTTGGATGTTGATATTGTATCCTGCCACTTCATTGAGTATATTTGCCATATGTAAGATGGGTTTTTTAATTGGTGGAATCTTCAGGTTTTTCTAGATATAATATCAAGTTGTCTGCCAAAAGGGGCAGTTTGATTTCCTCTTTTTCAATGTGGAGGCTTTTATTTCTTCTTCTTGCCTAATTGGGCTGGCTAGGACATCTAGCACTATATGGATTAGGAGTGATAAAAGTATCTTTGTCTTGTTCCAGTTCTTAGATGGAAGGCTTTCAGCTTTTCCCCATTCAGTGGATGTTAGCTGTGGGCTTATGATATATGGCTTTTATTATATTGAGGTATGTTCCTTCTATGCCTAGTTTGTTGAGAGTTTATCATGAAGGGATATTAAATTTTGTGAAATACTTTTTCTGCATCTGTTGAGATAATCATATGGTTTTTGCCCTTCATTCTGTTGTGCAATGTATCACATTTATTAATTTGCATATGTTGTACCATCCTTGTATCAATGGGATAAATACCACTTGATCACAACATATGATATTTTTGATGTACTGCTGCATTCAGTTTGCTGACATTTTGATGGGGATTTTTGCATCTATGTTCATCATGAATATTGGCCTGTAGTTTTCTTTTGTTGTTGTTGTGTCTTTATCTGGTTTGGGTATCAGGGTAGTAGGGCCTTGTAGAATGACTTAGGAAAAATTCATTCCTTTTCATTTATTGGAATAGTGTGAAGATAATTGCTGTTAGTTCTTCTTTGGAAGTTTAAATTTGGCAGAATTTGGCAGTAAACACATCTGATCCTGAACTTCTTTGATGGGAGATTTTATTTTTACTATTACTGATTCAATCTCTTTACTCATTATTGGTCTGCTCAGGTTTTCTATTTATTTCTGATTCAACCTTGGTAGGCTGTGTGTTTCTAGGAATTTATTCATTTCCTCTGGGTTTTCTAGTTTGTTAATGTGTAGTTGTTCATAGTAGTCTCTGCTAATCTCTTATATTTCTGTGATGTCAGTTATAATGTCTTCTTTTTCATTTGTTATTTAATTTATTTGAGTCTTCTCTCTTTTTTCACAGTTAGTTTAGCTAGTGGTTTATTAATTTAGTTTATTTTCCCTTTTGTTTTGTTGACCCTTTGTGGTATTCTTTAGTCTCTATTTTGTTTATTTCTGCTCTAGTCTATGTCATTTCTTTCCTTTTACTAATTTTGGGTTTGGTTTGTTATTGTGTTTATAGTTCCTTGAGGTGGATCATTAGATTGCTTATTTAAAATATTTCTACTTTTTTGATGTAGATTTTAGTGCTATAAACTTCCATGTTAGCACTGATTTTGCATCCCATTAGTTTTGGTATGTTGTGTTTCAATTTTCATTTGTTCCTAGAAATTGGACCCAATGTCATTCAGTAGCATGTTGTTTAATTTCCTTATATTTACATATTTTTCCCAAGTTTATTTTTTATTGATATTTAGTTTTATTCCATTATAGTCTGAGAAGATACTTGGTATAATTTTTATTTTTCAAAAATTTGTTGAGACTTGTTTTGGGTTCTAACATATAGTCTATCTTGGAGAATGTTCCATGTGCTGAGGAGAATATATATTTTGAAGCTGTTGGATAAAATGTTCTGTAGATGTCTTTTAGGTCCATTTTGTCTAAAGTGCAGTTTAAATCCAATGTTTCTTTGTTAATTTTCTGTCTAGATGATCTGTCTAATGCTGAGAGTAGGATGTTAAAGTTCCCAATTACTATTGTGTTGGACTCTATCTCTCTCTTTAGATCTAAAATATTTGCTTTATATATCTGGGTGTTCCAGTGTTGGGTGCATATATGTTTAGAATTGTTATATCCTTTTGCAGAATTGATCACCATATTATTATCTTATGACCTTCTTTGTCTAATCGTACTGTTTTTGACTTAAAGTCTGTTGTTTTTGGATATAAGTACAGTTACTCCTGCTCATTTTTAGTTTCTATTTGCATGGAATTTTTTTTTTCATCCCTTTACTTTCAGTTTACATGTGTCTTTACAGGTAAGATGAATTTCTTGTAAGCAGCATATAGTTGGGTTGGATTTAAAAAATACATTCAGGTCTGGGTGCAGTGGCTCACTCCCGTAATCCCAGCACTTTGGGAGGCTGAGGTTGGTGAATCATGACATCAGGAGATTGAGAACAGCCTGGCCAACATGGTGAAACCCTGTGTCTACAAAAAATACAAAAATTAGCTGCACATGGTGGTGCATGCCTTTAGTCCTAGCTACTCAGGAGGCTGAGGCAGGAGAATTGCTTTAACCTAGGAGGTGGAGGTTGTGGTGAGCCAAGATCGTGCCACAGCACTCCAGCCTGGGCAAGGAGTGAGACTCCCTCTCAAAAAATAAAATAAAATAAAATAAAATAAAATAAAATAAAATAAAATAAAATAACATTCAGAAAGTTCATATCTTTTACCTGCAAAGAGTAGTCCATTTATATTCAAGATTATTATTTATATGTAAGGGCTTACTTCTGTCATTTTATTTATTGATTCCTGGTTGTTTTGTATATCCCTTGTTCTTTTTGTTCTCTGTTATTGTTTATCATTGTCATTTAGTGGTTTTCTATAGTGGTAACATTTAAGTCCCTTCACATCCTCATTTGTATGTTTGCTCTACCAGTGGGCTTTATACAGTCATGTGTTTTCATTATGGTAGATATTGTCCTTTTGCTTTCACATGTAGAACTCCCTTCAGCATTTCTTATAGGGCCAATCTAGTGGTTGTGAATTACCTTAGCTTTTGTTCGTCTGGAAAATATTTTATTTCTCTTTCATTTATGAAGGACATTGCTGCTGGCAGTTTTTTCTTTTAGCACTTAGAATACATCATCCAATTTTCTCTGGCTTGTAAGGTTTCTGATGAAAAATATACTGCTTGTCTGATTGGAGTTCCCTTAAATGTGACTAGATGCTTTTTTTCTTGTTTTTAGAATTCTTTCTTTGTCTTTGACTTATAACAATTTGACTATAATGTGCTATGGAGAAGACATTTTTGAATTGTATCTGTTTGGAGATTTATGAGCTTCCTGTACCTGGATGTCTACATCTCTTGCTAGATTTGGAAAGTTTTCAGATATTGTTTAATTAAATAGGTGTCTATCTCTTTCATTTTTTCTTTGCCTCCTGGAACACTGATAATTCAAATATTTCATCACTTTATTGTGTATCATATGTCATGCAGACTTTGTTCATTCTTTTTATTCATTTTTCTTTATTTGTGTCTGGGTTATTTCCAAAGACTTGTCTTCAAGTTCTAAAATTCTTCCTTCTGTGTAATCCAGTCTATTGCTGAAGCTTTCAAATATATTTTGCATTTATTTAGTGAATTAATTAGTTCTCAGATTTCTTTTTTTAATGGCATCTATTATTTTGGTAAATTTCTCAATTGTATCCTGAATTATTTTTTCTGATTTCTTTGTATTGTTTATCTAAATTGTTTTGTATGTCATTGAACTTCTTTAATATACTTATTTTTAATTCTTCATTCAGGATTTCATAATTTTAAAAATTGGAATCTGTTGCTGGAAAATTATTGTGTTCCTTTGGAAATGTCATATTTCTTTGCTTATTAATTTTTTTGTGTGTCCTTAAGTTGATATCTGCACATCTGTTGTAAAGTCAATTTTTCCAGGTTTTTGAATTTGCTTTCATAGGGGAGGACTTTTTCCTTAAGATATATCTATGATGTTTTGGATAGGGCACTTTGGCCTTAATTCTGGGGGCATGCAGTAGTGTAGTCTTTGTATAATTTTTTAACCCACAGACAGCTTCGGTAGTGTCCATGACTTCCTCGGTAGCTTAGAGTGAAGTTTTTAGTGGAGGCTGTTTTGAAGTTTTTCTGGGGATGGGGATGTGGCAGTTGTGGACTGAAGTTGTACTGAGTGGTGAACTGGGCCCCAGAGTGACATATACTGGCATTGGTATTAGCAGGTCTGGGGAGGCCAATTCTTAGGTCTCCAGGCAGCTTGCTCATGTGCTGGCAATGGCCGCAGTGAGCCAGGTGGGTGGGCGGGTTTTTGGGCCCCTGGGCAGCAGGCATGGTGCGGTCAATGGCTGTGGCACTGGCAAGATAATATATTGGCTTCCAAGTGGTCTGTGCTGGTGTTGGCAGTGGCTGCAGTGGTCTGATTATCAATGTAGTCATTCTTTAGTTCACTTTAATAAACGAGTATAATTTTACCTATCAAAATTTGTTCAAAATAAATATCTCTTATTTGTTTTATCTGCTTTGACATTAAGGATAAAATACTCTTAACCATCTTTTATGTAATGATTAATTCCACTAATATTAATTTACTTAACTGCTCCATCCATATTTCCATGAGAATTTATATTCCATAATTCCACATAAGTTTATTTGTAAAGAAATGATTAGGACAAAGTCAGTGTAGGTTGGGGAATATGTAGCTTGACATCTAGAAGGAAATTTTGATTCATTTGGTTTTCCATGGTGTGGAAGATGTTTGGGTTGCTCTCCAGTGTTTCAGGTTTTACTCTTTTTAGGCACACAGTGTTGGGGGATATTGGTGGGAAAGGGATTGTATTTCCACTCTTTCTTGAAGATTGACGTGATACCGTGACTCAATTTAGCCAACAAAATGTGAGTAGAAGTGACAAACAATGCTTTGGTGCGGAAGTACTTACTATCCACATGAGACTGCCCAGCACACTCCTTTGCTGTGGTGACCTCGGGAGCACTATTACAAGGATAGTGCCATGTAATCAATGCAGCTAATCGAAGCAGAGCCCATACCTTCAGGACAGACATTTTCAGGGGGTATGAAGGACTTTGGGTGACTGAGAAACAACAGTTTTTTTGCACTAAATCTCTGATATTATGGTGGTGTTTTTTGTTACTACAGCATAAACCAACCAGTTCTGACAGATATCCATGCATACCACTTTTGTTTCTAATTACGTTGTACTTTAACAGGCAGTCACTCTGTTTTGCCTTCCACACATGTTTTTGACTGCACTGCCTTTTGGTAATTAACTCTCTTTTTTTTTCTAAGCACTGTGAAGCTTTGGCACCTTTCCCCTTTTTCACTTGCGCCATCTCAGATGAAATGCACTGGACATAATGTCTGGGTTCTAATCTACTTGTCCTGGCTCCAAAAAGATAATTTTTTGAAGCATAAGGAGGACATTTTTCCATTTGTTTGATTTTATGGGTGAACACAGTACACCATAGAAGGAGTGAATGGGATCCCAACTGCACAGCAGAAAAGGACTTTGTAGCTGCTATAAAAATTGAAAACCGGCCGGGCGCAGTGGCTCACGCCTGTAATCCCAGCACTTTGGGAGGCCTAAACGGGCGGATCACGAGGTCAGGAGATCGAGACCATCATGGCTAACACGGTGAAACCCCGCCTCTATTAAAAATACAAAAAATTTAGCCGGGCATAGTGGCGGGCGCCTGTAGTCCCAGCTACTCGGGAGGCTGAGACAGGAGAATGGCGTGAACCCGGGAGGTGGAGCTTGCAGTGAGCCGAGATCGCGCCATTGCACTCCAGCCTGGGCGACAGCGAGACTCCGTCTCAAAAACAAACAAACAAACAAAAAAAACCCAATAAACATTAGTAAATATTATGTGTGTCCAATTTTGATAAATAATGACTGAAGATTTGACATTGTCTCTACTCTAGAAATCCCTGTTCTTGAAAAAATGCAGTGAATGAAGCAGTTTTTGTTTTGATGTGGACACTTCCTTGAAATTCTCTCTCTCTCAGGGCTTATTTTACGCCATTATAACCCTTGTACTAATGTGGCCCCTGAAAGAAGAAATTCAAGGCGCTTTATGGAGGAAGAGGGGGCATGGTGGTTCATTTGATGTAAACATTTATCAGGTTTTTGGAAATCTTAGTCTGGCATTCCCCAGTTAAAGAAAAGATGATTTCTGAGGGAAAGTAAGGGACATTTAAGAATTTTGGAAAAAAAAAAAAGCTATCCATTTAATCCATTTATAAAATACCTTCTTCTAGAGCACATTCATTTGCAGTCTGAATGAGACTTGAATTGATCCAGCAAAGAATGTCATTGCAATGCCAGGTTTCAAATGCAGAGTGCTGGGTGCTTCTTTCATCTGCAGGTAATGTCATTATATATTGCAATCACTCTAATGGCATCTGCTCATTAGGAATTCATTGAGTGCTCATGTGGCTATAATGCACTTCCATTTGTATTCTGAAACAATTTAGCATTGGGGAACTTAAAAGTCATTTGATCAATCCTGTGTGGAGCTCCTGTTTTCACTCCAGGCAAATTAATGTGAAGATCATTGTAACACATTAAACATCTAATTGTTCATTGATGAAGCAGTAACACTGAAGTGTTCATATTTAAAGATGCAATATTTCATCGAATTTTGAAGGCATAAAAGTATTTTTCCTAGTTTGAGTGGCAAAGACAGAGGAAGATTAATACTAAAATATGTAAAACTTAACTCATTTTTTGACATGTTTACCTTCATAGTTTAGGAAAATTGAAGGCATATTATCTATGTATGGTTTGCTCATAAAATCATATTTTCTCATATATTAAATTTAAAAGTATAATCTTTGTAAATTCAAACAATGCTGAATTTACAGATTAGTCACTTGCTTTCTCTAGTTTTAATGAATTTGCAATGATTCTGAAAGGATTTAAATGCTGTTGAACTTAGGAATTTAATATGTCTTCACGTTTTTATGAAACTGTGACGCCATCAAAAGCTGAAAATAGAAGAAACCTTCAAAGTAATAGTAAAAAACAGGAAAAAATGATGGAAGCTGTACTTTCATAAACTCTACCAGGTTATGCAATAGTGAAAGTACTAATTTTTTTCAGAAGAGAAGTTGATGGAGAGGGAAAAAAAGGAGAATCCCTCCTCTTTCAAAATCACTACATGCAAATGTTGTCATATGAAATATTTCTAAACAGTCTTGTTTTCAAATGGTGTTAAGAAAAGAATGTGTTTTGTCCTGTTAGCATTTTTAATAATTTCCAAAATTCAGAGGTTTTTTCAGATTAAGAGAAATGTCTCAATTTTTCTTTTCTTGCTTTTGTGTATTTATAAACATATGTTTGAATTTTTATGTTTTCTAGAAGAATCCAGAAAAGGAGAATATGAATTAAAGGCAGTTTTATATCAAAAAAGGCTAGTCAACATATTTTGTGAGGGGCTATGACTGGCAATATTTCAGTCCACAATACTGGGACAAATACCTGACATTCTTAAGTGTGAAATTCCAAACCTTTAGAAGAAATCAAAATGATGGTTTAGTGCAATCTCCTCATCTTACAGGTGATGAAACCAAAACCTAGATATCAAATTAAAAGCTATTTTTTACAACATAAGATCTTAGAGATGAGAGCTTAAGAATGACACTGATAGCATACAACAGTTTGAATATTTATTTGATATTATAACTCCAAATACCCCAGCAGAACCTTTCTAAGGCCTTATAATTATTTTAGATTTTCTTATACTTAATTTACATGGTTCCCTAAAGGTAACCAGACTCTAAGTTAACTCAAAGTTGAAGCATGAAATAAGCATGCAGCTTTATTCACTCATTTATTTATTGAAAATTATCTTTTAAGAACAATGGAGTACTAGGCATTGTTCTAGATATTTATGATATGTCAGTGCTTATATAAACAAAAAGCTCTGGCCTGGTAGCAAGGACACAGACAAATAATAATCAACATAATAAATAAGTTGGAAGATAGAAAGTGATTATGCTATGAAAAAAAATAGAGCAGGATGGGGCAATTGGAAGTATGGGATGGGGTTAATATGAAAGACGTTTGCATCTTTAAATGTGGTGGTAAAAGTGGGACTTGTCAAAGGTGACATTTAAGCAAAGATCTGAAGGCAGGGAGGAAGTTAACCAAATGGAAGTGGGTGGAACAACATTCTTGATGAGGGAACAGCCAGCACAAACTCCAAGGTGAGATTGTGCTTGGTATATTAGAGGAATAGCAAGGAGGCTAGTCTGGAGTGCAGTAAGAGACAGGGATCGCAGAAGAAGAAAAAGTCAGAAAGATTGTCAGGTGTCAGACCTTGTGGGACCATGTAAAGAATTTGGCTCACTGTGGTTGAAAGACGAGCTGTTAGAGAGATTAGAATGGAAGAGTGACATAATCTAATACGATGTCTTAAAAAATCATTTTTGGCTGTGTTGAGGACAGCCTCATCTTTAATGTAGAGTTTTACTTCCTCAAGGCCTCTTTTCCTTGAGCTCTTTTGTTACCTTGTTCCTCTGTAACAAATGCTTTCCCTGGATGTGGAAGGCTTAGAATAGCTTATGAAGGGTCCTATGACTCTTTGAAAGTCAAGGCTCCTCTTTCTGGGCCTGCAAAGCCTTTGGTGATCTGCTCTGCCGTGAGCTCCACACCTAGCTGTGCTCCTGCTGGGTGGGCCTCTCTAGATTCTTTTCTTACATGGCACCTCTTTTTTATTATTGCTTCTCCTTAGGAGCTGAAAGAAGGGTGGGATTAAAAATATTTATGATTTAATATATTTGTCCTGATCCCATCACTTTTGTTTCTGGAATTATAAAAGCAGCATGTTTTTAATGTAAAAAATTAGTAATAGAGGCACACACAAAGTCCTCCCAAAAAAGAAAGTATAATCTTCTTACCCAAAGATAACTTTATTTAACACACTTTTTATATCATTCCAGAACTCTGTGTGTGTGTGTTTAACCAAAAAGGGTTTCTATTATGCATATGTTTGTAATCTTCTCATTTTACTTAATATATCATGATTGTATACATGTTAATAAATATTTCTTTATACCAATGTTGTAATAACTTAGTGCTGTTTCATTATATGAATGTACTATTAGTTATTTAATTGTCACTATATAGTTAGACATTTAGATGGTAATGTAGATAGTTTGTCCATATATTTTTCTTTAAAGCAAATATTGAGAATTGGTATTTTAGGTAAGTCAAATGTACACATATTTCTATATTTTTTGATGTATATTGCCACATTGTACTGAAAGTGATAATACCAATTTTTTTATTCTCGCCAGTACTCTATCAGGCCATTTCCTGCTACCCCAAACCCTTGTGAACACAGGAATAAAAAAAAAATTGCAAGTATTAATATGTAAAAAGTTATATATTATTATGTTACTTTTTATTGCTTTGATAATTAACAGCAAATATTTGTCAATACCCTGCAGATTTCAACTTAGATACCCTTCTTTCACCTGGAAAGAGGTTCTAATGCCTGCATTCTGGGTTGGCCCCCTTTCCTATTATGCCATAGAATTTTGTACTTTAAGTACCACTTGTAATCACCAATTTACTTCTCTTTCTGCTTCACTAGACTTTCAGATCCATGAAGGCAGGGATCCTGCTGTCCTGCTCAGTACCAGCCAGTGACTGGCATATCATAGCTTCTAAACAAGTAGGTGTAGGGCCTGGAAACCACAATTTTAAAATAATGAAATAATTTAATTATATCACCTGTGGTTAATATCTTTTTGCCCTTCTTAAAGAAAATATATTTTACTTGCCCTTTTGACCAGCAGAGCAGTGACCTTCTTTTTTTCTAATTTCTAGGCATTAGAAACAAATTTGTATATACTAGAATTCTGGAGAATGAATGAATGAATGAATGGATGGATGAATGGAGGCTCTTTCCATTGTCTATTCTATTTATAGTCTCTGGTCAGCTGATAAGAATATACCCCCAACCTCTAGACTGAAAGCTGATTAAAAACCCCCAGAAAAACAAAACAAAAACAAAGGTAAAGAGGAAGCTCATAAATTATGTTTGTTTGATAACTCAAAGTGAATCACATTCTATTTTATAAATTAATTCAACTTCAGAGCTTTATCCATGACTGGGTTTCTAGCCAATTCTTGGCTTTCCAGGTTATCTAGACACTACTTGTGACCTGGCAGTGCTGTTCTAAATAAATAATGTGTTAGGGGATTTCTGTATTGTAAACTACAGATCTTGTTTCTGTCATACAATCTGTGAATTTCCAACTGAATTTCTGTGAAAGTCTATTTCAAACCTCAAACGATTAACTACTTTATTAATATATATTTCTTTTTTTTCAGGTCAGACAGGTAATATCCCCACATTGTAACTAGGTTCAGAGGGTGGCACATCTCACACATGTATGCGAACACCCAATCATTATGCTCATGAACTACAAAAGGATCATATTACTATATATTTCAAATTAATTTTTATGTACCAGAACGTTATTTGGTTGAGCTAATTTAATGAAATTTGTTAATATTTAAACATTAATAAACAGATAAAGAATGTTGGTCATTTTAATATAACTATTGAGAAAGTGAAGAAGTGATTTTAGTAAAAGCCAGTTAGTAATGGGTTTTGATTATTTGGACATCTAAGTTCAATGAATGCAAACAAATTAGAAAGGGGGCAGATGAAGAAATTTAGGAAAAGACTCACAGTTATCTCTCTCTCTCTCTTTCTTTCTTTCTTTTTTCTTTTTTCTTTTTTTTTAATTGAGACAGGGTCTCACTCTTTCACCCAGGCTGGTGTGCTGCGGCATGATCTCAGCTCACTGGAACCTCTGCCTTCTGGGTTCAAGTGACTCTCCCACCTCAACTTCACCAGTAGCTGGGACTACATGCATGCGCCACCACACCTGCTCAATTTTTGTATTTTTGGTAGAGATGGGGTTTTGCCATGTTGGCCAGGCTGGTCTTAAACTCCTGACCTCAAGTGATCTTCCTGCGTTGGCCTCCCAAAGTGCTGGGATTACAGGTGTGAGCCAGTGTGCAAGGCCTCATAGTTATCTCTTAATTACTGGTAAGACGGTTCAAAAGGACTATCTGAAAACAACATAAATAATCTTTTCTTAAAATTATATTTTTAAACATAATGAAGTTATGTTGGGGATTGGGGTTGAATGCAAAGTACTAAAAACAAGACTTTGAAATACTTTTAAAAATAATGCTTTTATTTATTTCTAGTTTCTACTCCTAATTATCAGACTAAGCAATGGCAAGGGTTGGTACCTAGAATAGATATAAATTGTACAATTGCATGGTGGATGAATTGTTCTAAAGAGATGACTCTGTTCTCCTGGAAACCTATTTATTTTTCAATTAACAAAGAGTAAAAGGCCTTTTCTGACACTTCTGCTTACGGGACAGGATAAAAAATATGCCACTTATGCTTGGTAGGTTTAATTAAATGTTTGGTTTGAGCTTATAAGGAACTATGTGTTTTAGCCAGTTCGGATTGTAATAGATAATTAAAAATTCCATTAACAATTAAGTTGGTATTTTGATTTAAAAAAAGTGTATCTAGCAGCATAAAGCCTCTCTGGTACCAAAGTTTTTGACTCTTCCTTGACATATTTCTTGTTTGGTGAATGTTTTAATCTCATCATCTCTTAGCGGTTTTCTGATTTTGTAGTTTATGACTCAAATAATGCTATTTAATCAGTGGGTCAGACTAATAAACCCAAGCTCACGCTCACTAAAATTTCAGCATAAACAGATTTGAATGGATATGTTATCTTGTCAGCATATTGCTTTTTTTGTGCAATTGCCCATATAGTTATTGCTCATTTTATGTTGTAAGCTTTGGGAAGATGAGAAGCATGCTTGTGTAACTTGATCTAAATATATTTTTTTTTTTTTAGCACATAAAGCCAAGTTGGTTAAATAATGATGACAATAATAATAGTTTTAACCATAAGTAGTAAAAAAATATTGCACGCACACTCTAAGCCTGGCATTCTCCTAAAAATTGTATGTGCATGGTCTCTGTAAGATAGATATAATCTCCATTTTATACATGAGTTAACCAAAGTTCTGGAAGGTTAAATGATTTGTTGAAGATTCAGTTATTAAATGCTAGAAATAAAAAGCAGCTTGCTTTACTCTAAAGATCATAATATTCTATTACATATGTTGTTATCAGTAGTTGAATGCCATTTACACCATTAGATATGTTGGGTTTTACTATATTCCTACCATGAGAGCACAGTGATTCTCAAACTTTAATGTGAACATCTAGTTAAAACACAGATTCTGATTCAGTAGGTCTGGGGTGGAGGCCTGAGATTCTGCATTTCTAACAAGTTCCCAAGTGACGTTGGTGATGCTGGTCCGTAAGCCACCACATTAGGCGAGGCTCTTTCCAGTGATGCCAACACGACATAGAAGGAATGTAGGGAAACATGCTGATCAGATCTTCATTGGAAGCATTTAAAAGTTTTCAACCTATAAAGTTTCTTTTTCGTTGGAGAATCTGATACGCCTTTCTCCACCTCTTAAAATTAGTGCTGTAGAGAGCCATGGATTTTGATGGCACTGCCTGCTACATCCCTTATGTGTCTGGGGATAGAAAAGGATCAGAAATGGCTGACCCAGCCGTTTCAGAACCTTGAACACTAGAACCCAGTGTGAATCCTAGGTGATTATGTTAATGCTATGGTATGGACAAGGCAGAGGGGAAAGGAAAATCAAAGCAAGGGAACTGAGTTAGGAAAAGGAAAGAGGTGGGAGGAGGAAAATAACGAGAGACAGTGGAGGAAAGTAGCCAATTACTTATGGTGGCGAATGACAGGATGACACAGAAGGTGGCCAGAAAGAGCCAAATTCTTATCACTACATAGCAAAATTTGAGGAAGCTTCTCATCCCAAATATACCACTTTCCCCAGTTAGTTATGTGGACTCCTCAAATTATGGTTTTTATTCAGGGCAACCTTTAAGACAGTACAGTGTGTTATGGCCCGGCGTGGTGGCTCATGTCTGTAATCCCAGCACTTTGGGAGGCCGAGGCGGGTGGATCACGAGGTCAGGAGATCGAGACCATCATGGCTAACTCGGTGAAACCCCATCTCTACACAAAAAATTAGCTGGGCGTGGTGGCAGGCGCCTGTAGTCCCAGCTACTAGGGAGACTGAGGCAGGAGAATGGTGTGAACCCGGGAGGCGGGGCTTGCAGTGAGCGGAGATTGCACCACTGCACATTAGCCTGGGCGACAGAGTGAAACAATGTCTCAAAAAAAAAAAGAGTATAGTATGATAGTTAGCTTCTCTTACCCACTAGCAATTTCAAGGTGAATATTTTGAGCTGGGTAAAAAATAATCTTTCACCTTCACTTTAATCATTGTTGTAGCAATTCTAGAGCTATCTTGTCCTTATAATTTAGCTAATGAGTTTGTGTAATTGAAAACAGCAGGGTGGAATGGAGGTAGTCAAATTTCATTAGTGACTTTGTTCCTGAGAAATATACATGTGTGTATGCTTGCGTACACACACATACACATACATGCACTTCTCATTTCATATCAGTGGAATGACAAAAAATGAAAGCTACTTTTTTGTCAGTTGTATATTAAACAGTTACAATCATTGCTTTTTAGAATTCCTTGTTTGAAAAGGCAATTAGGTGAAAATTCCTTGGCCAGGTTACAGAGGTAGATGGCAGATGGAAATATTATGGAAGCCACCAGGTAGCTTATGAAACACTAATGTTTTTATAAGTTTGTGAATGCCTTTCCAAACCCTTCAGTAAAATAAAACTTGTGGGAGGCCTTGGTAATAGAGATGGTGACAAGGGCCAAGTTTGGGTTAAGAATGCCTTTGGCTTAAACATAACAATGTAGACATGAACCCAGATTTTGACAGTTACCAGAGAGGCTGTCATTTCAAAATGCCAATAGAGACTGCCAACAGCAATCGCCGCAAGCTTCTTTGATCCAGGCCCTCTCAAATTATCTCTTAGTAATGTGCTGTCATGTGGAACAGCTGATGGAAACACTGAGCCCCAGTAAAACAATCAGGGAAGATTTCATACCACCATATCTCTGACTGGAGTTTTCTAATTCTTACAATTTTTTTTCTCTCATCAGTTTCTTGTTGTGTATGGCTCCATCTGGATGGAATCTATCTCCAAGTTTCCATATTATTGATCTATTAATTTCTAGCTTTTAGTCAACAATCTATGCCACCGTCCTCCTTGAGAAATTGCAAGTATGTGCTTTTTGTATTGGTAGTCTGCATGAGAAGTATAGAGAATTTTAGTCACTATTCTTTCACTACTGATCATTTCTATGGCACTTATCTCCTTGTGATTTCTCTGCTAGGTTTCTCCTGGTAGAGAAATCTAGCAGGAGAAATCTAGCAGGACTGATTGACACAAGATTGTCTGCAGCATTTATTGATGTTTACAGAGACTTTGACTTTGTGGATTGTATACACAAGGTCTAAGTCTCATGAACTTCTAAACTTCTAATTGACACTGAGTTACTAATGCTTCTACATAACAGGATCTTTTTTTTTTTATGAGACAGGGTCTCACTACATTGCCCAAGCTGGAGTGCAGTGCTGTGATCACAGCTCACTGTAGCCTTGACCTCCCTAGGTGTTCAGGTGATCCTCCCACCTCAACCTCCCAAGTAGGTGGGACTACAGGTGTGTGCCACCAGGCCTGGTTAATTTTTGTATTTTTTGTAGAGATGGAGTTTTGCCATGTTATCCAAGCTAGTCTCAATCTCCTGGGCTTAAGCAATTCTCCTGCCTCACCTTCCCAAAGTGCTGGGATTACAGGCATGAGCCATCACACCTGCTCCAGAACTGCATCTTAATAGCATAGACTGAACCTCTCATGAATCGTCAGAGACAGACTCGGTACCTTTTTCTTCCAAATTTGATTCTAAACAGCTTCATACTCCTTTGGAATCAAAACAATGCTTTACAGTATTTTATTACTGGTAAGTAAAATTATATAAAATAAGAGATGTAAGCCAATAAGTCTCCATTATAAAGAACTAAGTGCAAATTAGATCTTCATTAAAAATTCCTGATTTTTTCTCACTTCTTAACAAATGAATCTTCCTGGATATTTTTCCTTTTTTTTTTTTTTTTGAGACACAGTTTCACTCTGTCACCCAGGCTGGAGTGCAGTGGTGTGATCTCAGCTCACTCCAGGGTTCAGGTGATTCTCGTGCCTCAGCGTCTCTAGTAGCTGGGATTACAGGCGCCCCCCCACCATGCCTGGCTAATTTTTGAATTTTTGATAGAGACAGGTTTTCTCCATGCTGGCCAGGCTGGGCGTGAACTCCTGACTTCAAGTGATCTGCCTACCTAGGCCTCCCAAAGTGCTGGGATTATAGGCAGGAGCCACTGTGCCCAGCCCCTGGATATTTTTCTATAATTTACCTTGTAGATAGATATTTACTCAAAATAAATGCCTGTGGAATCAGAAGAACCACACTTTTAATCCTTAATTGAAATAAAAGTACATAATCTTTCAAAATAAATATTATAATGCAAATACTGACAATTAAGAAAGAAAAAAACCTTCTTTTAGTTTTAAAGCAGTATGTTTGGTATGGCACTCTAAATCCTCAAGTACCACAAGGGACAAGTAATTTCCCAAAAAGCTTTACAACCTCCCAAACCAGTTTTGATCCATGCAGGGAACTGAAGGCCAGAACATTAGCTTGGCTTCCTCCATGAGCTCAGTTGTATCCCAGGCATGGGAAACAGAGAAAGTATAAAACACAATCTCAGTCCCAAAGGACTTTCCAACTTTAGTGAGACGGCAAGATCAACTGCCACATAAAAACTGTATATAACACAGGCCCCTTTTAGAAAAATGAATTTAAAAACTACAAATACAAAATTGGGGACAAGAGTAAATACTCACCATCAGAAGAAAAATTCTGATAAATTATTGGAAGCTGGGAGATTTGGGTGCCTTGTTTCTAGATATTTCTGCACAATGTACTAGAATTGCTTACATAGAAGTGTGTCCTGAGTGCAGCTGGGCTTCCCCTCCTCATCTGGAACATTCCATGACAGAAATTCCCAGCCCTCACAGGAGTCTACGCAAGCGAGAAGCTCTGGGATTTTGGCTTCACTAGCTTCCCAAGGCACCTGCCTCTTCATATACCTTCGTAATAGTCATCAAGAGAACTGTAAAAAACCAGCAGCATCAAGAAACCTGTTAAACATTAAAAAAAATCATCATATTTGAAATTCTTTCTGAATTTATCTATTTTAAACCTGGAGAGTGAGGATGTATAATTATCTTAGTCTTTTTACGCTGCTATGGCAAAATATCACAGTCTGGATAATTTATAAACAGTAGAAATCTATCTCTCATGGTTCTGGAGGCTTAGAATTCCATGATCGAGGCACTTGCAGAATTGATGTCCGGCGAGGGCTGTTCTCTGCTTCCAAGATGGCGCCTTGTTGCTGCATCCTCCAGAGGGGAGGAATACTGTTGCCTCACAAGGTGGAGAAGGGATAGAAGGTCAAGAGAGCACTCCCTTCAACCCTGAGCCTTTTCTTTTCTTTTCTTTCTTTTTTTTTTTTTTTTTCGAGACAGAGTTCTTGTTGCCCAAGCTGGAATGCGACGGTGTGATATCGGCTCACTGCAATCTCTGTCTTCTGGGTTCCAGAGATTCTCCTGCCTCAGCCTCCCAAGTAGCTGGGATTACAGGCGCACACCACCACGTCTGGCTAATTTTTTGTATTTTTAGTAGAAAAGGGATTTCACCATGTTAGCCAGGTTGGTCTCAAAACTGCTGACCTCAGGTGATCCTCCCGCCTTGGCCCCCCAAACTGCTGGGATTACAGGCGTGAGCCACCGCGCCTGGCCAACCCTGAGCCTTTTCACAAGGGTGCCAACCTCATTCATGAGGGCAGAGTCCCCTAATCACCTCTCAAAGGTAACACCTCTTACTATTGTTACATTAGGGATTAAGTTTCAACATAAAATTTGGAGGGGACACAATCATTCAAACTACAGCAATAATGAAAAAGAGGCTCGACAATTTTTCTTCTTTTTAATATGTGTCACTTGAGTTTCCAGCACAACAAGATGACTCAGAACAGGAATAGGGTTATGTGAATGTCAATTTCTGTAGCCCAGCGTGAGTACCTCCTTTTTAAAATGAAAATCCCACTGGGGAATCTAGAAATGTAGCAGATCAGACAAATTATGCCTTTCTTATTTTTATATAAAGTTGGATTCTACAAGTAGACTCCAAAAGATTCTACCTATATTTTATTTCCCAAAGACTCTACATGTGAAATTCCTACATTTATTCATTCATCAGATATTTATTGAGCACCTTTTACATGGCACACACCACTTTACCTGCTGAGACTGAGTCATGCATAAAATGGATAAAGTCACCTCTCACAAAGATACAATTAAAAATATCGTGCGTCATGTGGCAAGTGCCTAAAAGAAAAATAAGAGGACAAAGGATAATGGACTAGGGGACTAGGAGGGCCTCTCTTCAGGGTGCCAATGAGAAGAAAGCCCAAGCAGGAGTGGGAGAGCATTCCAGTCAAAGGGATCAGAAAGTGCAAAGTCCCTGAGTCTGGGGCACACTTAGTATGTTGAAGTAATGCAGGAAGATCACTGTGGCTGGAGTAGAGAAGGAAAAGGGAAGAGGCAATGAGGTTAGGAAAGTAGCTAGAGATAAGATTATGCAGGGCCTTGTAAATAACAATTAGGAATCCGTAAGAGTAACATGGTCTGACTTGGGCTTTGAGATGGCCACTCTGACTGTTGTGTGAAGAGCAAGAGTAAGGAACCAGAGGCCAGTGAGGAGGCCATCACAAGGGCCAGGCAAGAGGCAGTGGGGCATGGACTAGTGATCTGGTAACAGGGATGTTAAGAATTGGTTGAATTCTGTGTTTTCTAACATAGTGTCTGGATCCCAGCTCCAAAGGGACTGACTGACAAATTTTCAAGGAGGTTAATTAAGGAACCCTACTGTTTACTACACTAATAGTTATCCAAGTACAGGGGCCAGCTGCATCAGAAGCTCCCACGGCTTTTGTTAAAAAAAAAAAAAAAAAGATTCCAGGGCCTTGTCACAGACCTACATAGAATCTCTGGCAAAGGAGGCCCAGGAATATGAGGTTTTAACAAACTCCTTGTGTGGTTCTTAATATGGGATAAATTTTGATCCTGGTCCTTATGGAAGAGAGTGCTGAGCTCTTGCAAAGGTTTGTGTCTTGTTAGACATTTCAAGTCCATACTTTAAATATCTCCAGGCTAGAACTGAGACTATATTGTGAATTTAACAGTGAGAATTACAAAAGCTCACTGTTTTTGCCTGAACTCTCAATATGAGATGTCTCCATCAAGCTGTCAGATTTTAGCCTTATCAGGGGTTTCATGAAACTTTTTGTCATTTTACATTGATTTTCACATTCCTGAACCTTCTGAGTAAACTTGTCTTTTAGCTTTAGAGATTATAAATACTAATAATTGAACCTAGAATATTTTAAAGCTTCTATCTGTATGAGCCAAAAGTGTGAAGTGTGCTTAAGAAAGGACAGAGGGAGTTTGGCAACTCTTTCTAAAGCTATTTTTGCTTTTTTATACATTAATAAGTGATATGCTCTCTCTTTACAAACTATTAGTGAAGTAAAATAGATTTCTCTGGCTTCCAAAACAGAGAAAATGATACTTTGAGATGAGGCAGTTAGAAATGAGGCATGACACAATAGCTAATAGATTTTGTTTTCTGTCTTGCTTTCTTTCCCTCTCCTACCTTTCTATATTGCTTCATACTGAACTATCTTTAGATATAAGAGTGTATACTAAACTCTGTTTACTCTAAAATCCTTTACCATTGTATACACTTGCATTATAGTAAGAGTATGAGCATCATTTTGTATTCTATGTTTTTCCAGTATCATATATACAGTAAATCTATTATGTCAGTCCCTGAAATTACCATTTTTTGTTTGTTTTGAGATAGGGTATCACTCTGCCGCCCAGGCTGGAGTGCATTTGTGCTATCTAGGTTCACTGCAGCCCAACCTCCTGGGCTTAAGCAATCATCCCACCTCAGCTTCCTGAGTAGCTGGGACCACAGGCGTGCATCGCCACACGTGGCCAATTTTTGTATTTTTTGTAGAGACGAGGTTTTGCCATGTTGCTCAGGCTGGTTTCAAACTCCTGAGCTCAAGCAGCCCACGTGCCTCGGCTTCCCAAAGTGCTGGGATTACAGGCATGAGCCACTATGCCTGGCCTGAAATTACAATTCATAATGGCTTTATAGTAAAGCATTGTAATACTATATTGTACTTCATATAACAATTTATTTACTGCTTGCCATTTGTACTTGAGTTTTTCCAGTTTTTCAGTATATAATAATGAAATATGACATGGCTCTAAGCATCTTTATGTAAATTACTTCATTGTCTTTGTGTCTATTTTTTTCATGAAATATTCCCAAATAAATAATTATTGAACTAAAATGTAATAAAGGATATTTTTAAAATGGTAACCAGCTGCCAGACTGTTTCTCAGAAAGCTTGAACTGATATTCCATACCATGGATAATATTTTATCATAGCAATACAAAGTTTAAGCACTTAAATTTTTTTTTTTTTTGGCCAGTTTGATAGATGTAACTTACTCTATTATTTAAATCTTTTCATCTTCTCTGCGGTTAAAATAGAATGCTTGTAAAATTGGGACATGAATTTAGGGCAGAATCAGAGTGACAGCTTTCCGACAGATGACCTCTCCCTCATCAGTGTTATTTTCCAGTTTCTTTGGCTCATTTTGCAGTGAACAACCTAACAGGGTGAAAGTTCCAGATACTCTGACAAGGTGATGGTTTTGAAGAGAAGTTCTGCTGCTGGGCAGAAGAGGGCACTGTTTGTTTGTACTGAGGCAGAACAAACCCTGACCTGTTTAGAGAGAGCAATCACTGTCAGAGCCAGCTCTTCACTTCACACTTGTGGTCCTGTGACCACTGTGGTGGCGACCGCAGCTCCTTCCATGCATGACAAGTCCTGTTAAGCATTGAATTTGTTATTATGCACTGAGGTCTGTGAAGTTCCTGCCTCCTAGAAGACCAATGGAATCATTTACACTGCTGTCACCGAGGAGTTAGCACCCAGGCAGTTGCCTACCACAAGAAGGAGGGCTGGTTTGCTCCAGGAGACACCAGCCGGTCCGGACACCTGCAAGACTCTGGGGAACCACAAGGTTAATTAGAATTTGATGAGCAGTGAAGGTCAGGAATTTAGAAAGGCTGGAATAGCAACCAGACTAGGATTGTAAGAACATTTTTGTTAAAATTAAGAAGTAATACCCAAGATTTTTAGGCCAACCACATTTCTGTATTTCTTGTTTTTTTTGTTGTTGTTTATTTTTTCTAGTTAAAAAAAGTCACATAGGAAATGTACAAATGCATTATTATTACAAAAGATTAAATCACACTATGAAGTGCTGAGCAATCTGTATTCTCTCTTTGGCCTCTTCATTCCACTCACACTCCCTTTCTCAAAGGCCACTGCTGTTAATAGTTTGATGACTTTGTTGTGGGCCTTTACAGACACAGGTGCATACACTGTACACATATATCTTTTTTTCTCTCCAAGAGTGGGATCTTGCCATACATATTATCCTGAAACTAGTTTTTTCCCCCACTTAACCATAAATCGTGTCACTGTTTCCATGAGTTCAAATTGGTCTTCTTTTGCATAACTATCTGTAATATGGATTATCATGAATTAATTAACCATTATACTGATGAAACATTAAGGTTTTCAATTTTCACTATTACAAATAATGCAAAGTGAATGTTCTTGTGTTTGTAACTCTGTGCACAGACTTCAGTGTTTCTGTAGGATGGATGCCAGATGTAAAATTGCAAGGTCAAATTTTATGAGCACTTAAAGTTTTAATAGATGTGGTCAAATTGCCCTCCAAAAAGGGAGAAGGTAACTTCTATTTATTTATTTTTACTATACTTTAAGTTCTAGAGTACATGTGCCAACGTGCAGGTTTGTTACATATGTATACATGCGCCATGTTGGTGTGCTGCACCCATTAACTCGTCATTTACATTAGGTATATCTCCTAATGCTATCCCTGCCCCCTCCCCCAACCCCACGACAGGCCCTGGTGTGTGATGTTCCCCACCCTGTGTCCAAGTGGGGAGAAGGTAACTTCTTAAAGTTATTGATATGTGCAGTCACGAGAGTGTTTGATGGTGCTAAACAGAAGAAACTCTTATGTTGTAGGCCAGAACCTTCAGTGGGCTGATTATATTTGTACAGTTGCCTTTGCTTCACTCCAGTGAAACCATTATGGACTCTTTCCTAAATGAGAATCTTGGGGTTAGTATAAAGACCTTCTAAACTGCAATGGGCCTCTGTCATATTTTTCTCAGGTTTGGGCAGAGGGTTAGGATAAAGGAAGGAGCAAAGTGTCTTCTTGACCTGCAGAAGAGGTTCGGGGGAAATGCCTTACACATCAGCAGGGGCCATGAGAGCAGGTCTTATCTGTGATGCCTCATATCTGATTCTGCTCTTGTCTGCCTACTGTCCACACTATTCTTCGAATCATAATTAGATCACATCGCATTCTGCAGAAAGCCTTCTAGTGGGCACCCCTGCAGGTACCTTGGCTTATTAGGCCCCTTTACACTCTGACCTCTTCCCCTGAGACATCATATCCAACTAGGCTGCCTTGTTCTTCCTGCCCCAACCCTCACCTCTCAGCCCACTGGCTTCATTTTGGCTCTAAACACACCAACTGAGAAAGTGAAGGGACTTCAAGTAGATGTCCCGGAGGGCTCTGAAATGTGCCCTCTACTTTGGGAAGCCTGATAAATCTAACAGAATGCACTGAATCTGATTGGGGCCAGGAACTGGGAAGAACAATGAAAGGGCTAAGTGTTCCTGAGGTAGAGCCCTGAGAGCATGGTCTAAGGGCTGCGCCAGTGTTTCCCTGGACCAGATGTGTGCCGGGGGAAGAGATTTTACCTGGGGACCAACAGGGAGGAAAATAGGCCACAGAAAAAAGAGGCCAGTAGGGACTGCTAGTATGGACATGCAAAGTAGCCAGGAAAGGAGTTGCAACCAAGGAAACTGCAGGTGAAGGAAGTCCCAACAAGGAAATCTCTGAAGAGACCTTGAAAGAGCCTCATGTAGGAAAGGGATAGCTTAACATCTGTCTACTCAGCCACGACTTCAGCTTTAACCATCTGGTAGGCCCCCAAAGCCCAAAGAAACTTCCCAGCCAAGTAACTTTGCTAACTCTTTCTCTTTATGCACACCTCTTTATCTCCCAGCCCAGCCTTCACAAAGCAGAATACTGATTCTGTATTGTGGGAGCAGATGAGCAGAGAGAGCAGACAGCAGGAGGACTGGGCTCACTGGCCACCCCTCCACCACCCGAGCCATGTGAGCTGGAGAGGACATTAAAAGCAAAAATAAATAGAGAAATCTAGAGGCTGGGTTTCTCCAAGAGACTGGACTGTCAAACTTCCTCATTGAGACTGTGCTTTACACAGGTGAGCAGAAGGTTGCATCCTCTGAGAGTTGCTGGGAAGTTAGGGACTTGCCCAAGCCTTGGTTCAGTTGCAGAGTACTCCCACTCCATCGTGTGCGAAGCACACTTCTCAATCTTGGCTGTGTATTAATGTCACCTGGGAAACTTTCAAAAATCCCAATGCCTGGGCTATGCTACAGTCCAAATAAATCACAACCATTGAGGGTAGGGTCTAGGCATTAACATCTTTAAAGAGCCCACATAAATTCAAGGTGCAATCAAATGGTGAGAGATAAAAATAAGGTTGCCTTTAATCATAACTAAGAGATTGTTCCCTATACTAAAAATATATTTGTTTTTATATTAATTCCAGGGCCTTTATAATTCCTGAACTTTTTAATGTACAAATTACAGATTTAAAGGTAAATTATAAACTTTAAAAATATTTAGGTCATCTGTTACTTAATGCTATAAAGAATACTTTTTGAAAAGGTGACAAGGGCTTATCTACACACAAGAATCTAAACTATGTCCTACATCGAGTTGTGAGAAGGCTAGCTAGACCCCAAATTGCAAAAGTAGAATATGCATTAAGACTTTATCATTATGCTATAATATGATGAGACATACTCTAATTTACCAATATATATCAGGTTGATAATGATTTTAATATCAATGGATGTATTAGTTAAGGTTCTCTAGAGAAATAAAACTAATTATCTATATCTGTATTGACATAGATATTTATTATATAAATTGCTTATGATATTACAGGGGCCAAGAAGTTCACAATCTGTTGTCTGTAAGCCAGAGAACTAGGAAAGCTGGTGGTATAATTCAGTCTGAGACTAAAGGCCTGAGAGCCAGAAGTGCCAATGTCTGAGGGCAGAAGAAGCTGAATGTCCCAGCTCAAAGAGAGAGAGCACATTTTTATTCAGACCCCCAAGAGATTGAATGATGCTCACCTGCATTGGTGAGGGAATCTATGCAGTCTACTGATTCACATGCTAATCTCTTCTAGAAACATTCTCACGGACAAACCTGGAAATAATATCTTACCAGCCACCTGGACATCCCTCAGCCCAGGCAAGTTGATACATAAATTAACCATCACACTGAGCTTCAGTAGCATCACAGAGAGTTTTAATTGGATTTAGCTCTCTTCCTCCATTACCAGAAAGAAGTACCTTGGAGAAAATGGCAGTTTGGCAGAAGTAGCAAGAACCGCACTTGTGATGTATTTTTTTTTTTCATACAAACTTTCTCTCTAATGGTACTTATTAATTTCCAAAAGCCAAATATTTGTGGTCTGACTGCATCAGAATCACTTTGGGGACCTGTTAAAAATACTGATTCCCTAGTCCAATCCCAGAACTCTGGTGCCAGCCTTTCTGGCAGTGAAGCCTGAGGAGTGATGCTCCCACGTGGCTCTGATGGCCAGCCGCCTTAGGGCAGCACTGGCAAATGCTGGCTGATGATGAAACCTTAGACTAAGAAGAAATCTGGTGGTGGGGAGAGTACATTCTTAATTAGGGAAGAAACTACTGGCTGTTAAAAGGTGATATTAGTGACTTTGTCTTTGCAGATCAAACTGCCTATGGTGCCATCTGAAAGATTCCTCCATGAATATTTAGGAGGCACTGGGAGGGTTTCCTGTATTTTTAGTGGGGTGGTGGGGAAGGGGTCACATGGTGAATTTTCACAGCAGTTTTCTTAATCTGATTGTATGTTGAAATGATTTGTTATGGAAATAGGAAAGAGGAAGTACTGTAGTCTCTCACGTGGACTCAACCATATTTTTTTAAAGTAAGATTTTCCTTTTTGTAGAGATGGTTCTTGCTTTGCTGCCCAGGCTGGTCTCGAACTCTTGGCCTCAAGCAGTTTTTCTGCCTCAGCCTCCCAAAGTGGCAAGAAACACTGTGCCAAAGCCTGAGCCATCTTGTGGGACATGGACTCCTGTCTTTCAAGAGTCTTTCATCATCTTTCATGAGCTCCTTTCATGTCCTTCATGAGTCTTTCACCATCTTTCCCCTCAGTGTAGTACAAGGAAAGAGGAACAAGCTTAGCAGCCAGTGATGAAATAAAATCCTGCTGCTGCCACCCGCTAGCTGTGTGACTTTAGCCATGTTCCATAACCTCCCTGAGCATTCATGAATTCACTGGTCAAGCAGGGTTAACTTCTCACTGGTTTTGTGAGAATTAAGTGAGTTAACATACTTAAATATGAACTTAACCAATACTGATTCCCTTGTATAAATCTGTGTCCCTTGTTCCTGGGACAGAACAGGTGCTCCATAAAAGATAGGCAGAGATAGATGAAAGAATGGGTGGTCAGTAACTTGTACAGGACCTCACATCTGTAAGACATGCTAAACTATTTCTGAAAATGGTCTCAGACAAAGTTGTTTTTACCAGAAGTCATCTCAGGCAGTATTTTATGTTTTTGGAAGAAGTTCCTTCATAAGCTTCCTGGAATGGGAGTGGAGTAAGTGAGGGTGTGAATTGCTAGGACTACGAATCCTTTCCTGCCTACACAGTCCCAGTTGATACCTGTTGTAATAGCACCCCCTTTGACACTAGAAAGTATCCCAGGTTGGATACTTAATCACATGGTCATCATATGTAAGGGTCATGCTGAAATAACATTAAGTGGTCACTGAACCATCTTTGGGGAAGAGGGTTTCCTGCAGAGTGCTGGTGGTCCTGAACCAGTGTGTGAGCTTGGTGCTGGCGCAGATTTGTTTGGGTAGTTGAGGAGAAGCTGAGTATTGCCTCTAGCAACTTTCCCCACTGAGTGCTCAGTCCTCCTAAATACACCCTGAACAAAATAGTAGTTTTAAGGAGCACTAACAGACCCACAGTTCAGGCTAGCCCAGATGGGGCTACAACTATTTGCTACCTCAATAATTAGGTGGTAGAGTTATTTATCAGAAAGAGAAATGGGCTAAGCACCAGGGAGTCCAAACTTTAGGCTTCACGGTTATTTAAGCTGTGTCTGATTTACTTTTGTCAGTCGCATTTAGCTGCTGTCATTGCATGTGCTTCTGAGAGGCTGCAGCCAGCCCTGGGTGATGTCCCATGGAACTTTCCTGGGAGTTACAGTGAATAAATTTTGAGACACCTTAACAGCTCCTGGGGCTGCTCTACTCCTTTCTGTATTTCAAGAATTTTCCAAATAATTGGGCTGTTGGGTAAGTGTGGTCTAGTTTCATTGGCGAGGTGTGGCAATGGTTTAACACTGCACCGTGTTCTGCTGGAAAAGTGGGACATAGACCTGTGGCCTCTCCTTTCTCTATCTGTGCTCACTCCCTGGATAATCTCTTCTGATCTCAAGAATTTCATGCCACCTCCATATAGCTGACTCCCAAATGTATACCCTCAGGATGGAACTATTCCCAGAATCACAGGTTTGTATATATAGCGGTGTATTTGATATTTCTTCACAGATGGCTAATAGACATTTCAAACTTATTATGTCCAAAATTAAACTCAATGTTACCCCAAACCTCAAGTTTTTTCCATCTCATTCCCTGGGAATTCCATTCTCCCAGTTGTTCAGGCAAAAAAATCTTAGAGTCATCTTTGAATTCTCTCTTTCACTCGTACTACATTTAACATGTTAGCAAATCTTATCCATTTTACCTTTGAAATCTGTCCACAATTCAACAACTTTCAGTTATCTTCACTGCTTCTACTTTGGTCTAAGCCACCCTCAGGCATTGTCAAGATTATTTCAGGAGTCTCCCAGTTGATCTTTTTGCTTTCACCCTTGGTCCTCTCACAGTCGGCTGCAGCCAGAAAGATCCTGTTAAATGTAATTCACATAATGTCCCTACTCTTTTTTTCTAAAATCCTCCAGTGGTTCACAGGGACTGAACTGTTCTCTCTCCTACTTCCTCCATCCCAACTCTCTAAGATCATATACTGATTCTATGCCTCCCTGGCTCTGCTGTAGCTGCATTGGCCTCTGCTGTTTATAGAATAGGAACACACATTTCCACTAGAAGATTCCCACCAGGTGAGCTTCTGCCCCGGTCTCTATCCTTGCTCTTTCCTCTGCCTGGAATGCTTCTCCTTGAGGTATCCTCTCCATTCATCCCTGCCCCCTTCATGCCCTTATTCAGATATGGGCTTCTCGCTCTAAAGTTGCACCCACTCTTCTCACTCCTCTTCCCCTTTCTTCCTTTATTGTTCTTCTTAGCACTGGTCACCATTTAACATATTTTATATTTTTTATATATACATATATATACACACACACACACATATATATACACACACACATGCACACACACATTATATATAATTTATATATTATATATAAAATTGTTTGTGCTCCTCAACTTAAACATGAGCTCTGAGGGCAGTGATTTCTTCTGCTGCTTAATCTGTTTGAGTAACTGCTATAGTTTCAGGATTTAGTAAAGTGTCTGACATGAGTAGTTTCTCAAATACATTTGCTGAAGGAATTAATGAGTGAGACCTCCCGAATTCAACTGAGATTTACTGAGCATCAGCAATGGGACTTAGCGATAAACTTTATGATGAACATATTTTTATTTTAATCTTTTCTTTTTTAACTTAGGATTATATTAAACTAAAGGATCTTTGAGGGTCTTCCTGCTGGCTAGCCCAGCTTTTCTCTATGGGTGGGCTCAGGGCACTTTCTAGTATCGTTAGTCTACATGTAATTCATATTTCATGTTTGGATATGAGAAGTGGCAGGGATCTAATACAAGGGAACACTTAAAACATTTTTTTTTTCAAGGAAGCTGCTGTCTGCTTCTTTAGGTAAGCAGACTGTAAGCACCCTTGAAACACTTCTATAGTCCCTACTACTGACTCTCTTTGTTCTGCAAATGTGAGGTGGATTGGTATGTCTGTCTTGGGCAAAGAGTGTAACACTCCTACTTCTGTGATGTTCATGCCTATCAAAATCTCTATCTTCCCTAGGTTTGCAGAACTTTCAGGAGAGAGTGATGAGCTAGTTTGAATAAGGGGCCTAGGGGCCTTTAGAAAGGAAAGGGACTAAGTATCTAACCTAGAGGTCGGTCAGCAAACGTTTTCTTTAAAGAGCCAGGTAGTAAATATTTTAGACTTGTGGGCCATATGATCTCTGTCACAATAACTCAAAACCCAACTTTGCCATTGTAGCACCAAAGCTGCTATAAACAATTTTTAAGTATTACTGTATTCCAATATGGCATTATTTATGGACACCGAAATTCATATAATTTTCACTTGTCACAAAATATTTTTCTTTTGATATTTAAAAAAATCATTAAAAAATGTAAAAATCATTCTAAGCTCATGGTCATAAAGAAGCATACGGTGAGCCGGAATTGGCCTACCAACTTGGTTGTTTGTTGACCTTGCTATAAACCTTTGATCTCTGAAACAGAAGACAGCCCAAGGGTTCTGATGGTTGAGAGAGGGACTTTTTGCAGCGCACACAGAGTGCTTATGAATCCAATCCTCCTTGGCATGGTGTTGTATTTTGAGAAACATTGGCTTCTGTTCATGTATGAGAGAGGACTGTAACCTTGGGGTGTAGGTGTGATGGGCTGTGCCGAAGTCTGGCAGCATTGGCATGACTACCAAAAATGATGCCCATCCTTTGGGTTGTGTAGGACCATTGATCAATAGTTATCAGTGATTTGATCAGGCATTTCAGTGGTTTTCTTGGCTTGGAAGCTGGGCTAACCACTTTTGAAATCAGTAAGTCTCTAGGATATTTGTGCAATTTAGGTTGGCACTGAGGAGAATTCTCCAGAGGGAGTTACTGGGCATCCTGCCAATGTGGGTATATGGGCTCAAGCCAACCATATTTGTAACCCAAGCTAGTAAGAGGGTCCTATTTGTTACACTTAACATTACTCTTTAGTCGCTAGAGTCCCACAGCATGGCACCTCCTGAGAGCTCAGTAAGTAATTGGTGAATTGGAGTTTATAGAAACATAAGGCATTGCTCACTCCTTGATTAGTCTCTCTCTCTCTCTTTTAAGAATTTCTGAGATTAAAAGGAAAAGGAAAAACATGTATTGAACTACCATGTTTGGGCATGGTGTCATGAGCCATGTCATATATTATCTGCTTTAATTCTTCCTAGAAAGTAGATATTTTTATTTACAAATGATAAATTACCTGTTCAATGCTTACAGCTAATAGGTAGTAGAGTTTTGGAATGCAGTCCTGTCTGACTCTTGATACTGCCATTGCTTTTCAGCAGATGGATGTAATCCATTCTTTGTATAATGCAAAAGGAAAAGGGTATTGATGTGTTAGGCTAGATCAATCCCCCTCACTGCCATAAAACTTAAGTCAAAATCCATTTCTCCTATTTATGGCTATTTTGAAATTCATACAATTGCACATTTAACTTGTAATATATTAGTCTGTAGGCCTTGGTAAGACACTTTAAAATGCAATATATATTCATTTATGAGGGTGAATTGTCCCAGAACATTGCAGTCTCTTAGGTTTGGATTATACTCCATAATGTATTTATTACTTAAATATCTTTTCTTTAAGTTCAAACACTTAAAAGCATAAAATGCCTCTCATCTCTCTTTTCATCAAGAATCCCTCTCGTTATCTTTAAAAATTGCTCATAAACCAGACTGCTTACTTTTAGACCCCTTCAGCCTCCCTCTCCCTTTCTCTCCCTCTCTCCATTTTTAATTATCCCATCTTACCAGAGTGTCTTGGCCGGGAAGAGCCATGCAATGAGAGATGTGCTGTTTTTTTCCTCTCTTTGGTACTAGAGAAGAAACATTGTTTAGACAAAAGTAGCCTGGTTCTATCCCTGATTTCCTTCAGTACAGTGGCATAAATGTGTAGCATCTAGACAGTTTTGAGGCTGTTGGCCTGGATAGGTCCACACTGGTCACCTGAATTTTATGTCTAATACTCAGGTAAGATATTCAGGTTAGTTCTTCCAATAGCAAGTATCTCTTTGTAACAATACTAAGAGAATCTTTTATAATGAACTTAACAAGGACCACTGAAGGATTTATTGAGAACACTGGAATATCAGCCTTTCAAGAGAACTATGTTTGCTTATATAGACCAAACTACAAAGGAAACACAATGGGTTGGGATATCAGTTTCTTATTCCTCTTCAGTAGGAAACTGATGATGACACATCCTTTGGCAGTATGGCTGAGGATCTACTTTTTAGCTGTTGTGAATCCTTGCACTGTTTCACACTGTTCCTGTTGCACGTGATGTGGTTCTACTTTAGGAACCTTATATCAAATGTGGATAGTTTTAAGTTCTTGATTACTAACTTCATTATTTCTCTTAAGTCTGTTTTCACTTTTCAGATTATCAGGGATCTTCTGAATCTGAGTATCTTTGATCTTTTCTGCACTAAGGATGCAGAGGTTTGAAAGTACTTTTGCAAGCCAGGAGGAGAAATGAGAAACAGACCTTGTATTTGCACAGCCAGGTGATACTTCCTATGGATTGCCGTTTCGACTCCCTTGGATACAGGGCTCAAGAGTTTGCTGCTGCTCAACCTCCTCTTTCCATTTTTGGTGAGTGTGATGGCATCTCATGGGAAACACCTAGCAGGGGGTCTGATGCTTGATTAGCCAGGAGGTGCTAGTTGAATCTGACCCTTGCCAGTTCTTTTGCAAAACTCTGGAGAAACAAAGTGTGCAAGGCACCACACAGGGACTCTGAATGTGCACATGAAAGGGGCATTAACTTTGGGCCTGGCTGCAATTGCTAGCAGTGCACTAGATGTGTTCCCATGGCTGGCCCTCCCAACCTACCCAAAGGTCAGTTTAAGGAAATGGAGGGAAAAAATTGGAATAACAACTCAAAGAAATGGTAGGATTCTAATGAAAAACCAATTAAGGCAGACAGATGGCTGACACACACTTCTGACTTTCTTAAGAATATTTAGAGAAGTTATTTTTGTAGCATATGAAGGCAATGCCTGACAGCAGGTGTTAGTCACCATCATTTAGAGTGTGCCGTACAGAGCCTTAGGTAGACAAGCAGGAACACAGCATTTTATTTTGTCATTTTCATATTAAGATGTCAAATATACATTTTTAACAGCATTTTTAATGATTTCAAAGGACAATTTATCAGCTGTCATCTCAGAGCTGCTGACACATTCACTCAGAATAGAAAATCCTTTCCATGTTTTTATAAACCAAGTGTTTCAAGGAAAGAATATCAGGCATGTTATTCTTTTCAGATTAGAATATTCAAGTGAAATATGGGTCTTATTTACTGTTTACTACAAGGGATAGAATTGAGGTTAAATTGCCTAATTGTAAATCAGAGCTCCAGAGATCTAATCCCAGCTGTGCAACTGAAATAGCAGTGAGAGCCAGAGAAAGTCATTTTAGGTTTCTTGGAACATCGTTTTCCCATCAGAAGGGAGTTCCTGGGAGTAAGAGTTTAAAGAGTGAGGAAGAGAAGAGTATTCTATGGAAGAAAATATTGGAAGAAATTTGTTAAATTCTGACAGTCCTACCAATTAATTATATACCCTTTATATTATTGAGTACTGCCTTGAGGACTTGCAGAGAAAAAATTTATTTAAAGAATAAAAATAAATAAATGGAAAGAAGAGTAGGAAAGGGGAACAAAAAAGCAGAAAAGTAGTCATAGATGTATTAATTGAAGGAGTCTTAAGGGAGGATTTTCCCCATAATACAAACACTTAACAGGTACAGGCACTTTAACAGAACAGATGTATTTGGCTTGTCGAGGAAAAAAAGGACAAGATCAAATGGGGTAAATTCAGGAAAAATATCTCATGAATAAATCTTCAGGGGCAAATTAGCAAGTACTCACAGTTTATGGCACTGGAGACCTGATTACAAAGTGAATTGAATGACTCAAAACGTTTTTGTGATGTTTCTTTACCAATGAAGGAGCTTAAGGAGGAGAAAGCTGTTTTGAAATAACTCTCTGGAAAGAAGTACAGGGCTCTTGTTGGCTTACTTTCTGTAACAACACTATGCAATACAGTTTGTACATATGTTTGTAACAATTGCTAAGAAAAGACATTATTGCTAGAAAAATACAATCTTTTATTAAGAGAGATATTGAAAATGTCTAAGTTAAACCTTGAGGGAAAATAAGTAGCAAATTTTTTCAAATTATATAGGTAAATGCAAAATCATGTGTTTCTGTTAAAATATTTGCAGTAATTTTCAATTTAATAAACAGTTGTGAGCATCTACTGTGAGTACCATTTTGAGTACCAAGAGCAGTACACAAAAAATTTACTGAAATAAAGAACTGAAAAATTAAAGGAATATTTCCAGAAGTTATTCCCATCTCTCCTTTTTATGGTATATTACAGGTTAAACTTTTATGACCTTCAAATATCCTCAATGTGCCCAAGTTTACAATCAAAGCGATTTTTCTCCCCTACTATCCTGCATCCATGTCCTTACCTAAATATTTTAGTCTTTCTTCTCTTTAGACATCTCATTGTGTAACACCTGAACAATCAGTTTTTGTATTTTTAGATGGAAGAGATAGCAGAGCATAGAGTTAAAGACTGGGGTGTGAAATTCATCCTCAGCAATGATGAAGTCTTCTTTATTATGGTCAGGGCATGATTATTTAATAATATTTGAGGACAATCAACAAAATAGTAATCAGAGAAGGTCATAATTGAAAGGAGCTATAGAGCTTGTCTATTTTATATACATTATTTTATGGACACAATCCCACTCAACAAGAACTTGCTGACTCTGTCAGCACTGAGCTGGCTGTTGGAATCCAAATATTGAAAAACATAGGCTCAAAGAGATCAAATACTTACTCAAGTTTACATGTTTTGCTACATTCCTTCCATTTGACCCACTCTCTGCATCCTTCATATGCTCTGTATCCCTGGACATCACATCAGTAAGATTTCTAGCCTTCTGGTTTCCAGTTGAGATTAGCCTACGGGATATACTTCATAGTGAGTAGGGAGGAGACAGAGGTCAGGATGTTTATCTTACCTTTGGAGTTTCCAGGAGCTTGTTGCATCCTGGCTGAAGATCATAGTGTCGGTAAGGGAATCCTGTCTACACAATTCTCTCCATCTGGTTTCTGATAAACATTCTCTTACCTTGCCCCTCAGGCTACAGGTGGTAGAAGCACTTCATAGTTACTAACCCCTGGCTCTGCATCATCCTTCATGTTTCCCATATATCTTGCCCACATCTTTACAAATAGTTCTTTAATTAAATCCTCCTTAAATTGCCCAATTTTAGCATGCCACCTGTTTTCTGCTGGGACCATGAGGGTTATGCATTCTATAAAATGATTTTCAGTTTTCTTGATTTGTAATGTGTCTTGGGGTGTTTGTAAAACAGTTTTTATTTAAGATTTGCAAAGTTCTGATTGTTAAGAGTTTGGTCATTTCTAAGCCATTGATAGATAAGGGACCTGCATGCAGTAGGGACAAGATGGCAGAGTCCACATGGCAGCACTGGAAGTTTACATTCAGTATACTCAAGTTGGTATTTAAATAATTGGTGGATCAATCACATTCTTTGATTTTAAATTCCATTAAGTGGATTTCTGTTAGGTGAGAGATACTTGTTCTATCCCTTCTACTATGAAAGTTAAAGACCAAAGTGTGCTTTGGTAGAATTTATGCCAAGAGTTTGTTTACCAAAGTAGCAAAATTGATAGGAGGTAGATCTAGACCTGGGAAAAGTTTAGGAAAGAGGAAAGACAATGTCTGCTTTCCTTATCCTCTTCCCTCTAAAACTGTATTAACCACTAGCTTATGGTTAGAACTCTTTAATAGTAGAGTATATTCTTGATCTTAAGACTTTGATGTCCATTCACATTATACTATCCTTGAAAGTGAGAACACCTTATTGGTGATTAAAAATGCCTTTGGGGGAAGTGTTTTAGATCTTTCTGATAAAGTTTTGGTTTGTGAATAGGGTGAGATCTGAGAGATTTGGGACCTAAAATTGGTATGTATGTGAGAGATGGTTGGGTTAATGGGGGGATTGGACTGTGGGAAAAAGGAGGAAACATTTTCAAGTGGGGGAAACATATTATAAAGTTGCCATACTAGAGGAAAATACATGATTTAAGAAAAAGCTGAGAAGACTCTCTTAATTACAGAACTAGGTGCAAAGGATGACAACTGGGAAAACAATGAAGAGGTCTGAGTGAAGTGTCTCATTTATTTTGTCCCAGCCTTTGTCTTATTCATGAATGTAACATTATAGTTATACTGATTAGGATTCAATGAAAATTGATACTAATATTTATTGACTGTTTACAATAGATGAGGCAGTGTTCTAAGTCTTTTACATTTATTAAATCAGTCAATTCTCATAAAAAGTCCATGAGGTAGATGCAATCATTGGTCCCTGTATTAGTCCATTTTCATGCTGCTGATAAAGACATACCTAAGACTGGGAAGAAAAATATGTTTAATGGACTCAGTTCCAGGTGGCTGGGGAGACCTTACAATCATGGTGGAAGGTGAAAGACATTTCTTACATGGAGGCAGCAAGAGAGAATCAGAGAGCTAAGCCAAAGGTGTTTCCCCTTATAAAACCATCAGACCTTGTGAGACTTATTCACTACCACGAGAACAGTATGGGGGAAACTGCCCCCATGATTCAATTTTCTCCTACTGGGTCCCTCGCACAACATGTGGGAATTATGGGAGCTATAATTCAAGATGAGATTTGGGTGGGGACACAGCCAAACCATATCATTCCCTATGTTAATTTCCTAGGGCTGCCATAATAAAGTACCAACAACTGGGTGGCTTAAAGAACGGAAATTTATTGCCTCACAGTTCTGGAGGCTAAAAGCCCAAAATCAAGGTGCTGGTAGAGTTGATTCCTTCTGAGGGCTATGTGGCACTGTTCTGGACCTCTCTCCTAACTTCTGGTAGCCTCAGATGTTCCTTGATTTGTAGGTGTGGTCCCTGTGTCACATTGTCTCTCATTGGTATATATCTATCTCTGGAGTCCAAATTTCCCTTATTATAAGGACACTAGTCATATTGGATTAGGACCTGCCCTAATGACCGCATCTTAAATTGATCATCTGTAAAGACTCTATTTCTAAATAAGGTCATATTCACATGTATTGGAGGTTAGGACTTCAACATCTTTTTGTAGGACACAATTATACCTATAACAGTGCCCATTTTAAAGTTGAGGAAACTAAAACACAGAGAAGTCTGCTAAATTGCCCACTGTCACCAAGAATGTAAGTAGTAGTGGTAGAAAGTCTGTGTTTTAACCATGATGCTGGATTGTCTTTTATGAAGGAAGCTTAGGTGCAGAAAGACTGGATTATAACACAACAAAGTAAGTGCCAGGGTTTTGTGTGATTGAAAGTCTTGGCACCTCCCATTCTGAAGCATTTGTGGGCATGGTCTCAGTCTTCTAAAATGATTTTAAATTGAGATTTGCATTAGCACCATCTGAAGATATTTCTGTCTGAGGAGATTGGTTAATTGGCACTGGAGAAGAACATTGCAATTTTCTTTTACTGAATAACCTGCTTTTTAACTTGAAACTTCAGATGAAGACAAAAATGAAAGAATATTATGTTTTCATGCCTACTGGCTTTTTATTGAAATATACTTTAATATAGTAAAATGAGCACATCCAAACCATATAATTTCATGCATATTGAAAAATGTAGGCTGAGTGTGCTGGCTCATGCTTGTAATCCCAGCACTTTGGGAGACCAAGGCAGGTGGATCACATGAGCCCAGGAACTCAAGACCAGCCTGGGCAACATGGCAAAACTCTGTTTTTACAAAAAAATAAAAAAATTAGCCAGGCATGGTGGCATATGCCTATAGTGCCAGCTACTTGGGAGGCTGAGGCAGGAGGATTGCTTGAGCCTAGGAGGCAGAGACTGCAGTGAGACAATATCATACCACTGCATTCCAGTTTAGACAACAAAGCAAGACCCTGTCTCAAAAAATATATATACACTTGTATATTACTAGAGGATCAAAAGTCTTTCATATTATTTTGCATTCTAACCAGCAGGAGAAGTCCTTGACTACAGAGAATTTTGAACACTTTTCTGATGGTATTATTTTACAGACGAGATGGGATGAAGTAGTGAGTAGACCAGCTCTTATTTTATTTTTGTTTTCATTATTTAAAGGTATTTTTCCATTGTTTCCCCTGCATTTTCTTGGCTCAAGATCAACAATAATCTTAATATTTTTACTTAATTTTATTGGAGTTGTCCCTTATCAGAGACAACTCCAATAAAGTTACCTCCCTTGGTACATTCAATTCACAGCCTTATAAGGGTGTTTGAAGGGTTATCATGGCTAATATTTTCCTACCATTGACGCAAAAGCAGCAGGATTTGGGAAACTAGATAGAGGCTTAAAGCAAGAAGGAGAAAGCAAAATCTAGGCCTAACAGTTTGTGTGTACAGCAGTATGGTGACACCTGCTTTCTACCAACCTTCTGTCTGCCACTTTTCTCCTCTCTATGTCCCATCTTGCAATGGAGAGAGGGACACATGCTTCTAGTCTTGACAGCACCTTCCTCACCTCTGAGGACGGCTTGATGCAGTACATAAGTGATGGAGTATCAATGCTGGTGGTTGAGGTGGAGAAGGAATTTAGTTCCTTGAATTTTCTTTGTTCTCCTCTGTGTTCCTACAAGAATAATGAAATTTCAGGAAGCTATAGTTCAGAGACACATTTCAGATCATGCAGAATACCTCTGGAAAGAAAGTTTGACTAATTGGCCCTTAAGATTGTATCCAACTCTGTGATTCTAGAATTCATTTTTCAAATAAGTAAGTTGCAGCCCTGAGAGGTTAAGTAACTTGAAAAACAACATACCAGAAGGTAGGGCAGAGCAAAGGCTATGACTTGGGATGCAAATTTCGGTGCACCCACTATCAAATCCAGAAGCTTCCCATGCCAGACATAAATAAGAAGCTGGATTCCTTCTGCTTCACTTTTGGACTTTTGTCTTTTACACAGACTCTACGACCTCTTAAACCTTTGTCAAAAAGTTCACTTACCAACTGAGGGCTAAATATGCCTCTGTGAAAGGCGGAGGTGAACATGACAGTACTCGGCACACCTACTTCTCTTCCATTGGCAGGACCACTGCAATCCCAACCAATAATAACTCACTAACCAAACTCAACAAGACCCACATCCAAACACACCACTGTCTGATGCACTTCAAAGTGCAAATGTAGGAAACAACTTTTCAGCCAATAAGTTTGCTGGTGTAACTATTCATTTGGAAACAAGAAGGAAAAAGAACAATATTTAATTAAAAGTTCAGATTTGTTTTGGATACCAAATCAAAAACTAGGATGTCTCAGATTTTACAAGTGCTCCTTCAATCACAGAGATCCACTGTGTGGAATTTGCAGTACTTTGTACTGCAGAGTAGGTTGTAATTGGACAGGTGAGTTCTCCTCCCTTTTCCTATTTCCTCCCTGGGAGCTCAGCAGAATACAGGAGCTAGCAGCATGGAGCTCTGAATTGATGCATGCCTAATCACAGTGTGCAGACAGCTCCCCTGTCTGTCCTAGTTCTCCTAGCCAGAATTTATATTTACCAAAAGATGATGATACATAGTAATAAGTAGAAGTCTTACAAAAGACATGGCAAAGAAAGTTTGGGTGACCATGAAGTAAACCTGGGGCAACACAGGATGGAACTGAGAAGCAGCGTAATTGCCAACTGCCATTCCCCAGGGTCAAAGACCCCTTTATGGATGAGATCTTTTCTTCCTTTCTGCAGCACCTAACATACAACTCTGAACATCCTAATTCATTTTAGTCCCTCTGCAAGCACTGCTGGATGACAGACTTACCTTCTTGGCCAGGTAACCCCTGCTATATCATAAGATTTCATCTGCGAGAAAAGGAGGAATTCTTCTACAGCTCCCCTGCTCAACTTTCAGGAGATTTTGACCCATGTGCTGCTACGGAAAGATTGAAGAAGACAAAGTACATTTAAGTAATTTCTGATCTTTATCCCCTAAGTATGTGTGAGTATATGGTAACCAGTAATGATTTATACTAACACAGCTTCATCTGAATTCCAGAACATTTTCTAAGCAATGCTCCGTCAATCCTCCAAGCAGCCTTTAACATGGATAGGAAAATGAACATATTTTCTATGACTCATAAACAATATGGATGCACTTAATAAATCCAGTTTTACAGATATTGTAATGATGATTCCTCAGCCCTAGCAAAGTCAGAGAAGTGAGTTCATATTTGGGGAAGTGGTATGCAAATGCAAGAATGTCAGTGGATGTATTCCTACCTCATACTTCATGCACATTAAGTATATACTGAGTAATTTATTGTTTCACAGAAAATGTCTTCCTTATATTTAAAAAAGTCCATCCTATTTTTTAAAGGACAAAATCACTGCATATAATTGAAAATTGAAAATGTACTTAAGTATACTAAAAATGAAAGTCATTCTCATTTTCAACCTATTTTTCACTCCTCTGAAGTAATAACTGTTAACAGTTTGTGCATACTTACAAACATTTTTTCATGTGCATATTTATAAAATATAAAGTTCTATATATTATTTTGCAACTCATTTTTATCATTTAGTAATACAAGTTGTGATAATGTAAAATATATGTCTAATTTATGCCTTTTAATTGTCACATTTGTTGCTTTCAACTTAAAAGATTTTTAACCCATACCTCATTAGTGATCGTTTCTGCAGTTTCCAATTATTTTCTTATTGCAAACAGTGCTACAATAAAATATTACGTTGAGCAGAAATGCTACTATAAGTATCCCCATAGCATTGTTTGCAATAAGAAAAAAATTGTTACAACTCTTGTTGGAGAAGGTAAGTGTATCTTTAATATAAACTCACAGGGTAATTTCATATATCAGGTTTTTTTCCTATAATATGATAGTTTAAGACAAACGTTTACTATTATTCATAGGATGACATATTGGTTTAGTGATTCTTTTAGTCTTGGCTAGATTGATTCACATGTCTGCTGTAAGTAAGCTGTGGGTTGGCTAGGTGTTGCTGCTGATCTTAGCTGGGTTCTCCCATACATTTGGGGGTTGACTAACTGTTGGCTGGCCTAGAAAGCCTCAGGATTTCTCCTAGAAGCCCATCCTGGGCATGTTTTCATGGTGAGACTGAGGGCCACGGAAAGGAGGTGGAACATGTAAATGTTTCTTCAAGTCTCTTGTGTCTTTTGCTACTATTCCATTGGCCCCAGCAAACTTGAATCCAAGGTATGTGTGGTAGGGCATTTAGCGTCAGTGTGAAAAACTAGAATAATTTTTGCAATCAATTTTCGTATATATTTTAACAGTTTATGGATATTGCCAAATTGTCCTCTCACAGGATTTAACAAATTTTCACTACTACCAATGTTGTATGAGAGGATTTTTGGCAACAAAATTTAGTCTCCCAGAGTGAAAAATTACGAACACAGGACAATCTTGTTCCTTCTGATTTTTACTATTATGTTCTAAAACTACTGACCAAATTTATAATACTTATTGCTTTTTCTATTGTACAGCTTTTCTTAATAATTTATAACATTTGCATTCTTTTTGATAAATTTAAAGCCATATTAATAGTTCTTTTTTTTGCCTTAGCCATAATTAGAAGGGAATTAATGTTTACTTTATTAGTTTTTTCAGAAAGCAGCTTCCACATTCTTAAGCTCTGTACTGTGAACCACATCTTAGTTGGGTAAATTTTGTTATCAGGAAGGTTTTCAAAACATGGTCATGCATGTTATATTTTCTGAGATCATTCACATCTAACAATCTTTTCCTATTGCTTTTATACATGAATGGGCTGAGGATAAAATTATTGGGTCCCATATTTCCCCTTATTTATCCATTATCTTCTGGAATTGAATGTTCTATGAAGAGCTTTGATATAGGTAATCTACCTGTCCTTCCATTCATTTCAAAACGTTAATTAAGCATCTAACATGACAGGCACTATTCTAGGCACTGAGAGTATAGAAATAAACCACACACACACATACACACACATACAAACACACACTCACATACACACACACAAATATCCTTGCTTTCCTGAAGCTTAAGTTCTTGTGAGAGGACATCACTAATAAAAAGAAAAAGTAAATAATTATCTATGTAGTATGAATAAATAGATTAAGTAAATGAAAGTAAAACAAACAAAAAATTGAATGGCTTAAACAACATAAATTAATTTTTTCACTATTCTGGAAATGAGAAGTTCAAAATTAAGGTGTTGGCAGAGCTGTCTCCCCTCTAAAGACGCTAGGGAAGAATCCTTTCTTTCCTCTTCCTAGCAAGAAAGTGGTTGCGGCAGCGTCACTCCAGTCTCTGTCTCAGTTGTCACACTGTTTTCTTTTCTATGTCTCTGTGTGTCCTCTCCTCTTATAAGGTCCTTAATAGGTTGACTCTAATCCAGAGTAAACTTATATTTAACTAACTGCATACACAAAGACTCTTATTTCCAAATAAGATCCCATTCTGAGGTTTAGGGTGCACATGAATTTTTGAAGGACACTGTTGAACCTAGTACAGGAGCAAATACTGCCCTTAGTATTACAGAGTGAAACCTTCAACAATAGGAAGCACACGAGTGTTGGTATTTGAGCAGGGTACCAGTGAAGGAAGATTACAAATCATGATTTGTCCTATCTGCACAGTCAGCTACCCAGTATAACCCGAGGCTTGATTCTGGAGTGTCTCCACAGGTGGAATAAAATTAGGGGCCAATGAGAAGAGGAGTAAGAGGACCACTCTAAGAGAGGAAGACAAAACCCTTCAAATTCATGAGTCCACTTGTTTCCTAGAGTATAAAGATGAAACATCAAATTGTGACCCAGCAAAAGACCTACAGAGTGGGAACTGCTCTGTAGCACATATACAAGGAAACTGATGTGATTGGATATTGATTGCAATAATGCCTTTGCAAATCCTCTGGTTCTACAGCCCCAGGTCAACTGTATTTGTCTTCTTTCTATCAGAGGAAACCAAGCCCTCAGCTCTCACATGGGCCTGACATGGAGGAGATAGATCAATGAAGTGGGAGAAAAGCAGCAATGGTGAGGTGGGAGACGACACCAGCACTTGATATTCTATCTCCAGAAAAGTGGATATTCAAGATTTGTACCTTAGGCACCATCTGCTCATCCTGATTTCTTTTAATCACCAATGCCAATGTAGAAAGAGAGATGTAACTCTACACCTCTTTGCTTGAGCTTAGGGTCATTTTCACAACTCCAGAGTTCTGAGAAAACTCTACCTAATGGGGAAAAAGTGTTTATGTTTTTACTCAGTTGTTTCGTTACATAAGTTGATTATGTTTGAAAATAAAGTGTATTGTTTGCTAGTTAAGAGTGATAATTCTTATTCACTTGCATTTCAGGAGCCTCCGAATGAGGAAATCATAACTCAGGCATTAAAAACTACTTTCTATATTTGAATTACTTTTTATCATTTGTCTGAGACTTGACCATAAAGATGCTATATACATCTAATAAAGCACAGAATTGCGCCCTCACACAAAGTGGGTTATTTCAGTGATTTGAGGCAGAGAAATCTGTTTCTGAACCCAAGTCACAGGTGGTGGGACTCCTTCATTGTTTGTACCTTGTAAGTAGAAAGCAAAGGGAAAAGTCAACCAAGCAATCTCAGTTGCCAAGGAGACACAGTATTTTCTATTGAATGAAGAAAAAATATGTGAACTCCCTACTTTTGTTGACTCACTACAAGTCGATACCAATGATCCTGAATAAATGGTTTGTCAAACAACAGGGCCTTGTTGTCGTTTGCATGGATGGGAACTTCACACAGTGTAAAAAATCAATACTTACCGATTAATTTCTTTGAGAGTGTGGCCTTGCTAGTATTGCCTTTTATATTACTAAGTAGATTTACTTTCTATATTTCCTCCTTCCTCATTGCTTAAGGGAACATTTGCAAGATTCATAGTAATGAGTCGATTCAGACTAGTACAATTCAAAATATGCAATTTGATTCATATTCTTCCAGGTTCTGAACAGCTACTAGTTTAGAAGCATGCTGAAAACTATGCTATAAATGAGCCTTTCCTATTTGATTGGCTTCACACAGTCTCCAAAGGCCGCTCTCCTTGCTATTCGTATATAAGAAGATAGACCTTTGGTTGTGTGGACAGCAGAAGTAAGCAAAAAGAACTCTTGCTCATTCTTGAGGTTCACAAGTTCTAATTATCACAAACAGAACATGAGCTGAGCCTGAGACAGCCTACAAAATCACTGTCTATTACTTCTTCAAATGTGGTGCAATATGAGGCCTCTGCTGAGGGAAATATAACCACACCCTGATTGTATTTTTATCTGCTCATCTCATCAAGCTTTGATTTAGCAACAGATGATTAGGCAACCGTTGTTGGAGGATATTGCAAGCTTATAAAACCCTGAGATTCTTGTTTAACGGAAGGGGATAAAAAAGACATCAGGAAGCATTACAAAAGTTTTCTTTAATGTTTATCTGGCCTGTAAAATAGTGAGTACAAGTAGGAGAATCAGTAAATAGTTATTTAATGACCGATGGCTCTGTGACTAGTATACTGTAGCAAGTCCATAGGAATGAATGCTCATGGAGAAAGGAGGTAAAAAGTGAAAGAGGGAAAATAATTTCAACAAAAGCAAGATCTGTGTTTTAGATGAATTAATATGAAAATTAATGTACATTTCCTTTAACAAAAACATTCATGTTCTTAAACGCTCAAGACTCCTAATTACTTTTATGAATATAAATGGCTAGACCTTTGTTACCCGATTGATTATTAGAATTGATTTCCCTGGATAGTCTGTTTCTTTTCTCATTGATTTAAATGCCCTTTGGAAGTTGAGCTCACAGATTAAAAAAAAAAAAATGTGTCCTTACCAGACGGAAAACAGTATTCTTGGATCCAGGGTCCTTAGCTCTTTGGATCATTTGGTCTCTTGAAACTCTTAAGGATGAAGGTAGGGACAATGCAGGAACATGGAAACTGAAAATTTTGGGTGTTGGGTTTGTCCAGTACTGCATCAACTTCATTTTACAGCTTTCTCTTTACCTTGTTTCATTTTCCCCCCCTCCATGGCTTTCCTAAAATTGTCAGTTTCCTGGAAGACCCAGACACCAGATCTGTATTGCCTAGCTCTTACTGAATGTTTCAAAGAAATGTTTGGCTACTAATCCACAGTATTATTAAACTGCAACCAAAAGCAAGCCTAGAGTCTCCTGGTTTAGGTTTTGAGACTACTGTGAATGTGTAAGCTCAAGACAGGTATGTCCCTGCTTGGAAGTAGACAGGAAAATCTTTGCACTGCTGAATTAAGCTACAAAATCAGCAGTAATTACACACCTGCTTGTTTTTCTCTTACCTCCTGAAATTTCAAAATGTATTGATATTTTAGTGAATATATTATAAAATAAAATACACTTAATGTATTTTACATTGTCTAAAATCTTACAAGGAATGGCTGAGACATGAGTGACAGAATTGTGCTGATGCTGTAGGACTGACACTGGAAGGACAAAAAGAACTAGCATTTGTCTAGCACTTCTCTATTCCAGGCTCCGTGCTAGATGCTTTAAATATAGTATTGGGTTTTACATTTAGAACAACTCTTTTAAGTGTTAACATTATTATGAGGTTGAACCTCATGAAATTGCCATTTTTGTAGGTCGAAAATGTTGCATATTGGAAATTTCAAATGGTTCAACCTAATTTCTTTTTTATGGGGAAAGAGAGAGAGAGAGATATATTAAGTAATTTCACCAAATCACAGTTTCAAACCCAGGTTTTATGACTCTCAAATCCTTTGTACTGGGCTACCTTCCAAAGAGGCTGTTGTTACTTCCCTGTTGATGCTGGAGAAGTCATTCAGTATGTCTGCACTATGATTTTCATACCCCCAAGTGATCTATTAATACCCACCCACCTACTTGATAGGGTTGTAATTAGGATCACAGGAACTTCTATGTAAAGCTGTTTTGGGGAATGTGTCTTAGAAATGTAGTATACTTCTGTTTTTCAGTCCAGGAATGTGCCCAGAATATATAACATCAACTAAAATGGAAAACATCTAGCTTTTCTGGATATAAAATACGTCTTTATAGTTTCTTCCCTAACATCTCTTAAATTTCTTATAATTGGGAAAAATTATGTTTTACTGTAGAGAATGTCTCAGCTTAGGAATATGTTGCTTTTAGCATCTGAAAAGATTAAGACAGTATAAACACTACTCAGTGGATTTTTAGGGGGTGGTTAAGTGTGTTTGTTCAAAGAAAAGAGAAAGCCTTTATTGGAATCTTCAGGAAATTTAAATACTAAATTTATGAAATCCACAACACTTAGTATAGTTTTTCTTACATATAATAAATACTCAACAAATAGTAAATAGAAAGCAAAGGAGCGAGAATGAGAAATTTAAAAAACACTCATACTATAAACTCTAAAAATAAATCCTAATAATGCCTTTTTAGTTCTGATTTTCTGAAGATTATCCTACTAATAGAAGAGTATAATGATATTTAGAAACTATTAAAATGAATAAAGAAATTTGTTTTATTTGAGTGTGTGTAATAGGGTCTGAGCATATATTTCTTTTTTCTCTCTTAAGTGTGCCTAGAGCACATATGCACCGAGAACTCTACTAGATGCTAATGAAACAATGGTGACAAAACAGGCTGTCCCCGATCCAGCTCACAGCGTACTCTGGTACTCTCTGCCTGGTGAGTTGATTTCATGAAAATTTCTTTTGAGTGGTTTCTTTGAGCAGAGCTTAAAGAGGATGAAAGGAGGACAGTTGTCATGAGTAATAGGTGAGGAACATTTACAGGAACAGAAAATTGTCTGAAGACTTTAGGGACATGTCAACACTTAGCTGAGAAAATCATGATGCTTGCATGCCTAACTCCTTCTACCTGGAAATCGGATGTGAGCATGTTAGAGATTTCAGGAAGAGTATGGTGTTTAGGAACAGAGGCACTTGCCACACAGCAAACGTCAGCCAGCAGGAATAAGCACATAGTAGCTTCAGGTGTGATCACCAGCCATAGATTCTCTGTTCCCCACCCCACTAATACTGGGACTTTTTACACACCTATATTTGCCCATATTTTCAGCAGAATATCCTGTAGTATACGTAATAACTGGTAAGTTTAGCACAGGTGGTAAGTGATATTTACCTGTTAATCACCGAAATTTTTTAAGGAGGCTTCTCCTGGCATGAAAGAGTTGGTATTGTGTCCCGAATTGGTTGGTTCTTGGTCTCACTGACTTCAAAAATGAAGCCGCGGACCCTCGCGGTGAGTGTTAACAGCTCTTAAGGTGGCACGTCTGGAGTTTGTTCCTTCTGATGTTCGGATGTGTTCAGAGTTTCTTCCTTCTGGTGGGTTCGTGGCCTCGCTGGCTCAGGAGTGAAGCTGCAGACCTTCTCGGTGAGTGTTACAGCTCTTAAGGCAGCGCGTCTGGAGTTGTTCGTTCCTCCCTGGGGCTCGTGGTCTTGCTGGCTTCAGGAGTCAAGTTGCAAACCTTCAGGGTGAGTGTTACAGCTCATAAAAGCAGTGTGGACCCGAAGAGTAAGCAGTAGAAAGAGCGAAACAACAGAGCCTCCACAGCATGGAAGGACACCGGAGCGGGTTGCCACTGCTGTCTCAGGCAGCCTGCTTTTATTTTCTTATCTGGCCCCCACCCACATCCTGCTGATTGGTAGAGCCTAGTGGTCTGTTTTGACAGGGCGCTGATTGGTGCGTTTATAATCCCTGAGCTAGACACAAAGGTTCTCCACGTCCCCACCAGAGTAGCTAGATACAGAGTGTCCATTGGTGCATTCACAAACCCTGAGCTAGACACAGGGTGCTGATTGATGTGTTTACAAACCTTGAGCTAGATACTGAGTGCCGATTGGTGTATTTACAATCCCCGGGCTAGACATAAAGGTTCTCCACGTCCCCACCAGACTCAGGAGCCCAGTTGGCTTCACCCAGTGGATCCCGCAGCGGGGCTGCAGATGGAGCTGCCTGCCAGTCCCGCGCCGTGCGCCCGCACTCCTCAGCCCTTGGGTGGTTGATGGGACTGGGCGCCGTGGAGCAGGGGATGGCGCTCCTCGAGGAGGCTCGGGCCGCACAGGAGCCCACTGAGGGAGTGGGAGGCTCAGGCATGGCGGGCTGCAGGTCCCGAGCCCTGCCCCACGGGAAGGCAGCTGAGGCCCGGCGAGAAATCGAGCGCAGCGCCGGTGGGCTGGCACTGCTGGGGGACCCAGTACACCCTCCACAGCCGCTGGCCCGGGTGCTAAGCCCCTCATTGCCCGGGTCCGGCAGGGCCGGCCGGCTGCTCCGAGTGCAGGGCCGGCCGGCTGCTCCGAGTGCAGGGCCGGCCGGCTGCTCCGAGTGCAGGGCCGGCCGGCTGCTCCGAGTGCAGGGCCGGCCGGCTGCTCCGAGTGCAGGGCCGGCCGGCTGCTCCGAGTGCAGGGCCGGCCGGCTGCTCCGAGTGCAGGGCCGGCCGGCTGCTCCGAGTGCAGGGCCCGCCAAGCCCACGCCCACCCGGAACTCCAGCTGGCCCGCAAGCGCCGGGCGCAGCCCCGGTTCCCGCTCGCGCCTCTCCCTCCACACCTCCCTGCAAGCTGAGGGAGCCGGCTCTGGCCTTGGCCAGCTCAGAAAGGGGCTCCCACAGTGCAGCGGTGGGCTGAAGGGGGCTCCTCAAGTGCCGCCAAAGTGGGAGCCCAGACAGAGGAGGCGCCCAGAGCGAGCGAGGGCTGTGAGGACTGCCTGCACGCTGTCACCTCTCAGTATCTTTATAAAAGGTGAGCAATTTTCTGCTCAGTGTATGAACTTCTACTCATTAAGACAACAGCACAGTTGAATACTATATTAATAACGATGAATACAGAAGTGATTATTAGCAAGTTCTATATATCTAATTAGAAGGCTTTGGGCTATAACAAACTCTGGGAATACAAGCTCGAGTACATTACCCAATATTTGAGAGATGTCTCAGAACACATGAATGTGAGGATCTTGTGAAATTGACTGGACATTACATTATGTTGTGCAGTTAGAACCAGATAATCTATCAAGGTGAAAACCAGTGTCTGGGACATAGGCCAGTGTCTGGGACTTGGTCCAGGATATTCCTAGGCAATGGCAGGCAGCAAGTCAATGTTTTTCATATGCTATGTGTACATGCTCTGAATGGATTCAAGTCCTGATTTTGCCATTTTTAAAGATACCCACTAACAAAAGCTGGGTGAGACTCAGTATTTAAGTGAGACCTGAAGTCATGGTTATAGGGCTATAAAAGGCTGTACAGATCAGTAACAGTTTTTATTTATGTGCACATGTGTGCCTGCATACAAAACAAGGAATAACATAACATTGCATCATTTAAATGAAAAAATTAACTATCATACCCATGAAATATTTACCTCAGATGTAACTTCATGAGGGTTCACATCCTTCAAAACAGCATTTGAAACAATTTATAATTGAGTTTTACAAAGTATGAGACTAGATTCATTTAGCCTGATTTCTCTAGGTAGATATTGGTAGTAAAGCATTGCACAAAAGTGACTACTTCAGTGGAGGATATCCCACAGAAGGAAGGATTTTAATAGGAACTCACTGGGTGTGGGAAGCCAGTGACAGAAGTTAGTGGAAGCAGCGTGGATTTTGGGGGTGCTGGTTTGCTTATAGGACACTCTCAACGTCACACTTTTTCCCCTCCACATGGTTCTATTCATATCTTTCACAACAAAAGTCTTCATACAGCAATCCAGAAGGCAGAATGAAACATTTTTGCCCTCCAAACTTGAGCTTGTTCAGATTCTGTTTCTGCCCTCTTTTGGGGTGTAACTTGGACCAGTATGAATGGGTGGGGTTGGTAAGTGTATGTAACTGTAGAGATACCAGCTTAGGGTTGCCCATTTTAGCAAATAAAAATACAGGACACTCATTCCAATTTGAATGTTGGAAAAACTGTGAATACTTTCTTTAGCATAATTATGTCCCAAATATTGCATGAGACATATTCATACTAAAATATATTTCTTGTTCATATGCATTTCAAGTTTAACTGGGCCTTCTGTACTTTATCTGGCAACCCTTACTTAGTTAGAACTTTGGTGAAGGAAGCCACCATTCAAAGGTTGACAGAGTTTTGTTGATGATGTTTTGCACAGTGATGTTTGATTGGCCCTCTTTAGATAGTCCATATAGCCATGGGAAATCAGAATTTGATAAACTGATAATCTTTTGTAATACAGTTTGGCCCCAATATTCCTTGGAATCTGGGGAAATTTGGCCTCTCCATGGGTCATGCTGTTGAATGAGAAAGCAGGATAGAGTTCTGTCTATCCAGGCTTTTAGGCTGCTGTTCTAAGTAGGATCAGGCTGGTTAATATGTGATGTTGTTCTGTGTTGCTGTTTGACCCCTGTGTTCTTTGGAGTCTGTGAAGGTTTGCCCTTTAAAAATCAAACTACCACGGAAACTGCTTTACCCAAAATTTTAGTTTACAGCATTTGTTGGATTACTTATTGGGGTAAACAAAGTTTAGCCATGTGTACATGTTTGTAAACTGTTGAGTTTGTATTGCTATCTCATGGCTAGTGTTCTGAAATAAAAGCTATTAGATTATTATGTGTGTATATGCATTAGATATGTTTATGTATATGCATATTTATTATGTTATATATCATATCTACCAAATTGACTTATAAATAAAACAGCACTCATAAATTAAGTAAATAAGCTCAAAAAAGTTTTCAAGTTCATGTGACTTAAGCAAATTTTTAACAAACAAGCTATCTTTAAAATTATTGGTAAGATAAAAATAGAAGTGTCTTCAGATATGTTAGAATACACTTTTGTCTGTGTTTTATATTTGTCTGTGCTGGATATTTTGAGGTGTCATGGTTTGGCACAGAAGGTTATGAAACTATAAACTCAGCCAAAACAAAATGATCGTTGTGTGCCTTGACAAATGAGACTAATTTGATGTTGTTAGTTTAATAAAAACAGCTGAATCTTCTGAATTATTAACAAAAATACCTATGTATTTAACTGTAAGTTTCTTAAGTTAGGTGAGCACCTTATAGTGACAGGCTGTAAAAAATGGTTGACAAGGAAATAATTTGAAATAATGACTAGCTTTAATATCTCAGTTTTCAGAAGTAATAAAACTGTTAAAAATGAAAGAATTGAGTATATGCAAATGGGATAAATGTTGTAGGTGAACTTTTTGTGTAACATAAAATCTTAAAATTGTTTTTGATGTTCATTGGATGTCTGAGTTATTTACTATTAAGAAAGGGCTATGATATAGGGAAATATGTTTCTAAAAATTGTGGAATGGTCTCATCTATAAAATGCTAATATTTGACAGTTCAGGATTTCTGGTTTCCATTTTCACTAAAATTTAAGGTGACTAAGAGTAAGAATTGTAGTTAATGTACAATTCTGTACATAAAATGTGCCAAAGAGGATGTGTCCTTCCTGAGAAAAAGAATAATTCTGTCTAATTCAGAAGTTATCTAAAGGTTAATTCAAGTTATAGACTCGAAAAGGTTATGTATGCAACAAGGTAGAAAGGAACAGTAAATAGGGGAGAGAGATGTGAAGAAAGTTATAGGTATGTACATGTATTTTTGGTAAAAAAAAAAAGTTATAAATAAAAGAGAATAAGAGAATAATTTTGTATGAGAAAGGATCTTGTATGGTAAATTTTTATCCTGAAGTAAAATGACTTTTTTTTGTTTTTTTTTTTAGAAAAGTTAGGATGAAACAAATAAATCCAAGTAGTTCATATATGGTCTGTGTAAGTCATATGTAGTTTTTCCCCGTTTCTCTGTGTGTCTATCTTCACACATATACAGAGAAAATAGAAAGTTGACAAAATTTAGATAGTAAAATATTCTTTAAAACCTAATAAAACAATTAGAGAAGTTTAGCTAATTAACACTGCTCATAAAGTTCTTATTCTTAATGAAAGTAAATTAAGAAATATTGTAAAGAAATACACTGGCAGTTTGGCAATTCTTTAACATAGTTAAGCATGAAGCCAGATTTAACATGGAGCCAAATTTTATATCATATTTGCATAGTATGATACAGATAGTATTAGGATAGTTTTGCTATAGATAGTATATGCATAGTGCTGCATAGATAGTATTAGCACAAAACCACTTACTAGTCATGCGCCTAAAGTGAGTTTCTTAATGGCATAAAATGTATAGTGGTATTCATGGACATTAATTTTTATACCAGGAGTGAGATATCCATTATGTTTCTTTTAGGTTCTAGGTAACACTGTATCCTCCAAGGTAAACTGAATAGGAGAAGAATTTGATGTTGTTTTACTGTTTGTTTTTGCTTTTAATTTTCATTTATTTACTGTTTGTTCTTATTTAGGTTTCACTTATTTATACATATATATGTATGTATACATTGATTTTTTTTTCTAGTTTCTAATGGAAAGCTTGTATTTGGTTCTGTGAAAAGTCATTTTGTTTCCTATGCATTTACAACGGTCTGTCATTTGCTCTATTTGTCTAAAGTTTCTAAGCTACCTTTGTCAAGCCTCCAAAAATTAATAGAGCATATCAACCATTTTAAACTGGATTTGTTTTGCTTACCTCTGATGATCTTGAGAGCTACAAGAGCTTTAAGGTTACTGGCAAAACACAAAATTAAATTAAAGACTTATTTTTGTAAGTTCTGAACAGAAATAGTACATTGTTAATTTTGTTATTTGGAAAAGTAGGTGAGAGTATATATGTTTAAATATAGTGTTTATTTCCAAGGTAATTCAAGTCAATCAATAATTTGAGTTAGTTTCAGATCTTTTTCTTTAGGTAATGAAGAAAAACTGTGATATGGTTACAAAGTTTTAATGGTCAGAAAAGACTGGCCTTATCCTTAGAGAAATCAGGATTTCTCTCAAATTAGTTTTATTTACCATTATTAAAATTAAGTGACATTCACTAAATTTAAGTAGTAATTTTAGAAAGCAAGACTTTCCAGTGATTTTTGATCCTAAGCCTTTTATCACTGTTAGGCCTTCGTGTATGTACTTGAAAATAAAATAGGTACAAGGTTGCACTGGTTTGAAGATTCTAGTGATAAAAGTTACCTAATCAGTTGTCAGTACTGTATCTAGAAATCCATGTTGGAAATTTGTGATGATGCACTTGTAATTCACTGAAATTATTGTGTGCTTGTTCTTACTTTATCCCTGTTTTGTTGTATAATACTTAAATGAAAGGAGACTATTTATCTTCATACTGAATTTCCAGAACTGATATTTGTATTTACCATTTTTTAAATAATGTAATTGTCTTACTATGATCAGTTTGGCATAGGACCTCTCACATTTTTTATGCTTTTGGTCACAGTTCTGTCACTAAATGCTAGCAATTAGACATGTGAAAGGAGTAACCTGATGACTTTAATACAATGGTTTGAAGTGCTGACTAGACAGCAAATCAGTGTTTTAATTTGTGACATGTTAGAGAAAATGATAGGACTTTCTGAAGTATAAATTTCCTATTAACTAATTGTTGTGCTGTTAAGTGACAGGGCTTTTACTCCTGGGTCTGGAAAAGGTACTGACTCCTGTAAATTTTGAGCATTGATACCAGTCAAAGCCTCGTCTTCAGACCTAGGAGAAGGCGACAATCAAAATGAACTGCTTTCATGAGACACAGGCCAGAAATTAAAACTATTCAATCCCTCTAGGCCCAGGGAATATCACAAAAGAGGTGGGCAAGTGAGATTATAAGGGCCGGTTCTGAGTGATAGAGTTAGTTCAGAGTTTTTCTGTAAATTAAACATTAATATCAAAAGCACAGTGATACGAGGCCAGTGTCTGGGCCTCTGTGTTGGAATAACAGGATTTTCTTGAAGCATTGGTCTACTCTTTAATAGAAGATTGTAAAGGTTATAAAAGGTTTATGGAAATCTTACCTTATGGTCAAACTAATTGGAATTAAATAGATTTGTTTATAAGAATTGGAGTTAAATAGATTTGTTTATATTGTTAAAATTAGCTTTCACATTAATAATAAACCATAAAAGGGTAAAATTCGGTTATCTCATTTGAACAAATTTTTTGTGTACTATTAATAAGAGATGGTCCTGTGTGATTTCTCTTTGGTGGAGGTGGGGAACTAGAGAGAGAAAGATTGTATTTCAGAAGAAAACTATAGTATTATTAATAGATTAACCTTTGATTCCTGAGTGGCCACCAGGTCACTGATGGCACAGAGCTACCCACAACACTTCTCCTAAGCATAAGCAGCCATAAAGACCCATGATCAGATTCCTCATGAATGAGAAACTGACAAATGAGAAGGGACGGGGGACTGAAACCAGCCCAATTGTCCCGTAGAACTGATGTTTATGGTTTCTTTCAATAAACATAGAAATTGATCCTTCCAGTCTTAAAACTTGAGAAAGTTACATTTATATGAGTTTCTTTCTCAGGAAGCCAACCATCAGGGCTCCTCAAGAAACTGAAACTCACCAGATTGCAGCATTTGGACAATGAGATGCCAAACCCCTCACCCATCATGACTGCCTAACCACCTGCTCCCTGTTGACAAACTCCTCTTCCTTGCCCCTCCCGAATTCCTGTCTTCCCACACATGGTTACATTTCGTCCCTGCTACATTAACTCCGAACTTTAGTCAATTAGTGAGATAGATGGATTTAAGACTGATTTCCCATCTCCTCAGTTGCAGCACCCATCCAATTAAAGTCTTCTTCCCTGACAATCCTGGTTGACTTAGTGATTGGTTTTCTGTGCAGTGAGCAACAGGACCTAAACCAAACCCCTGGAGTTTTGGTAACAGAAGTGTGATATTAGAGTGTGAACTGCTAACTACTTGTGACTTTAGTCAGATTTTTTTAAATTCTAGGGACTTTGCTTTTTCCTTGAACAAGATAAGAAATTTGGATTAAAGGTTCGGTTTGCAACCCTGAGTACACATTAAAATCAACTGGGAAATATCCAGAAAAATACAGTGCATCCCAGGATGACCATATTATTTACCACCCAATGTCCTTAAAGAATAAAGGGGCAGCTAAAAATAATAAACAGCCACCAATTGTTCTATAACAGGTTTCACATAGAACTTTCCCCCAGGGAAACTGGAATGTATTTTCTCCCTATGAATTCCTAGAAATTATGACTTAATTGGTCTGGAATGGGCTTCAAAAATCTCATCAGGTGATTCCAAAGAGCAGTTCACTTTTGAATCACTGGAACCTTCTGCCTCTTGAAGTTCTTTTCACTGCATCTGATAGGACCTTGCCTCTTTTGTACTGTGAAACCAGTAATTGACTACAAATTGGTATCTACATTTTGGGTATTTGTATTTTGTCCTCAGTTGGCATTATTCACTCCCTTTTTATTGAGTCTCCTTTCTATCCTTTTTCTTTCTTTCCTGTGCCTATACAGACCAGAGAAAGGCAGGAATAAGAATAAGAGGAAAACCCTGAGGCCCATTTTGCTTATTTTTATTTTATGAGAAACCCAATTCTAAATCAGTTTCTCTGGAACCATGACCTACCACAGAGAAAGTAGATTAAAAAATGATTGTGGCCTCTGGGAAGAACATGTTTACTTATTCCTGGATTCAGGTCATGTTAGCGAACAAGGATTAATGGCACATCCAATTAAGGTGAGCACTAGGGATTGCACGTGAAGCATTGCTCTGACAATTACTGGCCACAGCATCTCAGCATCTCAGCTTGCCCAGGGAAGGCACTGAACAGTCCATTCTTTCCAATGAGAGAAAACCACACTTGTTATTTAACTAGGACTCTATCTGGTAATGCAGAATTTTTTATTGCTCTTTATTAGCCTCTTGTAAGATACTACACAAATTTAAGAACTCTGAAAATTATGTGTCCGTCAGAGCATTTATTTATGCCATGTCTGTAATCTCCAAAGGGGTGCTCCTTAGTCATGCATGTGTCATGCCATGCGATTCTATGTATCCATTCAGATGTTATTGGATAAGGGTGGACAAGTGAACCAAAGGAAATCATTGACATAGCAGAAAAGGTGACAAGACAATGCAATTTCCTTTCTCTCGAACACGAACTGAGAGGGAAGGCAGTTAATGGGTGGAAGTGGAGCAAAATTTATAGGTTGTAAGGTAGGAAAGAGTGGAGAGACTATGAAGGGCCACTTGCAACCCAAAGATATGAACAATCAGAAACTACAAGAAAGCAGATGCAATGTTGTTGAAAGTGTGGTATATGAACATTAGTTTTGGTCTGTTAACTGTTAGTTACCAGTCTGCAATAAGCAAAGAAAAAGAGAAGAAGCTAAGCTTTTAGACTGCATAAAAGTTTAACATTGCTGTGACATCCAAATGCATGGTTTTGTGTTTTATAAAAGTACTGGCCTATGATGGATTGAGATGTGGGGGAAGGATGTTCCTTTACTGTATATAATTTGAGAAGCACTGGATTAGAAGATGATGGAGTAGTGGATCGTGGTATAAGAAGAAGGAACCACTTAGAGAAGTGCAGAGTCATATTAATGACTGAGTTTTAACGAAGATTTGTGAATGGCTGTTGCTGAAGCCCTTAGAACTGCCTTGATCCTCAAACCATCCCACCATCTTATCCTATTTTTCTTGGGGTCTAGTTCACGAACTTTTCTGTAATTTGAGTGAGTTTCTGTTCCTTGTAACTAAATAACCAAAGAATATAAATGGAAGAAAAAAAAGAAACATTTACAAAGTTGTGCTGGGGGTTCTAACTTACTGTACCATAGGATCGAGGAATGTCTTTACATATTTTTTGGGTATATTAGGTTGTCATATCATTTTAAATTAGAAGTGTGTGAAGGAAACATCAGAATGAAAAAACTACTAAAAAATAGGATAAAAAATTTGCCAATCATGTATGTGATAAGGGGTTAGTATCTAGACTATATAAGGAACTTTTACAACTCAACAACAACAAAACAAATAGCCTGACTTAAAAATAGGCAAAGGATATGAATAGACAATTCTCTAAAGAAGATATACAAATATTTAACAAGCATATGAAAAGATGCTCAACATCACTAACATAAGAGAAATGCAAACCAGGACCATAACAAGATATTACCTCACACCCGTTAAGATGGCCACTATCAAAAAAATAGAAAATAAAAAATGTTGCTGAGGATGCAGAGAAGTTGGAATCCTTGTGCCCTGTTGGTGGGTATGTAAAATAGAGAAGACATTATGGAAAGCAGTATAGAGGTTCTTTAAAACATTAAAAATAGAATTACCATAGATACAGCAACTATACTCTGGATATATATCCAAAAGAATTCAAAGCAAGAACTTGAAGAGATGTTTAAACAGCCATTTTACTTACATCACCATAGCCAAGAGATGGAAGTAACGCAAATGTTTATCAACAGATGAATGGATTAAAAAATGTAATATGTACATACAATGGAATGTTGTGCAGCCTTAAAAAGGAAGGAAATTCTAAAATATGTTATAAACAGTGATGAATCTCAAAGACATTGTGTGAAGCAAAATATACCAGTCACAAAAGGACAAATACTGTATGAATCTACTTACATGAGGTACATAAAGAAGTCAAGATCACAGAAGCAGAAAGTAGAAAGGTCATTGCAAAAGGCTTGGGAAGTGGGAGAGAAAATTAGTGTTAAGTGGATATAGGGTTTTAGTTTTGCAAGATAAAAAAGTTCTTGAGATCTGCTGCACAACATTGGGAATACACTTAATATTACTGAAGTGTACACTTAAAAATGGTTGAAATGGTAAGTTTTATATATATTTTTTACTGCAATAAAAGAAAGAGTCTGGGCATGGCAGTTCACATCTGTAATCCCACTTGAGGCCAGGAGTTTGAGAACAACCTAGGCAATATAGCAAAACTTCATCTATTTTAAAAATTAAGAAAGAATTAGCTGGGCATGGTTGCATGTGCTTGTCCTAGGCACTTGGGGGGCTTAGGTGGGAGGGTTGCTTGAGGCCAGGATATCAAGGTTGGAGTGAGCCCTGATGGGGGCCAGGCAGAGCAAGACCCTGTAAAAGAAACAGAAAGAAAGAAAGAAGGAAGGAAGGAAGGAAGGAAGGAAGGAAAGGAAGGAAGGTAGGAAGGAAAAATAAATGGGGGAAGAAAAGGAGGGAAAGAAAGGAAGAAAAGAAGGAAACTGGTGGCACAGTCATTCAGCTATTCAGGGCATATCATCAGTTTGTACTTGATCTTACCCTGAGACTGACCCCTGGAGCATCTGTGTTCCCTGGGAATATTGTAAAACTGAACAAAATATATAGCTAGGGATCCCAATCATTCTGCTGAGATTTTTTTTTCTTTGCTAGCCTTAGTAAAAAATTGAATGCTTGGGGGTCTAGGAGTTTTTCCCAGTCTGAGACACAGAGGTGGGAGACACTGAGGAGCTCCGAGGAGCTGTCATGAAGGCATCTGATACCACAGGGTTATTCGTCACTGTGTAGCAGGTCGGTCCCAACTGTGGGGAGCCCACACAGAAGGTAGGCAATGTGTTTGACCAATGGCATGGTGGGATGGTTTGGAATGGTTCAACATGGCAGAAAGGAGTGATTAAAAAGATAATCAAGAGAGATAGTAAACACAACATCTGAAGCAGAGGGAAGCCAGGATGCAGGTGGCATCTGAAATTACTGATTGATAAGGCAATTCCATACTTCTTCCCTTCTTTGAACTAAAAAATCTGGGATATTTATAGATACCTGAGAAGGAAGAAGGGCTGACATCCTGTTAATTTTTAGGCACTGCTCTCAATCTGTTGGATCCACAATGTTTTTTAATTCAAGAACCACCTGAGTTACCATTACAATTTGTTTTGGGGGACAATGAAATATGTAGACTCAGCCAGAAAGAAGGGGGTTAGGGGACTCTTAGCTGTGGGTATGTGGATAAAGTTAAGAAGGTGAACTGAGAAATCAAACAATTGAGAACGACAGATGCCAGACTCAAGAGCATGAATTTATCCTATAGGCCATGAGGAGCCAATGAAGATTGCCATGTAGTGTAATGACATAGGGGAAGAAAGATTATACAATATAGATTTAGATTTGATCCATGTGTGCAGGATGGCTTGGGGTTCATGCCAGAGGATCTGGCATAAAACCTTGTCTAACTAATGGGGGCCTTGATCATAGATGTGAAAGAAGAATGCTAAAGAGTAGATGTGAGGGACATGAAGAAAACAAATGTTAGTAAGATTGGGGACAGATTGGATGTCTAATTAGATGACTTACTCACTTTAATCTCTTGTATTAACTTTAATTGTTAGATACAACATATATTAAGCTACAATTCTATTAGTTAGTACGCAGAGTGAGTTAAATAGGCCATCACACATCTTTCAAGAGTTTCTAATTCAGAATAGGCAATCATAGTTTTAAAAAGCACACAAAACAAATTATGTAAGAAAATTAATGATTAGGAAGAGTCACCTTAAAATAGTGTACATTCTGAGTTACAATACATTTTAAAGGAAATGCAGTTTTATTGATTTCAAGTTTATATAGAACTAGGAGTTCTAGGTTAATATTAAGTAGAAGAAGTTCTGTTTTATTAACAGATAACATTTTAAAAATTAATATTAGTATTAATAGGTAAAATTTTTCAAAATAATTTTTAATCATAAAATTTGTCCTATCCATTTAAAAGTTTGGGATAAATTTGGTCAGAATTTAAGAAGTTCTTTAAAATATGTAATTATATTTGATACAAGTGTAAGATAATTTAGAAACCCAGAGAATAATATAAAATTCTGGGACTAGGATATTAACATTTCTAATGGTCTACCAAACCATCTGGGCAGCAATTCTAGAGGAGGAATTCAAGGAGTTGTTTCTGGAGTAGAAGAAGAAAAGTACTTGTAGGTTTGAGCCCGTGCCTCCTATATATTTGTTATGGACTGAAATGCAACCCCACAAAATTCATATGTTGAAGCCCTGACTCAGTATGTATTTGGAAATAGGGCTTTTAAGAGAGTAATTAAGATTAAATTAGATCATAGGTATGGGCACTAATCCAGTAGGATTGATGTCTTTATAAGAAGAGAGAGGGACACCAGAGCTCTCTCTCTTTCTGTGAGTGCACAGAGGAAAGGCCACCTGAGAGCATGGTGAAAATGTAGCCGTCTCAAAACAGACCAGTTCTGAACAAGATGTTAGTGGTCATTTTGGGATTTTCTCCTCATCTTTGCTAGTTGAAATCTTAGATGGTTGAATTTACATTATAGCTTCATGAATTAATTGAACTTACTTTAATTTAAAAGAATAGTGAAACTGGCTGGTTTTCAAAGCACCTCTGACCTCTAATATGTTCCTCTATCACGTGGACTTGTGTTGTCATAATTAAGATTTTACCACCCAGAATGGTGGGCAACACAGAGATCTGGAATATTTCTTCTTCCGTTTCTTTCTTTCTGTTTCTCTGTCTTGTATGATAGTGACGAGCATGTACTTATGAACTTAAAAGGCATAAGGAAAAATTAATATTCACAGAAGTAGTTGAAGTATACATGCCTTAAAAAATCTGTCATATGGTTTGCAATTGTTTCTTGTATTTATTTTTAAACTTTGCATTAAAGAAGCTGACATTCCTGTGGCCTTGGAACTAGACCCCAGCTTTCCAGGAAAAGTAATTTTTTATGGCAATTAGATGGCTTAGACCAAAGCTTTTAACAACTCAGAGTCTGTCGAACAAGAAGATATTATCTCAATTCCTTTGTTAGAAAAGAAGATTTAAATTTCATTATTACTTCTTATCCATTTGGGAAAATAATGCTTCTGGTAAAAATGCCATTATTGTGTATGTTAACATTTAAGATTTGCACATATAATTCTGTCATAACTCCTCTAAGCCTGATCAAGCCAAAAGATGAGTATTGGGAATTACTATTTAAAGAGGAATCAGTCAGAAAAATGCCTGAGTTACATTTATTCAGATTTTAATCAATTAATTGTTCATTTAATAACTTGCTTATTTATTTTTATTTACTAGGTACCTATATTATACGTAACACTATGGACAAATATAATAAAAATCAAAATGTGACACTACTAGAAATAGCTTACTCTAAGTCAATTTCCTTCCAATAATTTTAGGGCAAATAGATGAATTCTGATATTTTTTGTTAAAATAACTCTTCATTTAAAACTGTTGGTGATTCTAGCCTTCTCTTGAATCTTGTTAGAAAAGGCATATGATTGTGGCTTTGAATTTAATTTTACAAAGTGAGGTTTTCCAGCTTCATAATAAACTACAGACCTCATTTCCAAGGGAATCAGTCATAAAGGATGGAGAGTAAATATTAATGTTCCAGTTCCTAAAATGTCCTTTAGATGTCTCTGTTTCATATCTCATGTGGACCAATACAGCAGGCCACTGGGAAAGACATTGCCTGAAGCTGGCTTCCTGACAAGTTGAATTTGTCCTCAAAGGACAAACGAAGCTCTTTGAAAATAGAATTTGACAAAGTTAATGAAAGAAAAATGTAGATGATGGCATGCAAATATATCATTACTACTTCATAATATTTTTATAACCCAAAAAATCATCTATAAAGGGGAGATGTCCTTTTCTACTTAGCTTGCAGACAATTCTGTTGCATAATATAAATTTAACACTATTTGGTTTTGTAGTGCAATCTGTGTTTTTATTAAAGCATATTCATTCAAGCTGGTCTTGAAAGAATCTTGAATGAACAGTAGAATGAAAGCTAAGATGTGATATTGATAAAAGGGGACTTAAGTAAACATCTAAATAATGTGCATTGATAAACCTTAGCCTTTCTCCCTCTTAACATACAGAAAGTGAGTAGGTGTGGCTTAGGTCCAATGGGCAGTATATTAGGGGATTTCTCTATGGAGTAGTTGATTGGCTAAAGGGAAAAGATCTACATACTCTGAGATTTCTGGGTTTTAATCACCCTACAATGAGGCCCACCAATTCAAATGTTCTGCCACCCAGACAGAGCTACTGATTGGTTATAAATTTGAATAGGTAGACAGGGACCACTAGACATGTGAAGAAAGCATCTCATTTGAAAGTCAGAGCCAAGAGCAAGATGAAAGGAACTCAGAGGAAGTAAAGACAGTGTAGGAACAGAAGAAAAAAATGATAAGATAAATATCCTAGGGAATGCGGGAAATATATTTTACTTCTGAAGCAATAACAGGGAGCTATAAAAATAAAAGAATAAGAAATTCATAAGAAAAATATTTTCAGCAGAAGTAAAAAAATTTAATAGAAATACAAAAGATAAAGTGAAGACTCTTCCAGAAAATTAGAACAAAAAGAGAAAGACATAGCAGATAAGAAAGAAAATATTTTAAAAAAATCAGTCGACCAAATCAGGGTCAAAATGTTTAACTATTATGTTTTCAAGAAAGAGAATAAAAATCAGAGAGAGAGGGGAAAAAATCTTCAAGAAATAATGTAGGAAAACTTGTGAGTATTGAAAGCTTTGAATTTCTAGGTTGACAGCCATCTGAGTGCCCAAAAATGAATGATAGAAAATCTGCATCAACACATAACAACATGAAATTTCAGAACCGTGAGGATAAAAAGACAACCCTAAAAGTAGCCAGGTAGAAATAACAGGTCACATTCAAAAGATGGTACTCAAACAATGGAGAAGTCCCTTCAAACTTGTAAGGAGAAATGAATTACAACCCAGAATTACAAGCTCAGCCAAGCTATCAATCAACTGTGAATGTAGAATGATATTTTCCAATATGTGGGATCTCAAAAAATGTGCATTCTGTTCATATTTCTCAGAACACTATTATGTACTTCATCAGAAAGAGGACCAACAAAAAGAGGAAGCCTCTGCATCCAAGTAAAAGATGCTACATGACAGGAGAGGGATAAAGGGACTATCTAAACGATGGTGCAGGGAAGTCCCAGGATGACAATTGTGTAATGAATCTGAGAACAGTCAGTTCAGGTCAGAAAAATTAGCCCAGAGAACTTCAAGTAGTATGTTTCCAAACTAAACAGAACTGATACTACCCAGTGCTGCACATTTGATCGCTGAAAATTATACTTCCAACAAATCAAAGATAATCAAAATACTATTTTTGTCTTGCATCGTCCCTTTATAATTTTTCAGTGGTGGGATTTTTTTTTTACTATTTTTCTTATGAATAAATTTTCTAGAAGTCTACATAGCCAATGAGCTCACTCCTAGAAGCTATAGAGCCCTGGAGGCAGAAACAGACTAGCTGTTTACCAAGCCTGTTTCTTTTTCTTCTGTTGCACAAACATAGTGTTTCCCAGCTTCTCTTGCAGTTTTGCATGACCACGTAACTGAGTTCTGGACAATGCACATGTAAGAGGAAATGACATGGCACTTCAGGGCCATGGCTCATAACAAATCTTGATACAAGAGGCTTCTTGTTTTTTCTCCTATCAGATTCATGCAGAAATGAACCTAGTGGCTCCAAAAGCTGTATGTTAATGATGGTGGAACCCTAAGGTGGAAAGAGACTGGGTTTCTAAGTCACTGCTTGGCGCTTGCAGCATAGTCAACTGTGAATCAAGAACAGGCATGTCAGGTGGTAAAAAAGTATACTTCTATTGTCCTGCCATCACAGCACATCTAGCAAAACTGTCCTCTGGAGACCTGGAAGGCAAACCATGTTTCTAGTCAGCCTATGGCTTGGGAAAGGGTTTGGAAAGTCAGTCATGGGCTTTACCTTGTGTTTCCAGCAAAGTCTTACTAAAAAGGGATGAGCTTAAGAAAGACTTGGCTATTTTGAAAGCAGAAATGAAAGTGAAAAGAGAAAGACTGAAAATTTGGGCCCTTGAATTTGAGGCTTCAATCTTAGATATACTCTCAATATGTCAAATAGACTATCCAATTCCAGACCATAAATAAAACTGCATTTGGTTTAATATCCCATCTCAATGGCTCACCTGAAGTGGACCAGCTGCTTCCCGTGGAAGAGGGGCAGGTAATTTTTCTATCCTCTTGCCCACTTATATGCTACTTATAAGTTGTCATTGCTGTTGCCATGGGAATGGAGTCAGAGACTAGAAAGGCAAAGGATGCAGGGAAGTTTATGCTAGCTCTGATACTGTAAGATGGGCAGATGTCTGCAGGTGATTTTCCCTCTTTGGGTTGCTTTGGTGGCTCTGCAGGGTCACCCCCTGTGGGGCTCATCTGGCTGCAACAACTGCAGCTCTCTAGCCCAGTGCTCAGCCCCTGGGTTTAGGGAACCACTATCCACTCTCTATTTTGGTTAGAGGCTCATTACACTTCCAGAAAGTCCTTCTTGGACAGAGCTAAAGGTGGCCCCCAGCTAGCTCTCTCCTGAGGTCCTCATCTCCTCCACCAGAAATACTTTACTGCCCAAAGAGCTCACCAGTTGCCCCTCCTGCTCCAGTAAGCCTGTCAGATGCCAGTCTTACCCTCTCTCAAGCTCCAGGAGACTTATCTCAAACTCTCCAAATTGGCCAAGTGAAGCCCTTTTTGCAAAAGATAGCACTCCATTGCTCCCCTTGGAGAAGGTGAAACTCAGTCTAGCAACACATGTAAACACACACCCCTCTTAACAAATTGTTCTCATCTCCAATATTTGGACCCTTTTGTATTCTTCAGTGGGTTTGGAACTGCCCAACTGGTTCTCTGATAGCTCCTTTGAAAATCTACATTTTGGTTTGACAATTCTCTTTGGAATTTCATATATTATATATTGTGGTGAAAGCTGAAAATTCCAATTTAATGTTAATGAGGAAAAACTCACTGTTTCCTCTACTCTCAACACTTCACTTCTGACACCAAATGTGTGGGATATATTTTTCCCACAGCAATCAGTTCTCTCTGGATGCCACTTATGTGTCCTACAATTCAGTTACGGTACTATCTACCTTGCAGTTAGTGCAGACCCCATAGGTTGAAGGCTCAGTCCCACAAGACTGGGCCCCCACCCCAACCCCTCCACTTCAGATGCCAGTGGCATGGCTTGGATATCCACATTACCCATAACATTTGTCCAACTTGGCTACAAATGGAAGGTTTACACGACTTTCTCCTGAGGTTTGATATTTTGCCCTGATGGCTCACAAAACTCAGGGAAACACTCACTTATGTTCACTGCTTTATAACAAAGGATATGATGAAAGATGCAGATGAACAGCCAGGTGAAGGCGAGGTCCTGAGCACAGGAGCCTCTGTCCCCATGATGCCAGGGTGTGCCACCCTCCTGTCCTGTGGATGTATTTACCAACCTGGAAGCTCTCCAAGCCCTGCCTTCTAGGGATTTTTTATAGAGGTTTCATCATGTAGGCATGACCAATTATTAACCCAGTCTCCAGCTCACAGTTTGAATTATGGCTTGGTGTTTCTGGAAAACAGCCCTCATGTTGACGTTATCCAGCAGTCCGCCAAGTGTTGCCTTATTAGAATAAAGGCACTCTTATTACCCAGGAAATTCCAAGGGATTTAGGAGATCTGTGGCAGGAACAGGAGGCAGAAACCAAATGTATATTTTTTATTATGTCACAACATCCTGTTACACTGTATCAGAAAAAGTATTATACCTCTCTTGGAAGACTGAGGGAGATAATTAGTAATAGGCACAAAGAAATCAATTATATAATAAGACTATTGAAAATTAAGCAATTTAAAATTCCACATAAACTGAAAAGTTGTATAAGAAAGGAAATTGCCTTCTTTCCCTTGCACCCCCTGCTGTACTACTACAAGCTACTCCTTGACTCATCATTCAGGGAATGTGAGTAAAGGGGATGGGCCTCCTTACCCCTAAATATTCTTAGCAAATTAATGTGGAGGTGACAGACTCAAAAGGTGGCTTTTCTCCTACCAGGTTGCCCATCCCAAAATAATAAAAGTAGCTAAATAAAATGCATTTCTTTTTGTAATTTGGTGTCATTGTCCTTAAAAAAGTGAGGCATGGTTACTGAACTCTTTGCCCATCCCATTTCTAAAATTGAAAACCTCAATTTCAATCCTGAATCTGTTCTCTGGCTCATTCTTCCTGACATCTACTTATTATACAAATATAGTCAATCTTTGGCTGGTTCCATGACTGACATCTTAGAACATCAAAATTAGGAATGGTATGGCCAAATTGTCATCTTAGTCCTGAAATATGTTATAAACCAAACGTTGGAAGAGAATGAGCACATTCATAAATAAGAATGGCTAGGTCTATAAAAGTTCCCCACCTTTTTTCATCTGCAGAAAATATTTATTTTGCAGGTTAGGGTTTTCCATCCGTCAGAAAAAAAGAATGGCCATTACTGTTCTTTTCACTTCACACAGGCAGACTCATTTGCTCTACTTTCTGTGACTATCACTGTTTTGTTTGTTTGTTTGTTTTGTTTTGTTTTGAGACAGAGTCTCACTCTGTTGCCCAGGCTGGAGTTCAATGGCACAATCTCGGCTCACTGCAACCTTCGCCTCCTGGGTTCAAGCAATTCTCCTCAGCCTCCCAAGTAGCTGGGAATAGGCGTGTGTCACCACGCGCAGGTAATTTTTTTGTATTTTTAGTAGACAGGGTTTCACCATGTTAGCCAGCCTGGTCTCGAACTCCTGACCTCAGGTGATCCACCCGCCTCAGCCTCCCAAAGTGCTGGGATTACAGGCGTGAGCCACCGTGCTCGGCTGACTATCACTGTTAATAGCACATCTTATGCTGCACTGTAATGTTTCTGCACTGTAATGTTTGTTAATGGCATGTTTCTCACTGTAAGATAACTCCTTAAGATTAAGGCTTTTATGCATCTTCATGTTCTCATGTTTAAGAACAGTGCTTGGAACACAGATTCCATACATGTTGAATGAATGAATAAACTATTAAATAAGTTAAAGAGCACTAGAATGAACTAATATATGATTTACATTTGTTGACATTTTGAATCTCGTAATTATTTTTGACTATCTCCTCTACTTGGCTGTGAGTCCAAGAGCATATAAATCTTGCCTCATCTATGCCAGTAGCCTCAGCATTTAGCATTGTGCTTACTGCCTAAAATGTGATAGTTGCTCAGTTAATGTCTTGAAAATGAAGAAATGAATGCATTACATTATGAGATTTGCAAGAATAAGCTCCCTGGGTAGTCTGTGTCTTGTGTTTCATCATGCCATGCTTGTTCTCATCTTTAGGGACTTGAAAATGTGATTGAAATTTAAAGAATATTGGTTTTGAGAGTCAATTCTCAGCTACAACGTTCACCATCTTCTGAAATACCATTTTGTCTTTTTAAGAGAATAATGTTTCTATTTCCTTTCTGTTTTTTCTTTTTTTAATGTAACCCAGATCTTCAATGAAGACCATGTTTTACAAGTACACTTAGGATAAGCCTTTTATAAAACTAGTACTTTGGCTTATAAGCCCCAGCTTCTTTGTCCAGTCAGTGCTGTTGGTGTTGGATGACTTAACGAACAATGCCTGAGGCTTATAGATAAAAGGACTCACAGAGCAAAGTTATTACATGAGTTACCTTTCTGAATAATACCTAACTGCAGAATGTTCCTGGCATTAAGTGAAAATAGACCAAATATTAGCATTCTCAAAGCCCTTATCTTATATGCACACATGTACTGCTCTTGTTCTAGCTGTGGTTTAGTACTGCTTGACATCAGTAGCATATTCAGTTCCCATTTTTAGGCAAAAAGGAACAAATCGCCCTTCCTTGTTCAAGGAAGATCAAGGCAGATCAAGTAACCAAAGATCAGCTATCTGTTGCAAACTTTGGAACCACTGTCAGGCTTATAGTCTGCTTCTATGTACAAAGAACAAAAAACACTGGGAGGATACATTTAAAAAATCAGACTATCAGAGGTAGTTGGAAATTTAGTTTGCCCTCAGATGAAAAAAAAAAAAACAATGACAAAACATTTATGTTGCAAAGCAGGAGTAAAGAAAAAAAATTTAAAAGATAAAAACTGGCTAAATCTGTCATGCTCAATTGAGCAACAGAGCAAAATGAGATAAGCCTATTAGTGGCAGTTGAGAAAAACGGCTTTTCAAATTCAGTTTTTTTATGAGAGTAATTTAGGAAGTGTAGTTTAAGAGTCATTAAGTACAAAATACCATAAACATCAATGTGAGTTGTATTCTGCTTTCGTTTGGTTCACTGAGTGACATAGCATACCTTAAATCTGATGAAGAAGTTCCTTTGGAGGCTATAAACCGAGAGGCATTGAAGCAAACGCTGGGAGCAGCCCTGAGGAAGAAAGAGGTCCCTTAAACAGCGTTTGGCCATCTTGTTTAGAAGCTGGTGAGAGATAAGAGGAAGCCTTTACTTCCAACTCATGAATGAAGTAATACAATGAACATTCTGGTGAGCCAGCCACCCACTTCCTGTTAAAAAAAAAAAAAAAGGGAATGTAGGCATTTGCAGTTAGCTTGTGGGGGGTGCTTTGAAGCAGGGAGGCAGGAGGGAGGAATGAAGCTTGAACCATCAAGCTGGGACAGAAGGAAATGTGAACCAAAATGCAGCTGTGAGCTCCAAGACTCCTGAGCTATTACATCAGTTATTATGTTGGAATGGGAGGATAAAGGAAAGGCCGCCTCCCCTTGCTGCTGCTAGCCTGCAAAGTTATGAAGTGTAAAGTGTGATCCCTTGTAAATATTGGTTTGAAGGTCTCACCAACTCCAGAGAGTTTAAAAAGGAAGAAAATGCACTATAACTCTAAGATCTCAAGGGGAAAATATTTTGTCTAGTTCATGTTTGTTGAAGATTTGCTGAGCTCCAAATAGGATGACAAATTCAGCCTCTGTCTAGATACTTCCTATTTTTGACTCACTTAAGTTTATTTTGCCTTGCTGGCACCACACACATTACCCTTAGAATAAAGCCTCAAGCCTCAATCATTCATACTCCAGCATCCTCCTCTTTACCAATACTCCTTCTCAACCCTGAACAAAAAGATATGTCCATACCATCTACTCTAATCTTTTAGTAGCCACAGAGTTGCTCTGAAAATTGGCCATGGTTGTCTCACCTTGAAGCCTGTGCTTCTTAATGTGTCCCCATCTGGACATCCAATTACACCTCAAGATTCAACAACATTGAGCTGGGCCTCTAATGTTTGGGAGAGTTCCCTTCTCCACAGTCTTCTCCAGCTCCTCCAGCTCACAGCCTCTTTCTCTAAATCTCTGGCCTTCGACCTGCACTCTGAGGCAGCCATACCTGCTGTCCACTGTTACAGGTTTTCTCAACTATCATCTCCTCTCCCTGACTGTAGATTCCATTGTATCCATCACAGGGTTTTATTTGTTTTCTGGAATTTTTATGTGTTGTGTGGCAATGTGTCTTCTCTCTCTCACTCTTTCTCTGCCTACACACACACAAACACACACATATACACACGCATACTGGGAGAGGAAACTTTTCCTTCTTTCATTCCAAGTAATACTTGTTTACCTATTTTTTTCCTCTACTTTGGCAGAAGCATCAGTGAACGACCACGGCTAATCCGGTTGCCACGTCAGGCGCTGTAATGGGCAGCCACCCTTTGGCCCTGCACCATGCTTTTGTGCTGTTGGTGTAAGTGACCTTGGCTCACTGATGGCATGGACGCAGCTGGCTCAGTAGAGGCATGGGCTCAGTAGAATGGCCTACACACTGACTTAGTATGCTAAGATGGGCTGAGGCAGAGGAAGAATTTCCAGTTAGGAAAACATAAGATGGTATTTCACCGTTGTTCTGTATTTAATGACATAGAATCTATTTAAACATCATATCCACTTTATGGTATTGTTTTCATTTATTCACTGAATTGTTGATTTGTGAATTCATCTGTCAGATATATTATGTGTCACTTAATGATGGAGACAAGTTCTGAGAAATGCATTGTTAGGCATGTTGTATGAACATCATAGAGTGCACTTACATGAACCTACAAGGTAGCTGTGTGCTCCTATACTACAAACCTGAACTGAATACTGTAGACAACTGTAACATAATGGTTAGGTATTTGTGTATCTAGACATAGAAAAGGTACAGTAAAAGTATGGCATGAAAGATTTTAAAAGATGGTACACCTGTATTGGGCTAAATGGACCTAGCAGAACTGGAAGTTGCTGTGGGTGAATCCATGAGTGAATGGTGGGTGAGTCCATGAGTGAATGGTGAGTGACTGTGAAGGCCTAGGCTGTTATGTACACTATTGTATACTTTAGAAACATTGTACATTTATGCTGTACTAATTTTATTTTTTTGAGACTAAGTCTAGCTTTGTCGCCCAGGCTGGAGTGCAGTGGTGTGATCTTGGCTCACTGCAACCTCTGCCCCTGGGTTCAAGTGATTCTCCTGCCTCAGCCTCCTGAGTAGCTGGGATTACAGGTGCACACCACCACGCCCAGATAATTTTTTGTATATCTAGTAGAGATGGGGTTTCACCATGTTGGTCAGGCTGGTCTCGAACTCCTGACCTCTGGAGATCCGCCCACCTCTGCCTCCCAAAGTACTGGGATTACAGGCATGAGCCACAGCACCTGGCTGGCGGCTGTACTAAATTTATAATAAATATTTTCTTTATTTAATAATAAATTAACCCTAGCTTACTGTAAATTTTTTACTCTACAAACTTTAATTTTTAAAAAGTTTTTGATTCTTTTGAAATAACACATCTCAAAACACAAACATATTGTATGGCTGTACAAAAATATTTTCTTTCTTTATATACTTATTCTATTAATTTTTCTATGAAAAATTTTGTTTTTACTTTTTGAACTATTTTGTTAAAAGCTAAGACACAAACACACACATCAGTCTAGGCCTGTGCAAGATCAGAATCATCAATATCACTGTCTTCCACTTCCACATCGTGTCCCACCGGAAGGTCTTCAATACAATGCCTTTTTTCTGGAACGTCTCCTGAAAGACTTTCCAGAGGCTGTTTTACAATTAACTTTTTAATAAGTAGGAGTACACTCTAAAATTATAATAAAAAGTTTAGTATGGTAAATACATAAACCAGTAACATAGTCGTTTATTATTATTGTCAAGTATCATGTACAGTATATAATTGTATGTGCTATACTTTTATATGACTGGAAGCGCAGTAGGTTTGTTTACACCAGCATCACCACAAACATGTGAATAATGCCTTGCACTACAACGTTAGGCTGGCTATGACGTCGCTAGGTGGTAGGGATTTTTCAGCTCCACTATAATCTTATGGGACCACTGTTGTATATGTGGTCTGTTGTTGACCAAAATCTCATTCTGTGGTGCATGACTGAATTCAGATCTCTTCTGTGTGAACAAGTTTGGGAGGGAGTTGTATTAATTATGTATGGCCATACAACCAGAAAACCTCAGTAACATATAATCATAAACATTTATTTAATTTGTGAGTCTGTGGGTCAAATGAGCAGTTTTCCTTGTCTGGGCCACACCTAACTGGTCTCAGTGTGAGTTACTCATTCACCTGTTGTCAGCAAGCAACATGACTGGGGACTAGCAAGTCTAGGAGGGTCTTGGCAAGGAGAGATTAGACAACTCAAATCTTTGTCATGTGGTCTTTCCTCCTTGAGCAGGCTATCCTGGCCTAGATCACATGATGGTGAGGTTTTGAGACAGTGATGGCAGTGAACAAGACCTCTTGAGGAATAGTCTCAGAACTGGAACAAAATCATTTCTATCATATTCTATTGACAAAAAAATAAATAAAGAGTCAAAAGGCTGGCCTCGATGCAAGGTAGGGGTGGAGCAGGTAGGGAATACATTCACCTCTTTAAGAGAGGAGATGCAAAGTCATATTGCAAAGGAAGTGGGTTCAGGGAGGGCACTTAAACCACTCATGCATTCAAGCTACCATAAGGAGACACACAGATCCCAACTTAGAATATAATGTGATAAGGACTATCTATAAAAGCAGTATGTGTGCAATGGTGAGACATTTGTTTACAATGTTCTTCTATCTTTATTAAACTGTTTCTAAAGGAACAAGAGAAAGAAGGATGTAAGAAAGAGGCCAAAAAACAATTTCTGCTCTTTTTTTCCTCCCATTTTTTCCACCCCTTTCCCACCAATACAAAAAAAGTCACTTACTTTGGGAGATAGTGGTGATCAAGACTTGCCTGAGGCAGTTACTCCAAAGCTTGGAACTGAGCAGTTGGGAAGTCAGGCCCTGTGTGCAGAGTTTATGTGAATGCATATATTGTTTCTCTGGCAAAGAAGATGCTGTTTGGAAACTAAGCTCTTATTTACAGCCTCAGATGCCTTTCTGCATCTTTAGGGAGGGCTATTCTGGGTTACTTTTTGTTTTTGAAGTCAGTATTGGATGCTAAGCTTCATTTCAGTTTCTCATCCTGCATTTGTCACTTGGTCTCATTAGATTTCTGGGTCTCACTTGTCTATCTGATTTAGACTCCTGTCAACACCCAAGGCAGAGATGGCTGCCTGCTGCATTTTACAGAACTTAGTAAATGCTAGCTATGGGTTTAAATCAATGAGTCTTACACTTTCTCATCCTGGGACTCAGAACTTGCAGCATCACACCAATAACCTCTCGAAAAGTCAATTGCTGTTTTCCTTTGGGTGTTGTTACAAGAAAAGAGCCAATTAGAACTTCTCAACTGTAGGCCCCTTGGACATTGCCATGGCCCTTAGCAATGGAAAATGAAAAAGTAAAGGGAAGTGACTACAAGGTTAAGAGAAATAGCTAACCCTGAAGAGGTATTTTAAACTCTTGAGTTACAGTCTACTTGTCCCTTTCTGAATTCCCAGCAGTATCCTATTCTTAGAGGAAATAACTCAAATTGAAAAGGACTAGAACTTTATGGCAATAAGGGTCTCCTGTTACTGGAATGATGCTGCAGCAGCACTTTCTCTAGGAATGTTAAAGAATAAGGTAGACAAACTCACATTTGCTAGACTATTAATAGATGAGTTCTGTAGTACCACATATGGAAAAACATCATTTTTGTGATTATCAATGTTGCTATGTCTTTGCTTTTGACATATTCATCTTGATTTTAAATCCACTTTCTTAACAAAAGATGTGCATGAATTTGTGCACTTACACATGGCACTCAGATTGAAAATATGAAGTTACAATGTATTCTGAACACTTCTGGTTCAAACCCTTCGTTTTAAAAATGAGTAAACATAACCAGACAGGTGAAGAAACATCTTGTACAATATCTAGCCAGTTGCTACATGTGTTTTAGTGCATTAAAATTGCACAATTTATAAAAACTTGCATTTACACATGAGCTGGCTTAGAAGTGGTGGAGAAATCATCAAGAAGCTTGTACTGTAGTTTGTTGGAAGTAATGCTACGTACCAACCAAGTGCAGAGCGGCTTAAAACATAGGGGCAAAGCCAACTCTAGGAGAAGATACAGCATGTGCTACCTGACTGACAGAATTTAAATACCATGAGTAGCCCTTCCCAGTTCAAAAATTTCTTTCTTTCTTCTTTCTTTCTTTTCTTTCTTTCTTTCTTTCTTTCTTTCTTTCTTTCTTTCTTTCTTTCTTTCTTTCTTTCTTTCTTTCTTTCTTTCTTTTTCTTTCTTTCTCTTTCTTTCTTTCTTTCTTTTTCTCTCTTTCTCTCTTTCTTTCTTTCTTTCGAGACGGAGTCTCTCTCTGTCGTGATGGAGTGCAGTGGTGTGATCTCAGCTTACTGCAACCTCCGCCTCCCAGGTTCAAGCAATTCACCTGCCTCAGCCTCCTGAGCAGCTGGGACTACAGGCACACGCCACCACACCCGGCTAATTTTTCTATTTTTAGTAGAGACGGGATTTCACCATGTTGGCCGGGATGGTCTCAATTTCGTGATCTCATTGTCCCCCCGACTTGGCCTCCTGAAGTGCTGGGATTACAGGCGTGAGCCACCACGCCCAGCCGAAAAATATTTCTACTACTACTAGAGTGGCTATGCTTTCCCGTGTGTCGGGATACTACTGTCTTGTACCTGGTGTCCTAACATAATTATTAAATTTCACTTTCAAAGGTGACCCTGTTTAGACTATATATTATTTAGTCATCTTAGCTATCAAGATAGGAAGAACAGCATAATCTATTTATATCATACAGGCTTTTCAGTTTCCAAAATTCCTAATACTTACTTAGTAGAAGTATGCTTAGAGAGCTAAAACCTCAAGAAATATGATCAAATCTTACAATCAATTGAAAATGATGAGCAAAACAGGGTTTGATAAGTGTGAAGGAGATAATGAAAGAGAGACCACAGGCCACTAGAGACAAATTCCACCAACCTTCCATTAGTGCCAGAGCCAATGTCCAGCATGAAGACTGGGCAACTTGCAGGTGGTGTAAGATCAACAGAACGCTTATTCCTCAATTGCTGTACTAAAGACAAACATGCATCCTCATTTTCTATGCCTAAAAAGCCAACACAAGCTTAAAGGTAATGCTGAAGGCTCAGGAACTTTTGTTCTTTTCTTTTTTTAAAAAAAGTGCTTTAATTGGTTATTTAATGTCTTGCTCCTTTAAAATAATTTCATCTGTGTATAGATTTTAATTTTTTTCTGCAGTTCCCCACCTCCATTCTTATCTTTTCCTTGCAATTTACATTGACAAACTTGTGTAGTTTGACCTGTAGAGTTTCTCACACTCAACTTGTTTAACATGTGGCCTTTCTTTCTGTGTATCTCCTGTAAACTGGCAGCTGGGTTGCAAGACTTGATCAGACTGAAGGCGGTGATGTGCTCTTTCATTGAGATGCAACTTTTGGCCAGAACTTCCAATACTATGCTGAATAGGAGTGGTGAGAGAGGGCATCTTTGTCTTGTACCGGTTTTTAAAGGGAATGCTTCCAGCTTTTGCCCATTCAATATGATAGTGGCCATGGGGTTGTCATAAATAGCTCTTATTATTTTGAGATATGTTCAATCAATACCTAGTTTATTGATAGGTTTTAACATGAAGGGATGTTGAATTTTATCAAAAGCCTTTTCTGCATCTATTGAGATAATCATGTGGTTTTTGTCTTTGGTTCTGTTTGTGTGATGGATTATGTTCATTGATTTGCGTATGTTGAACGAGCCTTGCATCCCAGGGATGAAGCTTGGTATCAAGATGATGCTAGCTTCATGAAATGAGTTAGGGAGGAATCTCTCCTTTTCAATTGTTTGGAATAGTTTCAGAAGGAATGCTACCAGCATCTCTTCGTATTTCTGGTAGAATTCAGCTGTGAATCCCGTCTGATCCTGGGCCTTTTTTTTTCTTTTTGGTTGGTAGGCTATTAATTAAACTGCCTCAATTTCAGAGCTTGTTATTGGTTTATTCAGGGATTTGACTTCTTCCTGGTTTAGTCTTGGTAGGGTGTATGCGTCCAGGAATTTGTCCATTTCTTCTAGATTTTCTAGTTTATTTACATAGAGGCATTTATAGTATTCTCTGATGTAGTTTGTATTTTTGTGGGGTCAGTGGTGATATCCCCTATATCATTTTTTATTGTGTCTATGTTATTCTTGTCTGTCTTCTTTATTAGTCTTGGTAGTGGTCTATCTATTTTGTTAATCTTTTCAAAAAACCACCTCCTGAATTCAATGATTTTTTTGGAGGGTTTTTGTGTCTCCATCTCCTTCAATTCTTCTCTGATCTTAGTTATTTCTTATCTTCTGCTAGCTTTTGGATTAGTTTGCTCTTGTCTCTCTAGCTCTTTTAATTGTGATGTTAGGGTGTTGATTTGGGATCTCTCTAGCTTTCTGATGTAGGCATTTTAAATTTCATATGGAATCAAAGAAGACCTCATATAGCAAAGACACTCCTAAGCAAAAAGAACAAAGCTGGAGACATCACACTACCTGACTTCAAACTATACTACAAGGCTACAGTAACCAAAACAGCATGGTACTGGTACCAAAACAGACATATAGACCAATGGAGCAGAACAGAGACCTGAGAAATAACACCACACATCTACAACCATCTGATCTTTAACAAACCTGACAGAAACAAGCAATGGGGAAAGGATCTCCTATTCAGCAAATGATACTGGGAAAACTGGCTAGCCATATGCAGAAAACTGAAACTGGACCCCTTTCTTACACCTTATACAAAAGTTAACTCAAGATGGATTAAAGACTTAAATGTAAAATCCCAAACCATAAAAACCCTAGAAGAAAACCTAGGCAATACCATTTAGGACATAGGCATGAGAAAGACTTCATGACTAAAATGCCAAAAGCAATCGCAACAAAAGCCAAAATTGACAAATGTGATCTAATTAAACTAAAGACCTTCTGCACAGCAAAGGAAACTATCCTCAGAGTGAACAGGCAACCTACAGAATGAGGGAAAAATTTTCCAATCTACTCATCTGACAAAGGTCTAATATCCAGACTGTACAAGGAACTTAAACAAATTTACAAGAAAAAAATCAAACAACCCCATCAAAAAGTGGGCAAAGGATATGAAGAGACACTTCTCAAAAGAAGACATTTACATGGGCAACAAACATGAAAAAAGCAGCTCAACATCACTGATGATCAGAGAACTGTAAATCAAAACCACAATGAGAGCATCTCACGTCAGTCAGAATGGTGATTAATAAAAGCCAGGAAACAATAGATGATGGCGGGGCTGTGGAGAAATAGGAATGCTTTTACACTGTTGGTGGGAATGTAAATGAGTTCAACCATTGTGGAAGACAGTATGATGATTCTTCAAGGATCTAGAACCAGAAATACCATTTGGTGCAGCAATCCCATTACTGGGTATATACCCAAAGGAACACAAATCATTCTACTATAAAGACACATGCACACCTATGTTTATTGCAGCACTATTTACAATAGCAAAGACATGGAACCAACCCAAATGCCCATCAATGATAGAGTGGATAAAGAAAATGTGGTACATATACACCATGAAATACTATGCAGCCATAAAAAGGAGTGGGTTCATGTCCTTTGCAGGGACATGGATGAAGCTGGAAACCATCATCCTCAGCAAACTAACACAGGAACAGAAAACCAAACACCACGTATTCTCACTCATAAGTGGGAGTTGAACATTGAGAACCTATACACACAGAGAGGGGAACAACACACACCAGGGCCTATTCAGGGGTGGGGGTTGAGGGGAGGGAACTTAGTGGAGAGGTCAATAAGTGCAGCAAAACACCATGGCACACGTATACCTATGTAACAAACCTGCACGTTCTGCACATGTATCCGATATTTTTTTCTTTTAGAAGAAATAAAGAAAAAAAGAGGCAACTATTGCCTGGTTGGCTATCATTCTATGATGTTAGTAGCCATTTATCTTCATTGCCTAATCCAGGAATTGGCAAACTAAAGCAAATCCAAATCCTGTTTTGTAAATAAAGTTCTATCGCAAAACAACTATGCTCATATATGTATTGTGTATGGCTGCTTTGCTCCAACAACAAAATTGTATAGTTGCAATAGTGACCATGTGCACTGCAAAGCCTACAGTATTTATTGTCTGCTTTTTTAAAATTATACTTTAAGTTCTAGGGTACATGTGCACAACGTGCAGGTTTGTTACATATGTATACATGTGCCATGTTGGTGTGCTGCACCCATTAACTCGTCATTTACATTAGGTATATCTCCTAATGCTATCCCTCCCACCTCCCGCCACCCCACGACAGGCCCCGATGTGTGATGTTCCCCTTCCTGTGTCCATGTGTTCTCATTATTCAATTCCCACTGATGAGTGAGAACATGCAGTGTTTAGTTTTCTGTCCTTGCGATAGTTTGCTCAGAATGATGGTTTCCAGCTTCATCTATATCCTTACAAAGGACATGAAATCATTCTTTTTATGGCTGCATGGTATTCCATGGTGTATATGTGCCACATTTTCTTAATCCAGTCTATCATTGATGGACATTTTGGTTGGTTCCAAGTCTTTGCTATTGTGAATAGTGCCGCAATCAACATACGTGTGCATATGTCTTTATAGCAGCATGATTTATAATCCTTTGGGTATATACCCAGTAATGGGATGGCTGGGTCAAATGGTATTTCTAATTCTAGATCCTTGAGGAATCGTCACACTGTCTTCCGCAATGGTTGAACTAGGTTACAGTCCCACCAACAGTGTAAAAGTGTTCCTATTTCTCCACATCCTCTCCAGCACCTGTAGTTTCCTGACTTTTTAATGATCACCATTCTAACTGGTGTGAGATGGTATCTCATTGTGGTTTTGATTTGCATTTTTCTGATGGCCTGTGATGATGAGCATTTTTTCATGTGTCTGTTGGCTGCATAAATGTCTCCTTTTGAGAAGTGCCTGTTCATATCCTTCGCCCACTTTTTGATGTGGTTGTTTGTTTTTTTCTTGTAAATTTGTTTGAGTTCATTGTAGATTCTGGATATTAGCCATTTGTCAGATGAGTAGATTGCGAAAATTTTCTCCCATTCTGTAGGTTGCCTGTTCACTCTGATGGTAGTTTCTTTTGCAGTGCAGAAGCTCTTTAGTTTAATTAGATCCCATTTGTCAATTTTGGCTTTTGTTGCCATTGCTTTTGGTGTTTTAGACATGAAGTCCTTGCCCATGCCTATGTCCTGAATGGTATTGCCTAGGTTTTCTTCTAGGGTTTTTGTGGTTTTGGGTCTAAATTTAAGTCCTTAATCCATCTTGAATTAATTTTTGTATAAGGTGTAAGGAAGGGAACCAGTTTCAGCTTTCTACATATGGCTAGCCAGTTTTCCCAGCATCATGTATTAAACAGGGAATCCTTTCCCCATTTCTTGTTTTTGTCAGGTTTGTCACAGATTAGTTGGTTGTAGATGTGTGGTATTACTTCTGAGAGCTCTGTTGTTCTGTTCTATTGGTCTATATCTCTGTTTTGGTACCAGTACCATGCTGTTTTCTTTACTGTAGCCTTGTAGTATAGTTTGAAGTCAGGTAGTGTGATGCCTCCAGCTTTGTTCTTTTGGCTTAGGATTCACTTGACAGTGAGGGCTCTTTTTGGTTCCATATGAACTTTAAAGGAGTTTTTTCCAGTTCTGTGCAGAAAGTCATTGGTAGCTTGATGGGGATGGCATTGAATCTATAAATTACCTTGGACAGTATGGCCATTTTCATGATATTGATTCTTCCTATCCATGAGCATGGAATGTTCTTCCATTTGTTTGTGTCCTCTTTTATTTCGTTGAGCAGTAGTTTGTAGTTCTCCTTGAAGAGGTCCTTCACATCCCTTGTAAGTTGGATTCCTAGGTATTTTATTCTCTTTGAAGCAATTGTGAATGGGAATTCACTCATGATTTGGCTCTCTGCTTGTCTGTTATTGGTGTATAAGAATGCTTGTGATTTTTGCACATTGATTTTGTATCCTGAGACTTTGCTGAAGTTGCTTATCAGCTTAAGGAGATTTTGGGTTGAGACAATGGGGTTTTCTAAATATACAATTATGTCATCTGCAAACAGGGACAATTTGACTTCCTCTTTTCCTAATTGAATACCCTTTCTCCTGCCTGATTGCCCTGGCCAGAACTTCCAACACTATTTTGAATAGGAGTGGTGAGAGAGGGTATCCCTGTCTTGTGCCAGTTTTCAAAGGGAATGCTTCCAGTTTTTGCCCATTCAGTATTATGTTGGCTGTGGGTTTGTTATAAATAGCTCTTATTATTTTGAGATATGTCCCATCAATACCTAATTTATTGAGAGTTTTTAGCATGAAGGGCTGTCTAATTTTGTCAAAGGCCTTTTCTGCATCTATTGAGATAATCGTGTGGTTTTTTTCTTTGGTTTTGTTTATATGCTGGATTACGTTTATTGATTTGTGTATGTTGAGCCAGCCTTGCATCCCAGGGATGAAGCCCACTTGATCATGGTGGATTAGCTTTTTGTTGTGCTGCTGGATTCAGTTTGCCAGTATTTTATTGAGGATTTTTGCATCGGTATACATCAGGGATATTGGTCTAAAATTCTCATTTTTGTTGTGTCTCTGCCAGGCTTCGGTATCAGGATGACGCTGGCCTCATCAAATGAGTTAGTGAGGATTCTCTCTTTTTCTGTTGATTGGAATAGTTTCAGAAGGAATGGTACCAGCTCCTCCTTGTACCTCTGATAGAATTCGGCTGTGAATCTATCTGGTCCTGGACTTTTTTTGGTTGGTAGGCTATTAATTATTGCCTCAATTTCAGAGCCTGTTATTGGTCTATTCAGGGATTCAACTTCTTCCTGGGTTAGTCATGGAGGGTGTATGTGTCCAGGAATTTATCCATTTCTTCTAGATTTTCTAGATTATTTGCATAGAGGTGTTTATAGTATTCTCTAGTGGTAGTTTGCATTTCTGTGGGATCAGTGGTGATATCCCCTTTATCATTTTTTATTGCATCTATTTGATTCTTCTCTCTTTTCTTCTTTATTAGTCTTGCTAGTGGTCTATAAATTTTGTTGATCCTTCCAAAAAACCAGCTCCTGGATTCACTGATTTTTTGAAGGGGTTTTTGTGTCTCTATCTCCTTCAGTTCTGCTCTGATCTTAGTTATTTCTTGCCTTCTGCTAGCTTTTGAATGTATTTGCTCTTGCTTCTCTAGTGCTTTTAATTGTGATGTTAGGGTGTCAATTTTGGATCTTTCCTGCTTTCTCTTGTGGGCATTTAGTGCTATAAATGTCCCTCTACACACTGCTTTAAATGTGTGCCAGAGATTCCAGTATGTTGTGTCTTTGTTGTCATTGGTTTCAAAGAACATCTTTATTTCTGCCTTCATTTTGTTATGTACCCAGTAGTCATTCAGGAGCAGGTTGTTCAGTTTCCATGTAGTTGGGCAGTTTTGAGTGAGTTTCTTAATCTTGAGTTCTAGTTTGATTGCACTGTGGTCTGAGAGACAGTTAGTTATAATTTCTATTCTTTTACACTTGGTGTGGAGTGCTTTACTTCCAACTATGTGGTCAGTTTTGGAATAAGTGCGAAGTCGTGCTGAGAAGAATTGTATTGTGTTGATTTGAGGTGGGGAGTTCTGTAGATGTCTATTAGGTCCGCTTGGTGCAGAGCTGAGTTCAATTCCTGGATATCCTTATTAACTTTCTGTCTCATTGATCTGTCTAATGTTGACAGTGGGGTGTTAAGTTCTCCCATTATTATTGTGTGGGAGTCTAAGTCTCTTTGTAGGTCTCTAAGGACTTGCTTTATGAATCTGGATGCTGCTGTATTGGGTGCATATATATTTAGGATAGTTAGCTCTTCTTGTTGAATTGATCCCTTTACCATTATGTAATGGCCTTCTTTGTCTCCTTTGATCTTTGTTGGTTTAAAGTCTTTTTTGTCAGAGATTAGGATTGCCACCCTTGCCTTTTTTTGTTTTCCATTTGCTTGGTAGATCTTCCTCCATCCCTTTATTTTGAGCCTATGTGTGTGTCTGCACGTGAGATGGGTCTCCTGAATACAGCACACTGATGGGTCCTTACTCTTTATCCAATTTGCCAGTCTGTGTCTTTTAATTGGAGCATTTAGCCCATTTACATTTAAGGTTAATATTGTTATGTATGAATTTGATCCTGTCATTATGATGTTAGCTGGTTATTTTGCTCATTAGTTGATGCAGTTTCTTCTTTACAATTTGACATGTTTTTGCAGTGGCTGGTACCGGTTGTTCCTTTCCATGTTTAGTGCTTCCTTCAGGAGCTCTTGTAGGGCAGGCCTGGTGGTGACAAAATCTCTCAGCATTTGCTTGTCTGTAAAGGATTTTATTTCTCCTTCACTTATGAAGCTTAGTTTGGCTGGATATGAAATTCTGGGTTGAAAATTCTTTTCTTTAAGAATGTTGAAGCCGGGCGCGGTGGCTCACGCCTGTAATCCCAGCACTTCGGGAAGCTGAGGCGGGTGGATCACGAGGTCAGGAGATCAAGACCATCCTGGCTAACACGGTGAAACCCCGTCTCTAATAAAAATACAAAAAATTAGCCGGGCGTGGTAGCAGGCGCCTGTAGTCCCAGCTACTTGGGAGGCTGAGGCAGGAGAATGGTGTGAACCCAGGAGGCGGAGCTTGCAGTGAGCCGAGATTGCGCCACTGCACTCCAGCCTGGGCGACAGAGCGAGACTCCGTCTCAAAAAAAAAAAAAAAAAAAAAAAAGAATGTTGAATATTGGCCCCCACTCTCTTCTGGCTTGTAGTGTTTCTGCCAAGAGATCAGCTGTTAGTCTGATGGACTTCCCTTTGAGGGTAACTCGACCTTTCTCTCTGGCTGCCCTTAACATTTTTTCCTTTATTTCAACTTTGGTGAATCTGATAATGACGTGTCTTGGGGGAGCTCTTCTCAAGGAGTATCTTTGTGGCATTCTCTGTATTTCCTGAATTTGAATGTTGGCCTCCTTTGCAAGGTTGGAGAAGTTCTTCTGGATAATATCCTGCAGAGTGTTTTCCAACTTGGTTCCATTCTCACCGTCTCTTTCAGGTACACCGATCAGATGTAGAATTGGTCTTTTCACATCGTCCCATATTTCTTGGAGGCTTTTTTCATTTCTTTTTACTCTTTTTTCTCTAAACTTCTCTTCTTGCTTCATTTCATTCATTTGATCTTCAATCACTGATACCCTTTCTTCCAGTTGATCGAATTGGCTACTGAAGCTTTTGCATTCATCACGTAGTTCTCGTGCCATGGTTTTCAGCTCCATCAGGTCATTTAAAGACTTCTCTACACTGGTTATTCTAGTTAGCCATTTGTCTAATCTTTTTTCGAGGTTTTTAGCTTCCTTGCAATGGGTTGAAACTTCCTCCTTTAGCTCGGAGAAGTTTGTTATTACCGATCGTCTGAAGCCTTCTTCTCTCAACTCATCAAAGCCATTCTCCATCCAGCTTTGTTCCATTGCTGGCGAGGAGCTGCTTTCCTTTGGAGGGGGAGAGGCACTCTGCTTTTTAGAATTTTCAGCTTTTCTGCTCTGTTTTTTCCCCATCTTTGTGGTCTTGTCTACCTTTGGTCTTTGAGGACGGTGACGTACAGACGGGATTTTGGTGTGGATGCCCTTTCTGTTTGTTAGTTTTCCTTCTAACAGTCAGGACCCTGAGCTGCAGGTCTGTTGGAGTTTGCTGCAGGTCCACTCCAGACCCTGTTTGCCTGGGTATCAGCAATGGAGGCTGCAGAACAGTGAATATTGCTGAACAGCAAATGTTGCTGCCTGATTGTTCCTCTGGAAGCTTCATCTAAGAGGGGTACCCGGTCATGTGAGGTGTCAGCCTGCCCCTATTGGGGGGTGCCTCCCAGTTATGCTACTCAGGGGTCAAGGGACCCACTTGAAGAGGCAGTCTGTCCATTCTCAGATCTCAAACTCTGTGATGGGAGAACCACTACTCTCTTCAAAGCTGTCAGACAGGGACATTTAAGTCTGCAGAGGTTTCTGCTGCCTTTTGTTTAGCTATGCCCTGCCCCCAGAAGTGGAGTCTACAGTGGCAGGCAGGCTTCCTTGAGCTGTGGTGGGCTCCACCCAGTTCTAGCTTCCCAGCCATTTTGTTTACCTACTCAAGCCTCAGCAATGGCAGGCGCCCCTCCCCCAGCCTTGCTGCCACCTTGCAGTTCGATCTCAGACTGCTGTGCTAGCAATGGGCAGGGCTCCATGGGCATGGGACCCTCTGAGACAGACATGGGATATAATCTCCTGGTGTGCCCTTTGCTAAGACCATTGGAAAAGCGCATTATTAGGGTAGGATTGACCTGATTTTCCAGGTGCCATCTGTCACCACTTCCCTTGGCTAGGAAAAGGAATTCCCTGACCCCTTGCACTTCCCGGGTGAGGTGATGCCTCATCCTGCTTTGGCTCATGCTCAGTGGCCTGCACCCACTGTACTGCCCCCACTGTCCGACAAACCCCAGTGAGATGAACCCAGTACCTCATTTGGAAATGCAGAAATCACCTGTCTTCTACGTTGCTCATGCTGGGAACTGTAGACTGGAGCTGTTCCTATTTGGCCATCTTGGAACCCCCCTCCACCCCGGTCTCCTTTTTATTATCACCAGCAATTCTGAACAACACCGGTGATTAAATACTTCCCCTCTTTGCTGTGGTGGAACACTCCTACTGTCTCCCTCACCTTTTGGGATAGTACTGTTACTCTTTAAGATGGATAGTTTGGACTAAAGACAAAATGCATGAGGTGAGGAGTCAGTGGGCACAAGTATGAGTGGCCCTGCTTACCATTAGTCCTAGTAATGCACTTGGATGATTTGCTTCCCATCACTGCAACTGCAGCCTCTGTCAGTCTAGAGATTCTAAAGTCAAGTGGAAAGATTTTTCTACTAGAGTATACAGTAAGGTTTCACTACACTAAAATTTAGCTACCACCCAGTCACTTTGGCTCTTCCTGCCAGTTGACCAGCAATTGCTGAGTAATTGACTTGACTATCAAGAGGAGTGGGCAGGCAGGAGTATTCCTAAAAACCAGAAACTCTACCAGGACTCCACTTGATACTTCCATGTCCAGTAATAGCTGTAATTGGGCCTTTGGAGAAACAGTGACCTGATAGGGAGTGGTAACCATGGGCTCAGACCCCTCAGGAATAAAATATGGGGTTTCCCTACAGGCTAGCAATCAAGATGAACAGAAGCACGAACCAAAGTTGAGAAGGACAGATGATCAAGATCATGGTCAATTACAGCATTGAGTTTGTAGCTTGTCCCATTAATCCTCCTAATTTTGTTAAACCCATTTGTTTCGAAATTCTGAATGATCACTGGATTGAAGAGCAGTTACTTATAGGAATGAATTTAACGTGGGGCACAGTTAGAACTGCACAAAGCAAAGGGTGAACTGTTGAAGGCATTGTCAGTGCCCTACCCACATCTTTTGGGTTTTAACTATTTTACTGTATTCTGGTGAACTTCTGTTAGTATCTGCCTCTCTGTACATGGGGGCTTTTTGTAGAATCACCAAAGGCTGCTTTGCCCTTGTGCATGATAGACTGGAATTTCAAGGGATATGTTACCCCATGCTCTGGAAGTGATCCTCAATCAGTGTTTCTTGAGAGTTGGTGTACAAATACTCTTGTACCCACGTCTCTTGAGTGAGATAATTCTGAGATGTGTATTTTACTCCATTGCTTAGAATGTCCTTGCAGGAATCAACTCCAGGGACCCACTGCAGTAGCTGGCTTAATAATGTACTCTTATTGGCCTTTTTTTTCTTTATATCTCTCCCTTACTGATTTTCCCAGTACCTCTCCAATAAATACTCAAACCCTTATCTTGGAATCTGTTTCTATAGAAACCCAAACAACACCTTTCAGACACATTCTCTGAAGTTTTTCTTTTAATTCTGAGCCCAGGCAGACTATGTATACTTTTGATAGTAACTAATCTCTCTGGGCTTTAATTTTCCTGATCTATTAAATGCAGATATTAATAGTATCTACTTCATTGGGTTTATTACCACTATTAAGTAAGATAATATTTCTAAAGCATTTAGAAAATTGCCTGACACAGATGTTATTTGTATAAATAAAATAATATTTAAAGTTTTTTCTTTGGAGGATGTAATGGGAAGATAAATCTTTAAAACTGCTTTCTTTTTTCTACTGAACATTGTAGGGAGTGATATTTTCCAGTTATGTTGGTTATTGGCTTTCCTCAACGATGCATATTTTTGCTGGAAGTAACTTGACATGTGGACCAACTACAATAAACCTGGGTTGTTGCTGTTGTTGTTTTGACTGAGTAGTAAAAATAAATAACATGCTGGCTTCTATTTTATGTACAATTTTTCAAATAAATTAGTAGATTAGAGGATTCAAGACTGGCTTCATCATGCATTGTTGGATAGACCTTTAACTCACTATTGGTGATCCAAGTTATTTAGAATTTCACAGCAAGTTTAAATATGCTGTGAACATTAGCAGGTGCAGTTATTGCTTTCTCTCTGCAAGTCCAAGATGGAAATGCCCCCCAAGGCATAAAAATGTTTTTGCATGTTGTAAGCATAAGAAGCTTGGAAATACATGTTTTGGAAACTTTTCTCTAGCAGGTGACAGGATTCCATATTCCAATGAGCTTAGAGGACTTGGGAAAGAGTCTTTAATGAGAGATTTCCCTTCTCCTAGAGCAAAAAGATACCAGATTCAATTTCCTGATATTAGTTGTAGAGTTATGGGAATATTTTGCAACATGATTTAAAAAAAATCTCTCTTCATTTATACATAGCCCCAGAAATAAGTTCTGCCTTTTATAAACTCAAGTTTACCTCCTATTACCTTATCTGATAGTTATAAGGTGGTTGACTTCAGTGTGATACGCTAGGTTCAGTTTGATTTATTGTGTGACCCAGGTTGCTGGCATGGATTAAAGTTTATTTGAATTGGTTTGGTTGCTTCCTGGCAAGGTTTTCCCGACTTCATTCCTAGCGAAGCATCTGAGCCATTTTCTTTCCCCAGTTGTTTTAAAACATACCACTCTGACAGTTTTATCAATATATCTTTTTCCCTTTTTCCAGAGCTACTTCATTCTACCACTAAATGAAAGCACCAAGTTACAGGAGGAATTTCCTCCCATTTCCACTGACCTTTGCCCTCGGCATTGGATCTCCTGGGACCTTACCAAAGGCTTAGTGATGGCTACTATTTCTTAGCAGCCATGCCTATGCATATTTCTCACCAAATTGTATTTTATTTTAAAAGTCATATAGGCCAAAAAAATCCCCTTAATCACTATGAAATATGTAAGGGAAAAATGAAAAGTCACTCTTTATTCCATCCCCTAGAAAATTTTTTGTACATTATTATAGTTTTTTTCTCTATGAAAATGCTTCATTATTATTTTAGATTAGGGGGTACATGTGAAGGTTTGTTACATGGGTATATTGTGTGACACTGACCTTTGACTTTCTAATGATTCTGTTGCCCAAGTAGTTTTCAAAACTTGTCCACCTCCCTACCTCCCCACTTTTGGAATCCCCAGTATATGTTATTCCCATCTTGTGTCTGTGTATACCCAATGTTTAGCACCCACTTATAAGTGAGAACACATGGTATTTAATTTTCTGTTCCTACATTAATTCACTCAGGCCTCTAGTTGCATCCATGTTGCTGTAAAAGACACAATGTAATTCCTTTTTTTTTTTTTTTTTTTGAGATGGAGTCTTTCTCTGTCACCCAGGCTGGAGTGCGGTGGTACGGTATCGGCTCACTGCAACCTCCACCTCCCAGGTTCAAGCAATTCTCCTGCCTCAGCCTCCCAGGTAGCTGAGATTACAGGCATGTGCCACCACACCTGGATAATTTTTTGTATTTTTAGTAGAGACAGGGTTTCACCATGTTGGCCAGGTTGGTCTCAAACTCCTGACCTTGTGATCTGCCCACCTCAGCCTCCCTAAGTACTGGAATTACAGGCGTGAGCCACCACACACAGGTGATTTCATTCTTTTTTATGGCTGCATAGTATTCCATGCTGTATATATGCCACAATTTGTTTATCCAGTCCACTGTTGGTGGGCACCTAGGTTGATTCCATGTCTTTGCTATTGTGAATAGTGCTGCAATGAGCATGCGAGTGCATTTGTCTTTTTGGTAGAAAGATTTGTTTTCTTTTGGATTATACCCATAATGGGATTGCTGGGTTGAATGGCAGTTCTGTTTTAAGTTCTTTGAGAAATCTCCAAATTGCTTTCCACAGTAGCTGAACTACATTACATTCCCACCAACAGTGTATAGGCATTCCCTTTTCTTTGCAGCCTTGCCAGCCTCTGTTGTTTTTTGATTTTTAGTAATAGCCATTCTGACTGGTGTGAGATGGTATTTCATTGTGGTTTTGATTTGCATTTCTCTAAAGATTAGTGATTTGGAGCATTTTTTCATGTGTGTTGGCTGCTTGCATGTCTTGTTTTGAGAAGTGCCTGTTCATATCTTTTGCCATTTTAAATGGGGTTACTTGTTTTTTGCTTGTTCAATTGTTTAAGTTCCTTATAGATTTTGTATATTAGAACTTTGTCAGATGCGTAGTTTGCAAATATTTTCTCCCATTCTGTAGGTTGCCTGTTTACTCTGTTTATAGTTTCTTTTGCTGTGCAGAAGCTCCTTAGTTTACTTAAGTTCCACTTGTCAATTTTTGTTTTTGTTGTAATTGCTTTTGAGGACTTAGTCATAAATTATTTCCCAAGGCTGACTTGCAATTGCTTTTGAGAACTTGGTCATAATTTTTTTCCTAAGGCCAATGTCCAGAATGGTGTTTCCCAGGTTTTCTTCTAGGACCCTTATAGTTTGAATCTTAAATTTAAGTCTTTATTCCATCTTGAGATAATTTTTGTATATGGTGAGAGGTAGGGAGCAAGTTTCATTCTTCTGCATATGGCTAGCCCATTTTCCCAGCACCATTTATTGAATAGGTTATCCTTTCTCCATTGTTTATTTTTGTCAACTTTGTTGAAGATAATTTGGTTGTAGGTGTGGGGCTTTATTTCAGGGGTCTCTATTATGTTCCATTGGCCTATGTGGCTATTTTGTACTAGTACCACATTAGTTTGGTTACTGTAGCCTTGTACTGTAGTTTGAAGTTGGGTAATGTGATGCCTACAGCTTTATTCTTTTTCCTTAGGATTGCTTTGGCTATTTGGGCTGTTTTTTGGTTCCTCATGTATTTTAGAATAGTTTTTTTTCCTAATCCTGTGAAAAATGACATTGGTAGTTTGATTTAAAAAAAGCATTGAATCTGTAGATTGCTATAGGCAGTATGGACATTTTAATGATATTGATTCTTTAATCCATGAGCATGAAATGCTTTGCCATTTGTTTATGTTGTCTATGATTTCTTTCAGCAGTGTTTTGTAGTTCTTGTAGAGATCTTTCACCTCCTTCATTAGATGGATTCCTAGGTTTTTAAATTATTTTTGTGGCTATTATAAGTTCTTGTTTGTTTCTAGTTTGGTTCTCAGCTTGAACATTATTGATATATAGAAATGCTACTGATTTTTACATACTGATTTTGTTTACTGAGACTTTGCAGAAGTTGTTTATCAAGTCTTAGGGATTTTTAGTGAAATCTTTAGGGTTGTCTAGGTATAGAATCACATCATCAGTGAGGAGAAATAATTTGACTTTCTGTTTTCCTATTTGGATGCCCCTTATTTCTTTCCTTGCCTGATTGCTCTGAGTTTCTCTTGATATTGATTTCTATTTTTATTCCACTTATGTCTCAGAGGATACTTGATATGATTTCATTTTTTAAAAAAGTTTATTAAGATTTCCTTTATGACTGAGCATGTGATCAATCTCAGAGTATGTTTCATGTGCAGATGAGAAGAAGGTATATTCTGTGATTGTTGGGTGGAGTGTTCTGTAGATGTTTATTAGGTCCAATTGGTGAAGTGTTGAATTTAAGTCCAAAATTTCTTCATTAGTTTACTACATCAATAATCTGTCTCATGCTGTCAGTGGGACTATTATTGTATGTCTGTCAAAGTGTTTTGTTAGGTCAAGTAGTAATTGTTTTATAAATCTGGATGCTCCAATGTTGGCTGCATAAATATTTAGGATAGTTAAGTCTTCTTGTTGAACTGAACCTTTATCATTATGCAGTGTCCATTTTTGTCCTTTTTACTGTTTTTGGATTCAAGTATATTTTATCTGATGTAAGAACAGTGCCCCCTGGTATTTTTTGTTTTCCATTTCCATGATAGATCTTTCTCCATCCCTTTACTTTGAGCCTATGGGTGTCACTACAGTTTACCAATCTATGTCTTTTAAGTGAAAACTTTAGGCCATTTAAGTGAAACATTTAGGCTGTTTATATTCAAGGTCAATATTTATATGTGAGGTTTTGTTTCCATCACACTGTTGTTAGCTAGTTCTGTAGTTTCAATTGTGTAGTTGCTTTATAGGGTCTGTGGGCTGTGCTTTGTGCTTGCATGTGCTTTTGTGGCAAGTGTTGTTCTTTCATTTCCATGTTTAGAATCCCCTTAAGCATTTCTTGTAGGGCTGATCTCCTGGTGATAAGTTCCATTAGCAGTTGCTTTTCTGGAAAATACTTTATTTCTTTTTCATTTATGAAGCTTGGTTTGATGGGATATAAAACTCTTGGCTGGCATTTCCTTTAAGAATGCTAAAAATGGGCCTCCCAATATCTTCTGGATTCACAGGTTTCTGTTAAGAAGTCTGCTGTTAGTCTGATGGGTTTCCTTTTATAGGTAATATGAGCCTTTTCTTTTGCTGTCTTTAAGATTTTTAAATTTCACATTGACCTTGGATCGTGTGATGACGATGTGCCTTTGGGAGAGTCATCTTGTACAGTATCTCGCAGCAGTTCTGTACATTTCTTGTATCTGAATGTCAACATCTTTAGAAAGACTGGGGAAATTTTCCTGAATTATATCCTCAAATATGTTTGCTTATTTTTTCTTCTCTCTCAGAAATGCCAATAAGTCACAGATTTGGTCACTTTATATAATCCCATATTTCTCGAAGGCTTTGTTCAGTTTTAAAAATTTTCTTTTTGTCTGACTAGAGTGATTCAAAAGACTAATCTCTGAGCTATGAAATTCTTTATTCTGCTTGGTCTAGTCTGTTGATAGGGCTTCCAACTGTATTTTGAAGTCCCCATAATGAATTTTCAATTTCAGAAGTTCTGTTTGGTTCTTTCTATAATGATGTTATCTTTCAAATCTTGGATTGTTTTTCTGGCTTCTTTGTGTTGGATTTCAACTTCTTCTTGGATCTTATTTAGTTTCTTGCCATCTATATTCTGAATTCTTTATCTATCATTTCAGACATTTAATTCTGGTTAGGATTGATTGCTTGGGAGCCACTGGGATCCTTTGGAGGTAACAAAACCCTTTGGGTTTTTGTATTGCTGATGTTCTTGTGCTGGTTCCTTCTCATCCGAGAGAGCTGACATTCTTTTTTCTACTTTTTAATTTGTCAGCACTTGGATAGAGCTTCTTGACTTTTTATTCTTTTTTCTCTTGGGGATATGACTGTGGTGTGTATTGTATATGATCGATTGGCTTTGTTCTGGGTACTTTCAGGATTCCATGGCTCTGCTTGGGTTCCTTGGTTGCAGATACTTTCATGCAACGGCTTCCTCAGATGTTGCTAGTTGTAACAATGCCATTTTGTTTGCTGGTGTAATTCAGGCTGGAGTCCAGTAGCTGGCACTTAAGAGTAAAGGGTGGCAGATAGACTCTTACTCAGCTGCATGCCTCTTTTGTATTTCAGTGTGTTTGCAGGAGTGCTCTGGGGAGGGGAGGTAAGGGAGGGGTGAGAGATGACTCACTCTCCATATCCATTCCTGGGCTTTAACGGTGCTGCTTCCAGTGGCTGATGCCCTCCTCATACTTCCTTGATCCAAGAAGTGCTTTGGCAGGCTGTGCTTCCCCCTCCCTTAGGGTGGCCCATATTGAGGGTTAGATTTCCAAGGGGAGTGATTTCACCTCCCATCTCTTATTAAGACTGGTGGGGGTCTGCCCTCAAACCAAACAAGGGAGCAGGCTGGAGGTCCCAGTTGTGTCACACACAGACTAGCTTCAGGTAACAGATCTGTTCCTGGATGCAGTCTCATCACCCTCGAGAAACCTTGACTTCAGCTGCTCTCCTCCCCATCCAGTCCTGTGACAGGAGAGAGCCTAATTCCAGTGCCTGCTGCTACAGCCTTCTCCATACTTGCCACCAATTCTGGCTGTGGGGGCCCTTCCCCAACTCCAGAGCAAGTGCTCCAATCTCGGGCCTACAAAGCAAAGTACAATGCCTGCTTTGGCCACCACTGCCAAATTGCCAAACAATGTCTCTAAACTCTCAAAATGGTGCCCACTGTGGGCTTGAACCAGAGAGGATGGGGTCCCTGTCAGGTGAGCAACATGGGTAAGAAGCTGTGGGGAATGTAGCCTGCTCAAATCTTGGTCTTGCAGCAGCCTAAAAAGGGTATTGGGTATTGCCCTAGGAGGAGGGTCTGGAGGAGAGCCTGACTCTCCTGCCCCTCCTTGGCTGTGTGGTGGCTGCAGTTGCTTCAACCTGAACTCAGGCTGAGTGTGGGGAGAAGCTCATTATTATACTCTCAAAAGTGACTCCTTGGGCCTAAGATCAGGGAGGGTGGAGGACCGCCCAGGCAAATAGTGTGGGCAAGAAGCTGTAGAAAGTGTAAATTTGCATGTCTCACTCTCACAGCAGCCTACTGCAGAGCAGTAGGTATTCTCCTAGATTTGTGTAGGATGGCCTGGTCTCCCTGTCCCTTTTGGGCTTGGTGTTGACTACAGCTGCGTCAGTCTGACCTCAGGCTGAGGGTGGGCCACAGCCCCATTTTAAACTCCCAAAATGGCACCTTGGGCCTGGGACCAGAGAGAGTGGGTCACCATCCATGCAAGCAGCATGAACAAAAAGCTGTGGGGAGTGTGGTCCACTCAGTCTCAGTCCCAATAGCGGCTCATAGCAGGGCAGCAAGTACACTCCTGGGCGTGTGTGGGCTCACTCATTCTTCCTTCTTGGAATAGTGTAGTGGCTGCCACCCAGTCCATAGATCCCAGTGTCTAAGCTGTCAAAATGCCTCCCAGCTGAGGCTGCTCCAGCCTCAGATGCCTGTGTGATATACAAAGTTATGCAATTTTCTCCTTTGAAACTTGATTTTTTCATTATGTTCATCATGGTTCTACAGAATACGAATGAAGTTATGCAATTTTCTACTCCCTCAGAGGGTGTGTGTTAGTTCAGTTATTCTTTACTGGTCTTCATTTGGATTGCCCTTTCCCTTCAAAATATGATGACTAATTTTCAGCCATAAGAGGACACTGAGTTTCAGTAAGGGGGACTTCCTCAGTGAATTCTAAATTAAGAATTATTGTTGAAAAATATACATACGCACAATGTTAAAATATCTAATATTGAGTTTGGCATGAGTATTGCCGAATCAAAACAGGTGTCAGCCATAAGAAATCTGTCTTAATCAAGATGGCCGAATAGGAACAGCTCTGGTCTACAGCTCCCAGCGTGAGCGACGCAGAAGATGGGTGATTTCTGCATGTCCATCTGAGGTACCGGGTTCATCTCACTAGGGAATGCCAGACAGTGGGCGCAGGACAGTGGGTGCAGCACACCATGCATGAGCCGAAGCAGGGTGAGGCATTGCCTCACTCGGGAAGGGCAAGGGGTCAGGGAGTTCCCTTTCCTAGTCAAAGAAAGGGGTGACAGACGGCACCTGGAAAATCAGGTCACTCCCACCCCAATACTGTGCTTTTCTGACGGGCTTAAAAAACGATGCACCAGGAGATTATATCCCACACCTGGCTCGGAGGGTCCTATGCCTATGGAGTCTCGCTGATTGCTAGCACAGCATTCTGAGATCAAACTGCAAGGCGGCATCAAGGCTGGGGGAGGGGCGCCCGCCATTGCCCAGGCTTGCTTAGGTAAACAAAGCAGCCGGGAAGCTCCAACTGGGTGGAGCCCACCACAGCTCAAGGAGGCCTGCCTGCCTGCCTCTGTAGGCTCCACCTCTGGGGGCAGGACACAGACAAACAAAAAGACAGCAGTAACCTCTGCAGACTTAAATGTCCCTGTCTGACAGCTTTGAAGAGAGCAGTGGTTCTCCCAGCATGCAGCTGGAGATCTGAGAACGGGCAGACTGCCTCTTCAAGTGGGTCCCTGACCCCTGACCCCCGAGCAGCCTAACTGGGAGGCACCCCCCAGTAGGGGCAGACTGACACCTCACACGGCCGGGTACTCCACTGAGACAAAACTTCCAGAGGAGCGATCAGATAGCAGCATTCGTGGTTCACGAAAATCCGCTGTTCTGCAGCCACTGCTGCTGGTACCCAGGCAAACAGGGTCTGCAGTGGACCTCTAACAAACTCCAACAGACCTGCAGCTGAGGGTCCTGTCTGTTAGAAGGAAAACTAACAAACAGAAAGGACATCCACACCAAAAACCCATCTGTACATCACCATCATCAAAGACCAAAAGTAGATAAAACCACAAAGATGGGGGAAAAAAAGAGCAGAAAAACTGGAAACTCTAAAAAGCAGAGTGCCTCTCCTCCTCCAAAGGAACGCAGCTCCTCACCAGCAAGGGAACAAAGCTGGATGGAGAATGACTTTGATGAGTTGAGAGAAGACGGCTTCAGACGATCAAACTACTTCGAGCTACAGGGGGAAATTCAAACCAAAGGCAAGGAAGTTGAAAACTTTGAAAAAAATTTAGATGAATGTATAACTAGAATAACCAATACAGAGAAGTGCTTAAAGGAGCTGATGGAGCTGAAAGCCAAGGCTCGAGAACTATGTGAAGAATGCAGAAGCCTCAGGAGCTGATGCGTTCAACTGGAAGAAAGGGTATCAGTGATGGAAGATGAAATGAATGAAATAAAGCGAGAAGGGAAGTTTAGAGAAAAAAGAATAAAAAGAAACAAACAAAGCCTCCAAGAAATATGGGACTATGTGAAAAGACAAAATCTACGTCTGATTGGTGTACCTGAAAGTGACAGGGAGAATGGAACCAAGCTGGAAACACTCTGCAGGATGTTATCCAGGAGAATTTCCCCAATCTGGCAAGGCAGGCCAACATTCAGATTCAGGAAATACAGAGAACACCACAAAGATACTCCTCAAGAAGAGCAACTCCAAGACACATAATTGTCAGATTCACCAAAGTTGAAATGAAGGAAAAAATGTTAAGGGCAGCCAGAGAGAAAGGTCGGGTTACCCACAAAGGGAAGCCCATCAGACTAACAGTGGACCTCTCGGCAGAAACTCTACAAGCCAGAAGAGAGTGGGGGCCAATATCCAACATTCTTAAAGAAAAGAATTTTCAACCCAGAATTTCATATCCAGCCAAACTAAGCTTCATAAGTGAAGGAGAAATAAAATCCTTTACAGACAAGCAAATGCTGAGAGATTTTGTCACCACCAGGCCTGCCCTACAAGAGCTCCTGAAGGAAGCACTAAACATGGAAAGGAACAACCAGTACCAGCCACTGCAAAATCATTTCAAATTGTAAAGACCACTGAGGCTAGGAAGAAACTAAATCAACTAATGAGCAAAATAACCAGCTAACATCATAATGACAGGATCAAATTCACCCATAACAATATTAACTTTAAATGTAAATGGACTAAATGCTCCAATTAAAAGACAAAGACTGTCAAATTGGATAAAGAGTCAAGACCCATCAGTGTGCTGTATTCAGGAAACCCATCTCACATGCAGAGACACACATAGGCTCAAAATAAAAGGATGGAGGAAGATCTACCAAGCAAACGGAAAACAAAAAAAGGCAGGGGTTGCAATCCTAGTTTTTGATAAAACAGACTTTAAACCAACAAAAATCAAAAGAGACAAAGAAGGCCATTACCTAATGGTAAAGCGATCAATTCAACAAGAAGAACTATTCTAAATATATATGCACCCAATACAGGAGCACCCAGATTCATAAAGCAAGTCCTGAGTGACCTACAATGAGACTTAGACTCCCACACAATAATAATGGGAGACTTTAACACCCCACTGTCAACATGACAGATCAAGGAGACAGAAAGTTAACAAGGATACCCAGGAATTGAACTCAGCTCTGCACCAAGTGGACCTAATAGATATCTACAGACTCTCCACCCCAAATCAACAGAATATACATTTTTTTCAGCACCACACCACACCTATTCCAAAATTGACCACATAGTTGGAAGTAAAGCTCTCCTCAGCAAATGTAAAAGATCAGAAATTATAACTAACTGTCTCTAAGACCACAGTGCAATCAAACTAGAACTCAGGATTAAGACACTCACTCAAAACCGCTCAACTACATGGAAACGGAACAACCTGCTCCTGAATGACTACTGGGAACACAACAAAATGAAGGCAGATATAAAGATGTTCTTTGAAACCAACGAGAACAAAGACACAACATACCAGAATCTCTGGGACACATGCAAAGCAGTGTGTAGAGGGAAATTTATAGCACTAAACGCCCACAAGAGAAAGCAGGAAAGATCCAAAATTGACACCCTAACATCACAATTAAAAGCACTAGAGAAGCAAGAGCAAACACATTCAAAGCTAGCAGAAGGCAAGAAATAACTAAAATCAGAGCAGAACTGAAGGAAATAGAGACACAAAAAACCCTTCAAAAAATTAATGAATCCAGGAGCTGGTTTTTTGAAAGGATCAACAAAATTGATAGACTGCTAGCAAGACTAATAAAGAAGAAAAGAGAGAAGAATCAAATAGACGCAATAAAAAACAATAAAGGGGATATCACCACCGATCCCACAGAAATACAAACTACCATCAGAGAATACTACAAACACCTCTATGCAAATAAACTAGAAAATCTAGAAGAAATGGATAAATTCCTCGACACATATACCCTCCCAAGACTAAACCAGGAAGAAGTTGACTCTCTGAATAGACCAATAACAGGCTCTGAAATTGTGGCAATAATCTATAGCTTACCAACCAAAAAAAACGTCCAGGACCAGATGGATTCACAGCCGAATTCTACCAGAGGTACAAGGAGGAACTGGTACCATTCCTTCTGAAACTATTCCAATCAATAGAAAAAGAGGGAATCCTCCCTAACTCATTTTATGAGGCCAGCATCATCCTGATACCAAGCTGGGCAGAGACACAACCAAAAAAGAGAATTTTAGACCAATATCCTTGATGAACATTGATGCAAAAATCCTCAATGAAATACTGGCAAACCAACTCCAGCAGCACATCAAAAAGCTTATCCACCATGATCGAGTGGGCTTCATCCCTGGGATGCAAGGCTGGTTCAATATATGCAAATAAATAAATGTAATCCAGCATATAAACAGAACCAAAGACAAAAACCACATGATTATCTGAATAGATGCAGAAAAGGCCTTTGACAAAGTTCAACAACTCTTCATGATAAAAACTCTCAATAAATTAGGTATTGATGGGACGTATCTCAAAATAATAAGAGCTATCTATGACAAACTCACAGCCAATATCATACTGAATGGGCAAAAACTGGAAGCATTCCCTTTGAAAACTGGCACAAGACAGGGATGCCCTCTCTCACCACTCCTATTCAACATAGTGTTGGAAGTTCTGGCCAGGGCAATTAGGCAGGAGAAGTAAATAAAGGGTATTCAGTTAGGAAAAGAGGAAGTCAAATTGTCTCTGTTTGCAGATGACATGATTGTATATCTAGAAAACCCCATTGTCTCAACCCAAAATCTCCTTAAGCTGATAAGCAACTTCAGCAAAGTCTCAGGATACAAAATCAATGTGCAAAAATCACAAGCATTCTTATACACCAATAACAGACAAACAGAGAGCCAAATCATGAGTGAACTCCCATTCACAATTGCTTCAAAGAGAATAAAATACCTAGGAATCCAACTTACAAGGGATATGAAGGACCTCTTCAAGGAGAACTACAAACCACTGCTCAATGAAATAAAAGAGGATACAAACAAATGGAAGAACATTCCATGCTCATGGGTAGGAAGAACCAATATTATGAAAATGGCCATACTGCCCAAGGTAATTTATAGATTCAGTGCCATCCCCATCAAGCTACCAATGCCTTTCTTCACAGAATTGGAAAAAACTACTTTAAAGTTCATATAGAACCAAAAAAGAGCCGGCATTGCCAAGTTAATCCTAAGCCAAAAGAACAAAGCTGGAGGCATCACACTACCTGACTTCAAACTATACTACAATGCAACAGTAACCAAAACAGCATGGTACTGGTACCAAAACAGAGATATAGATCAATGGAACAGAACAGAACCCTCAGAAATAACGCCGCATATCTACAACTATTTGATCTTTGACAAACCTGAGAAAAACAAGCAATGGGGAAAGGATTCCCTATTTAATAAATGGTGCTGGGAAAACTGGCTAGCCATATGTAGAAAGCTGAAACTGGATCCCTTCCTTACATCTTATACAAAAATTAATTCAAGATGGATTAAAGACTTAAACATTAGACCTAAAACCATAAAAACCCTAGAAGAAAACCTAGGCATTACCATTCAGGACATAGGCATGGGCAAGGACTTCATGTCTAAAACACCAAAAGCAATGGCAACAAAAGCCAAAATTGACAAATGGGATCTAATTAAACTAAAGAGCTTCTGCGCAGCAAAAGAAACTACCATCAGAGTGAACAGGCAACTTACAAAATGGGAGAAAATTTTCACAACCTGTTCATCTGACAAAGGGCTAATATCCAGAATCTACAATGAACTCAAACAAATTTACAAGAAGAAAACAAACAACCCCATCAAAAGTGGGTGAAGGACATGAACAGACACTTCTCAAGAGAAGACATTTATGTAGCCAAAAAACACATGAAAAAATGCTCACCATCACTGGCCATCAGAGAAATGCAAATCAAAACCACAATGAGATACCATCTCACACCAGTTAGATTGGCAATCACTCAAAAGTCAGGAAACAACAGGTGCTGGAGAGGACGTGGAGAAATAGGAACACTTTTACACTGTTGGTGGGACTGTAAACTAGTTCAACCCTTGTGGAAGTCAGTGTGGCCATTCCTCAGGGATCTAGAACTAGAAATACCATTTGACCCAGCCATCCCATTACTGGGTATTTACCCAAAGGACTATTAAATCATGCTGCTATAAAGACACATGCACACGTATGTTTATTGCAGCACTATTCACAATAGCAAAGACTTGGAACCAACCCAAATGTCCAACAATGATAGACTGGGTTAAGAAAACATGGCACATATACACCATGGAATACTATGCAGCCATAAAAAATGATGAGTTCATGTCCTTTGTAGGGACATGGATGAAACTGGAAATCATCATTCTCAGTAAACTATCGCAAGAACAAAAAACCAAACACCGCATATTCTCACTCATAGGTGGGAATTGAACAGTGAGAACACATGGACACAGGAAGGGGAACATCACACTCTGGGGACTGTTGTGGGGTGGGGGGAGGGAGGAGGGATAGCTTTAGGAGATATACCTAATGCTAAATGACGAGTTAATGGGTGCAGCACAACAGCATGGCACATGTATACATATGTAACTAACCTGCACATTGTGCACATGTACCCTAAAGCTTAAAGTATATTAATAATAAAATAATAAAAAAAAGAAATTTGTCTTCTGCAATGGCTAAAATATGTTAATTGATGTATAAACTTGAGAGACAGTCTTTTTTTTTCAACAAACCCAACTTATATGAAAATTAACATTCAAAAAGAATATCTGGTTTCATTAACTTTCTCAACTTTTTCCTTTATACTTAAGCCTAATCCTTATCCTTCTCTCTTTATAGACTTAGCTAGATATGTAACTTTTGTATTTACCTTTAGCCCCATGCTTAGTTTGGGTCCCAAACCAAAACTCCATTAACTAATTTTTCTTTTTGAAAATTTCGTCATTTTCTTTTCCAACAGTGATTTTCAGGTCCTTTCTGTGTTGCCTCCCAAGGGACACTGAAGATGTCTGGAGACATTTTTGATTGTCACAACTGGGGAAAGGGCAGTACTATTGGCATCAAGTAGGTAAAGCAGAGGTGTTGTTAAAACTTCCACAGTTGGCCAGGCACAGTGGCTCACGCCTGTAATCCCAGCACTTCAGGAGGCAGAGGCAGGCGGATCACCTGAGGTCCGGAGTTTCAGAGCAGCCTGACCAACATGGAGAAACCCCATCTCTACTAAAAAAAAATATAAAATCAGCCGGGCATGGTGGTGGATGCCTGTAATCGCAGCTACTCAGGAGGCTGGGGCAGGAGAATAGCTTGAACCCGGGAGGTGGAGGTTGCGGTGAGCTGAGATTGTGCCATTCCACTCCATCCTGGGCAACAAGAGTGAAACTCCATCTCAAACAAACAAACAACCTTTCACAGTACCCAGTACAGTCCTCCCCTAACCCTGATGAATTATCTGAACTGAAATACCAATCAGATGTAGGTTGAAAAACTGCTTTAAGGTGAGGGTATGGGGTCACTGCCTTCAATCTGATCCCCAGGTAGTTGATAAGCTCTGTATGCATATAACCTCCAGTCATAGATGATTTGTGTTTGATACCTCACTTTCTCCTCAAGATAACTGAGTTGAGAAGATGCTTTGAAAACCTCTAGCAATAGCTAGAGAGTGATTGGTTCTCCCATCTTGTGATGGGTTGAATTGTGTCCCCCCTTCCAAATTCATATGTTGAAGTCTTAATCCCTACCACCTGGGAATGTGATCTTATTTGGAAATAAGGTTTTTGTAGATGTCATTAGTTAAAATGGGCCCAAAGCTATTATGAATGGTGTCCTAATAAAAGAGAAATTTGGACTTGGAGACAGACATGCACGTAGGGAGAAAGCCATGTGAAGATGAAGATAGAGATTGGGTGAGGCACCTACAAGCCAAGGAATGCCACAGATTGTCAACCAACCACCAGAAGCTAGGAGAGGGGCATGAGACAGAGTTTCCTCACAGTCCTCAGAAGAACCAACACCCTGATTTCAGACCTGTAGTCTCTAGGCCTGTGAGATGACAAATTTCTCCTGTTTAACTGATCCAGTTTATAGTACTTTATTGCGAGGGTCCTAGCAAACACCTGTTTCCTGCTAGGTTAACTTTTAGTTAAAAAGGCCTGCTTAAGCTATATTTTAAAGATGGAAACAGAAAAATAATGACTGAAAATTTTAAGTTGCTTTATTATTATTATTATTTATAAAACTGCTTCCTGTATCTTTTAAGTTATTGTGTTAGGAAGTGTTTTCTCTCAACAAAATCTTCATCTTTCTCAGCTTCCATTTTTACCACTCTGTCTCTGCTTCCAAGGATGTTACTTTAACATCTACTACTTAGGCTTGATACGTAAGTTTCCACCTTTTCGGCCAGTATCCTTTGCTCTGGTTAAGAACTGTTTTTAGCATGCCAGTTTTTGTCTTTCTCATCTATTCTTTGACAATTTCTTCTGAGCTACTGCGTGGCATGTGTTTGACTGCTTTTCACTTCCAGCCATCAACCCATCTACTTGCTCTCATTTGTCATTTGTTTCAAATGTTTTTTAAATCTGTGTGTCCAAAGATTGATTTTCCAGAAAGCCTAATTTAAAATATGTCACCCAGCCTGCCACTTATATTTCATAAAAAATATTATTCTATTATCCTGATATTTCTTTTCCTTCTGGATATATAATTCTTAGCTGTTAGTTTTAAAGCCACTTTTAATTCTTTTTATTATATAAAAGCACAGAAAAGTATAAAAGAATAGACATGAAACATTAGATGTACTTTCTGCCTTGGGGGAAAATATCTCTGGGAATTTAATGATTTAAGTTATTTGTTGAATCATAACTTCTTAGTATCTAAACTAATTTTAAGGCCAGCTCTGTTAATATTATAACTTTTGCAAATCTTCTGTTTAGGGATGCGTTTTAAAAACTGGGACAACCAGGTTAATAACATGGCTACTGTCATACAAAGTATACGCAATGCAAGTGAAATTTTGGCAAGAAGAGAAAGTAGCAGGTGGTTTCACGTTCATGGTCTCAACTAGCAAACCATACGTCTTTCAGGTATAGACACTGCCATTCTGGGCAATTTGGCTAAGCTTCCTAGGCCTCAGTTTCTTCAGCCCTAATTGTATAAAATCTTTCCATTTCAACACCTACCACTGACTTTATCAGGGATGAAGTGCTAATGTGGCCTTCAGTGCTAGCTCCGACTGGTTGACAGTGGCTGCCCAGGTACTCACTCTTTTTCTTTTTTTTTGAGACGGAGTCTCGCTCTGTCGCCCGGGCTGGAGTGCAGTGACGAGATCTCGGCTCACTGCAAGCTCCGCCTCCCGAGTTCACACCATTCTCTTGCCTCAGCCTCCCAAGTAGATGGGACGACAGCATGGGGTGCCCACCACCACGCCCGGCTAATTTTTTTTTTTTTTTTTTTGTATTTTTAGTAGAGACAGGGTTTCACCGTGTTAGCCAGGATGGTCTCTATCTCCTGACCTCGTGATCCGCCCGCCTCGGCCCCCCAAAGTGCTGGGATTACAGGCGTGAGCCACCGCGCCCTTCCCCAGATACTCACTCTTGGAGGTGAATCAGGAAACTAAGTAGGCATTCAGTGCAAAGGAGTCCTGCCATTAATTATTCTTATCTGTGATCGTTTTGGAAAAGAGAGTGGTGGCAGACATCTGTGTATTTTTGGACTCTGGATGGGAAACTTTATGCTAATATCTAAAATTAGTTAAAATTTTAACTATTCTGAAATTAGTTAAAATTCTCATGGAATTTCTTTCTCTCTCTTTCTTTTTTTTTCGAGGTTTCACCATGTTGCCCAGGCTGGATCTGGAACTCCTAGGCTCAAATGATCTGCCTGCCTCTGCCTCTCAAAATGCTGGAATTACAGGTGTGAGCTAATGCGCTCAGCCTTAGATTAAGATATCCGGGATTACTTCATTCTGGTCTTAGTGCAATTAGTAGAATTTGCCTCCAGTTCTGGCATTTTGAATAAACACAGTTTAACAAAACCCATTTTTTAATCCCTCCCAACTATCTGTCTTCCTTGCTGTTGTTTATTAGCTTTGTTATTTGAGGTCATCGTTTTTGTATCTAGCCTCTTAACAATTCCTCAGTGGTCACTGCCACTGCCTCATAGTTCCAAGTTGATCTGGAAAAATGATAGACCCTACGCATGCATAATTCCTGCACTACATCTTCTGTAAAGGATATGAGTAGTAACAGGTCTCTGATTTGGCACTGGTTCTTTCCCAATGTTCCAAGAAAGACATTGTATCTGCTGTTTTATATTTGGTGGTTAAAATTCTTTATAAACATCTTTTAATCTTATTATTTCATGAAAGACCTAGACCAAATGAATCATGAACCAATGCTCATAATGTTCAGATTGATGTTTGTAGTTTGTTATATAAGACAAACAAATATTTTGCTTTCACTTGAGGGTTATAGAAGTTTGTAACTAATAAGCAATTAACCATAAACTTTGATGTCTTTTCTGTATTGAAGCAAACTTTCTTATGAGAATATGGGTTTAGTGATGGAGTAAGTCACTGTATAATGTATACTTATGAGATAATTATACATACATATTTCCTTAGATTGTGAATTCCTTTTAGGGCATGGGCCACTCATATTCATCCTTGTGCCTAACACAAATTTGGCCTTCATTAAACAGACAATTAATTGAAGGCCTCAATGAAAAATGATTTAAGAATTTATATTTTTAATTCCTTTTAAGTTCTGGCAAATTTTTTCAAAGTTAGGCATCTTACCTTCCGCTGGAAACCATGTCTTAATAGAAAGAACAGTGGACTTGCATTCAGAAGACAGGTTAGTCTTGCTACTTCCTAAAACTTTCCGAACTTCAATTTCCTCAAGTGTTAACTTGAAATAGAATACATCTGACAGTGCTAATGCAAAAAGTAAGATAATAAGAAAGCGTTTAGTGCTGTGTTGGTAGGCACTTAATACTTTAAAAATACTAGAAGCTTCTTTTTTTTCCTTTTTATTTTTTATTTTTGAGACGTAGTCTCGCTCTGTTGCCTAGAAGCTTCTTTATCTGGTTTCCATTATCGATTTTTAAAGATGTAAGAATAAAAATTTTTAGAAATTTAATCATTTGCACTGAAAATTTTTTAACTCCATCTTCTTTAAAAAATGTAGGGTTTTTTTGACTTTTGAAGATCAGTGGAGTGGAAGAAATTTTGTTTTCCTTAGAATCGAAAGATTGAGGGGGACGTCTGCTTCTGGGAATAATAGGCCAAGGTGCTAGTGGATGACGTCTTTGCAGAAAACAACTATGAAACTTGGCTTTAATACAAAGAGCAACTACTTGGAGAATGAACAGAAGCATTCCTTTGTATGTATTCAGAAGAGGGCCTTGAGGGGGTTTAGAAGTAGGTTCCTCATTTTCTTCTCTCTTAGAGAGGCATAAACAACAGTAGGAAAACATACTTGCTTTCTTGCCAGAGAAAGCAGAAAACTGAAGCCAGGGACATGTGGCTGCTGAGAGGAGTAGGGGAATACCAGAAAGGAAAGAGTCAAAAAAGGGATTAAAAAATTCTGTCTACCCACATATCTGACTGATCCCTAGAACATTAATGTTTTGCACAGACTTAGCAGCTCAGCTAACAATAACAACAACAACAAAGGTATGAGAAGGGACTAGAACTTCTACCCCTAAATCAGAATTTCAATTTAAGCCCAGCCAAAATAATTGCCTGCTAAAGTAAAAGAAGCAACATACATTGGAAAAAAAAAACCAGTGTTTAGAATCTCCACAATTTAACATTCACAATATCCAGAATAAGATATAAAATTACCCAACCTGTATAAAAAAAAAAACCAAACCTAAACAAACGAACAACAACAACAACAACAAAAACACAACAAGAAAATGGAACACAGTTGCTAGAGGAAAGAAAATAAAATGAGTTCAACCCTAAGGTGAGCCATATTTTGGAATCAGCAGAGAAGGACTTCTAAGCACTTATTAAAAGTATCCTTAATGAGATAAAACTAAAATATGTTCACAATGAATTGTAAGATGTGAAATCTCAGCGTAAAAATAAAAATGTTTAAAAAAGACCAAATGGAAATTATAGAACTGAAAATTACATAGGCACAATAAATCTCACCCATTTGTCGTGAAGATTAAATACACATTTGGTAATTCATTCAGCCTAGTGCCTAGTATAGATTTTTTGTACTTTTCCTCTTCCCTCAAACATTCAGTCAGGATTATATTATGACTTTCATCATTCTGGGTCCAATTCAGCCTTCAGGGTAAATTCTAATTGGTGCACAAGCTCCTAGCTAATGCAGATAGGATTATTATTATTATTATAGTGGCTTAAACAATAGAAACGTATTGTCTTACAGTTCTGTAGGTCAGAAATCTGATGCTGGGCTACAATCAAGATGTTGGCAGGGCTGCATACTGTTCTAGAGACAATGGGGTGGGAGGGATCTATCTTCTTGCCTTTCCCAGCTTGTAGAGACCACCTGCATTCCTTGACTCATGACTTGCTTCCTTTGTCTAGATAGCTACCAGGAACAAATCCAGCATTGTTCATGCTGGTGTCTTACTCTCTTAACCTCTGAAAATGTTCTCTGCTTTTAAAGACTCATTTGATTAGGTTGGGCTTAGCTGGATGATCAGGATAATCTTTTCATCTCAATGCCATTTAGCCTTAATCATATCTGAAGTCTTTTTTTTCCATGTGAGGAACATATCACAGATTCTGAGGACTGGGATATGAACATCTTTGGAGGGGATGTTATTATTTATTTTTCCTCCATTCTCTCTTAAAGTCTTAATGATGGCTATTGTTCTTCTATATCCCTTAGCTTTCTCTAATGTTATCCTTCTATTTGTTCCTTTTATTTTTTGTGCCCTGTCAAATTTTTTAAAATAAAATTTTTTATTTTAAAAGTTTTGATTTACACTCCAAATTGTGAAGATAGTATAGGAATTCTCATATACTGTGCATTCAGTTTCTCTTATTATTAACATCTTACATTAGTATGGTACATTAATGAACAGCATTGATACATTATCACTAATTAAAGCCCATATTTTATGTAGATTTCTTTGGTTTTTACCTAATGCCCTGTTTGTTTCAGGATCCCAGCTAAGATACTAAATTATATTTAGTCATTATGTCTCCTTAAGCTTTTCTTGGCCATGACAGTTTCTCACTTTCCTTATTTCTGATGACCTTGAGAGTTTTGATTACTAGATAGATACTTTGTAGAATATCCCACAACTGGAATTTAGCAGTTGTCTTTCTCGTGATTAAATGGGGGTTATGGGTTTTTGGGAGAAAGACCACAGAGGTAAAGTGTCATTCTCATATTGTATCAACAGTATATACTATCAACATGACTTATCACTGATGTTAACCTTTCTCATCTGAATCATGTGGCTTTTGTCAGGTTTCCCCACTGTAAAGTTACTCTTCTCTCCCTTTTTTCATAATGTACTTTTGGAAGAAAGTCCCTAAGTTCAGCCCACACTTAAGGAGTGAGGAGTGTTGGTACTCCACCTTCTTGAGCAGGGAGTTTCCACATAAAGTACTTGGAGTTCTTCTGTATGAAAGATTTGTCCTTCCTACTTTATTTGTTTACTCAATTATTCCTGTCAGTATTTCTATCAACACATACACACTTTGTGTTATAATTTAATACTGCCTTATTTTGTTGCCCAACTTTTTGCCCCTTTGGTCATTGGGAGCTCTTTCAGTTGGTGCTTGGCTCCATCATTGTGGAGTTTTCTGTTTGCTTTTTTTAAGCATTTCCTTACTTGCTGGCACTATATGATGCTGCAGATTCATCTTGTAGGCTTCCTGTCCTAGCTTTCGAAGCATTCATTTCTCCATGGAGCCCTGGTTCCTTTTATTAGAGAATGATATGAAGAACCAAGATCTTTGCACGAAGTGTGCTTGTTACCATTGTTGTGTTGTTGTTTCTCTATGTTTTTACCTGACAGGACAAGGAAATATATGATGAATGCTTAGTGCCTGTATGTACAGACATGCATAAATCTTTTTATAGATAATCATCTGTGTTTATAATAACCAACCATGAGTTCATCCTGATCTCTCCAACTCTATTTCATCACCAGATGGATCATTCTTGCCTACTCCCTTTTCTCCTTTGTAACCTCACACTCCAACAGTTAGTAACCTGACTCCACTGACACCATCATTTTTGACTATCCAACATCCTTACTTCCTTTGATTGCATTTCCTCTGTAAACCACCCATCTTTCACTCCAAGTTCATATGGCATAGTGGAGTTGATGCTACTTGTTGGAGTAATGGTTGCATTCATTTACCTGGTCCTGGCTAATTAGCACAAGTGTTTTTCTTGGCTATGGGTACTGCTTCTGTGAAAGACAGATGGCCCAGGTTCTCCTCAATTCCAGGGCTTCTGTGGGCATAAGTGAAGTCCTGAAAGAAAGAGAAATTTTCTTTCTGCTGAACTCGGAGCTGTAATGATGCAAGTCTCATTTTCCAGGGGAATGCCCTCAGGGGAAAATCTACCCGTGAAAAATGTAACATATAGAAAAGGTGGACTAAAAGATGGGTAGAGATATCTTCCTGATGACCACATCTGAGCACCTGGATCCAGTCACACCTCCCCATAAATGTTTCCGTTGTGAACCAGTGACTTCCCTACTGAGCCTGTTTGGTTTGGATTTATGCCATATGTAACCAGAATCTCTTAAGTCCTTTACCCACCTGGACTTAACTAGAGTTCATTAAATTTATGATTCTAAGGCACTGGAATGCAACACACACATTAGGATAATATCTTGTAATCCCACAGTTTTCACTAAACCCAAAGTTTATCTATAATCTCTTGAGAGTTATACCCTAACTACAGCATTTCCTTTGGGTGAAAACTAGAAATTTTACACTGACAATTGGGAAAATTTTAATTTGAACCACTGGAAAACAAAGTGCCATATCTGTCTTTAATAATAAGTTGAAGCAGACTGAAAGTCATTGAACTTTTGCCTCCCTCTTTATGCATATTTTTTTCTTACCATTTGTCTGAAAATATATAAGCTCTAAAATGAATAGGAGAACCTTAATTGAAAGAGGTTGTCAGCTCTCTTAGTTGCTTAAGGTATTGAAGGAGGTTTCATAATTTCAGTCTGGATTTGAATGTCTTGCCAATTTTTAAAAATTTGATTCCAATACATTAATAGAATACCCCTCCCAATATCATAAACTTGTTAGTTTCTTATATATTTGTTTTTCAAAGGTTTATTAAAAATCTACTTTATGTGTGTGATAGATTGCTGATTATATTCAGTACAAGGTTTGAACCATCTTTTAAATGAGGATGCTGAACTAAATATTTTGCAAACTACAGTTCTTATTCTATCAAGAGGGCTGTGTGACCTTCAGCCTCTTTGCTCCAGTGCACTTATCTTTATTTATTTAATAATAATTTATTTTTTTGAGACTGAGTCACACTCTGTCACCCAGGCTGGAGTGCAATGGCGCGATCTTGGCTCACTGCAACCTCCACCTCCCAGGTTCAAGCTATTCTCATGCCTCAGCCTCCCACATAGCTAAGATTACAGGAGAATGTCACCATGCCCAGCTATTTCTTTTCTTTTCTTTTTTGTATTTGTAGTAGCGATGAGGTTTTACCATGTTGACCAGGCTGGTCTCGAACTTCTGGCCTGAAGGGATCTGCCCGCCCTGGCCTTCCAAAGTGCTGGGATTACAGCCTTGAACAACTGCACCTTGTCACTTATCTTTAAATTAGAACAGAGTGCTAAATGATCACTGTGTCTTGAAAAGTCATAAAGCCTTTTTTTAATGAGATGCCACTTTTTTCTTAGATTATATTATTTAAAACCTGTGTATCTTGACTAATGTGGCCTTAATAAGATTAAATTTTTATATACTTTATCTCTTTGATTCTTGATTGCAAATACTTGCTTGAGTATGGGCAAAATTTAGTACTAGATTCCTTGGTATAATTGCAAAACCATCTTGCTAACTTTTGCTGATCTACCTACATCACTTCCTTCTTATATTCTTTTTCAACTTGGTGTTGTTATTAAATTCTACACTTATAAAAAAGTGACAGTCTGAATTCTTAGTATTGTTTAAATCTCTGTTTAGCTGCAGGTTAACATTGAAACATTTGTTTTTAGAATTAAAAAAAAAAACACCTTTCGGGCACTTACGGCTTCTATTATATTGACCTGTGTACCATGTGAGAAATTTTTACCATCATTTAAAAAATTTGTTTGCATACTTTTAAAGATGTTTGAGGTAATTCTCAACTAGAAGCAATGTTTGAAGTAATTCTCCAACATCAGGATGCTTACAATAGGTGAGATACGTTATCAGTTATTTGGTTCTTTTGACCCAACAGTTTGGAAACTTTGCGTTAGGGGGACGCACTTATTCACATATTCACATTCGTGATGTTTCCCTTCTGGGGTGAGACATCCATTCATGTAAGGCCCCTGGGCTCTCTTCACTTTCTGACTCTCTCCAGGCCCTACAATTCACCTAATCATTGTGAATTGGGAAGTAGAAGCAATCCTGTATTGCTCTTCCCTTTCCTCTGCTCTTTCTCCCAGGTGAACTTCTTCAGGAGGCATGTGCCCTTTATCATCTCAACCATACTATGCTAGCAATAAAGTCTCTGCTCTCTAATGAGCGCAACCTTGCCTTAACTATGCCTGTAAATGTTGCCACTGTTTATAAGCCTTGGATGGCTATTTTATCCTCCAAACTATTTAACACTGTTTTCTAATCTCACCAAGAGTGACCTTTTAACTTGTCAGATCTTTCAAAGAAAATATCCAACTTTTTCTGACACTCTAATAAAGCAAATACATATTTTTTTAACTTATGGCTCTAGGTAATACCTAAAATAACAATGATTAAAATAACCAACCTTTGTTACCCAATTAATTGCAGTAAAGCTTAGTGAAATCATATTTTCTAACTTCTTTTCCATCATTCATTCTCTGTTCCAAAGACATGTTTGAGAATTTACGGTGGCAGTGGTTGTGTTAGACAGGGTGAGCTATCTCCTGGGCATGAGAATCTCTTACAGCTCTGCTGACACTTTTATCCTAAGGGACGGACAGGAGATGGTGATGCTGACTGGACATGAGTTGAGACATGTGAGACAAGAGTAGAAAAAGGCCATTTTATGAGCAGAGTCAGCTTGGACCCTGCAGAGAAGGTGGTAAGGAAGCTTGGCAATGATGAAAGACAAAGCAGAAAGAATGGGCGCTGATAGACTAACTCACAAGTCATGAGTCCCTGAGGTTAGTTTGTTGCTTATATCTTACATCTTTGATGCTATAGACTTTCGTTTTTGGTTTTTGCTTTCTGTTTTTTTTTTGTTTTGTTTTGTTTTGTTTTTGAGACAGAGTCTTCCCTGTCACCCAGGCTGGTGTGCAGTGGCGTGATCTTAACTCACTGCAACCTCCACCTCCTGGGTTCAAGCGATTCTTCTTGCCTCAGCCTCTCAAGTAGCTGGGATTACAGGCACTCATCACCACACCTGAGTTTTGTATTTTTAGTAGAGACGGGGTTTTGCCATGTTGGCCAGGCTGGTCTCAAACCTCTGACCTCAAGTGATCTGCCCACCTTGGACTCTCAAAGTGCTGGAATTATAGGCATGAGCCACTGTGCTGGGCAGCTGCTATAGCCTTTGATATCTTATTTGAGGTGAAGGGGCTCACTCTCAAACTGTCTTTCACCCTTAACGACTAAATTAAAATTAAAGCACAGAGTTGACACTGAGTTTTTTTCCTCTTTTTCAATCTTGTTGTCTTTGCAGTGTCATTATATAAGGTACTTTGGGCTCAGAATAGAATCACATGTATAGAACAGCGAAATGACTCAGGTTGATATCACAGCATTTTCCAATCTAGCAGTGAACCTTAGAAAAGGTAATTATGTATTTACGTAATAATCACCTTCTTTTAAAATGGAGATTAAAAAAAGGAGAGTAGGAAATGTGAAAACACTTGAAAAGCAAGTCCAGACATGGTGTAAATTGTGGAAAAAATGCATGATTATTATGCCTACCCTGTGCTTCTGGGGCTTTCCTGCTAGCATTGCCTAAAAATTTTTGGCAAAGAGAAAATAGTTGGATCTCAGGGCATCTCTTACCCTCAGGTGTAGTGGATATGCCAAGCCTCAGGATACCAAACCCATTGCCCATTAGTGATGAAACTCTCCTGCCTCTCTCCCTGCTGGAAGAACAGTCTTGTGACTGATGATTTTTAACCTTTCCCCACTTCTGCATTCTAATGAGACAAAACTGAGTAGACTTAAGGAGAGTAACTGACTCACAGGCAGTCCAAGACTGACCAGGAGGGTGTTATCTCTGTGGTCTACTTTAAAGCAGCAGTCCCCAGTCCTTTTAGCACCAGGGACTGCTTTCCTGGGAGACAATTTTTCCATGGACTGGGTGGGGGAAGTGGTTTGGGGATGATTTAAGCACATTACATTTATTGTGCACTGTATTTCTGTTGTTATTACATTGTAATATATAATGAAATAATTATACAACTAACCATAATGTCAAATCAGCGGGAACCCTAAGCTTGTTTTCTTGCAACTGGACAGTCCCATCTGGGGGCGATGGGAGACTGGGACAGATTATCAGGTATTAGATTCTCTAGAACCCTTGCATGCACAGTTCACAATAGGGTCACAATCCTATGAAAAACTAATGCTGCTGCTGATCTGACAGGAGGTGGAGTTCAGGTGATAATATGAGCAATGGGGAGCGGCTGTAAATACAGATGAAGCTTCACTTGCTGGCCCGTTGCTTACCTCCTACTGTGCAGCCAAGTCCCTAACAGGTTACAACTGGAAGCGGTCCATGATCGAGGGGCTGGGGACCCCTGCTTTAAGGGAAAAAAAGCTCCAATCTTGTCCTTGATTTCAGAAATGTGACCTAAGTTTTAGTTAGCACTATTGTTTGAGGTTGAAGGGTAGACACAGAGTTGGGACATGTGGCCATAAGAGACAGCTGCTGTGAATACTAAAAAGAAGCACGTTAACAAAGACACAATGGATATGCAAAGAGGAGAAGAGAAAGGCACCCACCTTAAAACCTTGAGAAAGACATCATTAGAGAGAGAAGACTGAGGGTGGGTCCAGTCCCTAGAGTCACCTCAGTCTCTGATGCTGTTCTAGTAACGTGCCCATTCCTGTCTATGGACCAGATCTCTTTTCAGTAAATCCTCTTTTCTTTAATGTTAGTTGATTACATCTCCATTCCTGAAATCCAAACCACCAAGTTATTTTCAACACAAAATGAAATAATGTATGCTTATTGTCATATGTTCCCTCAGACTTCTCCAGTTTTGCTTTAGTGGCAAAATTCAGGCTTCCTTTTGTGTATGAATGAGTGAGGACACATTTTTATTCAACATATTTTCAATATTTTGAAATGGGAGTATCTTAGCTATTTCAGGCTTTAGGGAAGTTTTTGTTGGAATGTTCTGTTAGGGAACATTAGAGCAAGACATATATTTTCTCTGGCCACAAAACCTAGAGTGATAGGAGCATGATTATTTAAGTCTTGAATATAGTTGAATTTAATCTGAAGTCCAACAATACCTAGTGATATCTGGTCAATTCTATAAACTCACTTACTTTACCATTTTCTCAGTTGTTTCAGGCTCCGCATGCCAGCTGGTATTTATGGCTTAGAAGGGCACTGAACTACTGCTGCTCAATGTGTTCTCTGACATGTAATATGTCCTGTCTAGACTTTTGCCATTTATATTTATTCTCACATCCATTAAGATGTCCCTGGACCTGTTTTAATCTCTTTATGAATTAAATAGGCTAGTGCTTTTCAAATATCTGAGGTGAAGAATGAGCTTCCTCTTCCTGATTTTTTCTTAATCGATCCTAGTATGCAACTCAGCACGTGAATGTGAAACCACAAATTGGTCTATATTTAAAAAGGGAGTCCATTGATTATGCATTTGGATGTTGTGACAAAGCCAATTGTTATAAAAGTTTCTAAATGCTTCCTGTCAGTTTCATATTTATTTTATAACTGACTTTTTTTTTTTTTTTTTGAGATGGAGTCTCACTCTGTCACCCAGACTGGAGTGCAGTGGTGCAATCTTGGCTCCCTGCAACCTTCGCCTCCCGGATTCAAACGATTCTCCTGCCTCAGCCTCCAGAGTAACTGGGATTACAGGTGCATGCCACCACGCCCGGCTAATTTTTGTATTTTTAGTAGATATGGGGTTTCACCATGTTGATCAGGCTGGTCTCAAACTCCTGACCTCATGATCTGCCTGCCTCAGCCTCCCAAAGTGCTGGGATTACAGGCGTGAGCCACCGCGCCTGCCCTAACTGACTCTTGACAACCAGTTTGTGGACTGCTATTCTGCTGTGGCTCACACTTTTGAGTAGTACTGAGATAGATCACTTTTTTCTGTAGTTCCTTGTTAGAACCTGGAGACACCTTTTAGTCATTAGCTCACTCAGCTACCTTGTGTACCTTTCCTGAGGGCAGGGGAAACTTTGGAATATTCTCATGTATCATTCCTGTGCTTGTGACTCCATAGCCTTCATCAGGAAGGAAGACACACGTCCCTTCTCCCTCTGCTGTTGGAGATCCAATGGCTCCTTGGGGCTTATCTTGGTTATTATACATCTGGTTTGAGTCTGGGAGTCGGAGGGGATACCAGGCCCTTCTCAAGAATTCATTGGCGTCTAAGATCTTTTTATCTCTTCTTTTCTTAAGTTCCTTCCTATCCCACATTAGGCAATATTTATCTAGTATTGGGAGCAAATGTAGAGGATAAACTGGCTCTCATTCTTTTATTTTTAATCTTTAATTAATAAAATATACTTTATTATCTTACTTCTTAATGGCTTACTTTCGAGAGACTAAAAGATGAACAAAAAATACCATATTTCATTTTACTCTCCAAAGTTTCTCTTTTACAAAGCCTTTCCCCTACTTTCAATTCAAGTGTTTATTTTTAAATCAAAAAGTCAAAACTTCCCCTCTGTTTCTCTGCATTCAGCTATGTTGGACCTTGGCCACGGCAGTGGGGTCACTTGAATGGGGAGTGGTGAGAAACTTCAGATAATTTCACAGAAATAAGTCTACTATATGAGTATATATGCAGTCTCAAAAATTTTACTCCTTTTTTTTTTATTATACTTTAAGTTCTAGGGGACATGTGCACAACGTGCAGGTTTGTTACATATGTATACATGTGCCATGTTGGTGTGCTGCACACATTAACTCATCATTTACATTAGGTATATCTCCTAATCCTATCCCTCCCCCTTACCCCCGTCCCATGACAGGCCCCGGGGTGTGATGTTCCCCTTCCTGTGTCCAAGGTGTTCTCATTGTTCAGTTCCCACCTATGAGTGAGAACATGGGGTGTTTGGTTTTTTGTCCTTGCAGTAGTTTGCTGAGAATGATGGTTTCCAGCTTCATCCATGTCCCTACAAGGACATGAACTCATCCTTTTTTATGGCTGCATAGTGTTCCATGGTGTATATGTGCCACGTTTCTTAATCCAGTCTATCATTGATGGACATTTGGGTTGGTTCCAAGTCTTTGCTATTGTGAATAGTGCTGCAATAAACATACACGTGCATGTGTCTTCATAGCAGCATGATTTATAATCCTTTGGGTATATACCCAGTAATGGGTTGGCTAGGTATATATCCAAAGGATGTAATGGGATGGCTGGGTCAAATGGTATTTCTAGTTCTAGATCCTTGAGGAATCGCCACACTGTCTTCCACAATAGTTGAACTAGTTTACAGTCCCACCAACAATGTAAAAGTGTTCCTATTTCTCCACATCCTCTCCAGCACCTCTTGTTTGCTGACTTTTTAATGATCGCCATTCTAACTGGTGTGAGATGGTATCTCATTGTGGTTTTGATTTGCATTTCTCTGATGGCCAGTGATGATGAACATTTTTTCATGTGTCTGTTGGCTGCATAAATGTCTTCTTTTGAGAAGTGTCTGTTCATATCCTTTGCCCACTTTTTGATGGCGTTTTTTGGGTTCTTTGTAGATTCTGGATATTAGCCCTTTGTCAGATGAGTAGATTGCAAAAATTTTCTCCCATTCCATAGGTTGTCTGTTCATTCTGATGGTAATTTCTTTTGCTGTGCAGAAGCTCTTGAGTTTAATTAGATCTTATTTGTCAAGTTTGGCTTTTGTGCCATTGCTTTTGGTGTTTTAGACATGAAGTCCTTGCCCATGCCTATGTCCTGAATGGTATTGCCTAGGTTTTCTTCTTGGGTTTTTATGGTTTTAGGTCTAACATTTAAGTCTTTTATCCATCTTGAATTATTTTTTGTATAAGGTGTAAGGAAGGGATCCAGTTTCAGCTTTCTACATATGGCTAGCCATTTTTCCCAGCACCATTTATTAAATAGGGAAGCCTTTCCCCATTTCTTGTTTTTATCGGGTTTGTCAAAGATCAGATGGTTGTAGATGTGTGGTATTATTTCTGAGGGCTCTGTTCTGTTCCATTCGTCTATATCTCTGTTTTGGTACTATACTGTTTTGGTTACTGTAGCCTTGTAGTATGAACATCGATGCAAAAATTCTCAATAAAATACCAGCAAACCGAATCCAGCAGCACATCAAAAAGCTTGTCCACCATGATCAAGTGGGCTTCATCTCTGGGATGCAAGGCTGGTTCAACATATGCAAATCAATAAATGTAATCCAGCATATAAACAGAACCAAAGACAAAAACCACATGATTATCTGAATAGATGCAGAAAAGGCCTTTGACAAAGTTCAACAGTGCTTCTTGCTAAAAACTCTCAATAAATTAGGCATTGATGGGACGTATCTCAAAATAATAAGAGCTGTTTATGACAAACCCACACCCAATATCATACTGAATGGGCAAAAACTGGAAGCATTCCCTTTGAAAACTGGCACAAGACAGGGATGCCCTCTCTCACCACTCCTATTCCACATAGTGTTGGAAGTTCTGGTTAGGGCAATCAGGCAGGAGAAAGAAATAAAGGGTATTCAGTTAGGAAAAGAGGAAGTCAAATTGTCCCTGTTTGCAGACGACATGATTATATATCTAGAAAACTCCATTGTCTCAGCCCAAAATCTCCTTAAGCTGATAAACAACTTCAGCAAAGTCTCAGGATACAAAATCAATGTGCAAAAATCACAAGCATTCTTATACACCATTAACGGACAAACAGAGAGCCAAATCATGAGTGAACTCCCATTCACAATTGCTTCAAAGAGAATCAAATACCTAGGAATCCAAGTTACAAGGGATGTGAAGGACCTCTTCAAGGAGAACTACAAACCACTGCTCAACAAAATAAAAGAGGACACAAACAAATGGAAGAACATTCCATGCTCATGGATAGAAAGAATCAATATCGTGAAAATGGCTATACTGCCCAAGGTAATTTGTAGATTTAATGCCATCCCCATCAAGCCACCAATGCCTTTCTTCACAGAATTGGAAAAAACTACTTTAAAGTTCACATAGAACCAAAAAAGAGCCCGCATCGCCAAGTCAATCCTAAGCCAAAAGAATAAAGCTGGAGGCATCACGCTACCTGACTTTAAAATTTTACTCATTTTTAAGTAAACAATTCAGGCTTCCTTTTGTGCATGAATTTTACTCATTTTGAGTAAGTATACATGCAGCCTCAAAAATTTTACTCATTTTGAGTACTTTTGAGGCTGCATATATACTTACTCATAGTTTTACAGAAATCTGCCCACAACAGTATTTCCCATTTCTCGCTTTTCAAACATTCAGAATTTTCAGGATGGTGTGGCATCCATGGAAGAATCAACCACAGATCTTCCCTCTAAATCACCTGCTGCATGGAGCATCACTGATAGTGATAGTCCCAGTTGCCACATTTTTCGATTCACACATTTACAACAGAGATGGAATGCATATGCAAAGAGAAACAAAATCAGAGAAAGATATCCAATTTTGACACCTTGAGAAAGAAACCATTAGAGGTAGAGGAGACTGAGGGAGTATCCAGACCAGGCCCCACTTTCCTGAGGCTGCTCCCAGCTAATGACTAAGTAACGTGAAGGTACTAGCACCAGAAATTCCTGCAGTAGCAGGATTCTTCTAATAATCAACTTTGGCTTGGAGATTCCCCATTAACCTGGCTGAGACTATCTTAGAACTATGCTACAGTTGGAAGCCCTGCCTATCCAAACTTCCTTTCCTCTCTCCCTTTCAGGGGTGACTCTTGCATTGATGTCTGAATATTCTGTCTTCCTATTTCTGATGTCTCCTCCTATACCTTCCACAGATGTTCCCCTAAACAATCTTGTTATCTGTAATCATGTCTTGATGTATGCTTCTCAGGGGACACAAACTGACACAGGTTAGTAGATTGAAAACCACTGGTTTAAACTATAGAAGCCTGGTCTTCAAATATACAGTCATGGAAAAGGTCAAGATATAAATCAAGATGTAGGCTGTGCTTTCCTGATTAAAGTGAGTCTTAGTTTCTCAGAGCTGGGTGGGTTCTGAGAGGGTCCTATAGGGCTTCTAAGCTCTGTAGTAGAAGAGTTGGAAATTATGGTACCCACTATAGTTGGTGCAGGTAAAACTAGCACATGAAGAAAATGTAAAGGAAATCCATGCACTCTTTCTTATCCTCGTTAGACTATAACCTGTTGTCCTGTACTCTGAAGGAGTAAGCAATGAGTCTTGATTGTTCTAATATGCCTATCATTGGCAATCAAACAGTGGTGGTCCTTGTACAGAGAAATGTATGCCTCGGAGTGAGCCTGAAATACTGCTTCCCCTTTCACGTAATGGGCAGAGGAAGGGTTTTGTGAAATGCAACCCACATTATTGTCAGTGAGTTTGCTTTTGCGCTTCAAGGACCTTTCGGAAATGTTAGAAAATAATTGGGATAGTTGTTAATCTCTGTACACAAAGGTATATTGTCTTGTGGGTAATGTCATCCCATTCTTGAGGTGACAGAAAGTGCTCCTATGAGAAATAAGTCACTAACTTGATTTGATTGGGTTTAAGTTTCATTATTGGTAGACTGTATATTTCTCCGTGTGGTAACTTATCTAAGCTATGCATCTAACCCTCTCCCCTGCTTTTTGGAATACCAGAGTTTGTTATACCCAGGTAGAATAACTTCAAGAAGCAAAACCAATTATTTTGGCTGCTCATGGCTGAGGGCAGGGACTCTACTGCCAGGATAATCACTAGCTGGGACTAGGAGTCTCTCAAATTGTTCCGTTATGCCAAACAAACAAACAAACAGTTTTTGGAGAGCTGGGGATATGAAAAGGTAGCTTGGAAATAAGGAAAGAAGTCTTATCTCAAGCACTGATGAGAAAAGTTAAGATTGTAGACTCAGGCTCTAAGAAAAGGGTTTATTCTACAGAAGGTGTAGATAATAACAACTCAACTTAGGAGTATGAAGTAGCACCTGTGAGAACTGAACGTGTCCAACACAAATTGTTTCCTTCTCTTCACTTCTCCTAAAGAGCTAATCAGAGAGACGAGTTGGATTACTGTCTCTACCATTTGTGATTGATTGTGGCCTTGGACATATGACGTAATCTATACACCTCAGTCGCTTCTCCATCTGTTTGCAAGATTAGTGTGAGGAATACTTGAGGAAAGGTCTCTCTTGGGACACTGTGAACTTGGCCTGTTGTGATTTATGTTTATATAGTAATCTATGGGGGCTGAGTTTTTTAAAATAAGCTTTCTTTTGGTACACTGTGGTTGGCGTTATTCAAGAAGGGGGCTGGTGTCAGTCTACTGGACAATGCTGAGGAATTGGTCCTTTGCAAATTTCCTGAGCCAGGAGACATTGGCTTCATATTAGGAGGGTCTCTGACAATTTCATTGCTTTGCTGGGATATTAGTAAAGCCTTAAAGGGTTCATAGCTTTCTAAATATCTAAAATGGTAGAATAAAGAGACTTAAATGATTTAAGCTTTTACATTGTAGCATCCATTCCCTTTTCAAGATCTACGTCTTACCACCCAGGCACTCCTGCTTTTATCTTTTCATGTCAGTGTTCTCAATTTCTCCCCCGTACTTGCAGGGCTTCATGCAACATAGAGCAATGGCCTCTGTATTGTAGGAACCATGTAAAATGATGGGGTCTGAGGTACAAAGCTAGTTACCTTAATTCTAATCTTTCACTCACTTTTTCCTATGAGGTTGATTCCTTTTGACCATCTATTTCTTGTCTTTTGGAAGAAGGTTAAAAACGATCCACCCTACCATTTATTCAGAAACTATTGTGTGACCAGATGATTGTGTGAATTGTTTACATGTTATTTTGTATCATTCCACAGCACTTCTATGAGAGACTATTATGCTGGTGAGGAATCTGAAGTCTGACCAAAGGTCTTATAGCTTATAAATGGAGGTGCCCAATTTGCAGCCAGGCCTATTGAATTAAACTTAGGTGATCTTTCCAGAGCATCATGCTTGGATTGTTAATTTGTCTCTGATACTTGGTCTTTCAGGCTTGTTTCTGTCAACTTACCTACTGACCCTCTAATGAGAATGATCCTCATTCTTATTCTCTGGGCATACTACAATTGGATTGTATACCACATTTTGTCCTCTAATATCTGTCTGCCCTTCAAGACTGGATTTAGCTTCCTGCTAAAGTCCGTCACACTGCCATCAGAATCTGCTGTGCACTGGCAGCCCTCCTCCTGCAGCTGCCCACGTTCTACAGCACACTACATTTGCAATTTGTACAGCATTTGGAAACCTTTTCTCTCAGATCCAGTGTTGAATGTCTTTGGCAACATACCTGTCTATATAATTTTAATTAATGTGCACTTTTAAAAGCTACCTCAAGGTAGCATTTACCACAGGTTTGAAATTAGAAATAATGTCACGTTTAAATAAAAGCAAAAGAAACTAAAACACATTTAAAAAATTGAATTTAACTTTCTAATAGAACATGGGTCAGTTGCTATACACATTTTTATTATAGGGAATATTTTGGTATTTTCAGCCATATAAATTTATATTAACTTTATGCTTTAGTCTTGTAAAATGGTCAGGAGCAGGAATATGGAGAGGTAGGAGGAGAGTAGATGGCATTGAAAACACAGGCATTATCTGTGAAAATATTGAAGCTATAAACATTTCTTGGAAGCTGCCTGGAAATCTGAACAGGAAAGACTCATATTGTATTTTAAAAATTCTGTTCCTTTTCTAAAATCAACTACTAACTTTTCAAACACACATAGAAAGCAGATTATCCTGTGACACTTTACATTGAAGAAAAACAAAATATTTTCAAAGATGCCAAACCAATAATTTAAAATAAGATATTGAATAGAATTTAAACAAGATTAAAATTAAGAAAAAATATGTTTTAAACAGAAAAGGGTGAAAGAAATCCACTTATAAAGGCAACTGTTGATTTAAAATTATTAGAACTAAGTATTTGTCCATTGCTTTACAAATTGCAACTGGAGATTGAAGGGTTTTTTTTAATGGAAATATTTTTCCAACTTGGAGAGATTGCAACAGTTGCTTTATGGTTATGAACTGCCAAATAGATCCTGTAAATGGGATCCAGTTAGTTCAGAGGAAGTTCAAAAAATCTCTAGAAATTACAAACACCAACAGAAAAATAGAGATTTGTCCTTTTATACAAGTGACAGAAAGCAACAAGAATGGTGCTCACATGTTAGTGTTTTGATGTGCATCTAGCTTTTATTTAAGCTCATTGCACTTCTTCAACACTGCTGAACTTCCAAATATCATAACCTCTGGCAGAGTGGCAGTTGCTTCTTATTGAAAACTTTCTCAGCATGGATGCAATACATTGTTGGTCTATAATGAAGGTGATCCAGAAATATATTGGCTGTCAAAGTTGCATCACTGGCTTGCTTTTTTTTTTTTTTTAATGCTGGAAGATAAAGTGGCTACCTCTGAGACAAGTTTTTCAAAACTCCATTTTCCACCAGTTCTGTTGCAATCTCTAGGTGTTATAATCAAGAAATTAAAAATGCTTAATCACTGAAAATTGATCAATTATTGGTTTGCTTCCACTTCTACCCAGGTCACGTAAAACATGCATTCGGACCACAGATTTTCAGAGAAGTGTAGCTCATAAAAATTATTGAAGCTTGTGAAGAATGGATGTGATCATCTAAATTACTTAAAACAACTAAAAGGAAAACTCAAATACATTAATGATTTTTATCTTCACATGAATAAGAAAAGTTTTTTTAAGTCCATGTTGATAGAAAATTGTATTCAAGTCATTAAAAGAGACATGAGTGCCCAATATTCCTCTCAAAAAGAAAATGTTGAACCACAAGAGGTTGTAGCTTTTGGAATGAAGCTAAATGTGACCAGAATTTTTTTTTTTTTTTTTTTTTTGAGATGGAGTCTTGCTCTATCGCCCGGGCTGGAATGCAATGGCACGATCTTGGCTCACTGCAACCTCCACTTCCTGGGTTCCAGCAATTCTTGCCTCAGCCTCCCAAGTAGCACTGGCTAATTTTTGTATTTTTAGTAGAGACAGGGTTTCACCACGTTGGCCACCACGAACTTCTGACCTCAGGTGATCCACCCGCCTTGGCCTCCCAAAGTGCTGGGATTACAGGCATGAGCCACCGTGCCCAGCCGATGACCAGAAATTTATAAAATCATCAGGTAGGCCAAAGGAGATGAAGAATGTAAAGTCAGAGACTTTTTTAAATATTAAGGATTTTCTTCCTGAAGTAATGCTCAAAATGTCCATTACCTAAGTCTTCAGTTGTAATGCATCTACATTTAAGTATTAATTAATTAATTAAGTATACAGCAAAGAGCTCAGCTGGCTCAAACTGGACATCTCTGGTATCAAAATATGACTTCCTTGATTTGTATGGTAGGCCTAAACACTGATTCTCAACCAAGAGATTGTGCTACCTTAGGGGACTTTTGGCAAAAATATCTGGACTCACTTTCAGATATCACCACTTGGGGTAGGAGGGGGTGTGCTTGTGGCATCCAGTGGGTAGAAAAGGTGCTGCTAAATATCCTACAATGCACAAGACAGCTCTCAACAGTGAATTATCCAGTCTGAAATGTTAATAGTGCTGAGGTTGAGAAACCCTGGCCCAGACCCAATCTTAATAGGGCAACTGATAAGAATAGTGTAAAAAAAAAAATTATAAAGGATGGTTTTCAAGAATGCAATAAAACTACCACTATAGTAGAAACTGTAGAGTCCATAGAGAAGACAGCTTCTGTCAATATCACATAAATGCATATATGATTACTCCATAGCTTAATTCACAGTGTTTTAGCACATAATGGTGCTTCTGCAGCAATGTTAGAAGTAGCCCAGACTCTGGTTTTCAAGTAAAAGATAAACTTCTTGCTGAGAAAATATCATATTTTATTCTGTGTGAGTGTTGCATTGTTTCATGTGAAGCATCAGAATGTGAGTAAAATGGAAATTCCCATCTTTATATCTGGCAGTTGATTTTGGCTTGGTCTGAGAGCAGAATTTTTGTATTCTTGGTATGTCTAGGAGCCAAAAAAGTACAAATATGATTTAGACATTATTTGAAGGGAGATAGTACTACTGGCATCACTCTAAAAATTTTCAGAAGAAAAATTGTTTAGACCTTGGGAAAAAACAAAGTCAAGAAAATGAATTTCAACAAGAAACACATTACTTACATGATTTAATAGATAATTTTGGCCCTGAAACTAAGTTTGTGTTTCCTTAAAATTTATTACTTGAGGATATGAGAGACCAAATTTGTAGCTGATATTGACAACAATTTATTGTGGAGGCAAGGATTATTGATATTCTTCTTGTAGTGGGAAAAACCATACAATTGTAGTTGTCTTCCTTGAATTACTGAAATTAGAATGTTTCTGAACTAAAAGTCTGTTGGCAGCAGAATTGTTCTTCTTTGGCCTTTGTGTAATGTGATCAGCCTATTTTTTTTTTTTTTTTGGTATTGGAAATTTGTTAAGACCTCTGTTAGCATTGTAAGATTTACCTGCATTTTTGCTGAAACACTTAAGGACTAAATATTATGTGCAAAATTATTTTATTTTAGAGGTGAACAATCTAAGAGGTGACTAGCTTATTTGACAGCATTGTTGAGTCAGTTTAGCATTATGTACTATCATTAAAATAACGAACAATCTATATAGTATTCAGAATATTTAGAACATGTACTAGGAGTCCACTCTTCTTCAATATACCTGTTGGCCTTACCTGCCTTGGATTATTGATCTGTGCCTTTTGGCACAGTAATAACTGTTTACCCTGATCTTTTTGTTCCTTGCCTACTTGTAAGTATCATTTTTGCTGTGCTTCTTTCTGAGGATCATCACCTGTGTTCCAGCTCATCTCCCATGTCTAATGGAAGGCCTTGAACATGGAAGATGGCACCTCCATAATATGACAGGGGTACCTCTGAGCTTTTGAAATAATAATGAGCTTCCATGAAAGGACACAATGATAGCAGCAAACTGTCTTTCTAGAGACCCCCTTCACCTCTATAGGAGGTTTACATAGCTATTTCCTTTAGCACACTATGATTCAAATACAAATATTATTTTTAAATAAACTGAGGCTCAGGGAGTATGCATCTGAAACTCAATGTCTAACTTCTATTTGATTGAAGTAAGAAAGCCCATTCGAACAATATGAGAGTGGCTGTGCATGCAACAGGAAAGGAATTAAGTATATTTAATTTACATTTTGGTGGCCCCTTGAGGTCAATATGCAGGATCCCAAACCTAAGCTCAAAATATAAATCATCAAGATTTCCAGCATGCATGTTTTCCTTTATTTTTTTTCCCTATAAAGAAAGGTCAGTGGGAAATGTTTACACTTCCAAATGTATTGGATTTCTGAGAATGTATTCCCCTTTTAAAATAATGTATCATTTTAGTTATGATGTCCAATATGGCAGACCCTAGTCATAAGTGGATATGTAAATTTAAATTAATTACAATTAAATACAATTAAAAAGTTACTTTTTAAAATGCGCTAGCTACATTTCAAGGGCTCAACAGCCATATTTCACTAGTGGCTATCATATGGGACAGGGTGATAACAGGGCATTTCTCTCATTGCAGACATTTCTATTGGAAAGTGTTGCTGATTAAGCCACTGTAGGCAAAAGTCACTGAAATGTAGATAATAATAAAATGTCTTTTTTCATTATTTGTGTGCTTTTCTAAAGGTGTTTAGAAAAACCCTATCATATATGATTTTGTTACACATGTTTGTGAGAAAGAAGTCAGTGTGATGATTAACTTTATATATCAACTTGACTGGGCTAGGGAGTACCTAGATGTTTGGCCAGACATTATCCTGGATGTGTCTGTGAGGGGTTTCTAGATGAGATTAAAATGTAAAGCAGTAGACTGTGTAAAGCAGATTGCCCTCCCTAATGTGGCAGGCTCTCGTCCCATCCACTGCGGACCTGAATAGGAGAAAAAGGCTGAGTAAGAGGGAAATCCTTCTGCCTGACTGATTGAGTTAGGACATTGGTCTTTTCTGGTCTTCAGACGGGACTGAAACATTAACTCTTCTTGACTTTAAAACTTACTAGCTTTGGGACTGGAACTTACACCATTGGCTCTCCTGGATCTCCACCCAGCCGACTGCAGATCTTGGGACTTCTTAGCCTCCATAATCACATAAGCCAACTCCTTGTAATAAATCTCTCTCTCTCTCTCTCTCTCTCCCTTTTTATCTCTCTCCCTCTTTCTCTCTCTCTCCCTCTTTCTCTCTCCCTCCCTCCCCCCGTGTGTGTGTGTGTGTGTATAAGTGTGTGTGTGCGTGTGTGTACACACACATCTATATCCACTATATCTGTATCCAAAAACACACATTCTATTGGTTCTGTTTTTCTAGAGAACCCTAATACACCAAGAAAGGAAGGGAAATAAAGTTTTTGGTAAATAATTGAAAGGCGAAGTTAGTCCCTTGGATTTTCTTTCTTTTGTGTCTTAACAAGTTCCAGCCAGAAAACAATCCAATAAAAGAGACATGTGCTCATCTGTGAGGCAAGCAAAGGTGAAAGGGGCAAAAAAACAAAAACAAAACAAAACAAAATAAAACAAAACACTGGAAACAGCCAGATAGAGTAAATATGTAGGGAGAAAGATATGAGAATCAGACAACAAATGGCAAGTTTGACAAAATCTGGATTCTCAATAGCAAAATAAAATTATGAGACTGAAGATTATTATTCAGGTTGAAGCTTAGGTATTTAAAAATATGACTGATTATTCTTCAGATGTCCACCTGGGTGGCTTAGGATTTTAGGAATCCCATTACACTGCTTAGAATAAAAATGGATGTACCTGGGCCTTTGTAAGCCATGGTTTCTGTACTCTTAGGCCTGAGCAACAGCTCAACGATGGAAGATACTGCGATTTAGTAGCATACAAAAGACCGCTGAATCATCACCATGTGCAAACAAATACGCAAACACCCATTCTTTTTCATGATTGAAGAAATAAACAAGGGTGGTATTAATTATCTGGCTAAAATAAATTATAATGAATGCAAACTCATTACTGTTGAAATCGATGCATGCATAGCAGAAGGTACATTTACTGAAGTCAACATACTTAATTACATTTGGAGTAATAAAGAGAGTAGGCATGAAGTCGAATGTCTCTTGAGCCTAAACATTAATTTTGATCTAATTTTCTTTTCCTCAATGTTGAAAAAATGAAAAAGCAAACAAAATTAAGAGACCAATGTTAACTTTATTAGCGTTGTTAACAGGGGATTTTAAGCTGTTTGTACCATGTGTTTTCCACATTGTGATCCAAGAAAGGTCACTTGATTTTAAAGCCAATAATGTTATTATAAGTATAAAGGTAGCCATATGGCATTTCTCATTCTACAAGAATACAGGTGACATATATAAAGCTTCAAGAGCCACAGTGACAAAACCAAGGGATACACAGAATTCTGACACTGTGGAATGAGAGTCTTTATGACACTTGAGTTTTTGTCCAAAAATTGTTTTCTTTCTTTAATCTGTTTCTCTTTCCAAACAATGTCGAGATTTTTAAAAATTTAATAATTCTTCAGTTTTACATATTTTCTGTTAGCATGGGGTTTTGTGATCTTGCTTAAACTTTCAGATGACTTTATGTTGTTTTCCCAAATAAAATGTTAAAACTCCTATTCAGACTTCTTCATAGCACCTAGCAGAGTGTTGGGCAAAAAGGTATATTGCTGGGTAAATAATTGTTAAATGAGTAAATGAAGAATGAAACCCCTGATATCTATGAAAACAGATAACCCTGGCTGACATGGTATTCTCTCAATTGAGGAGAAAACATCCTGGCCAGATAAATGGCCTGAAAATTATTCTCATTAGACTGCTTGGCTGTTAGAGATAGGTGTTCTGATTTAGAAGAGAGAGTTTTGATTTAAAAGAACCTGCCTACCACTTAGAGGATATAGGACTGTAGATCTCTTTGATTCTCTGTATCTGATCAGCATCTCCCATACAGCCTCATCCTTAGATACATAAATGTTTGTCTTCAGCAAGAAAGTAATTTCTGTTGCCTTTTCTTCAGAAGAAATATTCGACTTTTAAAAACTGTGTTGTTTATGCTAGATTTCTCATGAGTAATAATTGGAGTATGGAAAGTGGGATATTAGTAAGTATTTCAGTATGCCATCCAATTTTAACATTCCCAGTTGGTGAAATAGGAATTTTAAAAATCGAATGACGTAGTGAAATGCTGCAAAGTTGGCAATTTCCTGCGTTGTGTTCTAGCAAAGGCCTGAAGATATTTGAGTGGAGCCCTGGTAATATCTGTTCTGAGTGAACAACTGGAGACAATTTTTCTCCAACTCCCTAAAACATTTGGCAATGTCTATAGAAATTTCTGAAACCATATGTGAGTAAGTTGCCCACCTGATGCCCCATCAACCTCTAGGATTTTTAATAAACATTTCCTAAAAACAAGGACTTTATCCTACATAGCCACATGATAATCAAAATTACAATGTTAAAATCAATACATTACCACTCTAATTCTCAGTCCTCATTCAAGTTTTGACAATTGACCAGTACCATCCTTTATGTCAAAAGGGTTCAACAGCGTGTTGTAGTTGTCACGTCTTTTTAGTCTCCTTCAGTTTAAGACAGCTCCCTGTCTTAAATTCAGCTTTCTGGATTACATAACTTTGCCCAGTTAACTTTTTAGAATGACTCTCCATCTGGGTTTATTTAATGTTGCCTTTTGATTATATTTAAGTTGTGCATCTTTGGCAGAATTGTCACAGAAATGATGCTATGTGCACTTTCCTGGAATCTTTTCAGGTAGGGCACAATTTTGATTTGTCCCATCACTGATAATGTTTATTTTTATCACATGATATAAAGGTGATGTCTCCACAGTGAAGTTACTCACTGTAGCATATTTTCTGGGGAAGTACTTTAAAACTGTGAATAGCTCATTATCTGCCAAACTTTCAATTTATTCATTTAAATATATATGGACTTGTGGTATCTTATTTTCTTCAATAACTTATAATCCATTATTTATCATTATTTATTTTGATGATCAACTTTTCCCTGATTAGCCAGTGAGAGCCCAGTACAGCTGCCTTTTGTATTCTATTGATATGTTCTTATTCTTCTTTGGGCAACTCCTTGCTTTTTGACACAAGATATTCCAGGTCATCTTGTATGTTTCCCTGTCCCAGCCCTGGAATCAGGAATTTCTCCAAGAAGTCCTGGTTCCTTCTAGTGAAGAATAATATTTAGAATCCATGATCTGGAAGCCAGATGTGTTGATTACTATTGGGATGTTTCTGCTGCTCTCTGGCACTCTCATCTGAGGAATTAGGCAGTTAGGGAGTTAGAGAGTTAGGGAGTTAGGGAAATAGGGACTTGGGAAATTAGGGTGCTCTCTCTCCACAAATTCACACCAACGCCTCCAATTCCATTATTACATCACAGGGTTCATCAGAGTTTTCTCACTTTGCATATTCATAATACCATTCTCCAACATTAAGAAATGTGGCTCTCATTATCCCTAATCTATTTACCTTATAATCTATGTCTGTGTATGTAACCCACTTCCCCTCTCCACAAGGAAGATGCCCTCTCCCTGTGGAGACCTGCCTCCTCGTGCTGGCTGTCCATGCTGTAGGTGCCCTTTTCATCACAAGCAGAAGGCACCTTCAGCAGGACTTATTTTTCACCTGCCCCATCCAGGTCTCACCCACAGGTAGACACGCTCCTTGTATTGCTTGGGCCACCCCTTCATTTGGATTTCTCCCTCACCTAATTGGGCCGGGTGGTCCTGCATGGATGCCTTACCTATCCTGTTTTGATACTTCACATGAGGTTGCTCGCTTGCCAAGGGCCCTTGTCACCCTACACATTCTCTGAAGTTTTCAATTGAAAACTGAGATGATTATATATTGGGACTCAGTGCCATTTTTATGGCAGTCTTGCTCTTGCTCTTCTTCCAGCCTGGTGAACCCCTTTTCTAAATGTGACAGCAGGTAGTAATTGCAGAAGCCATTGCAGGCAGGACTATGCCAGCTCTATCCCACCGGGAACTTAGAACTCTTCGTGGGAATAGGCACCGTGTCTTCAGGTTGTCAATCTTAAATACTTCTCACAATAACATCTCTTGAGACACCAGAAAAGACACCAACCATAGACAGTTATAGAGCTTCTCTTCTTCTATGATAATCAAGATTTTGCAGCTAATAAAATTATTCACCACTTCCATTCACCCCTGCCCACTCTTTGCATGATCACCTTCCTAGAACTGAATGACTATCTTCTCAGCTGTTCATGCTTTGGGGTCTATGCTTTGGAATTTTTGCTGCAGATTTGAAAACTTCTCTCATTGTCACAGAATTCTAACCTCTGTACTCCAAACCAATATGCACAGAAATTTGTGCAAACCTTTTTAAGGTCTTGTCATACTCTAGCAATGAGCTTAGTTTTCCATGCGAATTTTCACCTTCACAGAATCTCTACTGATGCTCCATCTTGTAATCATAGGTTTTGGCTTGAGCTCTAGGTAGGCAGGCTGGCTGGTATGAGAGTCTTAGGACAGACTACTACCCTTTTGCCTCACGTTGCACCGTGCAGCTGTGCAGCTTAGCTGGGTGCAGGGCTGGCCTTGGCTTTTATGACAAAGGGAAGGTTTGGGAACACAGGGACTATGCCAGCTGAATTTAAAAAGCATCTGGACCCATTTTCTCCTATTCTCATTGCTGTTTTTAATTAGATATATTGTGTGGATTCCAGTGTGGAATTCTCTTGAGAGAGCAGAGGAAGTTGAATGTCATTCTCTGCTTTGTTACTCTTCCACAGAGCTTTTCTCTTGAATTTCCCCTTGATCAGTCTTGCTGTAATACTTGTCTCTGTTAAATATAATAGAGTACTTTTAGACAGGAAGGGAGATGTCAAAAACTATAACTTTAGCAATTAAGGATTGACAACCATTCATAGTATATATGTATATTTCTTCTGTTTATTTTTATTTAAATAAATACGTTTTTCAATATGTGCTAAGAAATGAGGAAAACACAGGAAAATTATCTTGGCCTTTGGGTTTTTATAAAAAGCAATTACTGAAAGCAACCTCTAAATTCACTGGAGAATTCCTATGTAAAATATATTTGTTAGAGTCAGGTGAAAGTCACACCAATTTTTTTTTTCTGGTGGATTTGTTGTGGGTTTTTCATAGTGCAACCCTTTTTTCACATGGATGTTCTTGCTGATTTAAATCTCAGAACTCAGAGTGACAGAGGGAGGGGCAAAACGACCCTATAACAAAATATAAGACACCTGAAGATAGCGGGCCCATGCCGTCTATATGAGCCTGCCTGAGGCCTCCAGCAGCCCAGCCTGAAAATATAAATTCCTGAAAACACTTAAAAGACACAAATATGTTTCCTAGGAGAGGGGCTGGAGTAATCCGTTTTCCTACCAGGTATTGTGGTAGCTTAGTTTTCCTACTTTCAAGTGGTGAAACTAGAAATTCGTGATAGGGGTGGGGATGAGTGGGCTGGTGGAGGGGGGCAGAGCAGGACATTTCTCACACAGAGTGGGTAACTCGCTTAGGTGAAGGTAACTTTGCCAGGTGCCTGAGGGGGGCCTCTGGGTAGCATAAAGTCACTGGGCACCTGTGGAGAAAGGAGAGGAAGGGAGTAGATTGGGGCATAGAACCAAAGATTTTACAGCCTTGCTGAAAGATCACTTGAATGTGGCCACCAAAGAAAGTGTGATATTCTCTACAAGAGCCAAAGATGTTAGCAGTTTCCAGTTAGCATAGCGTAGACCTTGGAGTTATGTTGGCTACAAAAGTATGTTTCAATATTTATTATCACTCCCCTTGTTATATTTGTGTGGTGATATAGCTATAGTTTAATTACTTCCTATGTACCGGATGCCATACAAACAGGTGATATTGATGATCTCATTTAATCTGCTTAACATTTCTATGAAGTAGGTATTATTATCCATATATCCTCATTTCATAAATGTATAATCTGATCTTACAGGATGAAACAAAGTGATTAGCTCCAATTGACATGGCAGAGCCTGGATTTGACCCAGATTTCAAGGCTCTATTTTATTGCATAGAGGTAGTACCTAAGAGGGCATTCACTCTGGAGGACCCTGTATTCTTTGATCGTAGCCCTATAAGCTCTATATGCTAACTGACTGAGATGACCAGTTGCTTGCAGGATCAGTTAGCTTTTACTTTGTAATAAACCACCCGAAAACATAGTGACATTAAAAAAACACATTTATTTAGTTTGTGATTCTTTGGGTTGGCAATTTGAATAGGCTTGCTGAGCAGTTTTTGAGATCAGGGCCAGGTTCAACTATCTTTGACAGGACTCTCTCAGCTGACAGGGACCAGCTTTGACTACAGGGATGATCTTTCTTCATGGAGTTGATCATCCTTCAGTAGGCCAGTCTGTGGCTGTTCACATGGTGGCAGAAGTATTTCAAGAGCACCAAGAGATGCCTGAATGTGCAAGTACTTTTATGACTCTATTTGTGTCACATTCACTATATCTCCCATTGGCCTCAGCTGGTCACATAGCCAGCTGAGGCCAATGAATCCAGACTCAAATTGACCCAGATTCAAATACTGGAGAAATGGACTGCACCTCTATCAAGAAGAATCTGCAACACCATTTTGCAAGGGCATCGCATTGTGAATGTGTCACATTACTAAGTTCTGCATGCAGGGAGAGGAAGAATTTATAATCACTTTAGAGAATTTACCTTGCTCGACTAACTCAGCCCAGTCCTTTTCCAAATGTATGGTGCTTCCCGTGGAGGAGAACCAGACAAAAATTAGGGATCTATCATAGAAAATCATTTTTCACAATGAACATAGACACACAAATCTGAAGCCCTGTCTTGTTGGCCAAATAGTAAAAGTGCTCATTGGCCTTAAGCAAATGCAAAATTTGGACTGCTAAGGTCATTATTCATACTTGTTTAGAAATTTCCTTTGTTAATTGGAAGGGTGAGTCTAAAAAATGTTTATAAGCTATGTATACATTTTTAAAATGACTGTTTTGAAATAACTGTGGCAAAGGCATTCAAAAGATAAAATACCCTTTTTTTGCAACTTGCTCTAAAATCCAAGGAAGCCTGTTAGTTTCCGCTTTGTATCTTCCCCATGAGGATTAAAAAGTGGGTGATTATATAACTTAGAAAAGCTCAGAAAAAGCCAAATTTTTAAGGGAAATAACAGTGAAATGTCCCTTCAGGAAAAAAAAGGTTACCATTAAATGCCATGAGGAAAATGAATTACTATGACGAAAAAGAGAGATTTCCTTTATCACATGGAAATAAAAGGGACTTCCCTCAAGATTTTTAGCTCAAAATTTGTTTTGTGGTTGTGTGGCAGAAATGTTTTTAGTGCAATGTTTCATTTCCTTTCCAGTATTTTTGACTGCTATTGGGCCTGATTCTCTACCCCTGAAAGCACTAACCTGATTTATGTTGACTAGGGTGCAGAGGTCCTGTTAGCATCGTGGCCGAAAAGCTTTCAACAAAAGCTTTGTCATCTCTCTACAGGAGAAGACTGTTATTCTGGGCCAGAATCCATTCCCTTGAGTGTAATGAATGCTCTCATAATCACTCCTTGTCAACAGGAGATACTTCATTATATGAAATCAAGATAAAATCTATACTAGAGGTGAAGAAAGTTTGAGATATAAGTCCTCAAACAGTGAAACAGAACTTTTCTTGACATCAAATCAGATATATAATTTAGAAAATATAAATACATATATTATCACAGTTTCAAATTTGACCTTTCTAATTTTTTGTGGCAAAGGATTATAGGAATAATTTTAGGTTAAGTTCTGGGAATTGTTCTTTTGGTAAACCTTGGCTTTGAGGTGTAAGTCTCCTAAGTCAAATTAATTTCATAATTATGTCCTTTAGATGATGAATAAGACATTTGATATTCTTTTGTGATATTTGTGAGTCACATATTATTGGCTGCAAGTTCATGGGCTCAGTGCTGCTTTGCCAAAAGTGAGTTTCCAGAAGCTAATTCTCCAAACTCCATTCTCCAAATGGCATACTTGCAATCTGACCAATTTCTGAATTAAGTAGAAGTACATGTGGCTGAGCCCAGGCATAACCCTCACTGCTACTGCTATAGTTTATATCAGGGGTGTCCAATCTTTTAGTTTCCATGGGCCACGTTGAAAGAAGAGTTATCTTGGGCCACACATAAAATACACTAACACTAACTGTAGCTGATGAGCTAAAAAAATGGCAAAAAACCTCATAATGTTTTAATGTTTTAAGAAAGTTTTATGAGTTTGTGTTGGGCTGCATTCAAAGCCCTCCTGGGCCACATGCGGCCTGCAGGTTGCACAGGCTTGATTTACATGTTTGTCCCCGCAAGCCTCATGTTGAAGTTAGATCCCTGATGTTGGAGGCGGGGCCTAATGGAAGGTGTTTGGGTCATGAGAGTAGACAACTCAGGAATGGCTTGGTACCACCCTGCTGGTATTAAATGAGCTCTCGCTCTTTTAGTTCCCATGGGAGCTGGTTGTTAAAAAGAGCCTGGCACCTCCCCTCTCTCTCAATTCCTCTCTCTTGCTATGTGGTCTCTGCACACTCCAGCTACCCTCTGCCTTCTGCCATGAATGGAAGCAGCCTGAGACTTTCATCAGATGCCTAACCTTCCAGCCAGCAGAATCATGAGCCAAATAAGCCTCTTTTCTTTATGAATCACCCAGCCTCCGGTATTATAGCAAAGCTAACTGTTCTAAGACATTTGCTGTCATAGCTGCTTTGTTCATAAGCCTGCTGGACAAGGGCAGAGGGGGCTGAGGGAGGAAATGAACTGATGTCTGCAGAAAGCAGTCATCCAATCCCCCTCACTATTGAAATCCGCCTCTGCCAAAAGAATCCTTTGGTGAGCATCATGTAAGATACAAATACCTTCACATTCTGTGCCCATGGATGCAGATTTGTCCACATGTATCTCACCCAGATCTTCTTTTTAATTTTTTTATTTTTTAAATTTTGTGGGTACATAGTAGGTATATATGTTTAAGGTGTGGATGAGATGTTTGGATACAGGCATGCAATATGAAATGAGCACATCATAGAGAATGGGTCAAGAATTTGTCCACTCTGTCAAGAATTTTCCTTTGTGTTACAAACAATCCAATTACACTCTTTAAGATATCTTAAAATGTGTGATTATTATTGACTGTATTTACCCTGTTGTGCTATCAAATAGTAGGTCTTATTTATTCTTTCTAACTAATTTTTTGTACCCATTAAGCATCCCCACATCCCCCACCAGGCCCCCACTACCCTTCTCAGTCTCTGGTTAACCATCCTTCTACTCTCCATGTTCCATGAGTTCAATTGTTTTGATTTTTAGATCCCACAAATAAATGAGAACATGCAATGTTTGTCTTTATGTGTATGGCTTATTTCACTTAAGATAATGATCTCCAGTTCCATCCATGTTGTTGCAAATAGCAGAATCTCATTCTTTTGTATGGCTGAATAAGTACTCCATTATGTATATGTACCACATTTTCTTTATCCATTCATCGATTGATGGACACTTAGGTTGCTTCCAAATCTCAGCTATTGTAGACAGTGGCAACAAACATAGGAGTGCAGATATCGCTTCAATATACGATTTCCCTTCTTTTGGGTATTTACCCAGTCATGAGATTGCTGGATCATATAGTAGCTCAATTTTTAATTTATTGAGGAGTCTCCAAACTGTTTTCTGTAGTGGTTGTACTAATTTACATTCCTGCCAACAGTGTACGAGGATTCCCCTTTCTCCACATCCTCACCAGCATTTGTCTTTTGGATATAAGCCATTTTACCTGGGGTGAGATGATATCTTATTGTAGTTTTGATTTGCATTTCTTTTATGATCAGTGATGTTGAACTCCTTTTCATATACCTGCTTTCCATTTGTATGTTTTCTTTTGAGAAATGTGTTCAGATCTTTTGACCATTTTTTGATTGGATTATTATATTTTTTCCTATACAGTTGTTTGAACTCCTTATATCTTCTTGCTATTAATCTTCTGCCACATGGGTAGTTTGCAAATATTTTCTTCCATTCTGTGGGTTATCTCTTCATTTTGTTGATTGTATCCTTTGCTGCACAGAAGCTTTTTAACTTGATGTTATCCCATTTGTTCATTTTTGCTTTGGTTGCCTGGTCTTTTTGGGTATTACTCAATAAATTTTTGCCCAGACCAATGTTCTGAACATTTCCCACAATGTCTTTTTGTAGTAGTTTCATAGTTTGAGGCCTTATATTTAAGTCTTTAATCCATTTTGATTTGATTTTTGTGTATGGTGAGATAGGGGTTGAGTTTTATTCTTCTGCATATGCATACCCAGTTTTCCCAGCCCAATTTATTGAAGAGACTGTCCTTTCCCCATTTTATGTTCTTAGCACCTTTGTCAAAAACAAGTTCACTGTAGGTTTGCAGATTTGTTTCTGGGTTCTCTCTTCTGTTCCATTGGTTTATGTATCTGTTTTTATGCAAGTACCATGCTGTTATGGTGACTATCACTTCATAGTATAATTTAAAGTCAGGTAATGTAATTTTTTCCAGTTTTGTTTTCTTTGCTTAGGATAGCTTTGGCTATTATGGGTCTTTTGTGGTTCTACATAAATTTTAGAATTTTTTTTTTCTATTTCTCTGAAGAATGTTATTGGTATTTTGATAGGAATTGCATTGAATCTGTAGATTGCTTTGGGTAGTGTGAACATTTTAACAATATTGAGTCTTCCAATTCATGAACATGCAATATCATAACATTTTCTGGTGTCCTCTTCAATTTCTTTCATCAGTGTTTTATAGTTTTCGTTATAGAAACTTTTCACCTCTGTTAAGTTAATTCCCATGTACTTAATTTTATGTGTGGCTATTGTAAATGGGATTACTTTTTAATTTGTTTTTCAGATTGTTCACTTTTGGCATATAGAAATGCTACTGATTTTTGTATGTTGATTTTGTACCCTGCAACTTTACAGAATTTATTTATCAGTTTTAATAGTTTTCTTGTGCAGTCTTTAGGTTTTTCAAAATAGATGGTCATATCCTCTGCAAACAAAGATAATTTGACATTCTTTTCCAATTTGGATGCTCTTTATATCTTTCTCTTATCCAATTGCTTTAGCTAAGACCTCTAGTATGATGTTGAATAACAGTGGTGACAATGGGCATCCTTGTCGTGTTCCAAATATTAAAGGAAAGGCTTTCAGTTTTTCCCCATTCAGTATGATACTAGCCATGGGTCTATTGTATATGGCTTTTATTATATTGAGGTATATTCTTTCTATACCCAGTTATTTTAAGGATTTTTATCATGAAGCGTGTTGAATTTTATCAAATGCTTTTCCAGCAACAATTGAAATGATCTTATGGTTTTTTTATCCTTCATTCTGTGGATATGATATATCACACTGATTGACTTGCATATATTGAAGCATCCTTGCATCCCAGGCATAAATCCTACTTGGTCATGATGAATGATCTTTCTAATATATTGTCGAATTTGGTTTCCTAGTATTTTGTTGAGGATTTTTGTATCAATATTTGTCAGAGATATGGGCCTATTGTTTTCTTTTTCTGATGTGTATTTGTTTGGTTTTGGTATCAGGGTAATGCTGGCCTCATAGAATGAGTTTGGAAGTTTTCCCTCCTTCTCTATTTTTTGGAATTGTTTGAGTAGAATTAGTATTAGTTCTTCTGTAAATGTTTGTTAGAATTAGTGAGAGACTTTTTATTACGGCATTGATCTTGTTCCTTGTTATTAATCTGCTCAGCTTGTGGATTTCTTCTTGGTTGTATGTGTTTATAAATTTATTCATTTCTTCTAGATTTTTAAATTTATTGGTATATAGTTGCTCATAGTAGCCACTAATAATCCTTTGAGTTTCTTCAGTATCAGTTGTAATGTCTCCTTTTTCATTTCTGATTTTATTTCAATTTTCTCTCTTTTCTCTAAGTTTGTTTGGCTAAAGGCTTGTCAATTTTGTTTAACTTTTTAAAAAAACTAATTTTTGTTTCATTGATCTTTTATATTTTTTAATTTCAGTTTTCATTTATTTCTGCTCTGATTTTTTTTATTTTCTGTCTTGTGCTATTTCTGTTCTTCTTCTTTTCTTTTTTCTTGTTTTTTTTTTTCATTGATGCAGCCAGTCTATGTATTTTGATTGGAGAGTTTAGTCCATGTTATTATTGATAAGGACTTATGTATGATAAGTCTATGTATTTTGATTGGAGAGTTTACAGTCAATGTTCTTATTGATAAGGACTTATTTCTGCCAGTTTGTTATTTGTTTTATGGTTGTCTCCTTCTTCTTTCTTTCCTTCCTGTCTTCTTCTAGTGAAGATAATTTCCTCTGGTGATATAATTTAGTTTCTTGCTTTTTATTTTTTATGTGTCTGTTGCATTTTTGTTTGTTTGAGGTTACTATAAAGCTTGCAAATACTATCTTATAACCCATTATTTTAACCTAATAAAAAGTTAAC